>NC_000004.12:148296381-148921381 GCF_000001405.40 Homo sapiens
ATTTTATTTTGTCCTATTATATTCTACAGTGAAAGAGAACACTGTCTAATTAGAATCTTTTGTTTTCTTTCTTCACACTGAGACATTACACCTTTCATAATCATGTAATCATTGAAACCAAACGACTTCATCCTTAAGAAAACTGGATTTCTAATGATTCGCTGTCTTTGTAACTTCAATCTGCTCAAATGATCTGACCAATTAAAAAAAAAAAAAGCATGTACCTGTAACACAAATGGAACATGTGAGAAAGCTTTCCAATGCCATAAAGACAGGGGAACTGAATCAGCTGCCCATTTCATTTTATGCATAGCAACAAATGACCAGCAGAACAAATGTTTTTATGGGTGGTTATTATTTTAAATAATCTAAGCCTTAGACCTAGTCTACCAAAAATATAACTTCACAATACTCAGGATTTTTGTTTAAAATTCCAAATATCAAAAATTTAAGAGACATTAAAAGCAATGATTACAGCCAGGCTTGCACTTTCTAGTATATAAATAAGGAAAACACTTTCTTTGTTTTACAATAAAAGACCAGATAACACCTAAATATATTTATTTTGACACACACTATCCAGTAAAGTAGTCACTAGCAATACTTTTTTTAAGAAATTTAAAATCAGTTGCTCAGTTGCACTAGCTACATTTCAAGTGCTCAAGTGCCCCATGTTGCTGGTGGCTACTGTACTGAATAACACAGAATGATCTTTCCATGAACACAGAAAGCCCTACAGGACTGTGCTGCTAGACAATCACAAAGAAAAAAACATATGTAAGTGAATGAATCAATGAAGAAATGACACACCACTGTCATTTGTTGACTAATCAACACATCTATTAAAAACATAAATTTCCATATTAAATGTGAGAATGGATCATAGTTGCCTAGTTATTTTTCAAAATTGATATTGTATTTATCAAATTTCTCCACTCAAACCAGAGAACAAAAATATTTCTGCACATTTCAAAAGACTATGCATTTTCTTATTTAAAAATACCAAAATACATAGGTATAACTTAGAATAATTCATCACATTTGAATCAACCATAGAATTCTTTTAAACTACACCTATATATTTAAAAATCACACAGGCTGGGCATGGTGGCTCATGCCTATAATCCCAGCACTTTGGGAGGCCAAGACAGGTGGATCACCTGAGGTCAGGAGTTCGAGACCAGCCTGACCAACATGGTGAAACCATGTGTCTACTAAAACTACAAAAGTAGACAGGTGTAGTGGTTCCTTTTACATTATGTTTTCTTCATTTTTCTGCAGAGTTTTCTTTTCTTATTATATCAGTATATCTTAAATATTGGCTTCCAAAAAAAGATCTGACAACATAGCTTATTCTGAAGAAAAACCTTCATTTTGCATGTCTGTAATACCAGCTACTCAGGAGGCTGAGGCAGGAGAATTGCTTGAACCTGGGAGGCGGAGGTTGCAGTGAGCTGAGATTGCGCCATTGCACTCCAGCCTGGGCGACAAAAGTGAAACTCCGTCTCAAAAAAAAAAAAAAAATCACGTAGTATACATCTACTAAGATGGACAACACAAAATGCTGGTGAGAATGTTAAGTAAAAGGAACTCTCAGGCACTGTTGGAAGGAGTGTAAAGTGTTGTCACTACTTTAGAAAAATGTCCAGCAGTTTCTTCTTCTAAGACTAAACACATATCTGCCTCATGGTCCAACAATTCCCCTCTTAGATATTTACCCAATAAAATGAAAACATTTTATTACATTTTCAGAAAGACTTGTGGTAGCATTCAAAGAAGCAGCCTATAGACAATAAAAGACATATAAACTGTAGTATATTCAATGGAATATTATGCAGCAATAAGAATGACTTTATAGATGACATAAATACATCTCAAAAACATTATGTGGAAGAAAAACATACTACATGATTCAATTTACATGAAATTCTAGAAAGTGAAAAACTAACCTATGATTAACCCAAGCAAAACAAAACCCTGAACAGTGATGGCTGCCGGAAGAAGGCAGGGGAGGGGAACAACTGGGGTGATGGAAATGTGTTGCGCCTTGATCACTATTTTTAGAATTGATAGGTTTTGGGTTTTAACCAAAATAAAGAAGTGGCATAAAATAAGAACAAATTGCTAATTTACTTTCCTCTTTACCAGTGAAGTCACAGCTAAATTAAAAATCAATAATGGCAAATTAAGGAACTGAAATATGACAAAATGATCAAATGATTTATGTGGATATCTTAGAACAGACAGCTGAGTAATCACAAAAGAGTGCTTTCTGCAGAACTACTACTCCTTATTAGTCTCTTATCATCCACTGTTAATTAGCACTTGGGCTGATCAGAGTTCAACAAAGCACACAAATTCTAGTTACCCTGCTTCAGAGAAATTACAAATGCTATTTCAAATATGCTATGTCTTGTATAAGGCTTTCATATTTAAAACATATACTTGATGAATAAGCAACCTGTACCTACTTTTCTATTTAATTTACCATTGATAGATGCAGGAGGAAGATAAGGGAACCTGCCCAAGGCCTTGTCTGGGTGTGCCTGCAACAGACCAGGGGGCCCACCTGTGCAGTGGGAGAATGGGGTGGAGCCACCAGGAATTCGCACCTTATGCAAGGGGGAAGAGTCTGGCCTCTTCAGCTCATGCATGGTGGCCCAGTATTCAATACGTGAGGTGGGAGCCTATTGGCAGAACCTCCCCGTTTTTTATTTTTATTTTTTGCTGAGATCTTTCTTTTAATAAATTCTGGTCTCCTCACCTTTCAATGTGTCCATGTGTCTAATTTTTCTTGGTTGTGACACAAGAACCTAGATTTTAGCTGAACTAAGGAGCAAAAAAGCCTGCATCGTTTTCGTGGCCTGTACGGGGACATGAGGAAAGGTAAGTAAAATGCAGAACAAAAAATCTTTTCCCCTTTTTTTTCTGAGGCTTTTTGTCCTTGGACTTCTTCTGAGGGTAGAGGAAACTGCATCCCCAACCCTGTCGCTCTGGGGGGTTAGAAATGTCGGCCTTGGTCCAACCCGGACTTTTCTATGGCATTGTCCTTCTCTTTTCGGGACTGTAATGGCACCACCTCACCCAACAGCCACAGACATGCGTGGGATGGATGGGCAAGCAGCGGCTCCCGGACCCCTCACCTCCTGGCTGGAGCTGGGGCACATGGCCCAAAGGCCTGTGTGGCAGGCTGGCCAGCATTCTCCAATACAAGTCCACAGAGTCTTCCCCTCCCCGGGCCAAGGAGTAGAGCTCCATCCAAGCCCCAGGGAAGAAACGGCAATTAGAAGTTCATCTCCCTGTTGGAGAAACCTACATGCATAAGAATAAGAGGTTCTTCCCCATGGCATCTTTCCAAACCTGCAGTTCCGGCTGATTTTTATTTTTTTATTTTTTTCTCCACCCTGTCAGCAGTTAACACAGCCTTGCACTTACAGCTGTTTGTTTTTTTCTTTTCTCCACTGGGTCAGGAGTTAACTTTTAAAAGAAAGGTCCTTTTTTCCCTTTTAGAAGCCGTGTTACTAGACCAGGACCCCAGCTATCACTGTTTATATTCTCTCTAAAGTTTTGATTATCGAAAGGGATTGATGAGTTGGCCTTAAGCTGTAGCCAATATGGTGTGCTTTCCATGTTTTACTGTATGGTTCTGTCAGAAAGAGGGGTAATTTAGGATGGGATGCGGGCCCAGGACTCTACAGGCCCACTGTTGAAGCTGGCCCAGCAAACTGGTTAGTGGCAAACTTTGCTGCAGGCCTCCATCTTGTTTTACGTCCTTGGAAGTATGACCTGTAACCACATGGCAATGCTTTGTTTGGCCTCCACCATTTTGCGATGGTGGCCCAGGTTCAGTCCTGGCTTAGAAAATGAGTCCTTTCTCGTTTGACATTCTATGTGATCTTTGCCATTTGTTGATTCTCTTCCCCTCCACAAACAGCCCTGAATTTTCCTCTCTCTGAGCACCTGAAAGGTTACCTTTGGTAAGGTTCAAAAACCAGGAATACTGGCTGCTTGGCACAGCTAAAGTCAGGTAGAAAGGGATTTAAAAGGATTTTCTTAAAGACTGCTCAGCTTAATTAAAAGTGGATATCCAAGTTATAGGTATATTTAAAAGGCCTTTATGTTTTTCTCTTTTTGGATTTTCTTTTTTTGGAGAAAGGTTTTTTCTCAGTCAACTGAATTATTTTTCTCCATTTTGCCTTGCTACTCATTTTTTTTTTTTTTTTTTGACAGAGTTTTGCTCATTACCTAGGCTGGAGTGCAATGACGCAATCTCCTCCACCTCCTGGGTTCCAGCAATTCTCCTGCCTCAGCCTCCCAAGTAGCCGGGATTACAGGCATGTGCCACCATGCCCAGCTACTTTTGTATTTTTAGTAGAGATGGGGTTTCACTATGTTGGTCAGGCTGGGCTCGAACTCCTGACCTCAGGTAATCCACCCACCTTGGCCTCCCAAAGTGTTGGGATTACAGGCATGAGCCACCGCGCCCGACCTTGCCTTGTCACTCTTAATGCACGAATGAGAGGCCCTAAGATAATTTCTGATGGCCTGGGACTGCTTTGGAAGAACAGAAAAGGTACCACAGTTTCCATTTTGGGAGAGACCTGTTTTCCTCATGGAGCCCCAGAAATTACAGGCAGATGGATCCCTGTCAAAGTCTGTCTTTGTCAGCTATACCTGTTTATTAGGCCCTAGAAACTACATGCTTTCCTACCCTTGCTCTTAAAGGGCTCCACCCAGAGGCCAATAATCCAATTAGGAGATGGCAAACAAAAAATCTTATAGCTACTGGATCTTCTGCCTGTCTGTGTAGTTATATATGTATTGAGTGTGTAATGTCTATTAAAAAAAAGAGCTCTAATTAACTGACTTAAAGAAGGATAAGTGCTTGGATCAAATATTTCTTAAAGGGAAGATAAAAGCTGTGGTACCTTCTGGCCCATGGGTCTTTAATCTTTGAGAAGTAAAAACAACCTTAAGATTATGGGTAAAATGCATATCCCATCAAAATGTAAATTTTTGCCTAGAGTTAAAGGATTGTTTTGAAATAGTTAAGATAAAGCTCAAAGTTTAAACAAGTTATGGAAGGATTGTAAACGTTAATCTTGCAAAAGAAATTCCATGTGTGAACATACTGACTAAATTCAAAAGGGTATTATATGGCTTTTCGATAAATTGAGCATTGAAATAAAAGCACAACAAGTTTCTCTTAAGGCACTAATCTGCTCTTTAGCAAAATTGTTAAAGTGTTATAAAAGGTGTTTTGCTTTTTAAAATTTCTGAGTCATCATTTTGGCAAAATAAATAACTTATGGTAATCTGGAATTCTATTTCATAACATCAAGGGTTTTACACTTGTAACATATTTAACAGGCTTCCCAAAATCCAATTTCAGTTTCAAAGTTGTCTTTCTTAGCTCTTGGATGCTACGGAGGACCCCGGAGCACCATGAAGAAAAGTAAACAGGGTTACCTCACATGTTTAGGTACATGGGATTGGCAAAATGATGTTTAATCTTCTTCAGGTTATATTTTCAAGAATAGTAATATATGTTCCAAAATTGTATGGTATTTCTAAAATTCTAATGTCTGAGTATATGCTATCAATCACAATTAAGATTGTTATGTTAAGTTATTGTAAACCACAGAGATAACCAGATTTCTTTGTCAATTTCTGATTGTAACTACCATAGACATTTTGTTATTCACAGATAATTGTTGTCTTGTTTTGATCTTCAAATGATGGTTTACAAACGCTATGGAACTTTGACAGGCACTCTCAAATGCATGTTTCTGATAACTTGGGAGACTGTGACATTGGAATAAAGAAAAAATATACAGGACTCATGGAGAGCTAAAATGTTCATGAATATCAAGCAAAACAAGAGTTAACCAAATGGACTGAACAACAGAAAACCTAAGTAATCTTTTTTACTTTTGCTTGGAACATTGCTGATCCTTGTTTTGTCTTTCAGAGTCAAGAAAACTTATTTGGAGCTATTAATGGCCTTTAATAATTGAGTAAACATCCTGTGAACAAAATGTGGAGCATGTTTGTCTCTCTCTGCCTGGCTTCTCCAGAATTTAGAAACTAGTTGTGAGTATTCTTAACTTATGGCAACATAGTTGTTTGCTTAAGTGAAATAAGAATCCATTTTCTTTTGCAATAGGACACAACTGGAGAAACCAGTTGTTTTACTAAGGCTTTGACTGAAAGGGTATGCTTCCCTTTAAGGAATCAAGCTCAACTTGAAAAGCTGATAAAAATCCCCTTGGTAAAACCGGCCTCATACCTTGTCTACACAGTCCCCATAGGGTCCTAACCTGTGGTGAGTAAAGAATGACACTCTCCTAGCTACTTGGGAGACTGAGTCAGGAGAACTGCTTGAACCTGGGAGGCAGAGGTTGTAGTGAGCAGAGATCACACCATTGCACTCCAGCCTGGGCTACAAGAGCGAAACTCCGTCTCAAAAAAAAAAAAAAAAAAAAAAGTTACTTTCCAGCAGGCCCAGGAACCACATGCTCTTGAGACCTCAAGAAGAGAGAAGTTTACCCAATTCACAGGTATTTGAGGGTAGAAACCCATGGCTGGGCTCAACTTTAGAAAGTCCTATCTGAGATTCCCTGTGAAACAGAGTTCCATCAAAGCCAGTCTAAAAGGCCTAAGTAGAAATAATTATTCTTGGTGCACTTTATGCAAATAATCAGGCCAAGTATAAGACTAAAGTCTATTTTGCAAACAACTCAGTGCTATCATAATTTTTTTTTAACAAAGATGAGGACTGGAGAGAAATTACATTTCAAAACTTTCACATTTGACATTAAATTCTAGACTCATTAGTTGTTTTTAAGTTTTTGCCTACATTTTAGACTAACCCTGCTTATTCCTGTGAACCAACCAACAATCTCCAGTTGCAGCTGAGAAGGAACAAGAGGGATGGGTAATGTATATATCTGGATCAACATTCTAGTTCTGAGCAATTATCCTGAAAATCCTGCCAGGTGATGGGAATAAATAGGGTGCCTATCATCCAGAGGTTTCCTTTTTGGGAAAGTAAGACCAAGAGGGCTAACCAAAGCCAAGCCCCATGCACACAAATCTTACCAAGCATAACTACAGCCACCAGTTATCTGGGCGTGTCACAAGACATCTTTTTCTCTCCTTTGTTGGAGGGACTCAATTCCACAGCTTCACCTTAGTATTCAGCTTATGATAAGGAGTCCATACAACCCCCCGAGATGCATTTTTGGTCCCAAACTCCATTCCAAGCTTCACGTTGAAGTCCTTGGAAAGAAAACTGGATCTGAGGGATCCAGAGGCAGACGATAATGGAAGTTAAAAGGCACAGCGCAAGTGATCATGACAAATTCCTGCCAATTAAGCCAAGCTTTCCATTTCATGGATAAAGGTCACGCTAGTATCCATGGCATAAATGAGGTCTAGGGAACTCGAAGGCTCCTGACACCAGGGAAGACAGGGCATACATGGGTATGAGCGGATATTTCCACTCCCTAGATCCCCCTGTTAACATGGGTTAAAGGCGCGTTGACCCCCATGGGCAGCAGCCCGTCATGGTCACCAGGACTCAGGGATGCGAGGACAGAAGAAAGAGGAATGTCTCACTTTCTCTCTCTCATGTAGCCCGGGTATTCAAGGGGAAGAGAAAAGAACCAGGGATGCCTGTTCCCCTCTTTCTAGATGAGTAGTCATTCATTTTCAGTCTGTACCCCTTTCCAATGCATCCTGAACTCCTGAGTTTCCTTTTTCCGCCTCTGTCCTCTCTTCACATATAATTGTGTTGCCATACTGTGGGACACTCCCCTCGGATGCATCCTCCAAACTGGGAAAAGTTAATTTCTCAAACCTTAAACTGGTTGGCTAAGGATTGAGTTCAGGAGAAGGGAACCCAGAAGCCTGACATGCTGGCAAAAGGGTAAAAGTTGTTGTTGCTTTTTTTTTTTTTTTTTTTTTTTTAACCAGTTGGGCTTTTGGCTTCCCTCTCCCTGTACAAACTGGTAAAAGGCCTCGGGATTTACCCCAGCTTGTTTCATTTTGATATGTGTTTTCTAATAACTCAGTTTGTCTCTTCTCACCTTCAGGACATTAAACTCCAAAGCGTCATGGAATCAGAGCCTCAGACAATGGCCCCTTCTGCTGGGGACCCTTAGATAGGCCTTTCAGGGAGAACTGACTGCCATTTTCCCAAAACAGCACCTTCTGTCAGCAGGAAGCAGTTAAGATTGGTCTTCATCCTCTTCCTTATCCTTATTCTAATGGCAGTTAGATGTACTACTTTAGAGGGGGGAATGATAGATGCAGGAGGAAGATAAGGGAACCTGCTCAGGGCCTTGTCTGGGTGTGCCTGCAGCTGACTGGGGGCCTGCCTGAGCACTGGGAGAATGCGGTGGAGCCACTGGGAATTCTTGCACTATGCAGTGGGGAGGAGTCTGGCCTCTTCAGCTCCTGTGTGGTGGCCTGGTATTCAGTTTGTGAGGTGGGAGCCTGTTGGCAGGACCCTTTTTTTTTTTTTTCCTGAGAGATTTCTTTTAATAAATTCTGCTCTCCTCACCTTTCAATGTGTCCACATGCCTAATTTTTCCTGGTCATGACACAAGAACCCAGGTTTTAGCTGAACTAACGAGTTAAAAAAAAAAATCCATCATCATCGCTTGAAGTTCTTAAGTGGTAAATGAAATGATAAAATAAAAACTTAATCATTTGCAAAATAATAGAAAACAAATGTAAAGCTTTTTGGTTTTACTGGAATAACAAAAAATCCTGGTACAAATATAATGAAAAGTAGGAAATCGTTCATTTTTCATCTAATAAATTCTGAATCTTGCTTCAGGTTTTCTCAATTTTTGTTCTAGATCAAGTATCTTTTGGGTCCAGGAAGAAATAAATTTTTTCTACTCCATTCTCCTCAGAATAAAACACAGTCTTCTTTTAAAGACAGTGAAAAAAGCAGCAACAGTCAGCCTTTCAGAAACTGAGGGTGCCACTTTTCCCAAGAGACGTAGAGTATTTTAGAGGGGACTCTGGGTCTCATCTGCTGTGATCCCACTTTCCAGGTCTGTATACAGATGAGGCAAAGGGCACAGCACTGTGTTGCAGAACTAATAGAGTCCACCGGATCATTTTGCAAGGATCCCATTCTTTCTTAAAAAAAAAAAAAAAAAAATCACGACTTGTGAAACTCCTCTGAAAACCTAAAAATTAAGAAAAGGCTACGCTTTGAGAGAACTTCAGGATAAATTTCTTCTGCAGTTGTGCACATAAAAATTCCTCTCTGAGCAAAGCAGTATATTGTGCATGCATTAAAGATTATGACTTAGAGCTAGGAAAAGTTGGGACTTGCAGGCGTTAACTTGGTTTGAATTGACAACACAGAAGTGAAGAAACACTGCTACTATTAAAACAGGTGGACGTTCTCTCAGGAATAAGCATGTTTTATAAAAACTCATAGAAGTTATTAATTCAATATGTTTCCTGGCTGTTCCAGCTGCATTTACTGTACGTGTCAAATAAGCAGCTGCTCCCAGAGTTCTCAGAAAAGAGACTCGCCAGAGCTAGAAGGCCATGGAAAGGATTCTGAGGACAGACTCATGGGGAGGACAAAAGTTGGTTCTATTTTGAAACAGACTATTCCATGATAGCCATCTGGCCAACAATATGTGCCATACCACTGCCTTATATTTGTTTGCATAGTACTTTACAGTTTAAGACATGTTTTCACAAACTGAATTCTCTCTCTGCAGCTTAGCAGGTGCTGTTCTAGGCAATCTTATCTCCATTTTCAAAAAAGAAATGGAAATAAATCAACTAACTGCCTAAGGAAGCAAGAGGTAAAACAGGGTCTTAGATGTACCCCTTTTTTGAAACTCATCATATCACTCAGCTACAAATTATTATGCATATTTTACAGCTCTATTAGCTTCCTTGAAATCAGAGACACTGTTGTGTTCATTTTTAAATCTACCCCTCTTTCACCTTCTCCAATTGAGTGAATTTTCAGGTGAATCAATTTATCACTCCTATGTCGGAGGGTAAGTCTATCCAGTATATTCTTCCAACATATCCCGAAGTTTAAAATACTAAACTACCACCAACTGGACAAATTTATTTCCTCCCTTAGTAAATCAGAAATGTTTATTTTTATAACACAACAATTCTGGAGTATGCCAGACTACAAAGCAGTAAAGTTTGAATCCCCCTGTGGGAACACAATAGAACTCATTCTTCAATAATGTTTTTAATCTCTCAGTATGGACTAGGAAGGATAATACTAAATGTTTAAGTCCCCAAAATAGGAAAAAACATATTAATGAAGGAAGCTTCTATTTTCCTGTAAGTTCTAACAGATGGTTTCCAAACACATTCATAGAGTTAAATGCATAATTTCACCCTATAAATATGCTGTAAAACATTAAAAATAGATTATAGCACATATATCTTATGGGGCAAATGAAATGATAAAAGGAATTTTATAGTGGATAAACTCATAGTTAAAAGATAATATTGTTTACAACTATGTGTCTCTTTTAATAGAATTAATGGATTAAATGTGACAGCTTTATAAATAACACTTAAAACTATTTCCTTAATTTACATCTTAATATCTTAGCATAGTATAAGAGGAAAGGCTTTCTCTCGAACGTGAATATTTTTGTGACACTTTAGTGTTTTTAAATTTACTTTTTTTTTTCTATTTCAGCCTCACTGATAAGAAACCATGTTATAATCAAACACTAAGAGAGTTAGCTATTATATTACATTATTAGGTTAAAAATGCAAAAAAAAAACTTGGCAAAGAGAAATGACAACTATCATTCAAAGAATTTTTCCACTTAAGATAATTTTCTCTGTTGAATTCTCTCTGGGATCAGTCATTTTTGACGATTTCAGATCTAACTTACTATAGCAGTTAAAATGTGTTGTGTACTAGAAGGTGAAAATGAAATGGTGAGCTAAGGAAATCAGTTATTCTATTATATTTTAGGATTTTCAACAGAATCATAAGTTATGTTCAAAGTATTAACTCATAGACTCATATGAAGATCAAACGAGATTTGTAGGCTCCATCTGACAAAAGAAGAGGCTCAGAGAATGTGAGATGTATGCATGACACAGAGCAACTACTTAAATATCTTTTATATCTAAATCATGAGAACTTGTATTTTGTGAATGCCTTTATACACAAAGCCAAACATGCCCATGTGATCTTCATTCACAATTTCATATTTATATTTGTTTAACAATACATAATCATCTAGAGATGGTGCCAGCACTACCTTGGGGGTAGTCGGGAAACAGAACAAGCTTCTTCCCCAAAGGGAAGGGTAAAGTCACAAAGGATGAAAACAAGTAGGTCTTTTAAGGATGGTGGGTCCTACTGAATGAAGGAAAATGTTTTAGATAAGCTTACATATGGCAAAAAGAGCCAGTATAAAGCTAAGCTCTGCATCATTAAAAAAAACAAAACAAAACAAAAAAAGGGCACTTGAAGATACTCTAAAAGAAAAAAAGTTAATACTGAGACAGAGAGGAACTAGAGAAGATGAGACCCCCAGGTGCAGGATCAGAGGAAAACACAAAGCAACAGGACTGAGCAGAGATGGTGGAGAAGGCAACTCTAACTGTGGATTTCTAAGTTTTGCTTATGAGGTTTGTGAGATACAATGCCTCTCTTTTTATCTTTACTACCAAACATTTAAGAAACTTCACATTGTTTGGGTTCTTTACCAGAACCCAAGGACATGTGAAGTTCCAAGTCTGGGTGTCTCTCAGGCTTGAGGGTAACATCTACGGATCTGTGGAGGTGAGCAGCCAGTCCTTTTTTTTCTAGAAAGCGACAAATATAAACCCATACAAACACAACAGCAGCGTCCGTATTAAGATCTGTGCCATTACGTATTATGGAGGAAAATTTCTAAAGAATAAACCTTCAAACATTTTGAATTCTAGCAATATGGTAGGAAAATTTGTTGCATATATGAATCCCAAAGATCTTAGTCTGTTTCTACTTGAAATCCACCAGCATATAAAGTTGATGTATTTACTCTAAAAAAACTACATGATGAGTACCAACTTATGACAAGGGAACAGAAAGTTAAACACTGCATTACTCATATGTGGAAGCCAAAAAAAAAGTTGATCTCTCATAGAAGCAAAAAGTAGAACAGAGGATACTAGAGGCTGGGAAGGGTATGGGGAAGGGGGCAATTGGGGAGAGATTTGTTAAAGGATAAGAAATCACAGCTAAAAGGAAGGAGTAAATTCTAGTGTTCTATAGCACTGTGGGATGGCTATAGTTAACAACAACATGTTTCCAGGCCAGGCTTAGTGGCCTGTAATCCCAGCACTTTGGGAGGCCAAGATGGGCGGCTTGCTCGAGCTCAGGAGTTCGAGACCAGCCTGAGCAACACGGTAAAACCCCATCTCTACCAAAAATACAAAAAATTAGGCATGGTGGCACATGCCTGTGGTCCCAGCTACTTGGGAGGCTGAGGTGGGAGGATCACTTGAGCCTGAAAGGTGGAGGTTGCAGTGAGCTGTGATCATGCCACTGCACTCCAGCCTGGGCAACAGAGTGAGACTCTGTCTTAAAAAATATGTATATATTATATAGTTTCAAATAGCTGAAAGGAGGATATTGAATGTTTTCAATACAAAAAAAAAAGTTTGAGATGATGGATATAATTACCTGATTTGATCACTATACATTATACGTATCAAAACATCACTGTGTACCCTCTGAACAGGTATGATTATTATGTGTCAATTTAAAAAATTTTTTAAAGAAAAAGAAGAAAGAATAAGAGATGGACACCACCATTTAGAACTACTGTGTGCTGGAAAAACAATACATGAAATAGAAAACAAATGTGATTTCAACCTGTTAAAACTATATTTAAAACTAAAGTTATTTAATAAACATTGACTATGTACTCTATAATTATGAACAAAACACAATTTTGCCCTTAAATAACCCACCATCTAGTAAGAAGAGACACACATGCACATGGATAAAAGATGCAGTGTTTTTATGAATAGAATTAGACTTCAGAAATCTTCATATTCTCTATATACAGTCATGAACAAAACACAATTTTGCCCCTAAAAAACCCACAATCTAGTAAGAAGAGACACACATGCACATGGATAAAAGATGCAGTGTTTTTATGAATAGAATTAGACTTCAGAATCTTCATATTCTCTCTTTCTATAGTTATCAACAAAACACAATTTTGCCCTTAAAAAACCCACAATCTAGTAAGAAGAGACACACATGCACATGGTTAAAAGATGCAGTGTTTTTATGAACAGAATTAGACTTCAGAAATCTTCATATTATCTCTCTCATTTTACAGACCTTGAAAGATTATGGGGATTGTCCAAGTTCCCATGACTATAAGTAGCCATGTAGTACGTAAACTTAAATTATTTGACTCCTTATTTATCTCATCATAGTAACTATAAATTTCATAGAATGTGTTAAGTGAACAATTAGATGATAATATCTGATACATCATAAGCACTTAATAAACGATGGTGAATAAATAATAAATGAGCAAACAAAAAAATGAAGGCTCTCCAAGGGCGGGGGTGGAGGAAATAATGAGAAAAAAATCACAGGGCTTAAAAAAAACTATCCTACTTACTAAGGTCTGTGAATGAATACGATATAATTATTTCATCATAATAACTAGAATTATTTTTACAATGAAAATTAACAGAAAACTTTTAAGATACTTCCTCCTAAACTACTTACATAGACTTATGCTAGAATTTAGATTACTTCATTCCAGTGTATTTTAATCGCTCCACTTGCATATATCCTCAATTCCTCCAGCTACCTGGTGCTCATTTCATCATACTTTCCCAGCAAAATCCCACCTGTGCTTATACCCAAGGCTCCATGTACTCCACACCTGCATCTATACAGCTGAAAATGGCTAGATAAAACTCAACCAAGATTATGGGTCTCATTTTAAGATCAACAAATGCAAGTGAACCTTTAGTACTGCCTAGAAATCTCCCAGGCATCACAGTACATTTCCCTAGTCTATTTGCTGTCACATGGACCTACAGAACTATGTATATCATCTCCTTTAACTGAGAAAACAAAGGCGATTATAAGATCTTTCATAAGTCTCTACCAGCCAGCATAATTGCTCACCTGTACCTGCTGGGCCTGTGTATTCTGTTCCCTTGGGTTTCTACAGATGATCCAAAGATGCTTCTAACTAATGTCGACTCTTCGCCTGGTAAATCAGCTCCCCACATTCTCATGCCTGCTCATCAATGATGCTCCCCTTAAATTTGCTCCTTTTAATTATTCGGGTTAATTTCTATCAGCATATGAGCATGCCATGACATCTTTAAAATAATTTTTTTAAAAGAACACTTTGATCCCATTTCCCCTGCCAGCTACCAGCAATTTCTGTTCTTTGCATCAAAACCACGGACAGAATTCTCTGTGCTCCCTGTCTCCAGTTTCTCTCCTCCCACACTCTCATGATCCCACTCCCTGCACATGGTCAGCCACAGCAAAACTGCTTAGCACGGTCACCAGAGACCTTCACAGTCTAAATCCAATGGATGACTCTCAGTTCTCGCCTTATCTGACCTTATAACCTGCAGCATCAGACACATTTCATCTCACTCTTCTTGAAATATGTTCTTTGTTTGCTTTCCAGACACTATGTGCTTTTGTTTCCCTTCTAACACCTGGGCTGTACTTTTCAATCTCTTTTGCCAACTCCTCCTTATCTTCCCAGTGGGTTGAATTTCTCTTGGATATTTTCGTTTCTCCATTCTCTGGGTAACCTCATTCAGCTCTATTCTTATGACTCTCAAATTAATAACTCCAAACCAAACTTCTCCCCAAATTCTGAAATCCAACTGTCTACTCATCATATCCACGTAAATGTCTAATAGGCACCTCAACATAGCTGAGAAAACATACTTCTCACCTCCAAACCTGCAGCAATCTTCCCCATCTGGGTTAATGACAACTGCATTCTTGCAGCTGCTCAAACACAAGCCCCGGAGCCATCTTTTTCTCTCTCACACTTCACATCAGCAGATCCAATCAACTACCATCAAAATACATCCAGAATTGGTCACTTCTCACCACCTCAATCACTACCACAATGCTCCAGCAATCACCAAGTGAATTACTGCCAATAGTGTCCTAACAGGATTCCATACCTTGGCCCCTGTCCCCTAGAAT
The DNA here is from genome assembly GCF_000001405.40 of Homo sapiens. NCBI lineage: Eukaryota > Metazoa > Chordata > Mammalia > Primates > Hominidae > Homo > Homo sapiens. The sequence continues at coordinate 148,311,614 of NC_000004.12, forward strand.
CACATAGCAGCCAGAGTAATCTTGAGACATATGAGTCAGATGCCATTCATTTGCTCAAAAGTTTCCAACTGCCCCAGTGACAACTTAAGTCCTAATAGTGGCCTACAGAGGCCTACATGAAAAGGCCCTATTAATCACCTCACTGCCAATTACACTGCACTCTTGTTTAGTCTGCACCAGCCATGCTGGCCTCCTTGATGATTCTGGAATGTGCCAAGATACTCCTGCTTAGGACATTTGCATCTGCTATTCACTCTGCCTGGAATGTTCTTCCCCCAGAAGTTGTACAACTATCTCCTTTACAATCTTCACAAGGTTGCTCAAACTTCTCAGTGAGGCCTCTACTGATCCCGCAGTACTCTCTAAAGCAGTACTCATGCATGGGCATGCATGCACACACAGTGATGCTTCTGATTTATGCTGTATTTGGTGGCAATATTTATCACCATTTAACATATCACATTTTACTTTGTTTATTGTGTAGTGGTGTACTGGAGGCAGCTTATACTGGCTCGTGGAAGCCAATTCTTAACTTTTCAGGAATTCTGCGAGCTAGTCATTAAACTACAGCTATTATTAGCAAGTGTAGTCTGTAAAGTGACAATTATATAAAAGACAAAGGTAACAAATACTCAAAACTCATCATTTCCCAATTATTTTACTACATTTAAATTTATGTTTTTTAGGTTATTTACATTTATGAGTATGGTAGAAATGCTATATATATATCTTTGCATTCAGTTCAACCACATTGGTAGCTTAAAATCAGTTGTGGTGGGAATATTTACACTATCAAAATCAGCAAATGCTAAAAATCAGGGCCTTTCTTTCCCTGCAGCCAGCCAGTTGTTAAGCATTTACCATTATCGAAATAGCACTGATTGTCTGTCTGACTCTGCTATGGATATATCCTAGCTTCTAGTACAGTATCTGGCACATAGTAGGTACTAAAATACTAAAGGAATGAAAGAATGAATTTCCGTGAAAGCCACCTGCAAAAGTATACTGAGAAGAAAGTACAAAACTATATCTCATTTGACAAGTTATATACAGTTGTATATGATACTCTCCCTGTTAAATAATGTCACATTAATTCAAATAAATGTCTCATAAAATAATTCAACTTAGCTATATTGGCATTTTTCCAAGCAAATAATCAGACTTTCTAAGTTGATACATTCTTGCTTCAGAGTTATGTTTAGTTTTGCATTTCATTTATAAAAAGGCTTTTTTTTATGGGAAAAGCATATGTCTTTAGTTAAAGAGCAGTAGCCCAATTAAATATTACCAAAGAAAAACGCTTTTTACTTTGAGAATGATTCACCTTTGAACTACTAGAAGCTGTAAGCATAGACAATAAATGCATCATTAACTCACAACAAATAAAATTAACACTCTTCAAAGGCAAGAAATAGTAAAACAGTCCTTTTAATTACTTGTTTAAATGACCCAGGACTTTCTTATTACCAACTGCAGAGAATAAGCCATACCTAAATGAGATAGAACATGATGGATAATTTACCAGAGAAAGGAAACATCTGAGTATTTAGAAAGTCCTTGGGCTACAGTCCAACAGCGTTCCTCCTGTGAGGATTATGCAGACTTATTCCAATCTATTAAAACACACACAAAAAACACAACCACTTTAAACATACTGAGTCCCGAAAAACTTCAAATTGTAAATGAGTCCATTGCACTCAGTACAAGTTTTATGCATAAAAATATTTTTGAACCATCCAATGTGTAATATTTGTGAGAAAATTTACATAGTAGAGGACTATAATATGCTTTGGTATGTTCCATAAGAGACCTTTTATCAATTGAAAAATCTCCTTTAATGTTTTGTAAGCTAAAAACTACTAATAAAATATTATTGTAAGTTTTGCAAAATGCTAAAATCTTTTTAAATCTGAGGACAATCCTATGAGGTAGATATTATCGGTCGTGCTTTAAAAATTAAAGAAAACTGAACTTCAGTGATATACTCAAGAACACAATTAGTAAGGTGGGAAAATGGGTCCCAGCTTTTGACTCTGAATTCTCTACCACTCCATTAACTGCTGAATTCTCAAAGGTTTTTCAGATATCATTTTATAAACTTTATTTGCTTAGAAGTTTGCTTTAACCTTACTTACTACAGCCTGGCTTTCTTCCTGCTGTATGTCTTCTGTCTTGCAAAGATGGTGAACACACCCCCAGGCAATTCTCTTGCTAAGTTCAACAGTATTATAAAACTAAGATCCCTAAATCCCACAGCAAGCTTTTCTTGCTAGCATAAACTTGTGAGTTTTATTATAATGGTTAATATAACCTATGCATTACATCTTTTCAAGGGGGAAGGTAAGTGATGGAAGGGTCTCATTTATAGAAGCTGTAAATACTCTAACTTCGATTCGAAAGAGGAGGTGTATTTTATCATTAGAACAGTACATGGCACTACAATTCCACATGTGACTAAGGAATCACAAACTCTATGGAGGGCAAGTAAGATTGGACTCAGTTAAAAGAAACCACAAAAGGACTATATTGGGGGGAAAGATCTTCAAAAGCTATATGATCGCATACTTTGAGGTAGAAATGAAAGAGATGAGCAAGTATGACAAGAGGGAGAGAAAGCACCCACCTTTCCTTACCTCACCAGAAATCCACAGTTGCTGATGCAAGTTATGCTATTTTTAGTACAGTATTAAACTTGGCCATTTTCTGGTTCTGTGAAAAACATTATTATTTTTTTAGATATATAACTATGCTTAAAATATTAGAACTCTTTGCATTTGAGAGCTTTATTATCAGTCATCGGAAAGGTGCTGTGCATTTGCTATGCATAGTTTTACAGGTGTTTTTACCATTAAATGGCCTATTTTAAGTAAAATTATATCTTACATTTATATTTTACAATATATACAGTAATGAAAATTGAGTAAGTGAAGCCTTTAATACAGTACTTGAATAAAACTGCATGCGTGTCCATATTTTAAATATGATCCTGATGTTATTAATAATCACTTGCAAACAGTTTTGTAATTTCCTAGAAAGGATAACTTCACTTGAAGTATCTAATGTCTACATTGGTTCTGAAGTGAAATGTAAATATCTGACTTCCCAATAATCCAGAAGATTTTAAAAGGAAAATTGAAATTGAAAGACTTCCATTACACCTCATTTATCACAGCTGCAAATTCTACATCTATTTCTGATATCAAAATAATCATAATATCCTCATAACTAAGAAAACACACATCCAATAATTACACAATGAACTTTAACATGATAAATATGTTTATAGTTTTATATCATGAACATGATGCAAAATCCTACCACCGAAAACATGTTCTACGAACATTATACAATAAATGACATGTATTTTTAAAGTCAAACACTCTTATTTATAATTCAGGCAAATAGAAGTCTCAAATAACCAGTGTTTTGACAGTATCAAAGATGTTATAATAGTTCATTTTTTAAAAACAGCTTTTGCAGTATGTCATGGGACCAGAATAGTTTGGGCCAGCACTCCATCTCCTCCTACACTGACGGCTCACTGTTCAGCCACTTTGATCCGCCAGTTACTCACAAAGTCCAGTAGGGTCTTCCCATGGTTGAGCATACTCAGCTCTTAGTTATGTAGACATTCATTCCATGGCAAACCACAGCCACTCTTGGTGGTTGGAAGCTGTCACTGTGCCTGTACACACCTGTCATGCAAAATGATCTGTGGCATCAACTCCAAGGTACTATGTTAAGTTGTCTCAGTATTCCTAACTCCTAAATGAAACTTGAAGAAGATAAAAATAAACCTCTCTGAGAAACTCTGAACCCCTCACTCTCTGTCTAACCAAAACCAATGTTTCTTCACAACGATGCTCTCAGGATGCAAGATTTTACACCCTCTGAATATTTTTCTTGATGTAGCCTATGAGAATGTTTTGCATTCATGTAACTCTGCAAATTAGTTTTTTTAGACTTAATTATCCAAAACACTTCTTCTGACAAACATTCTAAAGAAACAGAAGTATTTATGAACAACAGAATAAAACGCTGTTTGGCTTAGCTGGCATTACATACCCTAAAGACTTACGTATTCTGTTTGAAAAATTAGAATAAACTCTTTAGCCAAAGAATTTTGGAAATTTCCTTTAGGGGCCTTATATGAATCAATCACTACAATAAACCTTCAAGTTGCAAAATGTTATCACAAATTCCTAAAATTCATGAGAATATGGTAAAATACAATTTCTACAATGCTGACAGTAATGTAAATTGTATTGCAGTAATGAAAACAGTTTTGTGATATATACTTCCAAAAATCTTTCTTACAATCTCCGTTTTTGGAATTCACCTTAAAGATTCAGAATTCAGACCAGACTTCTATAATATGCATATTTGCACATTATAGAAGTTATATGAGGGAAAACCAATAATGCCAACTAGAATGGTTAAAAGTAGAAAAACATGTTGTAAAACATGACATAGGATTTAAGATTTTCAATTAATACAATTTTTTTCATATCGAAAATGCTTACGATATGCTAAGCAAAATAGCAGAAAATAATTGTAATATGAAACATGGTCTCACTTATATGCAATGTGTTAGTACACACACATACACACACAGGATTGTAAGGAAATACATATAATATAGTGGTCATCTGTGGTATAACTGAATAATTTTGGTTTGTTTATGCTTTCATTTTATATGCACTGTATAGTTATGTATAATAAAGTATATTTATATATTTATGCGGAACATGTATTATATTTATTCCCTGTGTATTATTTAAGGAGAAATTTAGATTATTTACTTTCCGAGAAGCCACAACCCAGGTAAAGGTAGCTTTGATTTGCTGAATACAACTTTCTATAAGGCATTAATTACGTACAAACACCAACTGTTACAGAATTTTGAGAAATAAGAATCAATAAGTTATCTGTGAACATTTTGAGAAATAAGAATAGGTATATCTGAAATGCTCTCTTTGCAATTTCTTTTAAGGAGGAAATTTTTATAATTAGCCAAAATTATGCTCAGTTATATAGGTTTTTATTCTATTTATAGATCTGACTCCAATTTTATACTATATATTTATACTTCTCATTATTTTAGAGAGCATACATTTTGGTTTTGAACATTCCACTTAAAAATTAAATGCCCTCCATTAGTTGTTTTTTCTTTTTTGTTGTTGTTGTTGTTTTTTGTTTGTTTTCTGAGACAGGCTCTCGCTCTGTTGCCCAGGATGGGATGTAGTGGTGTGATCATGGCTCACTGCAGCCTAGACCTCCTAGGCTCAACTGATCCTCCTGCCTAGGCCTCCTGAGTAGCTGGGATGACAGGCGCACACCACCATTTCCAGCTAATTTTTGTAGAGACGGGGTTTCGCTATGTTGCCCAGGCTGGTCTCAAACTCCTGGGCTCAAGCGATCCACCTGCTTCAGCCACCCAAAGTGCTGGGATTACAGGCTTGAGCCACTGTGCCCAGGCCACCATCAGTATTTTTAATGGAAAATCACAGTTTCATTAAAACTTATAAATGTATTCACTTAAGACACTAGAAGTTCAACCCATGCATTAGAAAGATTCTCATAAAAGTTAGAGTAGAAAAAAGACATGGCACATGCCTGTAATCCCAGCTACTTGTGAGGCTGTGGCAGGAGAATCACTTTAACCCGGGAGGTGGAGGTTGTGGTGAGCTGAGATCGCACCATTGCACTTGAGCCTGGGCAACAAGAGCAAAACTCTGTCTCAAAAAAAAAAAGAAAAAAAGAAAAAAAAGAAAAAAGAAAAAAGACTACCTTAAAATTTTTTAGCTATAAAAATTAAGACAATGCCATTTTGTTTTCTTCATATCCGCAATATCCCAACTAAATATAACAAAACCCAGTTGCTTTGTACCTATTTTGAACAACTTATAAAAAGGTCAGAAGCTACATTAAAAAAATACAACTGGTTATGGTTATAAAGAAGATACAGAGAGGGAGTATGAGAATTTGTATGATAAATGCTGGAATAAGCCAAAAGATCTCAAAGAAGATGATGTTCAGTTTTAATTTTCCTTGAAAATACATCCTAAATCATGTAGGCATTATTTTAAATATATGTAGAAATGAAAGAAAAATATTATGGTCAAAAATGAAAACCTAATAGATCTGCAGAAAAAGCTTTTTTTTAAAAAGAATGAAATTAAGTCTATCTCATTTTTTTTTTTAGTGATTATATAAATAACCTTAAATTTTGAATATGTGTTCTAGTTAAGCTGTTTTCTTTTTCTTTTTTTTTATTATACTTTAAGTTTTAGGGTACATGTGCACATTCTGCAGGTTAGTTACATATGTATACATGTGCCATGCTGGTGCGCTGCACCCACTAACTCGTCATCTAGCATTAGGTATATCTCCCAATGCTATCCCTCCCCCCTCCCCCCACCCCACAACAGTCCCCAGAGTGTGATATTCCCCTTCCTGTGTCCATGTGATCTTACTGTTCAATTCCCACCTATGAGTGAGAATATGCGGTGTTTGGTTTTTTGTTCTTGCCATAGTTTACTCAGAATGATGATTTCCAATTTCATCCATGTCCCTACAAAGGACATGAACTCATCATTTTTTATGGCTGCATAGTATTCCATGGTGTATATGTGCCACATTTTCTTAATCCAGTCTATCATTGTTGGACATTTGGGTTCGTTCCAAGTCTTTGCTATTGTGAATAATGCCGCAATAAACATATGTGTCCATGTGTCTTTATAGCAGCATGATTTATAGTCCTTTGGGTATATACCCAGTAATGGGATGGCTGGGTCAAATGGTATTTCCAGTTCTAGATCCCTGAGGAATCGCCACACTGACTTCCACAATGGTTGAACTAGTTTACAGTCCCACCAACAGTGTAAAAGTGTTCCTATTTCTCCACATCCTCTCCAGCACCTGTTGTTTCCTGACTTTTTAATGATGGCCATTCTAACTGGTGTGAGATGATATCTCATTGTGGTTTTGATTTGCATTTCTCTAACGGCCAGTGATGATGAGCATTTTTTCATGTGTTTTTTGGCTGTATAAATGTCTTCTTATGAAAAGTGTCTGTTCATGTCCTTCGCCCACTTTTTGATGGGGTTGTTTGTTTTTTTCTTGTAAATTTGTTTGAGTTCATTGTAGATTCTGGATATTAGTCCTTTGTCAGATGAGTAGGTTGTGAAAATTTTCTCCCATTTTGTAGGTTGCCTGATCACTCTGATGGTAGTTTCTTTTGCTGTGCAGAAGCTCTTTAGTTTAATTAGATCCCATTTGTCAATTTTGGCTTTTGTTGCCATTGCTTTTGGTGTTTTAGACATGAAGTCCTTGCCCATGCCTATGTCCTGAATGGTAATGCCTAGGTTTTCTTCTAGGGTTTTTATGGTTTTAGGTCTAACGTTTAAGTCTTTAATCAATCTTGAATTGATTTTTGTATAAGGTGTAAGGAAGGGATCCAGTTTCAGCTTTCTACATATGGCTAGCCAGTTTTCCCAGCACCATTTATTAAATAGGGAGTCCTTTCCCCATTGCTCGTTTTTCTCAGGTTTGTCAAAGATCAGATAGTTGTAGATATGTGGCATTATTTCTGAGGGCTCTGTTCTGTTCCATTGACCTATATCTCTGTTTTGGTACTAGTACCATGCTGTTTTGGTTACTGTAGCCTTGTAGTATAGTTCGAAGTCAGGTAGTGTGATTCCTCCAGCTTTGTTCTTTTGGCTTAGGATTGACTTGGCGATGTGGGCTCTTTTCTGGTTCCATATGAACTTTCAAGTAGTTTTTTCCAATTCTGTGAAGAAAGGCATTGGTAGCTTGATGGGGATGGCATTGAATCTATAAATTACCTTGGGCAGTATGGCCATTTTCACGATATTGATTCTTCCTACCCATGAGCATGGAATGTTCTTCCATTTGTTTGTATCCTCTTTTATTTCCTTGAGCAGTGGTTTGTAGTTCTCCTTGAAGAGGTCCTTCACGTCCCTTGTAAGTTGGATTCCTAGGTATTTTATTCTCTTTGAAGCAATTGTGAATGGGAGTTCACTCATGATTTGGATCTCTGTTTGTCTGTTGTTGGTGTATAAGAATGCTTGTGATTTTTGTACATTGATTTTGTATCCTGAGACTTTGCTGAAGTTGCTTATCAGCTTAAGGAGATTTTGGGTTGAGACAATGGGTTTTTCTAGATATACAATCATGTCGTCTGCAAACAGGGACAATTTGACTTCCTCTTTTCCTAATTGAATACCCTTTATTTCCTTCTCCTGCCTAATTGCCCTGGCCAGAACTTCCAACACTATGTTGAATAGGAGTGGTGAGAGAGGGCATCCCTGTCTTGTGCCAGTTTTCAAAGGGAATGCTTCCAGTTTTTGCCCATTCAGTATGATATTGGCTGTGGGTTTTCATAGATAGCTCCTATTATTTTGAAATACGTCCCATCATTACCTAATTTATTGAGAGTTTTTAGCATGAATGGTTGTTGAATTTTGTCAAAGGCTTTTTCTGCATCTATTGAGATAATCATGTGGTTTTTGTCTTTGGCTCTGTTCATATGCTGGATTACATTTATTGATTTGCGTATATTGAACCAGCCTTGCATCCCAGGGATGAAGCCCACTTGATCATGGTGGATAAGTTTTTGATGTGCTGCTGGATTCGTTTTGCCAGTATTTTATTGAGTATTTTTGCATCAATGTTCATCAAGGATATTGGTCTAAAATTCTCTTTTTTGGTTGTGTCTCTGCCTGGCTTTGGAATCAGAATGATGCTGGCCTCATAAAATGAGTTAGGGAGGATTCCCTCTTTTTCTATTGATTGGAATAGTTTCAGAAGGAATGGTACCAGTTCCTCCTTGTACCTCTGGTAGAATTCGGCTGTGAATCCATCTGGTCCTGGACTCTTTTTGGTTGGTAAGCTATTGATTATTGCCACAATTTCAGATCCTGTTATTGGTCTATTCAGAGATTCAACTTCTTCCTAGTTTAGTCTTGGGAGAGTGTATGTGTCGAAGAAGTTATCCATTTCTTCTAGATTTTCTAGTTTATTTGCATAGAGGTGTTTGTAGTATTCTCTGATGGTAGTTTGTATTTCTGTGAGATTGGTGGTGATATCCCCTTTATCATTTTTTTATTGCGTCTATTTGATTCTTCTCTCTTTTTTTCTTTATTAGTCTTGCTAGCGGTCTATCAATCTTGTTGATCCTTTCAAAAAACCAGCTCCTGGATTCATTAATTTTTTGAAAGGTTTTTTGTGTCTCTATTTCCTTCAGTTCTGCTCTGATTTTAGTTATTTCTTGCCTTCTGCTAGCTTTTGAATGTGTTTGCTCTTGCTTTTCTAGTTCTTTTAATTGTGATGTTAGGGTGTCAATTTTGGATCTTTCCTGCTTTCTCTTGTGGGCATTTAGTGCTATAAATCTCCCTCTACACACTGCTTTGAATGCGTCCCAGAGATTCTGGTATGTTGTGTCTTTGTTCTCATTGGTTTCAAAGAACATCTTCATTTCTGCCTTCATTTCGTTATGTACCCAGTAGTCATTCAGGAGCAGGTTGTTCAGTTTCCATGTAGTTGAGCGGTTTTGAGTGAGATTCTTAATCCTGAGTTCTAGTTTGATTGCACTGTGGTCTGAGAGACAGTTTGTTATAATTTCTGTTCTTTTACATTTGCTGAGGAGAGCTTTACTTCCAACTATGTGGTCAATTTTGGAATAGGTGTGGTGTGGTGCTGAAAAAAATGTATATTCTGTTGCTTTGGGGTGGAGAGTTCTGTAGATGTCTATTAGGTCCGCTTGGTGCAGAGCTGAGTTCAATTCCTGGGTATCCTTGTTGACTTTCTGTCTCTTTGATCCGTCTAATGTTGACAGTGGGGTGTTAAAATCTCCCATTATTAATGTGTGGGAGTCTAAGTCTCTTTGTAGGTCACTCAGGACTTGCTTCATGAATCTTGGTGCTCCTGTATTGGGTGCATATATATTTAGGATAGTTAGCTCTTCTTGTTGAATTGATCCTTTTACCATTATGTAATGGCCTTCTTTGTCTCTTTTGATCTTTGTTGGTTTAAAGTCTGTTTTATCAGAGACTAGGATTGCAACCCCTGCCTTTTTTTGTTTTCCATTTTCTTGGTAGATCTTCCTCCATCCTTTTATTTTGAGCCTATGTGTGTCTCTGCACATGAGATGGGTTTCCTGAATACAGCACACTGTTGGGTCTTGACTCTTTATGCAATTTGCCAGTCTGTGTCTTTTAATTGGAGCATTTAGTCCATTTACATTTAAAGTTAATATTGTTATGTGTGAATTTGATCCTGTCATTATGATGTTAGCTGGTTATTTTGCTCATTATTTGATGCAGTTTCTTCCTAGTCTTGATGGTCTTTACATTTTGGCATGATTTTGCAGCGGCTGGTACTGGTTGTTCCTTTCCATGTTTAGTGCTTCCTTCAGGAGCTCTTTTAAGGCAGGCCTGGTGGTGACAAAATCTCTCAGCATTTGCTTGTCTGTAAAGTATTTTATTTCTCCTTCACTTATGAAGCTTAGTTTGGCTGGATATGAAATTCTGGGTTGAAAATTCTTTTCTTTAAGAATGTTGAATATTGGCCCCCACTCTCTTCTGGCTTGTAGGGTTTCTGCTGAGAGATCCGCTGTTAGTCTGATGGGCTTCCCTTTGAGGGTAACCTGACCTTTCTCTCTGGCTGCCCTTAACATTTTTTCCTTCATTTCAACTTTGGTGAATCTGACAATCATGTGTCTTGGAGTTGCTCTTCTCGAGGAGTATCTTTGTGGCGTTCTCTGTATTTCCTGAATCTGAACGTTGGCCTGCCTTGCTAGATTGGGGAAGTTCTCCTGGATAATATCCTGCAGAGTGCTTTCCAACTTGGTTCCATTCTCCCCATCACTTTCAGGTACACCAATCAGACGTAGATTTGGTCTTTTCACATAGTCCCATATTTCTTGGAGGCTTTGCTCATTTCTTTTTATTCTTTTTTCTCTAAACTTCCCTTCTCGCTTCATTTCATTCATTTCATCTTCCATTGCTGATACCCTTTCTTCCAGTTGATCGCATCAGCTCCTGAGGCTTCTGCATTCTTCACGTAGTTCTCGAGCCTTGGTTTTCAGCTCCATCAGCTCCTTTAAGCACTTCTCTGTATTGGTTATTCTAGTTATACATTCCTCTAAATTTTTTTCAAAGTTTTCAACTTCTTTGCCTTTGGTTTGAATGTCCTCCCGTAGCTCAGAGTAATTTGATCGTCTGAAGCCTTCTTCTCTGAGCTCGTCAAAGTCATTCTCCATCCAGCTTTGTTCCGTTGCTGGTGAGGAACTGCGTTCCTTTGGAGGAGGAGAGGCGCTCTGCTGTTTAGAGTTTCCAGTTTTTCTGTTCTGTTTTTTCCCCAACTTTGTGGTTTTATCTACTTTTGGTCTTTGATGATGGTGATGTACAGATGGGTTTTTGGTGTGGATGTCCTTTCTGTTTGTTAGTTTTCCTTCTAACAGACAGGACCCTCAGCTGCAGGTCTGTTGGAATACCCTGCCCTGTGAGGTGTCAGTGTGCCTCTGCTGGGGGGTGCCTCCCAGTTAGGCTGCTCGGGGGTCAGGGGTCAGGGACCCACTTGAGGTGGCAGTCTGCCCGTTCTCAGATCTCCAGCTGCGTGCTGGGAGAACCACTGCTCTCTTCAAAGCTGTCAGACAGGGACATTTAAGTCTGCAGAGGTTACTGCTGTCTTTTTGTTTGTCTGTGCCCTGCCCCCAGAGGTGGAGCCTACAGAAGCAGGCAGGCCTCCTTGAGCTGTGGTGGGCTCCACCCAGTTCGAGCTTCCTGGCTGCTTTGTTTACCTAATCAAGCCTGTGCAATGGCGGGCGCCCCTCCCCCAGCCTGGCTGCAGCCTTGCAGTTTGATCTCAGACTGCTGTGCTAGCAATCAGCGAGACTCCGTGAGTGTAGGACCCTCCGAGCCAGGTGCGGGACATAATCTCGTGGTGCGCCGTTTTTTCAGCCCGTCGGAAAAGCGCAGTATTCGGGTGGGAGTGACCCGATTTTCCAGAAGCCGTCAGTCACCCCTTTCTTTGACTCGGAAAGGGAACTCCCTGACCCCTTGTGCTTCCCAAGTGAGGCAATGCCTCGCCCTGCTTCGGCTCGCACACGGTGCGCGCACCCACTGACCTGTGCCCACTGTCTGGCACTCCCTAGTGCGATGAACCCGGTACCTCAGATGGAAATGCAGAAATCACCGTCTTCTGCGTCGCTCACGCTGGGAGCTGTGGACCGGAGCTGTTCCCATTTGGCCATCTTGGCTCCTCCCCTCTATCTCATTTTTAAAGAGTCTTCAATCCCAAGCTTTTCTAAGCCTTATATAATCTAAAATGTTTGTATCTGTCTCCATTTCACAAATTTCTCACCTCTGCCCTCTAGGTGTTTCCACCAAGAACAAATCTAAATCCTGGTGCAAATGACAAGCAGCTGGTGAGACCATCATCTACCACCATCACATTATCTTCCTATATGCTCCATGATTAACCAGAGAAAACAGCATCAACCTGAGAAAGACTATACATCCTTAACTGGATAAAGAGCCATACTACGTCTTTAGATTCCATATATAAATAAGGTCGCACGGTATTTGTCTTTCTGTGTCTGGCTTATTTCATTTTATGTAACATCCTCCAGATTCATCCATGTTGTCGCAAATGGCAGGACTTTTTTCTTTTTTAAGACTGAATAATATTCCTCTGTGTGTGTGTGTGTGTGTGTGTGTGTGTGTGTGTTTGTGTGTGTGTTCCTGTGTGTATGTGTCTGTATTGCACATTTTCTTCATCCATTCATCCACTGACCAACACTTAGGTTGTTTCCATATCTTGGCTACTGTGAATAATGCTGCAAACTCAGAGAGGCAGAGAGTAGAAGAGTGGTTGGCAAGACTGCAGGGAGAGGAAAATGGGGAGTTGTTGATCAAAGAGTACAAACTTTCAGTTATAAGATAAATAAGTTCCAGGAACCTAATATACAGCATGGGGACTACAGTTAATAATACTGTATTATATACTTGAAATTTGCTGAGAGTAAATCTTAAGTGTTTTCACCACCAAAAAAACCCCAAACTGATTACCACATGAGGTGATGGATATAATAATTAGCCTTATTGTGGTACTCATGTCATATCAAAACATATTTCATATCTTAAATATGTACAATTTTTATCCATTATATCTCAGAAAAGCTGGGAATGGGGGGAAGAATCATCCTGCCTGCCTTAACAAGTATCGTAGAAATCTTTTTGTTGTTCACTGCCACAAACCAGTAAATTAAAGACATAGCAAAATATCTGTGACAAAAGTCAAACATTGCTTTACAAATTACATGGGCATGAGAGAGAAAACCAATATCATATTAGAGGCATATCTACAAATGACTGGATTATTCGTATAACCATAAATTTATCATGAAAATTCTCTAATACAAGCATCATGAGATCTGTTGCTATAACTAAGCAAGGAGCATAGTGGAGAGACAGAGAGAGAGAGAGGGAGAGAGAATGAGAGAGAGAGAGAGACAGAGTGTGTGTGTGTGGTGTGGGGAGAGTACAAAAATAATCACACATTTTCATCACTCAAAGTTCTCTCAGTTCTGCTATCAAATAGCTTCATAACTTTGAGCAAGACATCTTTGGCCTTGTATCCTCATCTGCAAAATGATGTCCTTACATACTACATATTACAATTCACCAAAATTACAAAACGTGGGAGAAAAATAAGCAAAGTAACTAAAGTTGCAGAGCAGCCTCTGTGTATGTGTGTTTTAACTTCTCTCTTTTTTTAATCTCTAGTACTTTGTCCCTGTTGTTTGCCTCAACATCTAGGTAAGTTGTAGGTCAGTGAGAAAGAAATGGATGTAAGGCTAGCATGAAGTTATGACATTACATTAATGTGCAGTAACACTGCTTGAAATCTTAGTATTCTCTCCTGACAGTAGAGGTATTTCATACATGTGATTATCATCTACCAAGTGCGTTACTGCATAAAAAGGGTAAGATCAAAACAGATTTAAACATACATAATTTATTCACCAGGGAGAGAAAACCCAGACTTCTACTTTTACTGTTGGGTACACAGCCGGTAGCAAATGGTAAGTTTTTCCCCAATGACTGTATCAACAAAACCACATACCTCCCCTTACCTATGTAATCAAATGATTGATTATCCTTCAGTATATCTGGGGGTGAATCCTTACAGTAGATGTTATCCAATATCTTGTTTTATTTTTTCCATTAAGTAGGAGATACACACAGACGTGTGCTAGTTTGGATGCATTTATCAGATTCTGTAAGTTTTTAATTTTGTTCACTGAATCACAAGATTGTTAAGATGTTTGGAGACAAAATAATTTGATCCCCAAAAATATACTTAATTGCTAACTTATTATTCAATTTTAACATGAAATTCAACCAGCAAGATCAATGGACGCAGGTTGGGGTAAAAACTACAGATGTTTCATTTTAAAATACTTTTTGGGCCGGGTGCAGTGGCTCACGCCTGTAATCCAAGCACTTTGGGAGGCTGAGGCGGGAGGATCACAAGGTGAGGAGATCGAGACCATCCTGGCTAACATGGTGAAACTCTATCTCTACTAAAAATACAAAAAAAAAAAAAAAAATTAGCCGGGCATGGTGGCAGGTGCCTGTAGTCCCAGCTACTCAGGAGGCTGAGGCAGGATAATGTCATGAACCCAGGAGGCGGAGCCTGCAGTGAACTGAGATCATGCCACTGCACTCCAGCCTGGACGACAGAGCGAGACTCCATCTCAAATAAATAAATAAATAAATAAAATAAAAAATAAAAAATAAATATTTTTGAAGCATCTGTATAAGCTATTTGTAAAGTTTAAAGTTGCCCATGTTAGTGTTCCAAGGTGAGAGCTTTCTTCAGAGAAAAGGAAAAGGTGACACATAGCTAGAGGTGGTCCAGACTAGTGTTTTATTATTGCCCATTATTTTATTGTTTTAATAGTAGGCAAGTTGTCAATCTTTAAAAGTCCAACTCTTCAAGTTTTTTTTTTCTTTAGGGCTTGCAGGATTTTGACACCAACTGTTTACATAACATATAAATTTAAATGATACATTAGAGACAAGGACGACAGAGTTAACCTTTGTGATGGTGAAGCTTCACCACTACTAACAATGTCTTCCTTTCATGAAGGAAGCTTGTGCCACAGGGCTTAGGTATTCCATTGTCTAATTCTCACAGCTAAATATTTTTATTTTTTCCCAAAAAATTAATCTGCTGTGTAAATTAATAGAAAAGGAAAATTCAAAGAGCTCAGTAATACAAATACCACTAAAATATACTTTAAAAACATAATTTTAAAAGATCTAAAATAATACTTAAAATTCTTCTTTATGGATATACCATCCAAGAAAAGTCCACGGTTGAATAAGAATTATTTTTGATTATTCAGTTCTAGAGTTTCAGATCTACGTAAGTACACGTTACATAATGGGGAGAAATTAAAATTAAATTGGAAAAAGATGTGAGAGGGGTTAGGGTATTAATCTTCAATAATTGGTATAGCTCAACAGGAATATAAATAAAAATATCTTATTTCCTCAATTCTAAGTCATGATTAGTGGTACAATGCAGCACTGATTTGTCTGGAAAAAAAGAAACCTATATTATGTTCTTATTGACAGAAAGAAATATTTCAATTTCTGAAACATCAAAAACTGGAGGGGAGGTTTTAAAAGTACAGTTTAAAATTAAGGATATGTAACTACCTTGGTTGAGGATAAGTGAATCCTGAAATGCGAGTTCAACCTTATACAGTCTCAATCTAAAAACAAAAACAAAAAGAAACCCTAATCGGATCCTGGGGACAATTACTGTGGCAACTGTGTGTTCTGGAGCACCTCTAAAGGTATGGAATGCCTGTTCTTCCCCATAGTCAGTAATCAGTTGATAACATCCAGGCACTGGAGCTCCCAAAGTCCCTCTGCAATGACCTCCTAATGATTTTACTAAAGGAAGTGATAAGAGTGATGGAACAGTAGTGCATATGCTTGAACAAAGGGCTTGAACAAGAGTGGGTGCATGCTGTCACAGCAAGCAAATGCAAATTGTTGTTCTTGCTAGTGGTTGACATATTAATACTACTACCAAGCTGAGATGAAATTGTTTGGTCTCATCTCTCAGCACAGACTTAACCTGCTTGGCTTTAATCTCTCAGGTTCTGTTATATCTGCCCTCTCACATACACCCTCTGACCTACATGCAGGGCTATACAGCTTAACCAGACAGCATCATGTGCACCTGCATATTAATGGCAAGGTGCTTTCCTATTCTTAGCCCTTAAAGCCTCTTCCTTTTCATGGGGGGATTTTAGTCTTTGCAGTTGTCTTTTGTTGCCTTAATACTATGCCCCAGCTTGTCCATTTCCAGAGGCAACAGAGGGCCCCAGGAGCTCTGGGTTTAACTTCAACACCGGCTTGCTGCCAGGACTCTGCCATTTGTAGCCAAGGCTCCATTTGCTAAACCAATGACTGCAGTGATGAGGAAAGAGGTGGCAGCAGCCGTGGGAGGAATGGATCCTTCTACTGCCCTCTTTGCCTGTAGCAGCATAAACCCACATAGTACAGTGGCATGAAATGGCTGCAGATTCTATTTCCCAATGCAGAGGAGAGGGGAAGGAGGTAGAGGAGGAGGAATCAGCATGGGAAGAAGGTATGCGTAGGGGAAAGAAAGGCATTCATGTGACACAAGACAGATCTGCTCCCCACATGAAAACTTCACAAATTCTCATTCTTACAAGGTGGACACAATTATGTTCAAAAGGGAGAAAAGATACAAAGCCAAAGCCCTGACTTTCAAGTAGATCCTAGCATCTTCCTTGGTCTTCCCCTGCCAAAGAAACAGAAATGGTAACCAACTCAGGTTGGCATAAAAGGAATCAGAGGAGACCTCACCATGCCCCCCTCAAAAGACCTCTCCTGAATAACAGCAACCAAACTTCTTGTCCTCTCCTCTGTATTCAGGAGTTATCTACCCAGCCAATCTAGATTCTTACATTGGTATCCTTTGGTCTAATTAGTAAAGAGGTCATCATTAATACAGAACTGTATTCAACTCTCAATTAACAAAGGGAAGAAATTAATAACAGGTTAAGTACCACCAATGAGCCTGGGGCTGTGCTGGCTTAAAGAATTTATTCAAAGCCTCGCAGCCAGTACATGGTGAAGGATAAATTCTAACCCAGGGCTTTCTGAGTCCAGATGAATTCTTGGTGATTTCAAAGCCAGACTTCAATGTGCAGGTTCACTGAGTCTCCAAATATACTTCTGCTAGATTTCTTGATGATAAAACTACATTATTTTCTCCCCTTTCATTCATTACCATTGTAGACATCTAAAACCTCTAAAATTATTTTAAAAACTAGAAAATAAGATGGTGCGAGGAAGGTCAATCATAGGTCAAAATTGCAAAAGCCTTCAGGGGTCTGGAAGCTGGTCACATACATGATGAAACCAGCCTGAGTGTGAGACTCCAGGGCACATAGGGGCCCTGGTGAATGGAGTAGCATGGTGATATCCCTCAACCCCCAAGGGCACAAGGTCTACAGAATTTTCCAATGTAAGAACCATGAGTGTTGTGTATTTATCTTTTATGCATCTTTCTTTTTCTGTTCTTTCTCTGCCACTGATTCAATCTCAGAATGCACTAAAGTGAATATATATGTATATACACATGCATATATATACACATATATGCACATATATATACACAATGCACTTAAGCCCCTAACTCCTAATTTTATACAAATCATCTAAAATGGAACATCTTCATTTTCTAAGTCATTCAAAGAACAATTAGGATTTCTTTCATTTACATTATTTACAGATTCTACACTTTTTGTTTCCTTCTAAAACTTCACTGCCCTTTTTTCCACAGTACATATTTTTCATTACAAGAGTTATTTGTTAAATGGTAATGCTTTTAAGTAATAAAAAAAGGAAAAAGGACAACTGCCATTTGCTAAACATCCACCATGTAGACATTCACATACAACAGCTTCATGCAACTCCTGCAAAAACTTTAAGTTATTAGGACTTTCTACATTTTATAGGTAAGGAAACTAAAGTTGAGAACGTTTAAGCAATTTGCCCAAGATGATGGAGGCTGGACTTGAATTCCGAACAATTCTAAAGGCAACAATTCGCTCAGTTAAAAATACGGAGTGATTTTTCCATGAACTTTAATCGTTAACTGGAGAAGTTATAACTAAACATGTTAGTTTAACTTGAAACCTAAGTCACAAGTAGGTGTTGAATGGGTTGTTCGCTCTAATCACTTGAGCAGTTCCATGTCTGGCCAATGATCCCCTGGTATCTATTTCTGACCAGCCAGGGAGGCTGCACTACAACAATGTCAACATTTCTGCAATGCTATTTTGGAGATAAGTACTTAAAAAATGAATGAGTTGAAAATTCAACTGGGGGTTTCTAAGGTTTAATCTCTCATCTAGAAAATATCTTGGTGTTAATGCAAGTAGAAAAAAATAACAGGCCTTTTAACACCTCGACACTGTTTTTGTCTTCATAAGACTCAGCAAATAGTAACTAATTAATCCTAATGAAAGCCCCACAATACACGTCAGGTTGGAATTCATTCTCAATAGGCATCTACAAACCACACAAGTTGAGGTTTCACAATTGACGACGCCTCTGGCCCACACACACTATGAATTACAGCCTTAGAAGCACAACTGGTCCATCCAAAGTCCTGATGAAATAACCAGCTCTATTTTATCGATTTATAGCCCAGTGATTCACAGAGGTCCCAGCAGGCTCTCTCCTTGCCAATATTGTAGCATCCTAGAAAACAACCCTCTTCCTGTGACAAGCAGGGGCAACCCAATTTAGACATTAAAATGTAGTCTTTTTATATCCTGTAAATATTTTTCTTTCACTGATTTTAATAAATAAAGACTAAAGAATATGTCACACACTTTTAACCTGTAGGCCTATGTTTCGCACTAATGTGAAATACTCTAACACTGTTATTCTCCCATTTGACTTTATATTCAAAGGTTTACACACGTTGTATATGATATGCTTTGGATTATCTGTCCCCTCCAAATCTTGTGTTGAAATGTAATCCCCAGTGCTGGAGTTGGGGCCTGGTGGGAGGTTGTCTGGATCATGGGGGCGGATCCCCTCATAAATGGCTTGGCACCATTCCCTTGGCGATGAGATAGTCCACATGAGATCTGGTTGTTTAAAAGTCTGGGTCCTTCCCCCTCTGTCTTGCTCCAGCTCTTGCCATGTGACTCACCTACTCCACCTTCACCTTCCGCCTTGATTTTAAGCTTCTTAAGGCCCTCACCAGAAGCAGATACTGGCATTATGCTTCCTGTGCAGCCTCCAGAGCCATAAACCAATTAAACCTCCTTCCTTTATAAAATTACCCAGTCTCAAGTATTCCTTTATAATAATGCAAATGGACTAATTCAGTATATAAAGGAAATACATATATTGTCCAAAATGGGTCAATAGATCTAATCCCAAACTTTGTCATCCATAAGGTTACTTGACAAGTGCAAAAGGAAAAAAAATATGTCATTTTGCTAGTAGTAAAAGTTATACCTAGAAATCTTTGACATTTTCTTCTTATAAGAAAAAAGCAGCAGGTGGGATAAACGAAAAACTAAAATGAATATGAAAAAAGATTTCCCAAGCATGAAAAGAATTTGCAGAGCAAGAGTTTAGGAAAAATCCCCTCACAGGGCTACATCCATCAACATAATGGTGCAGTATAAAGAGGCAACAATGCCTTTCAAGTGTAAATATTACATTTAATGGCCAAGGTAATTCTCCTGATTCAAAAAAGTAAAGACACATCAATTAGAAAACTTACATATCAGAGGTATTCCCAGGATGAAAGTTACATAAAGTATATATCCACAAAGTACAGTTTAAATTGAACTTTTTCTTCTACACTTATGTAAAAATTCTACAAATCCTATGAAAAACTGCCATTTCCATAAATATATATGCATAGACTTTCATTTTGGAAACAGAAAGAAGCTTCCTACTAAAGAGAAGTGGTGACAAGGTGAAGAGAGATAGTATCTATATATTCTGATGTTTCACATCCAGATGAACAAAGGGTGTGATAAGATGAAGCATAAAATCTTACAGAGGACAAGTGAACTTGTCACATACCAAGTACCATCTCTTATTACTGAATAATAAGAAAAACTCAACTCTCACCTTGGTGCTCATTCATTCTTCTTCACAGCTCCATCTCACAAGGTTGAAGAGGTGCAGTAAGAGTATCTGCTTTATACATTATTTGCTTTAAAAAATTCTAAAAGTTTGATGGTTTATAAGAGTATTAAAAGGAAATTTAGGAGAATCATTCCATAAACTCTGAATTGGAAAGAATTTTCTGAAAGCAGAAATACTAAAGATACTTACAAACTTGAAAATAGTATTAATACAAAATATCTTTATAAAACTATTAAAAAGAAGTATTGTGATAATCAACACACTAAAAATCATTGAATTCTATACTGAGTGAATCGTATAGTATGTGAATTATATCTAAATAAAACTCAGAAAAAGAAATATGTTCAATAAATCTATGCAAGCATATAATCATGGCAACAAATAACTGCAAATAATAACTACATCACTTTTTTGCCTGAGATTATAGTACTTATAATGATCACTACCTCTGGTAACGTAAATGGATTCAATCTTTTAGGAGGACATTTTTTGTTTTAAAATTTAAACCATTATGATATAACCTTTGATGTACAATCGACTGGGAATGTCTTTTTTCCCTAATACTTAGACAATATCTCTATGAATATACGTCCCTCCCATTTATCAAGTTTGGGAGAACATGCACAAACATTTCTTAGCAATAGTTATCTCTGAGAGGTTTGTTTGCTTTTGCTTTTTTATTTGTGTCAAGATGCTCCGTACCAAAATGGCTACCAGACTGTCCTTGGTATGCTAACATCTGCAAAGCATCTTAGTCAAAACATCTCACATGCATAGCAAGACAAGGGTAATATTTCCATGTAACCTTAGAGCCTTGCCTCCCACACCAAGATACTGGTGTTACAAAGAGCACATGGTGCAATGGAGTGTTAGAGGTAGTCATGGGATACAAGTAGTACATCTTTATGGAATATCAATTTTATTTGGTTTTAGACAAGGTTTTGATTTTCTTCCAAAGAGTTCTTTTGGAGGGTGTGTTAGAGTGTGTATGTGTATGTGTTTCGACATAAGGCTATACATAAAATCCCTACTTTTCCATGTGTTTTAACTTTGTGTATTTTTCATTAAAAAATAACAAGACACACACTCTGGATAAAAAATAACTTTCTGGCTGGGCACAGTGGTTCAAGCCTGTAATCCCAGGACTTTGGGAGGCCAAGGTGGGCAGATTGCTGGAACACAGAAGTTCGAGACCAGCCTGGGCAACAAGGAAAAACCCCCTTTCTACTAAAAAAAGAAAAAAAAAATTAGCCAGGCATGGTGATATGTGCCTGTGGTCCCAGCTACTCACGAGGCTAAGGTGGGAAAACTGCTTGAACCCGGGAGATGGAAGTTGCAGTGAGCCAAGATCACACAATGACACTGCACTCCAGTCTGGGCCACAGAAAAAATAAAAACCAAGAAAAGAAAACCTTTCTATGTTATGAAAAACTAGAAAAGTTCTCATTTTTGTATCATCAACTGATCTCTAATAATTAGTCTCCCATTCCTAGGAAAAACAAACAAACAAACAAACCTCTGATTTTAAGCTGGGCACATTGCTGACTACCTAAAAGACTACATTTACCAGTTTCCTTTGTAGCTAGATATAACCATGTGACTAAGTTCTAGCCAATAAGATATAAGCACAGCTATCTCCTGGAACTTCCAGAAAGTCTCCTTAAAATCTCCCTAGTGATTGGAGAATGAAAAGTTGGAAGGACCACGAGTCTCCAAAGATTATGCCAAGTCCCACATGCTAGTCCCACACAGTCACCTCCTAGGTTCTTCTACATGAGAGACACATTTTTTTTGTATCTATAACTGAACCTACCCCTAGCTGATATAAAATCAAGAAAAGCAAGGCAGTATTAGTGCAAGAGTTGTTTCAAAGTGAGCCAGACAAGTTTTTGTCACAAGAACAGACTGTGTCTAGGACCCTGCCCGCTGGACCAGTTCTAGTCCCTGGGAATAAAAAAGCTGGAATTAGCCATTTCAAGGCTAGTCCTAGAAAGCCTGCAAAACTAGCTTTTTCTTAAAACTAGCTTGGAAAGACTGGACAAAAACCATGTTATTTCTACTTTCAATTATACAAAATCTATTTAAAAATAAATTTAAAATTTATTTTCAACTGAGAATATGGTTTGATAATTAGAAAACGAATTGTGAAGTTGAAATAACTTTGGAGAATATGACAGACAATAAGGTGGACTTCCCAACAACCAGATGTCATGAAGTACCGTAACTGACTTGAGCATAAAGATTACAGAAGTCTTCAGAAAAATTATGAAGAATACTAGGAACATTTATGGATAAAATGAGACAGGCTTTGATTTAGAGAAAGTACAAAAGCACACAAAAAAATTTGCTTAAAGCATCTTTCAAGGCTATAGAACTTACACAAATGGACCAGGCGCGGTGGCTCACGCCTATAATCCCAACGCTTTGGGAGGCCTAGGTGGGTGGATCACCTGACGTCGGGAGTTCGAGATCAGCCTGGCCAACATGGCAAAACCCCATCTCTTCTAAAATTACAAAAATTAGCCAGGTGTGGTGGCACTTGCCTGTAATCCCAGCTACTCACAAGGCTGAGGCAGGATAAATGCTTGAACTGGGAAGTGGAGGTTGCAGTGAGCGGAGATCGCGCCACTGCACTCCAGCCTGAGTGACAGAATGAGACTCCATCTCAAAAACAAACAAACAAACAAAAAAACTTACACAAATGAGGAAGTACACACAACAAATTCTGGCATTGATGTGGCCATAATATGTTCTAGATGGCAAAGAAAAGGAACAACCAATGTAAAAGGTTAAAAAAAGTGTCTGTAGCTATCAAACAGATTATCTTAAAACATTCTTGAACTAGTGTATTAGTTTGCTAGGGCTGCCTTAAAGAACCACAAACAAGGTGGCTTAAACTACAGGAGAATTTATTCTCTCTACTTTAGAGGCTAGAAGTCCGAGTTCGAGATGTTAGCAGGGTTGGGTTCCTTCTGAGAGTTATGGGGGAGAATCTGCCCCCTGCTTCTCTCCTCGCTTCTGGTGTTCTGTGGCAATCTTTAGCCTTCTGGGCTTCTGCTGCATCACTCTAATCTCTGCCTTCATCTTTACATGACATTCTCGCTCCGTGGGTATCTGTGTCCCAATTTCCCCTTTGTATAAAGATTCCAGTTATATTACATTAGGGGCCACTCTATTCCAGTATGACCTCATTGTAACTAATTATATCTGCGATGACTTTATTTCCAAACAAGGTCACATTTGATATATTAGGTGTTAGGATTTCAATCTATGAATTGGGGCAGGAGTCAGGGTGGGAGAAGATAATTCAGCCCATAACAACTGGTAACAGACCAAGTGATTCTAATTCTTTCCCATTATAGCTGGATTAAAGCTGGTGGATGTTAACAATGTACCATTTAATTTTGATCATTGACTTCTGTATTTATTTATCAACATCTATGAGACATGTAAACTTACAAAGTAGATGATTGCGAAAGAACTGAAATAAATACTAAACAAATGTTTAACTAAATAGGAATTTCTCGTAATGAGAAAATTTCTAGACATGCGCAGATGGAGGCCACATCCCAAGCAGGTAAAACTACAGGAGTGATCGCCTGCAGAAGAACTACTGTTCAGTCTGGACACAACAGCAGCCATTGAATCATCCAATGAGAGCATCATCTCAAGTACTTCAGAGTGCCCAATGTGTTCGGCTAAATTGGTAAAATTTATTTAAAGTAATATTAGAATTGCTTGAATATTCATTATTTTTAAAAATTTGAAAAAGAAAATGATTTGACAGGCTGCCCTCCTCACTACACAGCTGTACCCCCTCGAATGTTCTAGTCAGTTTTCAATTTCAGGGTTAGAGAACATTTTTGCTATGTGTCTAAAAAGTAATTAAAAAAAAAAACTTTGTAACCTATAACGCTACTTCTGAGACTTTAAGAAAATCATAGAGAAAAATGTTTATACACAAAAATTTTCACTGTAGTGTTATTTACAACACAGAAAACAATGAAAAAAACAGTTGTCAGAGAAAATGGAATGGTTAGAAAACCATAGTATACCCAAGTATATCATGCAAAACCACAGTATACTATGCAACTGAGATTGAATAACGTATGAAGTTATTGATTTTTGTTTTGTGACCTTCCTCTAATTCCTTTTCTCCCCAAAGGCCAAGCATGCTATTTCCCTCTCTTGCCTTGAGTGATAGTGTCTCAGAGAGTCAGAGAGAGCCGTCCCTCACAGACAACCTGATTTCCCGACATCTTCTGGCAGCCTGTGCTCCTAGAAGGGATCAGAACAAGTGTTCCTACGGGTGGCAAGGGAAGCATGCCTTTGAGAGCTGCAGGATAATGGCAGCACTAAAGCTATCTGTGTTAAGAATAGGGAAGACCTAAGGCAGTGGCGGCACTCTAGGAAAAAGGGCTACATGCTAGGATTATGCAGGCAGAGCCCCGAGCTCCAGAGGTCACAGATCTGACAGGATTCCCATGCCCAGGAGGGCTCCAAAGACATGGAGCCATCAAACTCCAAAGGATCTCAAGGACTTCAAAGTGCCCAATGTGTTCAGCTAAATTGGTATGATTTAGCCGAACTTGGATAAATGGGAACTTGGATAAATGGGATAAATGGCGGCTTGGACAATGGGGACTTTAGTGGCGAGAGCATAATTGGGGGCCTACACAGTGCTATGTTAAGACCCTCATATACACACACCATGGAATCTTTGCAAGGCCCCAGGAGAAGTAAGCTACAGCTGAGAAATTGAACATCCCTCTCCCTAACCTGACAGAACAGAGTTTTCTAGATTTTGGATGAAAGCAAGTACAGGTATCTTACATAGCCTAGTTTGTGGATTAAGAATCATATGTATTACCTAATCATTAAAATGATATAAAAACATAATTAGGCCAAGTTTTGATTTGTTTTTTTCTTTTTCTTTGAGACAGGGTCACACTCTGTTGCCCAGGCTGAGTGTAGTGGCATGATCACGGCTCACTGTAGCCTCCAACTCCCAGGCTCAAGCAATCCTCCTGCCTGAGCCTCAGGAGTAGCTGGGACTACAGGCATATGCCATTGTGCCTGACTAATTTTTTTTACATTTGTTGTAGAGATGGGGTCTTCCCATGTTGCCCAGGCTGGTCTTGAACTCCTAGGCTCAAGTGATCCTCCCACTGTGGCCTCCCAAAGTGCTGGGACTACAGGCGTGAGCCACCACACCCAGCCACGAAGTTTTCATACTGTAATATTATGGAGAAAAAAGGCAGAATACAAAAATATATGGAAATATGATAACACACATTGTTGTTGTTTTAAAGCACACAGGAAAAAAGTCTATGAGGAAATATATCAAATGCCAATACCTGCTGTTTCCTCTTTTTCAGTGGCATGGGAAGAGGTGACATTGTTTCTTTTTTCTACAATAAGGATATCTTACTTTTAAAAATAAGAAACTATTCAAAATGAACATGTGATTAGAATATTCTTCCCTTTCAAACCTAAGTCAAGTTGACTGTTGGTTCACATGGCATTCTGATTATTTTATTATTCCTGACATTCATAATACCACTTCTGACATAGAAGTTACAGTTTAGGATTGGTTTATCAAATTTTAAGCAGGGATGCTACAAAGTTGAAACATAAAGAAGAAAAGTTCTTTTTATTAATGCATTGAGTTTCAAATATATTTAACAATCAAGATTTGGTGCTAAGTTTAAACATTTATCTATTTTGTTAAAATGATTTAATTTGGTCTAATAAGCTTTGGTTTCAAGATGGGGTAAATATGCAGGTTTGGCTATCTTTTAACAACTGAAAGGAATATTAATCTTAAAAATGTTTCTATGGATGAGTAGAAATATATGGTACATTTCTAAAATAAGCTAACATTTCAGGCAAAGAAAATCCATATCCTCATTAGCACATTTATAATGCGATGATTTCAGTATACAAAATGGGACTTCACTTTCTGTTTTTGTTTTTTTGGGAAAGGACGTAGAATAAAGGGTGTTTCTACTTTTAATTTTGGAAAAATGGTATAGATGTTGGTTAAGTGCTCATAAAAACAGAAAACCTGCACTTTGTATCTTGAATTTCTCACTAGTTTTGTGATCCAGTGTAAGGTTTCCTAAACTTTACATACCTAAGTTTTTCCCTATTTGTAGCATTGGGATTAAATAAAACGGGTCTCATTAATGTACTATGTGGATTAATGCTATATGTACAGGTCATAGAGAGTTAGCACAATATATGACTCTTCTATTATTGTTATTATTTAGGAATAGGATTTGTTCTCAAAAAGGAAAGCATCCCTTCATTACAAGGAACAGAAAAACTATAATGTAACTCACAAAACTCATTTTCCCTTCAGAAATTCCTGTTATTTCTACAGTGTTAATAACTATCTTAGAAGAAAATCACTAAAGTTATCAACTTTTTCCCCTTTATTGGACTATGTAGTTACAGACAGATAATCAATGGTAAAATATTTAAAGAGCTAAATGTTATGGGATTTTTAAAAATGTTATTTCCAAAAAAGGAAAAGTACATAATGGTTTTATTTTTAAATAGTAGAGATGATGAAATCTTACTATGCACTTCATTTTGCCAGTGGTGTAAAAGTTTTCCAATGATTTATCTAGGATTGGTTTATTCATGTAAAAATCAGGTCAAAAATCAAATGATTATAGGGGTTATGCAGCTAAAATACAGGAAGAAAGTTGTCAGGATGGAACAGGGTAAGCCCATTGCTGAATGGCAACAAACCCTTGGTCACGGCACAAAGGAGCAATAGGGAATGGGGTGAATGCAGTGAACTGGAGACATGAGCCCCAAGAGGGTATCTTCTCTGGACAAGCAGGAATTCAAATCCAATAATGCTGAAAGGAATAGTCTGATCCTTCCATCCTCCCAATAACAGAAATAACTTGGTTCTAAAAGTTAGGAATTAATTTAATTAACAATAAAAGCATAGGGGCCAAACAAAACACATCTCAGGGCCAAATCTAGCACTGGTGCCAGTTTGTAAACTACAAAATAAGTGTTTCCAAACACCTAAAATATTTTCAATAACATCCCTTTTGCAGTATTTGAAGAAAAAAAAATTTAATTTTAAAAAAGTCCTTTCACTTGTGACTGAAAAGAAAAAGCCATGAGAAAATATTCAGTTCCAATTCCTATTATTTTAGTATCTGTAAGAATTAAGTATGGAAGTTGATTTAGAGAATGCAGGATTCCACCAAGTTTTACAGCCTTTGGAGGTAGATGGGTAAGACAATCTCTGTCCTAAAAGAAAAGTTAAACCTGGCAGACGATCAGCCTGGAAGGGAGACACAGAGCTATTCCAAGCACCATGGACTTTAGCTTCCCAGGGTAAGAGGATGAAAGGACCACTGTTTTAAGTTCTTAAGTAAGGCTCAGTATGCTCTGTCAGAATTCAATGAATGGCTTGACTTAAATCTTTAGATGATATACAACCACAACCTCCAGCAGGATGAGTAGGCAACTCTAAAATGATGGAGATGACATAATTCCTTTAGTAGCTAAACATTAACCCTAGAAAAATTTAGAATTAAGTACAGAAATGTCTAAAAGAATTAAAACAATCTTATTGATGCTTTTGGTCAAGTGCTATGTTCATATTTGGTAATTATAAAACATTAGTAATGTTTAAGAGAATTTGGCATATTAGAGATGAGCTGCATAATTACAACTTAAAATGCATAATGAACTAATTGATATAGACTTGTGATTTAAACTCAGATACAACGTCTATAAAAGCTTTGAAATATAAAAGAGAGAGGAAAAAAAAGTCCTTTCACTGTAAGTCCTAGCCAGAGCAATTAGACAAGAAAAATAAATAAATGACATCCAATTTGGAAGGAAGAAGTCAAATTATTCTTGTTCAAAGACAACATGGTATATTTAAGAACCTAAAAATTAGATCAAAACATTGTTAGAACCAGTAAATGAATTCAGTAAAGTTGCAGAATACAAAGTCAACATACAAAAAAATCAGTAGCACTTATATAAGCCAACAGTGAACAATTTAAAAAAGAAATTAAGAAAGCAATCTCATTTACAGTGGCTCAAAAAAAATTAAATTCCAAGGAATAAATTTAACCAAAGAAGTAAAAGATCTCTATAAGAAAAACTACAAAACACTGACGAAAGAAATTGAAGAGGACATAAAAAGGGAAGACAGCCCATGCTCGTGGATGGAAATTACTGGTATCATTAAAATGTCCCTATCAAAATACCAATGACATTCTTCACAGAATTGAAAAAAGGCAATCCTAAAATCTGTATGGAACCACAAAAGACTCCGAATAGTCAAAGTAATTCTGAGCAAAAAGAACAGAAGGGGAGGGATCACACTACCTGACTTCAAAATATACTACAAAGCCATAGTAACCCCAACAGCATAGTACTGGTATAAAAACAGACACATGGACCAATGAAAAAGAATAGAGCTAACTCACTTTTGGACAAAGGTGCCTGGAACATACATCGGAAAAAAGACAGTCTCCTTAATAAACAGTGCTAGAAAAACTGAGTAAGTACATGCAGATGAATAAAGCTAGACCCCTGTCTCTTACCATATGCAAAAAATCAACTTAAATTGAACTAACAACTTAAATCTAAGACCTGAAACTATAAAACAACTAGAAGAAACTATTAGGGAAATGCTTCTGGACACTGGCCTAGACAAAGATTTGTTGGGTAAGACCTCAAATGAACAGGCAACAAAAGTAAAAATACACAAATGGGATCCTATCAAGCTAAAAAGCTTCTGCACTGCAAAAGAAACAACAAAGAGATAACCCACATAAAGGGTTTTTTGCAAAGTATCCATGAAACAAGGGATTAATAATCAGAATATATAAGGAACTCAAACAAATAAATTTAAAAAACCAAATAATCCAATTGTTTCAAATGGACAAAACATTTGAACAGACATTCCTCAGGAGACATGGCCAACCAAAAGGTGTATGAAAAATACTCAACATCATGTATGTGCATCAGAGAAATGCACATAAAACCACAGTGAAATATCATCTCATCCCAGTTAAAATGGCTTTTATCAAAAAGACAAAAAAAAATAACAGTTGCTGGTAAGGATGAAGAGAAACGGGAACACTTGTACACTGTTGGTAGGAAGATAAATTAATACAGTCACTATGGAAAACATATGGAGACTCCTCAAAAAACTAAAGATAGAAATACCATATAATCCAGCAATGTAAAGGAAATCAGTGTATCAGAGATATCTGCACTCCCATATTTATTGCAGCACTATTCACAATAGCCCAAACTATTCAATAGCCGTGATACGTAATCAATCTAAGTGTCCAACAGATGAATGGATTTTTAAAAAGTGATACTAACAGTG
Source organism: Homo sapiens (assembly GCF_000001405.40). Classification (NCBI taxonomy): domain Eukaryota; kingdom Metazoa; phylum Chordata; class Mammalia; order Primates; family Hominidae; genus Homo; species Homo sapiens. The sequence goes on from NC_000004.12 coordinate 148,341,260, forward strand.
GAATATTATTCGCCCATGAAAAGAATGAAATCCTGTGATTTGTAGCAATATGGATGGAACTGGAGGGCATTATATTAAGTGAAATAAGCCAGGAACAGAAAGATAAATATCATGTGTTCTCACTCATATGTGGGAACTTAAATAAAAGTGGATCTCATGGAGATAGTTGATTGGTGGTTATCTAGGCTGAGAAGGGTAGGGAGAGGGAACGACGAAGAGAGGTTGGTTAATGAGTACAAATATACAGTTAGATAAAAGGAATAAGACCTAGTGTTTGAAAGCACAGTAGGGCAACTATAATAAATATAATTTGTTGTATAGCTCAAAATTGCTGGAGGAGAATTAGAATGTTCCCAATATAAAAAGAGGTGAATGTTTGGGGTAATAAATGCCCCAATTGCCCTGGTTTGATCATTACACATTGTATGCATATATCAAAACACCACATGTACCCCCAACATAGGTACAGCTCTTATGCATCAATAAAAAAAATAAAAACAAACAAACATAAGCAGCAATGGCTACCCAGAAATAAACACCTTGCATTATATACATACAAACACCACTATTTTAATATATTCACTTATTTTTAAAGAACAAGTACTTGAAAACTAGGAAATAACTCATGCACTTATAATTGAGGTATACCCAAACCCTGCCTATTTGCAACTTAGTCAAAAACAACTGACAAGCAAAACAGCTCCTGAGCAGAAAATATTACGGTCACAACTTCACACACTGGATTTACATAGTCTCTTCTGCTGCCCTCTTCTGACTTGTCTTACTCTGGTTTTACATGTTTAGCAACCAGCCGGGGGGATGAGGGAGGGGTTGCTGAAGACAGTCCCACTGATAACAACAGAGTTAATGATACAAAAGAAGATGGCTACGAGGAGTCAAACGTCAGAGCCTGAGACCTTTGATGAAGGGTCACATCGCCAGAGCTCAGTGGATAGCGAAGTACGTGGCTTTTCTACACGGCACAATAGTTCAAACTAGTACCATAAATAACATAACACACACACACACACAGAATCACGGCCCTATGTTCTCAGGACAAAGGTGCGTGACGGTCAGCATTACATTTCAGACAGATCTCTGTTTAATTCAACAAACATTTATAGGAAATTTGTAATGCGCAAGGCCCTGAGCCATTATAAACACCTGATAAGAATTGGTTCAAGAGCTGTTGTTTTTGTAGAGTGCTCCATACATGTATTGTGATAGGTATCAAGTGGCACAAAGTGAAACAATTCTGAGTATACACCTGTATTTCATATCTGATGAAGCTCTGGTTTGCTGATCCATAATAAGCCCCTTATGAGCTAAGCTGAGCTTTCACTATAATCCGTTCCCACATATCTGAACCTGCTGTGGGGATTTTTTTAAACTGCTATTAGCAGTGACTAAAACTTCTAATCCCCTGCTATGCCTTTATTATTAACACATACAATTATTGTGCAGTAGCATTAAAGAACTGTGAAAATTTTTTATCTTATTTCTAAATCTCACCATTTTTATAACAGTAACAGTAAGATTTTCACAGAAATACTACTTCAGTCGTTTTGTCTGTATTTTTACTAGAAATTGCTTTAGCTATAAGGTTAATTGACATCTCTTACAGGGTATGAGAAACTTCAAAGTGCCTGGAATGACTCCATTACTAATGCAACTACTTCAGATATAAAGTAATCTTTCTTTAGTTTATTAAAGACAAGGACAGATTTTTAGCCCAATCCCGGAAAGAAAAATATAACCCATTTTGGAGATTAATATGGTAGCTGGATACAGAATGAAATTCATCTGACTCCACAATAATTATTAAATCAAATATCATGGCATCTTTTCCCTAATCAAACTCAGGAAAGATTACTAAGCAGCCCAAACTCTGAAAACTACAAAGCAAAGATAGATACTCATTATGCCAACTCTATAGGACTCAGGCAAAAACTGATGGCCTCATGATCAGGTGTAACTTAGCTGTCCTTCATTCTGCTGGTCCTTGTTATTTTATCTCAAGTTCACTTTCTGTGCCATTGAAAGAACTGCTAAGTAAGAGGGTTTAACCCTTTATTTTGGCCCAAACACAGGCTCATTACATCTCACGGATTCAAGTCCCAAGGCAGCAGCGGGATATCCGCCCCCCCGACCCCCCCTTTTTTTTAAATGTACTTAAACTTCAAGGGCAGAGAGGTTAGAATACTGGTTAACCTGTTCCCCAGGATGCCCATTCTGACTGGCATGCTTTTGGTCCCTGGGATTCATTAATATTATTAGGTTCATTCTTTTAAATCAATGTTTGAAGTGGGGTTGGAGGTTATGAAGCCTGGATTTCTCATTGTGATTTGCAGACAATTCAAACCTATGTTTGCTGAAACTAGAACTAAAATTTCCTTTAAATGGCAAACTAAACTCCCCCTAAGAATCATTTTAAAGGTATATGAGAAAGTTTAAAAGGTCAGATTAGGTAGCAAAAGCCACTCAGTGACAAACTCACACGCACAAACACACACTCGAAAAAAATTGCAAAGGAGAAAGAAGGTGTAATAAGTACTATTCTCCTTTTGAGGTCTGGACATTCAGAATCTTGGGGTTAAATTACAACTGCTTCATAGAAAGACAGGTTGCAGAGTGGCCTGTGGTTCAACTGAAAAAAATTCTGAGGCCAGTTGTATTACTGTTTGTTGACTCTCGAGGATAATAAGCAGGACTAATGTTGGTGACAATTCCTGACATAGCTTTAAATTAATTGCTAAATGGCAACTACCGCATAAGCTATATCTAGAGGAAGGGGGATAGACATATGTTTTATTCAAAATGTAAAGAATGGTTCCAAAGTCCTTATTCGTCTTTTTAGGACTGACTTAACTACAACAAGGAAGAGAAACTTCTACCCACTTTCTCTCTAAAATAACATAAATGGCCATTTGCAGGTTTATATTTTCAGAAATATTAATAGCTAGAGTTTTTTAAACTTTCTGAAAATACTCAAATGTATTCCTTATATTCAGGTCAACTAAAACATGATTAGAAGTATATCTAACATAGTGAAATACTGGAATTATAAGTAACGACAAAGATAATAAATCTAAACAACATAGAGACAGGATGGCTGAAAAAAGCATGAGCGTTGAAGCTAAACATCAGGAATGGAGTTCAAACTCCACTGGGAGCTACATAAACTTGGCAAGTTACTCAACCTCTGTAATTTATAAAATGGAGATACCAATATGGTCCTCAAAGTTGAATGAGATAACATACCTAAATCACCCAGTGCATTGTTTGGCACCTGGTCAGCACTCAATGAATGTTAGCTGCTATTAGCAGGAGCTGGAATACAGCCCACAGCCAGCCAGGACTTGAGTCCACATCTGTTTACCTCCACTGCTTCTCTATTATTAGTGTGAGGTCAACATTACTACTATTGTTCAACATGCTTAACATTATCAAGAGGTTTTAGACATTCTAAAAATCAGACAATTACGTATGAATTATCTTGAGAAAAAACGGGAATGACACACATTATCAAGAGTTGCATCTCTGCTGGATTTGAATCTAATACTGTAAAGAAGAGTAATTAATCCATTAAACTATCCTGTTCCTTTAAACATTATTCCAAGGCCATATAGAATTAGCAATTCTGCTTGTTTACTTTCCACTGACTAGCAGGGGATTAAAGACAAATTCAAGTTGGTTTTCAGATGCACAAAATTAAAGGTTGAGAAAACTTGGTGTTTTCAAAGCATGCATCCATGAAGGATTTCTTTTTAACTGTTCTTTCCAAAACTTTTAAACATTCAACAAAATCTCAATTTGCTTTGCTTTGTTCTTTGCTTCCAAATACTGTAAATGGCTGGATTCCAGATAGAGTAGTTATCCTCAAATGCCTTCCAAAAAGGCCTGCCAGATTCTGTGGTTCAGAAGTAATTTAAAAGTAGAAATGTGTAACAAATGAGACCTAATGGAAAACACTGGATATTTTAGTTAGTTTTTTTTTAATTTCAGAGAGAGACAATACATATACACACGTGCACATGAACATATATAAACACAGACCCATGTAAATAAGACAGAAAATGAAAAATGAGGTGGCAATGTTGTATTTCTCTATTGTAGACAATAATTGGCAAGAGTAAAAAAAATACATCGTTTTTCAATGGAAAATAAAATTCATGATGCATCTATTAACCAAACTCAACAATGACAAGTTAAAACAGAATACTTAGAATAATACAACCTCTATCTTATGGATTTATTTTTGAGGGGGGTAATCCTTTAAAGTTTACAAACCATTTTCTTACATAAGACATAATTTCTATGTATAATGAAACAGCTTTTTAATAATGACTTGTTCGAAAGAAGAAATGTTCTTCTAGTTAGTAAACTTTCTGTCACTAGGTATTCAAGCAGAAGCTGCGATGTTCCAAAGGTTATTCGTGTGCCGGAGTAAAGGTTAATTAAACCTGAGGACTTTAATACTGTGTTCTTTCTGGGTGTCTTCATTCACTCATCCTTCTAAATATTCACGAAATACTGACTACAGGCCAGGTACCTTACTACACACTACACATATGGTAGAGCAAAAGTTGGACCCAGTCCCTCCCTTCTCAGAGGTTATAGCCCAGTAAAGAAGACAAACACAAGGCTTTACAAATGATGAGAGCTATGGAGGATGTGAGGAGACCGATCTAGGCCAAGGGCAGTGAAAGACTTCTCTACCAAAACCATCTGAGGGACAAAATGAATGTTGCTACATAAGAGGAGAGGGCAGAATGCTCCAGGCAGACAATAGTGAGAGTGAGAAGTGAAGGAAAGCAAAGATAGCTGAAATGGAGAGAGGGGAGGGTGAAGCCCAGAAAGGCAGGCAGGGAAATGACCCTTGATGGATACAATAAGGCATGTTTGCACTTTATACTAAGGCAATGGAAACTATGAAAATATCTTGGGGAGACTATTAGAACAATGCAGGAATTGTGAGCAACATTGTGTTATGGCAAGAATGAAGGCAGAAAGAGCAGTTAGGAGGCTATCAACATAGCCCAGATAGAAAACGGTGGTGACATGGTCCATGGAACTGGCAATGATGGGGAACAGCGAACAGATCCTTTGTAGATGAAGGCATCTTTCATGGGATGCAAACACTGGAGGATGAGCAGGCTGGGCGAAGGAAGAGAAGAGGATATGCTTAGCTGTAGACAGGCCGAGTCTGAAGTGCTTCCTAGGAAACTGGATCATGGGTTTAGAGCCCAGTGAAAGTTATGGACTAAAGACAAATACTTGGTATTTGTGAGCCTCAGGCATACAGGTTCCCACTGTGGTAGCCACTAGCCACATGTTGTCTATGGTGCACCTGGGATACAGCTAGGGCAAAGTGAAATGTACTATAAATAAGATACATGCTACATTTCCAAGACAGTATGAAAAGGGAATGTAAGATCTCAATTTTTATACTGATATGTTGAAATAATATTTTGATATACCAGGCTAAACAAATTATAGAAATTAATTTCTTCAGTTTTTCACTTTTGTAGTGTGGCTACTAGAAAACTTACAATTACATGTCAAGTTGCATTATGACTCACATTCTATTTCTATGGGGCAGCACTGATACAGATAGTAACTGAAGTTTGGAAGAGTAAAAAGAAGCACTAATGAGAGTTTGTCTCTGATAGAATTGTGGGGTTCAACACATGGAGTGGTATGACGAGGAAGAGCTGAAAACATGGAATAAGCCGATAAAGCCAGACAATGTGGTACAGTGGAAGGCAAGAAGGCTCTGAGCAACCAGGAAGTAGACCTAAGGGTCAAATTCTGCTGTGAAGCCACGTAAGAAAAGCACTGCAAAGGATATTTAAGCTAGAACACAGGTAGAAGAACAAATGGCTTCTGAAACAGGAATAAGTGAAAAATAACTATATTACTGTAATTTAATTTTCCTGCATTTTATGTATATTTTTGTATAAATTTCCAACTTTTTGTTGCATCACCTTCCAACTGGCATGTATTTTAAATCAGCGTTTTTCACCTTTCCTTAACCCACCCATGCTTCTTGCCAACCACCCAGAAATGTTCCTCCAGTATTATTTGAAATATCAAATAGATACCATGTCTGAAAACAAATTAAAGAATAGAAAAAGTGAATACTCTATCTTCAACCGACATCTCCTTTCACCCCTTCTATTGGGTCACGTTCGCTTACCACTATAGAATCTTGGATTAGATAATCCCTACAATTCTTCAAATTCTAAAATTATGTATGTCTAGTATTAATTTCCCCATAATTCTTCATTCCATACCCAATAAAATCAGTGTTCTCTCAAGATACGCTGGCCTCAGTAAATGCACCAGTGGGAATAAACATTTGCACACTGTTTCCCTACTAACTTTCCCAAAGCGTTTATTCAACAAATGTTTACTGAGTACCTACGCATGCCCCGATGGGGCTACAGCAGTGAACAAACCAAATTTCTTGCACTCTTTGAGCTTACAACCTCATGACACAAAAATAAATACCATTCCTTCATAGTAATAATAATAATAACCAGCCAACCACCACTGCACCACTGTAGCAGCGGTGGTTTATATGGCTTACAATTTCCAATCACTACATCCTTAAGCACTTCACACCAATTACTTCATTTGAAGCTCACAACAAACTCATGAGTTACAATAGGCCACCCCTGTTTGCCTATTTTACAGATGAAAAAATCAAGGCAAAGAAAGAGAATACAGCTTCTAAAGACCTTGATCAGGATTATAAATTATCCCAGCACCATGCACTTCTCCTTTACATTACTTCCCACCCCAGGTGTTTCTGAAGAGAAGAGGAATGGACACTCTCGGTTGGTGTCTCTCTCTCCTTCCCTCTGGAGAATTTGAGAGACTGGAGCATGCAATGCTCATCTCAGAGCAGCCCGGTCTCAAGTCACACTCTGTTTTGGTAAGTCTAAATCACTTGGTTGGGGATTTAAGTTACATTCCCCCACCAGCCCTATCAGCCACAAACATGATGTTACAATATGCTCTGTCCTCCCAGAGCAGCACTTACCATGGTGGTAATTTACACTATGTGATTTATGTCCAATTCACCTACTATTCTGTACATTCTATGAAGGCAAGGATTGTATCTGTTTTTTATATCTCCAGCACTTAGAAACTATCTAGAGCATAGGACGTGCTCAGAAAATATTAGTAGAATAAATGAAAGTCAGCTTTCCAAATTCACGAAATTTATTCATGTACCTGCCCAAACTCTTATTTTTACCATCCAAAGAGAAATCTTATTCTTCTCTGCCTTTTTGTATAGCATGAGATAAATGTAATTACACCTTCCCAGGGTCATCATTATGAACTCCAATTTTTGTACTTGGTTGTAAACACAGAGGTGTCATTGGGGAGCTAATGAGGTTTATAGGATCCTTTGCCTGGATAACAGATAGCTCTCTAATTGCTGTGCTAAGTGCTTATGTCTACTTGTAAGGGTTTTAATATCCTATTCTACCACTTTCAGTATGTATGGTCTCAGCTTTTAATTTGCTCCTTCTAATATACAATAATCCAAGAAACCTGTTACTTGTTTATTGGCTTTATCAAAAGGGCCTTACTGCAGACATTTTCTTCTACCTATTTTAACTGCTTGAATGACTCTCCTCCCTTCTTCCGACTTTTCAACCATATTCAAGTGTTAAGGTTACCTTAAGTGTTACTCTATTTTTGCTGCAAATTAGTATTACCAAGCACAAGGAAAATAGCTCTAGAAAGAAGAGTAAAATAACTCAAGAAAGAAAATGAAACGATCATTAGACAGTTTTTTCATTATTTGCTGAATTACTCAATTAATTTACCCATTTGTTTCATAGCAGTGGCAACAACATCACAGGCCTGAAGCAGATCCTTCCTTACCATTAACCCAGAACCTGACACAGATAAAACAATGGTTTCACATACTCTGTCACCTCTTGTTGAAAATTCCAGTACAAACGACGCAAAATGAGTCTTCACATTTCTGGTATTAAAAGCATCCTGTGTCACAAGAGTCCCTTTTTGTCAATGATCTTTTTATTTGGCTGACTCTCTATTTTTTTTTTCTAGTTTCATTATGTCTCTTGTACTATAACCTGGGTCTGAAATGAAGCACTTCTCCAGGGACAACTCATAATTTTGCCTGTTGGAAATGCTGTCAAGGTCAGTTAGAAAACAAACCTAAAAGAAAAGAAATTGTACTCAGAGAAAGAAGGACTTATAACCTTCTGCAGGGTAGCCCCATAAAGGTTCCTACAAAATAGATGACAAATACCTACAAAGACACTTCCTGGACTGACGACTAAGCAAACCTTCTTAAATGAGAATTCTCTCCTTTCTGCAAAGGTTCTGGTGGTGGCTTGGGGAAAAAAAAATTCATAATAACTACTTTCCTTAGTGTTTATAACACATTTGATGTTTTGTTGTTGATGTTAATGTATGACAAACAGTATCACAGTTAATTTCATGACTTCCATTTCCCATTAGACAATTTTTTCATTACTTGCTAAATTTCTTTGAGTCTCCAGAAAAGTGTAAAAGAAAGGTTTATGGTCTATATTGTTGGTATCAAATAACACTACAGTTTACCGCTCCCAAGGTAATGTTATAAGGCTGCAGGAAAACATTTGGGGGAAAAAGAAAAGAAAGATAAACATAAAATTCAGTAAATATGCAAAACAAGTGTCCTGTTATGCAAGTGGCAGAGTAAACCAAATACAATATAGTTTTCTTTTCTGAAAGTACCTTATTATAAATAAAAACAAATGGTGCTTAGAAAGTGAGCTAGTATTGTCCCAGGTGCTTTATGCTCAGTGCCTCATTTATCCTCACTAATTCTACAGGCCAGGGAATTCCGGCATATCTCCATTTTATAGATGAGAATATTGAGGTTGAGAAAGATTAATTGCCCAAGCCAATGTACCTAATTACAAAGTATAGAAGGAGGTCTGTTTTCTCCCAAGTTAGTGCCCTTGCAGGCTGGCCCTTTTGAAGTCATCTGTGTACTGACTTTCTGTTGCTGAATATGGGAATTTCCAAGACATTTCAGGTGGTAAGACTGAAACTAATGGGAATGCTATTCATAACATGTAAGACTTTTGATTAATAAGTACTTGGATAGAAAAGACAAACTAGATATCCTTTAATTTTTCAAGCAACTGATACTAATACATTAATAGAAAAAAATCTCAACATTTTAGAAATATCTCTAAAAGACGTTTTAAATCAGTTAACTACATTTCCAAATTACACCCTGGTTCAGGTCATGATATTTTTTCAGACTACTAGAATAGTCTCCTAACCCATCTCCTCAAATCCATTTTTACAAAGTCACCATAGTAAACCTAAAACATAAATTTAAATGTGCTCCTCCTCTGCTTTTGGAAGCCTTCAGTTGTTCCCATCACATTCAGACCACACTCTAATCTTGTTGGCAAGGGATACAGACAGAGCCCTTAGTGGCTGGCACCTGTCACAGGTGTCTTAAATGGCTGTGAGCTCAAGGGCAAGAAACAAGTTTTATTGTTCAATAAATGTTTATTGAGATGAAATAAATTAATAGCCCTCAATCTTGCATAAAATATCCTTCTATTATTCTTTTTCCCATCTTGAGAGAAAGAAACTACATTGTATACAACCCTGAATGCTAAAATATGCTTTAGGTGTTCAATAAAATATAATGTTGTTCAATAAAATACATGTTCATTTGAACATATAGGTGTTCAATAAAATATAATGGATTACCAAAAAACCCTTAACCAGCCTCAAGTGTCTGTGTTTCAATTTTTAACACTTAAATAGTGTTGCATATGCAATCTAATCTTTTGTTCTAACATTGATTTCATATTCTAGGCTAATCTGTCTTTTCTTTTCTTTTCTTTTTGAGATGGAGTCTTGCTCTCTCACCCAGGCTAGAGAGCAGTGGTGCAATCTCAGCTCACTGCAACCTCCATCTCCCAGGTTCAAGCAATTCTCCTGCCTCAGCCTCCCAAGTAGCTGGGATTACAGGCGCAAGCTGCCATGCCCTAATTTTTTGTATTTTAGTAGAGACAGGGTTTCACCATGTTGCCCAGCTGGGTCTTGAACTTCTGAGCTCAGGCAATCCACCTGCCTAGGCCTCCCAAAGTGCTGGGATTACAGGTGTGAGCCACCGCATCCAGCCTAATTTGTCTTTTCTAATATGTAACATTTGCCTCTTTCTTCTTTCTGATCAGGACCATCTATTACTTCACCTTTCAGCAGATGCCCTACCATTGACCTTTGTCAGCAGTGGGATCCTGGAAAGAGCCCTCTACAGACCCCAGGCCTCATGGCTTAGTAACAGCCTTGGAAGAGATGTGAGCCACTTGAGAGCAGGGCGAGGGCAGCATCTTGTTCAATTTGCATCTCCAGCATCTTCCCAGGACAGTTGGCAAGTGATCAATCAGCAAATGCTTTTTGAGTAAATGAGTGAATAAAAGAGCAAATAAATTGACTCACAGTGATAAACTCAGAGTCTAGGTTTCATCAGTCATAAAAGGGTGATAAATGCCTACCTACAAGGTGACCCTAGATATTGTAGGTGGTATTACTGCCTCAAGAGTGACATTCTTAAAATGCAGTCCCCCCATTCTGTTCTTAAGCCTTGGCTGGTTATGTGGAAACACCATGTGTTTCCTCAGTATCCTAAACTCAGGATATTGAAAAAGTAGGTAGATTAATGTGTGGTTGAAAAATGAGGGAATTCTGGAATATTATTCTTAAATAACCAATGGAAATATAGGTTTTTAATTTTCTAACTTGCTGTAGGGAGAAGGGCTGATAGAGAAATCAGATCTGTTCCCTTGCAGACTTCCTTAAACAATGAGGATGTATTTTGCGACATAAGTCCTGGGAGAACAGTGTACTACCCACTTTCCAGCAATGAAACATCTGTAAACATTTTTCTGGATTCCTCTCTCTGTTTTTGAAAGTCATCTTGAGAAAGGGTGATTTGTAGAGTAAAGCTTATGGGATATTACCTTATGCTTTATTTTTGAGGTCACTCAGTATTTGCCTTCTCTTTTCTGTGTTAACTAAAATAATAAATCTTAACTCTACATACAACTCCTATCATCTATCTATCTATCTATCTATCTATCTATCTATCTATCTATCTATCTATCTATCTCCTTGTTCATCTAGCCAAAATGATGCTTGGCATCTTTGAGATTCTCTTCACCCAGGGGTTGCAAACTCACCGCAGGCTGCCACTCTGATGGAATTGAAAGACCCCATCTCAATGTGACACTGTGTATTTTCTCCTACTGGCAACAGCAGGGTGTTGGGAAAAGATGAGACATCATGTACATTTGGTCGCTGATCTCTATTTATCTTATTCCTAAAATCAATCATCTTCAAGTTTAAACAACAACGAACTCCCTCTACAATGAAACCCAGTAGAGAGCAAACTAAAGATTTTTCATAGTTTTAAAATCATATTTTAATAAATGTTTTGGAAATGCCAACCATCAGGTTCTTTTTGTTTTTGTTTTTAAGTAGAGAGATGCAAATAATCTAACCACTAAACTCACAAAGCAAACCCCTAAAAATAAAGATTCTTATGTAATGTGATTTAAAGATGTAAAGTAGCTAACAAGCTATATAACACATTTTCTAAAATAACATAAAATATAAAGTCAAACAATGAATGAATAAACATTAATGAGAACACCAGAAGTGACAAGGCAGATCTTATTTTAAAAACTTCAAAAGCTGTTTGTATAGATTACAGATAGCAAAAAAAGTGAAGTACTTACTTTAGGGCAATGCGTCAGTTTTTACAAAATTAGAAGGATCTTATTTTTCTGTCTAAATAAGTAGACTCAATCTCAAAATGCTCCCAAGACATGATTAATCCAGATAATATAGTATTTTAGTATTTATTTATAGCCTGCTTTATTCTAAAAAATGTAAGAAGGCTTATAATTAAAACCCTACAGTTAAATTAATTTCAAAAACCCTGATAAAATAATACACTTGAAGCACCAATATATTTTCATTATACAAATTCATTTTAATTTTTAAATTATGGAAATCCAAGAGTCTATGGTAAATTTAGTTTATCAAAACCATCATAAGAAACCACCTAATAATAGAAGATTGTTTAAATACGTCAATATAATTTTGTCAACAATATACATCTTCCATATATACACACATATATACATTTTCTAGAATATATAACACTGGAAAATGTTCATGAGATACCGCAAATGCAAGTGGTTACTAAAGGCTTACACAAAAGCATACAATTTTTCCTTTTAAAAATATGTATAGACAGGTATAGAGGAGTGAAAGCAAAAATTGGAATTGTAAGTTTTCTATGATGAATGAGTTTTACTTTTACAGAGTAGAAAACCATATTTTTAAGACAAATGCATATTGTTTTTATAATTATATTCCTATATGAAAAGACCATCACTGCTGCTCAGAACAATAGACTCTCTGTATGTGAGTCATATTAGAGGATCTAATATCATTCTTCTTACTGACTTACATGTTTTATCAAGATTTTATTGTTTTGCAGGACAGAGTTTCACCTTAGGCCAACCCACATAAATAAGAAACCATTCCTAGTGATGTCCATTGCATACCTAATGGATTCTACTTAAAGGCTCTTTAATTTAGGGATGAATACCTCTTTCACCATCCCTTAAAAATGGTATTACAGAGCCTGAAAAATTATTCTACAAATCACAGGTCCTAAGATATTATACTGCTAGACATGTACAAAATTACAGTTGACCCTTTAACAATGGGTTGGAACTGCAGGGGTCCTTATACATGGGAATTCACCTCTGCCACCCCTGAGACAGCAAGACCATCTATTCCCTTCACTCTCTTCCTTCTCAGCCTGCTTGACATGAAGATGACAAGGATGAAGACCTTTTTTGATGATCCACTTAATGAACAGTTAAGTATATTTCCTCTTCCTTATGATTTTCTTAATAACATTTCGTCTTCTCTAGCTTACCTTACTATAAGAACACAGTATATTATATATAAACATATAAAATATGAGCTAATTGACTGTGTTATCAGTGAGACTTCTGGTCAACAGCAGGATATTAGTCATTAAGTTTTGGAGGCGTCAACAGTTATATACGTATTTTCTATGGTGCCGGGTTGTCAGTGTCCCTAACCCTTGCATTATTCAAGAGTCAACTATATTTAAACCTACACAATCCAATCCTGCAGGTAGCCACTCACCCAATGAAGATAAATAATTGAAAATATGTGTATATATTTTCCAAAGAATTGTATTAACAAAATGAATTACACTGTTCTGCAGAACGAATAGTTGTCAAGGCATGTTTTTGTTCAGGCCTGTACTAGATAGATATTCTAAAATAACAAGATCCTGATACAAAACAATAATGGAAGATTAATATTTAAAATACAGATTTTTTCAATGACATTCGTATATAAAGTATCTCCAAAAGAAACAAATTTCATGAAATTATTTTTATTAAAAATATAAAACTGCTCAACATTCAATCATGAAGGATATAGAATTATCTTAATCAAGGATATTTTCATTTTGGAGGTATAAAATTAAATGGATGTCTTGTAGCTAGGAGAAACATGAAATTAGAACAAAAACATTATACTCCAAATTAGCAATGGAAAGTAATAAGTGATTTCATGATTTTATGCCAATTTTATGCTATTTAAAAAAAATAAATATAGCTCACAAAACTAATATCACTAAATTATTTCAATAAAGGGAGGACAATAACAGTTTTAATGGAATTGAACAAAATTAAATTACCACTTGTTTATATAACATTCCAAGGTTTAAAATGAGCTTTCTTATTGAGAAACTAAGTGTAAATGTTCTATAGTAAAGATTCTTCAACCTCTCCCACATCAGAATGATATCTACTTATACATCAGGCTTCTCAAGGTGAGATCCATATATCTTCTGGGGAAAGTGAGTAGTGCCAGAGATTAGAGGCCCCAAGGAAAACTACAGCACACACCGTTAAGTTTATTTTATGGAATAGAATGCTTCAAAGAAAATCTGACACATAAGCACCAACATATACTTAACGGCCTTGCATTTATCATAATGTTTCTGCCTCTCCATCTTTGCTCAGTCTCTCTTTTGCCCAGAAGCCGCTACCCTACTCCCACTCTGAACCCTCTACCCCACTCCCACACTGATTCTTTTCAGACAGCTGACTGCTTAACTTCAATCCTGGTATAACATCCAGAAGAAAGCCTTCCTGAATTTCCCAGGCAGTGCCACCTCTGTACTCCTGGGGCACCTGGGAACAAAGCCAGCACCCCTCTCTCACTGGATGCTCTGGCATCTGCAGCAGCTCTCATCCCCTACAGGAAGGGCAGGGCCATCCCGTCAGTTGTTTATCATTAGCAAACAACAAATGTCACCGAAACTGAGCTAAAGCTAGGAGGTCCACTATGATCACTGGGAGGATACTGGCAAGTTATCTACTAACAAAGCTCAAAAACAATGTTAACAATAACACTTCGCATAAATAGGTTTCTTGTCAGAAATCTAAAGAGGAAAAGCAAAGTTTCGGTTTTGTAGAACACATCCTGGACCTGCTACCTGACCCTGGCCAAATTACTTAACCTTTCTGGGCCTGTCATTTCCTTGTTTTTAAAATGAGAACAGGGCTAGCACCCACCACATTAGCTTAGTGAGTATTAAATCAGTCATGTGCATGAAGTTCTCAGACTAGTATCTAACAAGTGGCAAGTGTTTACTGAGTGCCACTATCAATCAAGATCTTGAATGTGAAAAATCACATAATTTTCACATGTAAACTTCAGATCTACAGAATAAAACTCTCATTATGCAAGGGAATGAAAAGAGACAAATTTAAAAAACATTTTATATGTTATATTAATCAAAGAAAGCCACATTGCTGTAATAAAGTATGATCACTGCATATTTGAGAAAATGTTATTCAAGGTACTAAAAAGTAATTTGATGAACTTAAAATACTGATGAAAACTAAAATCTGTTGTCAATGTACAAATGATGTTGCTAGTTCCATCACATTCTGCGTGTGCCTCTACATGCACATTATATAAATTGGAAGAAAACTATATGAATGTACAATCAGCAACTTCTCATTTGAAGAAGACAGACATCTGTGAAATAGACATCTGGGGGAGAAAAAAGTGACGTTTTTCTGTAGTGCCATTCATAAAGGTGTCACATCTATGCTATACTGTATTAAGCCACAATTTTCTACATGTAAACGTATCGGGAGCTTAATATAAAACTACTGTAAGTTGGAATTTGCTAAAGGAACACTTAGGAACCATATAAACCTATGAAATTATTTTTCACAATCAAAAAGACAGCTTCTTAAAGTAGCCTAATGTATATGGTACATATCCCAAGGGCGGACTAATTTACAAAAATGCTATCTCAGTAGCCTATGTATGTGTGTGTACATAAAAATAAGTCTTGTTACTAAAATAAAAA
This sequence comes from Homo sapiens, assembly GCF_000001405.40. Lineage (NCBI taxonomy): Eukaryota > Metazoa > Chordata > Mammalia > Primates > Hominidae > Homo > Homo sapiens. The sequence continues at coordinate 148,356,765 of NC_000004.12, forward strand.
TTCACTTTCCCACAACTCTCTGATGCAAGAAATCAGAGATTAAAATGAAATAGTCATTCAAACAGTCTGTGGTAAAGGAGCCTTTCTCACATATGCTTATATTTTCAATGAACAAAAGCACACACTAAGCACGACTGTGTGTGTGTGTGTGTGTGTGTGTGTGTGTGTGTGTTACGGGATGCTTTTTGTTTGCAATCTAGAAGACACAGTACTACAGAGTCCTCATAGGAACACCTGCTATTATGGGGGAGGGATTGATAAACCTTCAGTGACAATTTCATATAGGTTGAACATTCTGAATCAAAATGTTATATATTCATAAATACTCTAAAAACCTATAATCCCATGGTAGATAATGGAAGGAATAGTGGGGTGTGTGTTCCAAGGCTGATCTGGCACATGTGGAGGAAAATCCTTAGCAAATACTTTTGAATCAAAAAATACATGTTCTTTTATTTTATAATGAGCTTACAAAAATGATTGTTAAGTCTTCATTTACAAACCTTTAAAATTAGAATCCATTCATTTCTGTAGTAAAAGTGTTAGTATAATCCAAGACAAACTCATTTATTCTACTGAAAAGAGTACCTATGCTTTTTAATGTTATCGTCATCATTATCATCCTCTGTAGTCAGAGAATCAGATTCCTTTACATAAGGTATATCTCTCAATATAAATTCAGTACACTATGAAATGACTAGACTATACATCTCTTTTAATATGGTAAATATAACATGGAAGTCTCCCCCAAGTCATAACTTCAGTTATGCAAATATAATGCTACACATATTCCTCCAAATATAATACATTTCTGTGATATCGAAAACTTTTAAACTTCTTCCTAGAAGAATCTAGGAAAATACCAACATGACAAGCTTTTATGTTACATACAACAAAGCCTCCACCAAAGGCTCTTCATTTAACATTAATTATTTCTGCTAAATAATACCATATTATATTGATTTTTCTGTTTATCAATCTCCATTATATCTTTTCCTTTTGACATTTTAAAAGAAAGTGCAACAGAGATGTCAGCCACTTTAGTTCCTGGCATGTTAAAAGCAAGGCAAAGGTTTGATGAGGAGGGTTAAAAAAAATGAATAAACATCAGGAATAGGAAGTTCTTACCTTTTGATTTATGCTGTTGTAAGAGGAAAAAATACAAATATCTTTAAATTGTGAAAATGCACTGAAAATATCCTCTTTCAAAGGACTATATTTACTTAACTACGTGTTCCTAACGCAAGGTAAATCCCTTATTAAAATGCCATATCTCACCATTGTGGAAGTCAGTGTGGCGATTCCTCAGGGATCTAGAACTAGAAATACCATTTGACCCAGCCATCCCATTACTGGGTATATACCCAAAGGACTATAAATTATGCTGCTAAAAAGACACATGCACACGTATGTTTATTGCGGCATTATTCACAATAGCGAAGACTTGGAACCAACCCAAATGTCCAACAATGATCGACTGGATTAAGAAAATGTGGCACATATATACCATGGAATACTATGCAGCCATAAAAAATGATGAGTTCATGTCCTTTGTAGGGACATGGATGAAATTGGAAATCATCATTGTCAGTCAAATATCGCAAGAACAAAAAACCAAACACCGCATATTCTCACTCATAGGTGGGAATTGAACAATGAGATCACATGGACACAGGAAGGGGAATATCACACTCTGGGGGCTGTGGTGGGGTGGGGGGAGGGGGGAGGGGTAGCATTGGGAGATATACCTAATGCTAGATGACGAGTTAGTGGATGCAGCGCACCAGCATGGCACATGTATACATATGTAACTAACCTGCACAATGTGCACATGTACCCTAGAACTTAAAGTATAATAACAAATAAAAAATAAAAAAAAAAATAAAATGCCATATCTCCGTTCTTTTTTGCTAAATTTAAATTATATGAAACTGTTTAATCACTGAGGTTTTAAAAGTAGTAGTCTTAGAATCTCAAGAAAAAAAGGCTTGCATTTTCAACACACTTATAGCTATGCTTATAATTAATCCATTAGAGTACCTGGCTAATAAGTTAATTTGTAATTTGTAATTTCCTTAAAACACAGTAATAACATACCAAGAAGAGTATTTCCATTAGCCAAGTTTGATCTTAGAAAAAGAAAACATCTACAAAAACACTAAGTGGATCACATAAAATAAGCTAAACCACAATTTACACACACGCACACACACACACACACAGAGTGCAAGAATCATTTTTCAAGCATCGTTCATTCAGATCATTTACCAGGAGAGAGCTGTAAAAAGAAAAAATTCATGCTTGAATGAACTGATCATTGAAATGCTTCTGCTAATCTATGATTTTGGTCCAACTTCCCTATATAGTCCTCTCTCTTTTTTTTATTTTCTGACCCATTCAACTTAAATATCATCTGAAAAGATTATAAGTTGGTTTCCTTAGAACTACACCCAACATTTGACCAAATGTGTTTATTTCCTCTACCTTGCCCTCACCATGGGTTTTTAAAGGGGGGAAAAAAAAGAAAGCTAATAATTTGAACATTTTGTAACCTAGATGTAATTTTTAGAATGTATCAGACCACATAGTTCTTACATGTTCCTGATAGAAGTTAGGATTTTTATCATCATATAGGTGATACACATCCACTTGGGTTAGATGTACGATCTATACCTTCCCCACAACAAAGGATTCTAGTGACCTTTGGTTTTACCATTCACAAATGGCAGATATATCTACGAAACTAAGGGATAAACAAATGAATATCAATAAATTTTATATGTGCCAAAATAAACTAGTCATCAGTACATCTTTCACTGCTGTCCAAGTATCAGAGTTTAAAGAGTTTTGTTCTTTTAAAAAAGGGGCTATGGTGGTACAGGTGGAAATCTAAGAGTCACCTCCCACTTTCTCCATATTTTATGGTGTCCCAGACCCCTTTGAGAAACACGTGCAAGCTGTGTACCCAGACTCTCCCATGTAGTATGTATACAGAATGTTACGTGTCATTTCAAGAGGCTCACAGAAACCTCCAAGCTGATAATTTATAAACCTTAAGAATGGCAATGTAATGTACAGGAGAGCTAAATCTTTACACACAATCAGCTTATCCCATGTAACTACAGAGGCTGGAGCCAGGTGAGCATTCAGGCTGAGAAAATAAGGCAGGAATAGGTGCAAATAAGGAATTGGTGCATAGTGGTGGAGGAGCAACCCCGGGGTTTGCTTTGTTTCCTTCTAAACAGGAAGACAAGGTAGCAGAACAAAGTGAAAGGAATTTCTTAGTAAGAGTGGCTAAGAAGAAATGGAATTTTCTATAGCAAGACTGCTCAAGTACAAAAACATAAAAGGGATATCCTAAGCCATTTAGAAAATCTTGGCAATACAAATAAATACATTGCTCATCTGCCCCTACTTTATACTTTCTTATCATTTTGCTTATTTAGCATCAAGCACTGTAGAGAACTTTGGAAAAATAATATAATTGACATTATTAATTTATATATACATAAGCATGCTGTACACATGTTCTTTGTCCTACATGACACTATGTGCTTTCTGCTTTCTTCTTTAAACAAAACAAAAAAGCTCCAACTAAAAGTGGATCATAGCAACATAGTCCAAGATCTATACACTGTGTAACTGCCTTCAGTGTGCTCATTACTTTCCTACTCTATGCTCTGTGTATTAAAGGCTCTTACGGTAAAGCTAAAGTGCTTATAGGCAAAACAAACAACTCAGCCAAAAGCATCACAAAAACTATATTAGTATATATTCTTCAGTAACAAACCCATTTTTCCCTTAAGAACCTTTAAAAAAAGTTATAAGTATCCGACATATTAATATCATCCCTATTGGATTTAGGATGTGTTTGGATTATAAAAAGAATCATAATTTGAATCAGTTTGAAATATTTTGATTCTGACTGAAATTTTTCCAATTCACAGAGTAATTAACTGGGTTTATGAGAGAATTAATTAAAAATCTGTAAATCCTATATGCCAGGTATTTTAATAGATGCTTTCAGGTAAGTGTTCATCTTAATTATATAATGCTAACATCACTTATAACACAATATTAAGTATGGGTTGGCAAGAAACAGTAATGGTGAGTTACATGTTACACCCATAAAGTCTGGGGTTCCACGATAATAAAGTGTATGACTGGCCACAGCTGTCACCCTCATAGACTGCCTCCTCAGGATGCCACCCAAGGCCCCTTGCAACATAAACACCCTGAATTGTAATTATCTTTGTGTTTTTTCCCCTACTAGATTGTAAGCTCCAGCAAGACAAAGACCATGTATTAATTATGGTGTATTCTAGCGCCTGATAATGAATCTCTGCTAAATAAAAACAGTGAAGTGTTTGTTTTCAGATAACCTTCCAGCAGAAGTTGAGGATTTTTAAAAATGCAAAGATTACACATCCAGAATAAATTTTAAATAAAAATAGAGAATCTCTAAATTGACAGCCCACATCAGTTACCCAGAATCAATTTAGACATAAGAATCCTCAACATCAGAATTAAAATGCTAAACCTTTAATCACTTTGAATAAAAATCTCTAGGCTACGATATTCTTTTCTTTCTTAAATGTAATATAATTTAACATTCTGTCAATGTCTCAGTAATTATTGCCAACATCATCATTAGACAGGACTTTGAAGAAGCCAAAGAATGAGACTGCCAGATTGAACCTTGCCCAGAAGTAGCTCTGTAAGTTACTGCCCTTAGGGGCCTCTGAGATTGTCCTTTTCCATTCTCCTCCAACATTATGTCATTAATAGGAAATTGTGGGCTCTGGTTTTAATCTCAACTCTGACACCTTATTATCTGAATCCTGGACAAGTTAAATCTCTCTGGTCCACCATCTCTCCAGCTGTTAAACTGGAGTTAATACCACCTGATCCGGGACTATCACAGAGTTTCACAGCCTTCAGGGTCCTCCCTTCTCCTTCCATTCTTACAAGGTGTACCTTACTTTTAATGGTTACTGAGGTATAGGTAACCATATTTTCTGAACCAAAAATTGAGGGACATAACCAGATAACTACCCTAAAGTTTTGTTGTTATTATTGTTTTTGTTTTTGAGACAGAGTTTCACTCCTATCACCAAGGCTGGAGTGCAGTGGCACGATCTTGGCTTACTGCAACCTCTGCCTCCCAGGTTCAAGCAATTCTCCCGCCTCAGCCTCCCAGGTAGCTGGGACCACAGGTGCACACCACCATGCCCAGCTAACTTTTGTATTTTTAGTAGACATGGGGGTTCACCATGTTGGCCAGGCTGGTCTCAAATTCCTTACCTCAAGTGATCCACAGGCCTCAGGCCACCCATAGTGCTGGGATTATGGGCGTGAGCCACCACACCCAGCCCCTAAAATTTAATATACAGATTTCCTGGAAAATTCAAGACATGTGGCGTATCCCAAGATTTCAGGCTGTTTGCATTATTTCCTTTTAGGTAAGAGAAATAAGTTCTAGTGTTCTGTACCATTTTAGGATGACTACAGTTAATGATACTGTATTATACAGTTTCATATAGAAGGAGGATACTGAATGCTCCCAACACAAAAAATGATAAATGTTTGGGATGATGAATGTATTAATTACCTTGATCTGATCACTATATGTGTATTACAATGTCACTATGTACCTCATGAATAAGTACAATTATTTGTCAATTTAAAAACTTTAAAACTTTAAAATTTAAAAATTAAAAATTTTAAAAATGAAATTTTTTGAAGTCTGAGCCTTTACCTTCACATTGGCTGTTCTATTATTTCCATTCACTTACGGAATTGTACATATTCACTCCCGCTTTCATCTGCTCAAAAGTTACAGAGTTATAGGGACTGTGTGCCGAGACTATACAGCAGTGAAGAAAATGGGCACAGTTCCCATTGCTATGGAATTTACAATCTAGACTCAAAGAAGACAGAGCCATTCAACCAAAAAATTCCCCATGTAAATAATTACAATTGTAATAACTGCTGTGGAGTATATGAGAGAGAATCTATAATAGGAAAACCTGACTGCAGAGGGGTGGGTAAAGGAGAGAGGGAAGGGCTGACTTAAGCAGGGAATTGTAGGAAGAGCGACTTAGGCCCTCCTCTATGGCTCTCATGGCGTTTCCGTTATGACATCTTTCTACATGCCGTTCAAACACTTTTCATTTATTCCATTTCTCTTTCTCCCATACTACACAACTACAACGGGATGCGGTTGAAAAGTGGTTAGATTTTGAATCAGAAGACCTAGCAGTGAGTGTCATCTATAAAGGTGACAACGTTGCCTTGCCTTCCTGTGCTCCATCCATAAAGTGGAGAGGACACTGCTTTAAACCACCACACCTCAGAGTTCCTGTGAGTAAGGACAATACGTGAAATGACAGATGCCGAAGCCCTGAGTGACCATGAGGGGCTAATCAAGAGTACAAATTTACTTTTCCTACAACATATTGCTTTTGTATTCTTTTCTGCTTTTAGTGATCTCTTCAGGGCTGTTGGCGTTGTCTGAAAAGCAGAGAGATTTTAAATATCCCAAGTCAAAGTCCTGTTTTCTTTCTAGTCAGAATTTGGACCTGTCAGAACACACCTTCCTTCCATTTTTCAGTCATTTATTCACTTCACAGACTTCAAAATATATTTATGTATCAAAGTCACAGGCATCGGGGACAGGATTTTTTACATGAAATTACAGCACTACTCGTAACCATTAAAGTCTAGACTTCTCATAGATCTCTTTTTTTTTTTTTTTGAGACGGAGTGTCGCTCTTTGGCCCAGGCCGGATTGCAGTGGCGCTATCTCAGCTCACTGCAAGCTCCGCCTCCTGGGTTCATGCCATACTCCTGCCTCAGCCTCCTGAGTAGCTGGGACTACAGGTGCCCACCACCACGCCCGGCTAATGTTTTGTATTTTTAGTAGAGATGGGGTTTAACTGTGTTAGCCAGGATGGTCTCGATCTCCTGACCTTGTGATCCACCCGCCTTGGCCTCCCAAAGTGCTGGGATTACAGGCGTGAGCCACCGCGCCCAGCCGACTTTTCATATATCTCTACATCAAGTCTCACCTATCACTTCAAAGGGGTAAAAATACTCTTCTGCTCAAACTGTATTCAGTCTCTCGTGTCAATGGAAAATGGTGTGTTACAGATAGAAAATTCTAAAGAAGATCTCACATTTCAAAATTAATACCTAATTTTACTCAGTAATTACATTTTATTTCAAACATATGCCCTTACAATTAGTCTTGAATTTGAATCTAAGTTTCATAACTTCTGGGTAAGATGACCATTTAGTAAACTGCCTACCAATTTTAGTTTACTTATCTGTTAAGCACCATAGTATTTATGATCTATATAAGATTGTAATGAAAACTACATTTTTGTAAAACACCATACATAGTGCTCAGTATGTTCTTCCCTCCTGCCATTTCTTATATTTCTTGATTAATACCTTTAAATAACTCGAGGAGCTTCGCCATACTACTACGCTTCAGTGTGTTGGAAATGAAACATGCGCTTTTCTCCCATGCTTTGCCTGACTGACACACTGCTTTAGGGAGCACTGAAGTCGTCAGTTTGGATTACAGAATTGGAGATTACAGGAATCAATTTTAGAAGAAATATTTAGAGAAAAGTAATCTTCTTTGCTTCCATGAATGGTAATGTTTCTGGAACTATATTGGAATTGGCTTGTTCCCGTAGAAGTTCCCTATAAAGAGTAATGATACTGAGCTACTCTCTGAAATTGTAGAGTGAATGCAGAATTCATATTAGATGCCTCTTAACAATCCTTAACAATATGTGTTAGGTCCTTACAAAGGCAAAAAACAATTCCATTTAATAACATCTTCTGCATGCATAATACTAAAATTTTTCAAAGCTATTTCCTTTGTTTTATCTTTATAATACTTTCCTATGTTGATGGGTGTAGTCATCATGTGGCACAATGTGCCATATGGCCTGACTGTCCAAGGTCACACAGTGAGATGACTGGTTGAGTATCCCTTATCCAAATTGCTCGGGACCAGAAGTGTTTTGGCTTTGGGTTTTTTTTTTTTTTTTGGAATACTGGCACAAACATAATGAGATATATTGGGGATGGGACCCAAGTCTAAACATGAAATTCATTTATGTTTCATATACACCTTATACACAGAGCCTGAAGCTAATTTTACACAATATTTTTAATAATTTTGTGCATGAAACAAAATAACGTACACTAAGCCATTAGAAAGCAAAGGTGTCACTATCCTGGCCAGCCACCCATGTGGACAATCTGTGGTTGTTTGAAATCACCATCATTCCTGACTCTAAATCTATATGCTACCAATAAGCAATCCTTTTCTTAACACTTATTTCCATGTAAGTACTTCACAATAAAAAATATGAGACACATATCTGGCATGTGCAGAAAAGATACATCACAGTTGAAGGGGGCTAGGAAAGCCTTTCTTCCCTTGGGGATGCTGAATATACTGTGTTGGGGACCTGCATTTTGACTGTGACCTCTCACATGAGGTCAGCTGTGAAATTTTCCACTTGTGACATTATATCAGGGCTTAAAAAGTCTTGCATTTTGGAGCATTTCAGATTTCAAATTTTCAGATAAGGGATACTCAACCTGTACTGGTAAAACCAGCTCTAGAATACTCATTTCCTTGGTTCCCCTACCCAGAATTTCTTAACCTTTTTTAGTGCCATGGATCTTTTGGCAGCCTGATAAAGTCTACGTAACCCTTATCAAATTATGTTTCTTAAGTATCATAACTAGATTACTGAGAAATCAATCAGATTGACAGGTATCAAAATATTTTAAAATGTGATACAGTAATATGCTGCTTTATTAGTGTGGGAAATAAGAAGATCCAGCTGTAATTAATAAATACTGTAATTTACAGTAGTGATGAACTTAAATATTTTGAGATCTCTACAACCATGTGATATGAAAATATCTATAATTTCTATTAGCAGCAAAGTCACAGTTTTTCTTATTAATTTTTTGCCTACATTCATAATTAAGGGAAATGATAAATTTCAATCAGATATTAGTGAAAATACAAGTATAACTTTTTCCCATCCAAGCTCACAAACTCCCGGAAATTCCAGGCACTGACCCCACTAAGACTCTTGTCAACTCTCCCAACAAAGCTCACCAATTTATAAGACAGCCACAGAAATTTTTTAAGTATTTCAATGTATAACAAAAGTTATCCGTAATATCAAAATCTAAAAATCAAACAAAAAAACCCCAGAAAACTGTACATCTCATAAATTCAAACCTTTTATTTCCTAACTTCTGCCAATCTTAATATTCCAAATCTTTGTATAAATTTCTAGAAAGATTTCAGGAAGTATGGAGTTATAAACACCTAATCTGTTGAAAATATATAATGTTAGACAAATTTACTTTGGTTTCCAAATCAAAAAAAAATAACAAAGCAGGTGTATCCACATACAAGGATATTAACAATTATGAAGAAAGATATATTTGTTTCCATGCCTTTCCCCAAATCCTTTTCCTTGGGCCCTTCCCTCCAAGAATGTTGTGCAGTCATGGCTTGCTCCCTGGCTTCAGCAGAACCTGTCATAGCTCTACCAAGCATACCAAGGTACCCCATGTCAGGAGACTTCAAAGCAACCCCAAATTCACTCCTTGAAAAAGAATACTTTTTTAAAAGTACTTTTAAAAAAGAATACTTTTTAAAAAGTACTCAGCACTTTTAAAAAAGAATACTAAGATATTCTAGAAGGGAAAAAATAATTGGCTCTAGAATTCACTTATAAATTTCAAGACACAAGTACCAATTCAACAAAGTCTAAATTGATAAATTCACACAAAATGAAACAACATGTCTCTATTCTCTCATCATTCAAAATCCTTGCATACGAAGCAAAAATAAGACCTGTCAAATCATCAAAAATTCTGCTTTATTTTCTCTTTCCCCACATACTTAAATCCAGAGGGACTACTCTCCATCCTGAATATCAAAAGCTAAAATTACCCCCCCAAAAAAACCCAGGCAAGAATCATAGCAGAAATTAATTTACTAGGCTATCATAACAATAACATGACCTTGTACTATATTAAGATTTTGTTCATAAGAGAATAGCTAGATGTATAATTACACTGGCAACATGACTTCAATAACACCAACCTACAAAAAAACTACTTCACTCCTATGATTTATAAAGGTTTGCTTATTTTCCATGGGGTATGCTAAGCCTGTATACTATTTTAATAAGTAAGAAACATCCCTCATAAAGGCAGAAAGAGGTGTGTTACACTCTATAAACCCAGAACTGCATTTTATCACTTCTAGGTTTGCCCATTTAAACAAGTGTTCATGTCATCTGAAAAACACAAAAAGGTTTCAGTACCTCTACATTTGAGGCACTGTCCAAAAGAAACAAAATACATAATAAAGTGGATTTGTCATGAGATTGTGTGCTTTGCTACATTTCAAAAGCTGCCCCAAAATTAATAGGTGGTTTCAACGAATGCAATTGCTTGAGCCAATATAGCAACCCAAATATTATACATATACTTTTGGCATACGATAATTGCTCTATCGGTCTATGTCATATTATATAAATACAATCATAATGTTAAATCAACAATGCCATAATTTAAGTGAAAATCATAAAAGATTAAAAAGTTTAAAGGTATATTTAAATGAACTTTAAAAAGTCATGGTATTAAAATTCAGCTTGGGTTGAATACGAACAATGTTATCACACCTAAAGAATTCTAGCTAAGCAATCATGTATAAACATAGATATTAGCCTGAAATTTAAGACAGGCTGCTGGATTGAATGATGAGACCATCAGATTGAGTTCTTCAGTTCATTAGCTTAACCACAATCCCAACCTAATATCCATAAAATCACAAAGGCAAGTGTAATATACCTCCTAAATATAGAACTACACAAAAATTTGTCATTATTCAAGAAAGATTTATGCTCAGCATTACTTCAGTGACAGTGAAGGGGGAACTAGAACAGTCTTTGAGGAAGAAATCCAATTTAAAAAAAAAAACATTGAAAACCTGTGTTTTTCCTAGGTTCAATGTAAACTTCTTCAAAAAGAAATACATTCTCCCTTTCAAAAAAAAAAAAAAAGTCAAGGGGGATTTCTGCAAGTTACCTGCTATCCTTTCACCCAGAGAGGCACCAGAGCAACCGTCTTTCACATCCGCCCTCCTGCTGTATTTCCTCTACAACCTACCCAGGTGCACAAAACTCGTCCCCATATATCATCTTAAACTTCTTCCCCTCCCTTGGGCGCCACCATCCATCAGTTCCATATCTCCCTATTGATTCCTCCTAAATGTCTCTCAGATGCATCACTTCATCACTTCTCCTGATGCCCTTGTGAGGGTGGTGGACCCCTCTCTCTCCACACAATGCCAGTCACCTCTACCTCTTCCTCTCCACCACACTCCCTCAAATCCCATAGCCCCACAAACCCCAGCTGAGATTCTTGCTGTGTCTCTCACCTCTGAGCCTTTGTACACTTGCGGTTTCAGCTTAAAAATCCCTTAGTGTGGGAAGGGGATGCGTAATAACAATAGTTACTTAGTTCTTGGGTTGGGATGTGCTTCAATATTAAGTGTGTACAACCGAATTACTACCTCTTCAAAGAAGAAAATCGAATCGTGGGAAGAAAATAGCTTCCCCACCCTGTCTCTGCTATTGTTATTACATCATAATGACACATTATTGTCACTAGCAGTAACAAATGACAGTGGTATATTTTTATTAATAAAATGAACATGGTACTTTCATATATACAATCTTGTATTTAATCCTTCCCTGGCCCTAGCTATTGCATGCACAATAGGCGTCTGGAACTTTACATCAATATATAATGGTTCGCTGAATTTCAAATGTGGGGAGAAAGGAAGCAGCAGGAAGATATCTGAAGACTAGATTGGTATGGAAACCAGCAATGGGGAGAATAAGTCAAAGAAAAGATAGAACACTATAAAAGGCATAAATGAGTATTTATGAGATACCCACAGGGAGACCCCAGAAAGCGGTTAATCTCAATTCATAAATCTTCTGCTCTGTTTGGTCCAGCATGATTTCCCAAAAGACACAGCCATGTAGAGACAGAACTTGTTGACACTAGGCTGGAGACATTTTCCCTCAGCGTCCTCACCAGCTTTCCCTCTTGGCCTTTGTTGAGTTTGCTTCAGTGAGCTCCATTCTAGCTCCCCTCTTCTACCCACTTGCTGCCATTAACTACATTCTGTAAAAAACACCATTAACTACATTCTGTAAAAAATAGAGTAGGTACTTGTAGAATTCCTGGGAAGAAGTGGGGCTGGGGCTGGTCACACTTGGCAACTACCTGTCAGCAGAGAAAATAATTATTTCCCTCATTCTGCTTCATGCAAAACTAATCCAGAATGGATTACCAGGGCAAATATCTAACTCATGATTCTGTACATGGCATTGCATTAGCGATTTTTTATGGCTTCAAAATGCTTGTTACAAATTGACAAAATGAAGATCTCTTTAGAAAGTTTGTTTCTTAAAGTACCCATAACATGAATTTCGGAGAAATTACAATACCATTTCATATTAGCATACATAAGCCCCTTCCAATATGTTTAATTTGTATTTCCCCAACGTGCTTTATGATGATAGCATTTGCCCACAGAAATAAATGCCCCAAATGGTAGCATTATCAGAAACATATACTTCACTTTGAGGCATGACAAATTAGAGCTAGATTAAAAAATAAATAAAATCAACTGACAAACCTTAACTGCTAAGAGATCTGAAAAGTGATACTTAAATACTTCTTTAGCACTTTGAGTATAATCACTATGCTGTTTCTCTTAAATTCTTCATGGTTTCTCTTCATTTTAAAGTATAATCTGCCATTTCTCTATAGCAAATGGATTGTGCCCACTCTGATTTCATTAAATCAACCCATATCCAGAGACATCTATGTGCCCCTCTGGCAGGATCTTAAAGAGGAGAACAAGACAAAACAAATACAACTGTTTTGTAGAAGGAAAGGCAGTGAAGGCGATAAAATAAAAAAGTGATATTGCAAAAGGCAACAAGACTTGATGCTGAGCTCAAGGGGAGCCATGCTGGCTGTCCCAGTCTCTCCATATGCTGCAAAGAACCGGGTGAAATTGATGGGCACTGAGGGGCTGGAACCAAGTGCCACCTTTTTAGAAGTAGTAACTTTCTAAATCAGTAATAACATGCTTTCCTGTATTCCGAGATGATGCAGCCAGCCCATCCACAGGAAGGCATGCACTTTGAAGTGTTTTTCTAGCGGTGGTGATGGATGGTAAAAGTTGTCCCATAGGGATAGATGGCCAGTGACAGGTGCAAGACAACTGGCCAGAGTCAGCCATGCAATGTGACCACATAACAAAGCAGAGCTTCTGCTTCCTACGAAAGGAAACCTGAACTTTGGGCCCTAGGAGCCCCATTACTGACCTGGTCAAACATGCCATGGAAGATGCAAAAATGAAGGCAAGTGTTCAGAAGGCAAATTTTCTGTCTACTGAATATTTATTTTTCTACAGATAAGTATTTGGAGCAACCTCACTGCACATCAGTTAGGATAATTCAACAGTAAAAAAAAAATACTAAGCAAGGAGATGGTTGCTATTCACTTTTATTTTGTTAAAGTTTTTTCTGTGAATGTAATCATGAAAGTGTTATGGTTAGATGAAACATATAATTAGCCTTCCTACATAACTTTTTTTCAAATACTGTATGTGCGTGTATTAGTATGTCTACATATGAAAGAAACAGACGTGTATTGTTAGGAGTAAAATTACATGAAATGCTGTCAAAATCAGGAGTTTTGGTTGGAGTTTCTCCAACTATGAAGTTTATAAGAAATTAAAATGGATGAATGGGAGGGGGTGCTAAAATATAGATATCTGGAAAAAGCACATGACACTCCCATAGTCTGGTTAACTATAAAATAAAGAGGGATCCATTTTACCAGTAAGTATTTATTTAGGAAATTACAAACGTAACGTTCCTCTCATTACTTTTAGAAAAGTTTTCACCAATTTACACTGAGGGTCAGTATCTTCCTTCTCCTCCCCGCCCCCCAATAAGAGATGGAAGTTTCTCTCTATTCCCCACCCAGCCTGGAGTACAGTAGCTATTCAGAGGAGCAATCATGGCTCACTGCAGCTTGGAACTCCTAGACTCAAACAATCCTCCTGCCTTGGCCTCCCAAGTAGCTGGGACTACAGGTATGTGCCACCATGTCTGGCTCCCTGTATTTAATTTTTAATTTTTGTAGGTATTTGGTAGGTATATATATTTATGGGTTATACGAGTTACTTTGATAGAGGCATGCAGTGCATAATAATCACATTGGGGTAAATGGGGAATCCATCACCTCGAGCATTTATTCTTTGTGTTACAAATGATCCAATTATACTCTTTGAGTTATTTTAATATGTACAACTATATTTTACTATAGTCACCCCATTGTGCTAGGAAATACTAGGTCTTATTCATTCTATTTTTTTTGTACCCATTAACCATCTCCATTTCTCTTGCACCCCCTCTTGCCTTTACTTTTAATTCTTATAATCATATAATAGAAGAGACAGCTGATAAACATTTCTCCAGTCCTGTCTGCAGAATGAGCTAGATAAATGCTTGAGACCCCCTTGGGGTTTGATGACTTAATGATTCTACAATTCTGTAAATACAGAAACAGAGGAGGCTCTCAGAGACATTACAACACTTAATTAAATAACCATATCCCATGTTATTGAAAGTGAAAAATTTTATACCTAGTGACCTTGTGTGCACCCAATCCCTTTAAATGTAGTGTCTAATTCACTAGAAGAGAAAAAAAAAAGGAGGAAAAGATATTCAAAAGCACCCGAAATTTGAAATAGATACCAAATTTACACTGTACACTTTCCTTAAATTTTTGATAAAATAAAAACAGTACCTGACTTAATCCTCACTAACCTGAGAGACAGATACTGTGATAGAGATTTTACTGGAAAAGCTAAAAATTATATATATTACACACAGTTGTTGCTTAAAGTCATAAGCTAGTGAGTGACAGAGGCCAAACAGTATAAAATTAGAATGAGTAGAGGGAGACCGACAAACTTTCAACTGTTTTCAATGACAACACTTATTTCTATGCCCTTGATTTTTTTCATTTATTCATTCCAGAAATATCTGTTACTATCATATACCAACTACAGTTGGCCTCCTAGTCAGAACAGAAATAACAAGGGATAAACTATTGCTCATGTATAAAAATCTCATGTCCATAATTTTAGCGGACTCTAAAACTTGAAGTAAAATACACATGCATGAAGTTTTAGCAAATAAAGATTAGTCCTTTAAACTAGAATGTATTTAAAGTAAGTTCTATTCCTTGGTCAAACATAATAACATTAAATATCATCCTCTTTTCATTAAAAATGTTCTTTTTTGGATAAACCAAAAAAGAAAGATGTCTTAATTTTCTGAAAATGTTCTGATGACTTAATGACAATGACAGGAATAGAATTCTAGATACTATACTCTTATCTTGTTTTTAAAATATGTCATATTCCCTCTCATTTCTATACCCAGTTAATCTTCTCTTCACATAAAAGCCCTGATATTGACCACTGTTTCTCAGATCCTTGAAGGTGATATGACCGGCAATCTCAGCATCCCCAAAAATGAACAGATGAGGTCACAAACCAAAGAGGCATTCTTAACATGTTAAAAAAAAAACCCACTCAAATTGTGAGAAAAACATTTCCTATTGGCAGCCAGAAATACAATGTGCCTACAAGCAATCTAGTTCACAGCAACTTTATTTTAAATAATACATTATGAAACATTATAAAAAGTGGCTTGTTTCCAAATGGAAGGCACATAAAAGGAAAAACCTGATAACTTCTTTATTCTTCAAAGACATTAACACTTGAAGTCAAACATTCACTGGATCAATTCTAAAGAAAAGTTATTAAGTTATAGCATGATTTTAAGGGATAATAACCAAGATTAAATATGCTAATCCTTCCACTGATTTCTGACTATGCTTCAGATAGTTTAACCCCTTTTAAGAACTTTCTTCCTTTAATCAGTTCAAAAGCCAGGAGTGCAACCCTCTCTTACTAGCAGAGGAATTTATATACTGCTTGAAATTGAAAGATGTTTCAGCAGTATCTGATTTATACACACACATACACATACCCAAGAAAGTAGATATCTTTGAGAAGACATTAGAGTAAACCAACACTTTATGTAAGTAGAATCAATTTCTAATGGAATTAAACATTACTTCTTAAAGCAATGCTATACTCTGATTTCCTCCTGAATAACTTTTATTTGTTTGTCTTTCTAAGGGAAGCCAAGTTCCACTAAGATATTCAACCCTCCAATGCTGATGGCACTCTTCCTTCTACTTAGAAGCCTCTCTTGGCTCTCTCTCCCCGCCTTCTCCCACTGGTAAAATCCTACCAATTGTTTAAGCCTTGCTCAACTCTACCTTCTTAGGCAGTCTTGCACAATCTCACCTATTGAAATCCATTGTTCCATCTACATCACACTCAGATTTTTCTGATTTACAACCAACTATCCTGTATCATGCCTTACATTCTTGTTATCCAGGTAGGTATATGCTTCTCCCAAGCAGAGTACCTTGGATTCCCAACAAAGGTTTGCTGACTTGAACTAAAGGATGACTTTTTTTTTCTTTTTTTTTTTTTAGATGGAGTCTCGCTCTGTCACCCAGGCTGGAGTACAGTAGCGCAATCTTGGGTCACTGCAACCTCTGCCTCCCAGGTTCAAGCGATTATCCAGCCTCAGCCTTCCAAGTTGCTGGAGCTACAGGCACGTGCCACCATGCCTGGCTAATTTTTTGTATTTTTTTAGTAGAGATGGGGTTTTACTGTATTGGCCAGGATGGTCTCCATCTCCCGACCTTGTAATCCACCTGCCTCGGCCTCCCACAAAGTGTTGGGATTATAGGCATGAGCCACCGCGCCCGGCCAGGATGACATTTTTAATGTTAAAATTGAAGTTAAGTATAGTCACACACACAATCTAATTTAAACTCAGTTAATAGGATATATCTGTGAAACAGACATCCTATTATCCTTATTCTAGAAGCAAGAAAATTCAGAATCAGAACATTTTGGTGAGTTATCCTAGGAATGAAAACTCTTGGACAACAGAACCAGGATTTAAATGCAGGTCTGCACTCCAAGCCTTGCACAGACCTCTACAGCTGCCTTTTGAGATATGAAATGGTATCCTCCATCTAGATTTTATCTGTACTGGAACATCTTCAGAATTACCAAATATCCTAATCTGTAAGCCATTTTTACTCACATTCTCTCTATGAATGATATCAAATAACAATAGCCTATCATAAAAGAAAAATGATCCTAAAATCAGTGGGAACTAAGGATACAAGAAAAATTTCCTCAAGTTATGCAACACTCTACACCTACATTCTTTGAATATAAATTAAATATTCACTACATTAGAATATCATGTTCTCATTATTCATAAATTCCAGTCTCTTAAAAAGGCAAAATAATCATAGAATTTTGTCTAGACTCTTCACATTGGAAGCAACTTCTAAGAAGGCCTAGTCCTACTCATTATTTCACAGATGAGGAAACCGGGCCCAGAAAGACTCAATATCCTCAAGGTCAGATTATTATTCAATGAAGGCCAGGGTAAGAAGCTTGCCTCTTAACTCCCAGCTTAATAACTTTATCCAGTATACAGGTGAAACTGTACATGAAAATTCTAGAGAAAATAGAAAAAATAACAATTGTTAATTATATATGTCAATGTATAAAAGAACTTCCTGGATGCTCAGACCTCAGTATAATAACCTAAATTTTCATTTGTGTAAGGGAACTGAGGCAAAGTAGCCAATATTTTACCCAAGTTTTAAAATTATTTTCAATCAGTCCAATGAAAATCCCCCTAAAATTAAAAATATATGACACTACTGAAAAATTCATCCCAGTAACTGGTAGAGCAGCTTAGTAGAAGCAGGCTCCCTATCTCTGGTTAATCACCTGTGCTTTCTGAAATCCCCCTGTATCTCCCAAAAAGACTGACACAAAATCTGATTATAAACATAACACCCTCTACTTTTCATTATATCTGAAAACAAGACAAATATCCTTGTATTTACATCTAGTGAGATTTCCTTCTTAAAAGAAAACAGATTAATGAGTGAAATGAAAAAGTAAATATGTTGTCACGTGGCTACTGTATAAAATAATTTTAATGGTCAGTGCATTGGGTAAAGACAATAAATAAAATCTTATTTTGATGTTTTGAAAAAATAATTACAATATACATTTAATTTCTACTCAGACCTAGAAGTTTCCCTGTACAAAATTCATCAATAAAACTGCAAAATCGGCTGGATGCAGTGGCTCACGCCTGTATCCTCACCACTTTGGGAGGCCGAGGTTGGCGTATCACTTGAGGTCGGTAGTTCGAAACCAGCCTGGCCAACATGGTGAAACCCCATCTCTACTAAAAATACAAAAATCAGCCAGGCGTGGTGGTGGGCACCTATAATCCCAGCTACTCGGGAGGCTGAGACAGGAGAATTGCTTGAACCCGGGAGGTGGAGGTTGCAGTGAGCTGAGATTGCACCACTGCACTCTGGCCTGGGCGACAGAGCAAGACTCTATCTCAAAGAAAGAAAAAAAAAAAAACCCTGCAAAATTTAAAGTATTTGACAAGATGGTATTTATATCAAAAATTTAAAATATATTTGACAAGATGGTATTTACATCAAAAATGTATCTACTGATTTCTGACATCTCTCTTTTTTGTGAGAGGCATGTCATTTTAATAATGCAGATCCTTGGTGTTTTGCTCGTCTATTTTAATACGCATAGCAAATAATTCTTTCAAAAAATACAAAATTTCCAAGCTTTTTCTTGAATTAAAAAAAACAGTTTCAAAAGAGACACACCCTACAGCTGAAAAGCAGAACTCCGCACCCTTCCCTGTGCCTCTTTTCAACTCAGTTGCAGCCATACAAATTCCAACACAAGGGGAAGCAAGTTACTAATGTCAAAAATAATGCAGGTGCATTAAAAATGAAATCTAAGACCAAAGTATTCTAAGATCACTATAAGTGAAACCAAGATAATATCTCTGACATTAACAAAAGAGAATTAGGAAGTCACCAATACAAAATCAATTTTTAAAGTAGAATGCTATTAACAAATATTATGAATTCAACTCAGTTCTCATCCCACTTTTCTACTTCAGTCCTTTACATTGGTCATGAAAGGACATAGCTCTTTTAAAATTTAAGAATAATAACGTTATTCTGCTTATTTTAAAAGAAATCTATTCAAGGTCAGGAGTAAGGCAAAAAAAAAAAAAAAAACCCACGACGACTGGGCATTTTAACCACAACAACTGTTTTTCTCTCTTGCCATAGATGAAACTCTTTGGTGTAGAAGGAGAAAGTAAATAAAAGGAAGGAAGAACTGTAATTCTTGAGCCTGTGCCAGTTTACAGTATTTAAAAAAAAGAATCTGCGCCACAGCTTGGCAGTTGGCCATATTTACAGTAAGCTATCTAGTGTTTTGCCCAACAGGAAGAACAAAGGGCTCAGTGTAGTGCTGCTGGTTTTGTGTGTTTCAAATATTGTAGAAAGAAAGAAGGAATGTAGCCCCACATGCAATAGACCCTTTCCTTTTTACATTTCTCTGTCCTCAGTGACTCTCAAAATATGGCCAAATGAGTCTTTAAAAGGGTAAGAGAGAGCTCCAAGAGTTTTAGCTTAAACTTTCAGTAATCATTTATTTTACTTATAAAAATGCAACCTATCTATTAATTTAGTTTTAACTTTAGAATTTCAAAAGCTTAAGCATGATGTTTGGCAGTACAGGTAGTTCTGCCGTCCAAGGGCAGCTAAACCTGAAACAAAAGCTTTAACTAAAATTTTGTTGGTAAGATTTAATACATATCCTTATGTTATTAGAAATTTTTAAAAATAGACTAAATAACAGAAAAATTATATTAGAGAGTCAATCAGTACTTTAATACAGGATATTCCTAATTTATTTTCAGTAATGAAAACTTAGTTTTATAACCAACATATTAAAATCAACAACAAAAACTCTTTTTCCTCAAAGTTATACTTTTTTTGAAATTATGCCCAAATAAAATGGAAATTAAAATTAAGTATACTAATATTTCAATTTCTTTACATATTATATCTGGGGTAACATATTTGCTTAGGTCACACTTTTTAAATCTTGACTACCAATATAAAAGACAACATATTTCTAATTTAACTTTTAGTTTTCTCACTGACATTTTATTCTGGTAGGGAAGGAAGACAAAAGAAAGGTAAATACATATGATGTATAGATTATTAGATAGTGATTGTTGCTAAAGAGAAAAAATAAACGAGGAATGAGGGGATGTGATTTGGGGCAGGAAGAAGAGTATAAAATTTTAGATAAGAGTTCAAGGAAAGTGTCTCAGGAGGTGAATGTGGCATCCACACCTGCATGGTATGAGGGCACTAGCCTGTGGCTAATGTGGAGAAGAAAACTTAATGATGGTGTTTCCTATGGAATAAACATGTCTTTTCAATTATTGTGAAGCTCTTCCCAAAAGTAGGGGACAGCAAAGAGAGTTTTATTTAAAAATAGATGCTGTCCACAAACTGAGACAAGGGATTGGCTCAGTGGCAGAGGGGGCACAGCAACTGGCAAGAATGTGAAAGAGAAAAGGTAAGGAAAAAGCAGATGAATTTGGGGGAAGCAGCAAAGCAGTAGGCAGCTGGGAAATGATGCAAAGAAAAAAGGTTTTGAGGTAGTGTCCTATATCATAGTAACAATCATCATAACAGCAGGACAGTGAACATTTGTAAAGAGTAGATAAACTCTTACAGCCTGGAAGAGGCATCTCATGGGAGCTTGAATACTAAGTAGAGGAATCACCAAGGCAATGTCAGATACTTCTGCAGTAGAGTAGTTTCCTGAGACTTTATTTCTGTTCTGTTTCCATTGTTCTGTTCCTTGCCTTTGGTGGCAGGTGGAGAAGAGATCTTCTCGGGGATATAAGCATTAGGGCCTCCCAGTTCCCGGGAGACAGCAGAACCTGAGAAAGAAATGGGTGTGTGGTACAAATGAAGACCGGGCAAGCATGGCATGGAAGCCTTAGTGTCAATGCAAAGGGTTACCCAGACTTAGATAATAGGCATGCCAGATATACAGGGAGATAAGTGTAAACTTAAAGCCAGAGGGACCTCATCAAATGTTCCACTCCGATTAATCACTGGTTCCTTCACATGAGCCATAGAGGTTGTTATAGGAATATCAATGAGTATGAACCAGGAAGATTGAAATTCCCTACAATCTGGTTGCTGGGGGCTGGCGGGGGATCTTAAGAAAGAAAAAGTAATTGAAAGATAACAATAAGAAAACATTCATCCCCTTCAGACTAGCAAAAAATTAAATTAATAACAGTGTTAGCAAGAATGTGAAATGAGGAAGACTCATACACTTCTGGTAGGACTGTCAATTGCAGAAGAACTGGGCAACAGTGTATAAAACAATGAAGATATACACCCCACACCCACCTCCACCAAAAAAAAAAAAATATACACACCCTGCACTGAATTGGTTTGGATATGGGTTCCCAGCCAAATCTCATGTTGAATTGTAATCTCCAGTGTTGGAGGTGGGGCCTGGTGGGAGGTGACTGGATCATGGGGGTGGATCCCTCATGAATGGTTTGGCACCATCCCTTTGGTGCTGTTCTCCTGATAGAGTTCTTAGGACATTTGGTTGTTTAAAAGTGTGTGGAACCTCCCCTGTCTCTTTCTTCCTCATACTTCAGCCATGTAAGACGTGCCTGCTTCTCCCTTTATCTTCTGCTATGATGGTAAGATGTCTGAGGCCTCCCCAGAAGCTGGGCAAATGCTGTCATGCTTCCTATGCAGCCTGCAGAATCGTGAGCCAATTAAACCTCTTTTCTTTATAAATTGCCTAGTCTCAGGCATTTCTTTATAGCAGTGCGAGAACAGACTCATACACTAGAGAAATTTTTTATCTTTGTACACAGAAATACATAAAAGGATACATTGCACCATGATTTAGAATAAAGATTACAAAGAATTTTCATCGAAAGAAACAAAATTGTGTTCAAATAATAGAATATTATATAGCAATGAAAACAAATTCACTAAGTCAACCTGTACCAGCAAAAACTTCAAAAGAAGGAAGAGCAAACAAAGCAAGTTACAAAAGAGCATACAATATGATACATGAAGATTAAAAACTAGAAGACAACACTAACAAGAGATTAAGCACTACTAAAAAAGGACTGGAAATTAAAATTGATCTCATAATTATACGTCTAAATTTAACCCTCTAGAAAATCTAGATCTCTTTCAGAATGTGCATATTCTTAAGATAATTTTTTAAATAATTCAATTTAGGGATGTAAATCAAGTGTTTTTTTTTTTAAATACCAGAAATGCTCAAATTGAAGTCGTTAGAAATTCATCAATGAATCCTGTCAGGCATATAGCTAGCTGCTCCCCTACCTCCCCACTAGGATGAGAGGAAAGGATTCAAACCATGATGTGCAAATGGTCAGAGCAGAACTGCAAAGCAGAACGGCAACATGCACAGTAAGCTCACCCTCCCTTCCCAGAGTCCCACCGGGGATGAGCCAGGATATATCTGAAGAGAGAATCAAGGTTGTGGAGAAGCACCAACATGGAACCAGGAGATTTCCTAAGCTGAATTTCCAAAGGGGTCTAAGGAACCATTGATTTGTAAAAGTAAGCTTCTATTCAGAAACAGGAGTTGACAAGAGGTAATAGGCCAATTTTGAAATGAGAGAAAAACAAAATTGTGTCATATTAGCTAATAAATAAGCACCTTCCATTTTCTAATGATGCCAATGATAAAGAGAAAGATGAGATGCAGTAAAAGGTTCAAACCATAATTAGAAAATATATTTTCAAAGCTTAACGATAATAAGAAGCAGGATAACATTAAACCTGGCCTCTGATCTTGTTCTTCCTCACAGATGCTCACTTATTAAGTCCATATTTCAGTTTCAATACACTTTAATATCAACTAATCCTCTATCCCCACCTAATTTGGAAAACTAAAATTAAGGATTATATTAAAAAGTTCATAAAAATACATTTAAATGATTCTTGCATTATTCAAAAAGGTATAAGGGAAAATTAGGTATATTTTAAAAAATGTAATTAGGGTAAATATAATGGCTGTAGTATTATAAATGCACATAGACTTTTTTGTTTTTTATTGAGATATAATTCAGATACCATAATATTCATGACTTTAAAGTGTGTAATTCAGTGATTATCTGTATATTCACAAAGTTGTACAACTATTTTATAAGAAACTATGCAGTACTTCACATAAATGGAATCAGACACTATGTGGCCTCTTGTGCTTGGCTTCTTTCATTGGGCATAATGTTTTCAAGGTTTATCCATGTTGTAGCATGTATCAGTACTTCATCCACTTTTATGGTTCAATAATTTCCACTCTTAAAGAGAAGCCACATTTTGTGTATCCGTTCATCAGTTGATAGACATTTAGGTTGTTTCCATCTTTGGGCTATTATGAATAATGCTGCTATGAACATTCGTGTGCAAGTTCTTGTGTGAACATATATTTTCAGCTCTCTTGCAATTGCTGGGTCACATGGGAATTCTATATTTAAACTTTTGAGGAACTGCCAGACTATTATCCAAAGCTGTTGTCCATTTTACATTCCCACCAGCAATGCATGAACATTCTAATTTCACCACATCCTTACCAATACTTGTTACTGTCTCTTTGATTATACTCATCTTAGTGGGCGCGAAGTGGTACCTCAGTGGTCCTGACTTGCATCTCCCTGTGACTAATGATGCTGAGCATCTTTTCAGCATGTAGATTTTTAGAAGCATAGTTCTTCTGTATAGTTTAGATTGACCTAACAAGTGCTATAACAATGATGAGTTTTTAAAACTCTTGTATAATTTTGCTTACATATTTAGACCTCATTAACAGACTTATACACAGTTAATCAGTATTTTGTGACCAAAAAACCATAATATTTAAAAATTATACACACTGATATAAAATTTTATACACATATAATACACATATACTTTATCCTGCATTACTAAAAACTGTTAATCAAGAGAACATTAGAACTTTGGGAAGCTGAAGTGGGTGGAATGCTTGTGCTCAGGAGTTTGAGACCAGCCTGGCTAACACAGCAAGACCCTGTCTCTACAAAAAAATACAAAAATTAGCCAGGTATGGTTGCACACGCCTGTAGTCCCAGCTGTTCAGGAGGCTGAGGCAGGAGGATCGCTTGAGCCCAGGAGACAGAGGTTGCAGTGAGCTGAGATCACACCACTGCACTCCAGCCTGGGCACTAGAGCGAGACCCTGTCTCAAAAGAAAAAAAAAAAAAGAGGAAGAACATTAGGATAAGAATAAATCTGGAAAAAGCAGTTCAATATCTTATGGCAAAAGTAGTAAATGGTGTAAGTGAGCTAGCCCAGTTGTTCAAATGCCATGTACTGTTTCTCTAGAAAAATGTCCTGATGCTAATCACTGTTTCCTCACTTGTTAAAGTTTCTAAATGCTTTAAAACCTACTTCTGTGACCCTTCTACTTGCTAGACCAAAATAAAACATTAACTTGAATTATATTCAGAAACATTTCATTATTAATTTAGATACCAGAAAGTATACTCTCCCATATGACAAAATATATTTCTGTCCACACCCATGACGAACAAGACATCTGTGCAATAAAAGTTCATGTGTAGAGTAATCTTTAAAACATGGAAAATTCAATCAAAATGTTTTTATTTTTAAAAACACAAAATCAGAAATCAAAAGCTCAAAGTACTGCTTATGGCAACAGTAAATTCATTCAGTCTAGGATCACTAACTCACTCAGGGTATGCTCACTTTATCATTTAGTAAATGATACCATAGTTTTTCCACTGAAAGTACCAAACCCATTTGGTGAGCTCTGTTAACGCTTGTGTGTATTTTTCAGATGTTCTGGTCTAACCACCCCAATATACCTTCACCCTCTATGCATCTGTTCATGCAAGTCTCCTTGCCTAGAATTTTCTTTTCTCCAGTTTTCTTTTCCCACACCACTGTCATTTACCTAGATCCAATACAAATCTCCTATTTTATATAAACCTGGTCCTGACCATTCCCTCCACCCAATAGACACAGCATAGATCAGTGTAGGCAATTAAATTCACCGGTACGTAAAAGAAGCTTGATTCTGAAGAATCAAGCCCGACCCTCAGGCTTCCAGCATGGCTGACTGAGGACAAGGCCAAGCCCTTCTACATAAGCCTTTATGAAGTTAAGAGTCAAGTCAAAGAGAACAATCTCCAAATTAGAAGGCAGAAAAGTAGTGGCAGTCCTCTCTAGGATCTCTAATGAGTTAGTTATTATTTATTCATTCACTCATTCAACATTTATTTCACCTCCTCCTCAGTGCCAAACCCTGAACTAGGAGCTAAGGATAAAAATAAGAATATGGTCCGTGCACTTAATATCTAATATTAATCAAGCACTTACTATGTAACAGCTGTTCCACATGCACATTAATTTTAATCTTCACAACAAGACCCTAATGCTATTGTACTTGTCCAAGCTCACAAAACCAACCAGTAAGCAAGCCTAAATGTGAACACAGATCTGTTCAACTCCAAAGCCACTGAACCACAATGCTACAAGTAACTCAGTGGGAGTTATGAAAGGTATCAAATATATATTTTATAAATGCAATAACTGAGTGTTTATAGCACATAAAATTAATGTCTATAATTTCCATGACATCATACATTAAAAGGGCTAGTCTAGGTATTTTAATTAATAACATCTTTTCTTTAAAAAATGCTATATATAGCAGTAATCAATTTAATACTGAGTTTTACAACACAATCTATGTGTAGGTTACCTACTGTCAACTAAGAGATCTGTTTTGGAGAAAAGAGTAAAGTAAAAGTCACTTTGAGTAATATTAAAAGGAAGAAACAGGATCTCACGAAGGAAGCTGAGTTACAAATAAAGCAGTAGAATGGTACTATCCCTTCTCTGCAATAAAAAATAGATCTGCCAGCACCTCAATCCTTAAAAAATGTAAATGGCTGATGCCTCAATTTCATCAGAGAAACCACGGAAAATAAAATCCAGTTTGCAACGATAAATAAATATAATTTATCCTTAGTGTAAATAAGTCCTATAAATTAGATAAAAACACTCAAAATAATCTCAAAATAAACCTGAGAAAAATAAAATATTCACAACTTGATATCTTAATTTGTGACATGTAGAATAGCATGAAATGTCATCACACTACATGTTTCATTATACTACATAAAAAGTAGCTATAACAGGATTTAAAGCTGCAATTTTGAATGATTTTTTAGAATTTTCCTTTCTGAGCTGGAAAAAATCAAGCATCAGGCATTAAGAAGAAATAAGTCTACAGTATTAAAGAGGTGTTTTATGTTTATATAAAATCAAGACAACTTACTTTATGTGTTTCCTATGCTCCAGTTTGTAGTACCCTAGAAATCTGGTAGATTTTTGCTTTTGTTAGAGTGATTTCATACTTTTGCCCTTGGTTAAAAATTACGGGTTTTTAATACTTTGAATGTACTGTATCTGAAATCAAACATGATACCTTTGCTGCAATTTTATGAAGTTTTAAAAATGTTAAACAACAGCTGCTTGAGTAGGAATTTACCATACCAAAATGTAAACTAACATTACCAGTGCAAATGGTCTAAGTTTACAACTTTAACACTATAATCCAAGGACACAGTTTAACTTCACAGGGTCTGTAAATAAGCACCTTTTGGACGGGCGCAGTGGCTCACACCTGTAATCCCAGCACTTTGGGAGGCCGAGGGTGGATCATGAGGTCAGGAGTTCAGGACCAGCCTGGTCAACATGGTGAAACCCCGTCTCTACTAAAAATACAAAAATAAGCTGGACAAGGTGGCCTGTGCCTATAATCCCTGCTACTCTGGAGGCTGAGGCAGGAGAATTGCTTGAATCAGGGAGGTGGAGGTTGCAGTGAGCTGAGATGGTGCCACTGCACTCCAGCCTACAGGGCACAGCGAGACTCTGTCTCAGGGGAAAAAAAAAAAAAAAAAAGCACCTTTTAAAATTGGATGGCAGCAATAAGGAACTACACATTTAGTAAAATAATTGGGTTTTTGTTGGTTTGTAAGAACCAGGATTCACTGGCAATTACCAGGAAGAAAAAACAATACATTTTATGTAGACTCTACTTGGCATCTAGTTTTCTACATGTTCAAAATAGAATTTAAATGATCATTTATAATAAATGATTCATATTTTCTATTACCAAAAATATTTTTAAATTATAAATATTTTCTATACAGTAATAGGAACTAAAATTTTCTTCAACTTAAAATTGATAATTTTCAAATTATCAATATGAGAATACTTAGTAGTGATTTTATTTCTTATTCTTATATATGTCTCATACAGTATAAATCTTATTTATTTAACAGCACACTGGATTTTCTTTGTCCAGAAGAGAGTATCATGAGAATTGTATTACTGCTTTATTTTTTCTAAGAGAAAATACTGAACAAAGACATACTATATATTACAATCCACAAATAAGAATTTGTTTTTTTTCAAATTGTACACATAAACCCCACAAATACTATGCATATCAACAACATATGGTTTTGAACTTAATACTCAAGTCTAAGATTCAGTACACATTCCAAACAAACAAGAAACTGTATTTGCTAACTTTAATTTCCCAATACGACAGGTTCTTCTTGTTCTATTTAGTGAAAATTACAGTTTTTCCCCATGCGTTTATCATTCTATAGCCAGAATGTTCTATTAACTGTCCTTCATAAAATACAATATAAATGGAAAAAAGTGAATTAAGTTAATACAACCTTGAATTACTGTTTACCATATTTCTCTTCAAAATCAACTATAAAAAACATCAGTAACTAGGCTTACTGAACCACTCTGCAATTCCAGGTCCTGTAGTAGCTGCAAAGGAAGACTGAATAGTAACAAAGGCTACATAACTAGGCCATCAGCACAAAACCTGTACAACTCTACTCATGTAAGAATGATCTTCCAGAATACCATTTTCCTAAGAGTAGAAAGTATGTCCTAGATCTTCCCATGTCCATTTTGTCCAAATGGATAATTGCTCCTCTGGTGTTTGTGGACCATCAGGAGTCAGCAGTCACTTAAAAATGCATATGACATGAGCTCAGAAATCAGCATCATGGCTAAGGAGATCTTCCTGTAGTACAGCAACAATGATACTGCCAAAGAGGGGCTCTGAGAAATAAAATACCATCCAAATGAATGAATAAATTCCCAAGTAAACAGACTTATCACATCACCATTATATAATAGGAAGAAACTCTATGCATCATGTAGGTCATCTAAAATGCTTAGTGATCTCATTCTTACCATAACAAATTATCTGCCAGACAAGACCTTCAAGGTCAACCCTGGCAACAATTAAAAAATAATGAAAAGCATTCATCCCTGAGGTAGAGTTAGAATGTTTTAGTTTGAAGCAATGTGCTGTATATTTTATTAGCTATAACTTGCTTAATTATTCATTGTGACTCCTCTTATATTCCATACAGAAACCTCAGGTTGCTCAGATTTCTAACTGAAATCTTTTTTTCTTATTCAAGGGCAAATGCCTTAAGAGACCAAAATTTTTGTCCACCATTTTCAACTGAACACAAAGATATATCTCCTTAGAATGAAATACTAACTTAAAGCCTGAAAGAAAGTGCAAGGGAGAGAGGAAAGGAGGAAAGAGAGAGAGAAAGACAGATATACAATTTCATCATCCTAAACAAGAATCTCCACAGAGGTCCTCCTCCTGCACCTCAGCTGCACATACTCCCCCATGCCACCTGCATCCACAGACACCCTATGCTGCTCTCAGCCCCTAGGACCTGCTACAACCTCGAAGGTTGACCAAAGTGTTGCTGAGGCAAGACCCCCACATTCCTTCCCATCATTACTCAGGATTATCTGAATTCACACCACCACTGCCTCCTTGAGTTACTTTCAGGCACATTTTGCCACTAAAGATGGAGCAATTGTCATCAGTTTAATCATCTTCCTATTTCAGATACGTGGGTGTGCCAGAGGTGCTCTCTGCTGGAGGCACAGACAGGGATAAGGGGAGGACCCAAGGTGGTCCTGTACTGGAATGCCAACACAAACAGAGGAATGCTATTGGTGTGTGCAAGATGGAAACCACTCTAAATCCCTCCTCCTCCCAGCCCCCAGGAGAGGAGCTACTTTAACACCAATGACAATGAACCTGGGAATAAACTCCCCTCACTCACATGAAATTGAGGACTCCTCTCCCCTCTCTCCACAGCTCTGAACATGAAGGTTCAGAAAATAAAATCCAACTTTAACACCAAAATTAACAGGGCCACTCCCTTGTGTGGTCACAGGTCTGAGCCACAGGCAAATCTCAAAAGGGTAACATTCCTGAAAACGAGCATACCTCAGCTTTCCATACAAACAACTAAGGCAAACAAGTAACCTGATGGTAATTTTTCATAAAAATGGCCACAAACACTATGATTAACCAACTTCACGTGTGGGGATGTCTAAAGAGAGCTGGATTTGGAGTCAAACCGAGTAAACTGTAAACAACAAACTCAGATAATCAAAAAGTCTTTACCTTGGAGGGATCATAGTGATGAGTTCAACGCCCTCATTTTAGAGCTGAAAGGAGGAAACCCTTATGCCAAGAATGAAGCGATTTGTTCAGCAGAACAAAGTCAGATATTGGCAGATCTAGGGTCAGGCCCCGCGGTCGCCTAACTCAGGGCCTGCAAAATTTCTATTACACTACAAATTGCTGTAATTCAAGAATTCCCTGTGGTCAATTTCAAGAGAAAGGACCACAGAATGTTAACTTCTTTCTACCCTTTGTTCCTAATAGTAGAGTTTTGTCTTGCTCTTAAATCAGTGAGAAAAAAATGTCATTCTCTTATACATGCCCTCTTCCTGGACTTCATCTCGGCCTCTCTACTCCGCAGTCTCTGGCACACAGGCACTGTGGGATGGACTCTTCAGCCTGTGCCTGTCTAGTCTAGTCCTAACCTCCTTTTTTCTTAGTGACTTAACCCAGTTTTGTGCAGAGCAACATTTCTCAGCTGAGAAACTAAATATCTCAACCTCACTGCAGTTATGGATGGCAAAGAAACCTACTTCTGGTCAATGTGATATAAACGGAAGTTACCAGTTGGAGATTCCAGGAAAGCTCTTTAAGCGGATTTGACTTTTCTTTCCTGCAGAAAGCTTAAAGCAGGTTTTATTGGTTTGTACCTTTGACTTTTCACTGACTTCTACCTTCAAGGATCCTGGAGGTGCAGCAGCCAGTTTGCCACCATGAGGCAACAAGCATGAGGATGAAAGCTGAACAACCAAAAAGAAGGCTGAACAGAAAGTCAGAAAGAACCTCAGATCCAACGACATTACAAAGCTACCTACCTGCCCTGGGCTGCCTTCCTCTAAACTAGAGAAAGGGAGACCCCCATTTGATTAAGCCACTTTAGCCTGAGTTTTCTGTTACATACAGCTGGAATTATTTTTTATGGATATATCACATGTTAATGGATATCTCCAAGAACAACAAAAACAAAAAATCACAACTGTATACTCTCAATTGTATGCTTCAAATTGTTTTGGTCACATGTTTAGACCAAGCACTGACTGAATGCTAACTTCTTTAAAGCAACATGACAAAATCGCTGAAAGGGAGGGGGTTCTGGAGGCGATAACAATATGTCTCCCTGTAAAATACACTCATCTCAACGCATAAAGTGTTAAAAATGGTTGTATCCTGAGAAAAGATGTGGCAAATTGTATCAGTAACTGTGGTAATCCCAAAGAATTTAACAGTGACAGCATCATCCAATATATGAACTAGGCATGTTGTTTTCCCAGAAGGATATGTTTTTATTCTACACAACTACGAATGTCTTAATTATGAAATGTGGAGCAAGCAGTATTTTACAGGTGGTACAAAGAACATCAAGACAACCTGCTACCTATTTACCATCAAATATTTTGTGGCCAGAAACCTGGTCAGAATATGAACACATCACTGAAAATCTTGCCACTACACTGCATTTCTAATAAGTCAGTTTGTTTAGAGTCATTCTTGAGCTACCCAAGAATTCTGAACTGCCACCTCTTCCAGAGACATTCCTCTCTATTTGTGTCTTGTTTGGAAATTCTAATAAGTTGAAATGAGAAAATGGCTTCGGAAAATAATTTACATGCTAGGGTAGCTTACTTTTTCCCTGAATATTAGACAAGTCAATAAAAATCCAGTATTTTAGGGAAAACAATAAAGTACAGACTGAACATGCTACATCCAAAATGCCTGGAAAAGAAATGTTTTGGATTTTACACTTTTTAAAATTTTGGAATATTTGCATCATACTTAATAGGTGAAAATCTTAAACCTGAAAAATCTGAATCCAAAACACTCCAGTGAGCATTTCCCTTGGGCGTCACATTGGCGCTCAAAAAGTTTTGGATTTTGGAGTATTTCAGATCTCCTATTTTCAGATTCGAAATGCTCAACCTATGTGGAGAGAATGCATCTGCCTTAGTCACTCTCCTAAGTTATAAATTATGAACATTTCAATCTTCCAAAGGTATATTTACATCACAACACATCATCACATCAAACTATATCAACCATTTAACAATTCTAACATATAAAATCAGACAGAAAATTTTTTAAATGCTTAGATATAATAAGTTGGGGAGACTATTAAACACTTATTATTCAGAATTAACCAATCTATTTCTTAAAATTGTTTATCACTTAGTCACTGGAATGCCCAAATACTAATAAAAGGGTAATAAGTGAGAAGACCCAGTAGGGGTGGCTGACAATTGGAAAGTACTCTTTAGTCGCAAGGCTTGCAGAAGACCCAGAGGAGAAGGTGTACTTTCCCTACTCCTCTGTAGATCAGCCAACCTCACTTAAGGGACCTGGGTAACATCTATCCATAGCAAGCAGTTGGAAAGGGACAAATGCTCTCATACACTTTGCCTTTGCAGGACACCCTACAGCCTGCTAGCTTACAGGAGAAAGCTTTGCCTGGCTACCAGATTATACCTAATTGTGCTATGTATCAATTTTGTAAAGACACATGTTATACCTCAATTAACTCAATGTTCAACATAGAGGGCTATCTTTCATCTCAAATTTCCACTTTCATCTACCAAGGCATTACACTTGGCTCTTCTTAAGAGTAAAGGAAAGCCTCTCTCAGCTACACAACCAGGTTTTTTGAAGCAATCCAACTTGTAATTAACAGCAGTGAGGAGCCTGGTCAGGCCTTGCAGAAAAAGCAAGGCCCCAGGTTGAAAAAACAAAAATAAAAAAAAGGGACTCACTGCAGAGAGAACTTGGCCTACCTGTGTAGGAATAGAAAGATGGCAGGTGCTTTGCCAGAATGCTATAGGACACGGGTAAAAGGTGTTCAGCTCAGGATTCACCAGGTAAGAGTTTCAAAGGTAAATGCACTATTTTCGAAATAGTAATTTGGAAAATTTACCGTCTCTCCTCTTTCCAGTATATACAGTACTTAAAAACATACTGAGTTTTTTGTACTTTTAGAAGTCTTCTTGTCCTTTGCTCGTTTCTTTCCTCATTTATCTCCTAGTATTACTTTTATGGAGTGAGATGGGGCTTTCATCTCTTAATAGTTACAGGAAAAAGCCCTCATTAAAAGAAGGTGCCAGTTTAATAAGAGAATCTGTGTAGAATTTAAAAACTAAACTGTACCAAAAAGCACTTTTTTTGACTGATAAAAATATATCTTATATCTTCTATACATTCCATAGGTGATTACACCGAGATTATCAAGTCTTACATATACATTATTTCATTTAAATTCATAAAAGGCATTCTTTTGGTTACTATAACAGAGCATTAAGGACAAAAATATTAATACTAAAGGCATAAAGAGAAACATGAATTGTGAGATCAAAATTCTAGAGAACATCAGACTATTGAAAAAATCTGACTGTAACACTATGCCTCAACTTTTAAAATCATTACCTTTTATATACACAAATTTAAGAGCGTGTAATACAATCGTTCAAACTGTTTGCAGACTGATAGGAATATGATAAAAGGATAAAACATAGACTGGAGAGGGACACACCAGGGGAGAGGTAACGTCCGGGCAAGGAGGGAAGGAAATATGATCAGGAACCCTTCAAGTATACATTCCTTAAAAAAAAAAAACTCTGCAGGAAATATGATCAGGAACCCTTCAAGTATACATTCCTTAAAAAAAAAAAAAGTCTGCGGGAAATATGATCAGGAACCCTTCAAGTATACATTCCTTAAAAAAAAAAAGTCTGCAGGAAATATGCAAAATGTTGACAATTATATCTGAGAGATGAATGCATGAATGTTTGTTCTATTCTTCTCTAGTCTTTTCCAAACAGAAAAGTATCTTGGGGTGGAGTTATAATATTCTCAGGTGAAAACATGCCCAAATGGGGTTTAGGGTTAGGTAAGAAGTGTGAGACGGTAGCAAGAATTCAAATGTTCTGGGTGGTGGCAGGCAGGAAAGGTATTCACAAGGGCCAAAGAGTAGTTCCAGAATCACCTGAAAGGAGGGCAAGGTAGGGCTGCCTAGGGAGACAGTACACTACGGGCACTGTGTGAATGAAAAATACAACAAGGTTCTATTCAAGTAGCTGCTGTTTACTTGGTGATGTGTGACCCCAGAATTCAGCACTGTATACATCAGCTTACTATGAACCAAACTGGCATAAGACGGTTGATTTGTTGCATAAAATGAACCCTTAATCTTAAATACAGAGGAAACCACTAAAATAATGTTAGCAACAGCAATCCTGAACTCAGATTTTGACAGGCCCCAAAAATTGTTATAAAATACATGCTTACCTATAAAAGTAAAAAATTATGTCTGCTCATAATATGACTTTTAAGAGTGAAGTCGGGAATTTATTTTATCTGGTACACCACAGTAATTTGCTATAAAGCTTTATGAAACAGCTAAAATAATGTTACAGCCAGAAACCAATTGTTGCTAAAATGCATTCAGTTAAAATGGAAAGTATAGGGAAATAAAACACTGTAATTGTCTCTCAACCCACATTGTATATTATGTTGCTAAATTATATACCATTATATTTTCTACATTTTAATATGCTTTCCCATAGAGGAACTGATAGCATAAGGAAATGATTCTCTGCTTTTATTTCTGAAGACCTAAATAATATCCCACACATATTTATAAACCAAACAGGGTCTCAGCCTCTTGTTAGATCCCAAAGCTTATAAAATCTGTTTCACAGAACCATGACATGTAACAGTGCTTGAGTAACACAAACGGTTTTCTGTTCTATTTCTCACTGTGAGTCAGAATTGTACATCTCATATTTAAAGTGAGCTACAATAATATGAAAAAAATCAAGGTTTTCTTAATTTTAGAAAATCTTTTAATAGCATTTGTATAATTCTTACAAATACTGTCTTTGGCCTTGATACTATTTTGTTTAACCTCATCCATCCATTGAATAGTTGGAGCATGTAAAGTAGATATTTCTGCTCCCCAGAGAAAGGAAAGAAAGCCATGGCCTTGATCCAAATTTAGCAGAATGTTGACAAATCACATACTAATAAGTAATATGTGTAGTATTTAAATAAAAGATCAAGGACAGGAGTGGTGGCTCACGCCTGTAATCCCAGCAGTTTGGGAGGTTGAGGCTGGCAGATCACCTGAGGTCAGGAGTTTGAGACCAGCCTGGCCAACATGGTGAAACCCTCTCTCTACTAAAAATACAAAAATTAGCTGGGCATGGTGATGCACGCCTGTAATCCCAGCTACTCAGGAGGCTGAGGCAGGAGAATCACTTGAACCCGGGAGGCAGAGGATGCAGTGAGCCAAGATTGGGCCACTGCACTCCAGCCTGGGTGAGAGAGCAAGACTCCATTGCAAAAAAAAAAAAAAAAGAAAGTCAAATGTCTCCTTCACTAGAGACTTGAGAATTTTTTATACAATAAATCATTACAAGTAATAACGTAGTAAAAAAAAAACCTTTGGAGAAATAAAAACTTTATGTATTTCAAGATAGTAAATTTTTTTTCAATACAAAATTAATAACTATTACCAAGTGCTTGGTTTAAACAGAAAGCACCACACCTGAAATCTGGGGTAATATTTCAAAGACCTGAAAAGAATCTGGTCAGCCAAATCTATTGAACGTACACAGCTTCCAAAATATACTTAAGATCTGACAGGACAAATAGATCCATTTACCAAATATTAACAAAGAAGCTTGAATTAGAAGAGATAGACCATGAGTAGAAATTCTAAAGAAACCATTTAACAATCATTTCACATCATATTATCATTTCGGGTGTTCTATGAATGTCCTAAAATATGAAATAGAAAAGATAATAATGTGCTTACCCCCCTTTTAAGGTTCAGACTTTACTGAATTCACTATAGGAAACCAAGTGTCTCTGAAATATTTGCTGTAAGCAAGATTGAAGTTGTGTTTTTCCCACTGCCTTCTAAAGCAGTGATTCGGAACTCTCTCTTAGGGCATTTGCACTGCACTGTAACTTTTCTCACTGTACCTTTCTTCCACGGCACTTGCACTCACTGAGGGCAGGCATGCTCTGCTGGTCCCCCAGAGCTAGCTCAGCTCTTACTTACTGCTCTATGAACATGTACTGAACAGAGAGAGAGAACTGGCTACCAAGACTGAGAAGGCAGGTCAAGGAAACATGGTTCTTTCTAAAAAATCTCAAATTAGAGCTCACTATATCTAAAAAACATAATTTTGACCATTGTAAAAGTATTTTACCAAAATAAAATACTGTAACAGAAGCTGCTTTCTGAGACATGTACATCTGCGAAAATACATGCATGTTTTCTGGTCCTTTTAAAGTAATGTAAGGCTTTCCCCTTGGTTTTGTGGTGAATGATACACCTCCATAGTATCTTTCATAGGTAGTCAGCAGCTGCTAATGTTCACAGTTCTCTTCCATTTTTATATATATATCTTTCAGTAGGTAGACATTCAGGTGCTGGTAAAAGGATCATTACTAAAATGTATTGTTTCCATACAAGTTTCCTACAAGTGCAAGATCCCTCAGGCTGTAATAAATGCTGAAGTTTTGTTTTTGTTTTTTGAAATATGGAGAAGGTAGAGTTTCAGGAGACAAAATTAGATTTCCCAGCAATTCACAAATTAATTTCCTTATCTTTGTTTCATCACATGCTTTCCTCACAGAGAAATTGGGAAGGGAAATGAAATAAATGTGAACGCACCTGACATTTTTTAGTAGGGAAATAAGTTTAAAGTACAGTCATTTTTCAATGATTCACACTAGTCTGTGGGAATATTATCCTAAATCAGTGGTTCTTGATGACAGGTGTACATTAGAAGCACGTGCAAAGCTTTGTGAAAATGCTTACACCCAAACTGCGCTTGCCAGCAAATAGAACTCCAGAGGTCTTGGGTAGATCCCTGAAATGTGCCATTTTAAAAGCTTTGCAAATGATTCTGATTCACAGCCCTGATTAATGAGGAGCTGTCACGGGGCTCAGATACCTTGGGAGCTGGGTGGGGATCTTGCCCAAGTGAATGGGCAGTGGTGGGGACGGTGATGAACTAAAGAAGACACGCCCCACCTAAAGGTGGCAGCCTACTTAGCTCCAGCTCCTCAGGGACACAGGGATGGAAGCCCGGTATTACCAGGATTTCCATTTTGTTAATAAGAAGACAGAAATCAGGACTCAGCTTAAGGTAAAACCTCCTGATGCTGAAATGTTGGGTTGTTTTTTAAACATGCCAATGATCACACTGAAGCATTCAGTTTGTGATCCCTGGTCTAGAAAATCAACATTATTGAATAATTTTCGCTTCTTGACTGGAATACTCTGAAGGTATGGAATGGTGGGGTGGTAGTTTTAAAACACATGGCCATAGAATTTTCAGCTCCTTCCATAAAGACGAGGGGTCTATTTCCCACCCCTTGTGTCTTGGCTGGCCTTGTGACTTATTTTGGCCAGCAGGGCTAGGCAGAAGTGACACTGTGTGTGTCCAGAGACTGGGCCTCAAAGGGCATTGCAGCTCTCACCTTTCTGCTCTTTGAATACTCCTGCTGCCATTTCAGGAGCTTGGGCTAGGTTACTAAATAGTGAAAGAACACAGAGAGAAAAGGGCCTGCCTAGCAACTGCCCAGCACTGGGGCCCCCACCACATGAATGAGGCCATCTGAAACTCTCCAGCCCCAGTGAAGCCATCAGAGGACCAGAGCTGCCTGACTGGGCCCAGCTAAATCCAGAAAACTGTCCAGCCAAGCCCACCCAAAACTGCAGAATTACCAGCAAATAAATAGATGTTGCCTGAACCAATAACTTTGGAGAGTTTATTAAGCAGAAACAGAAAACCAATATAGAAATTGGTACCAGAAAGTACAGTAC
Source organism: Homo sapiens (assembly GCF_000001405.40). NCBI lineage: Eukaryota > Metazoa > Chordata > Mammalia > Primates > Hominidae > Homo > Homo sapiens. Next base: position 148,394,368 of record NC_000004.12, read on the forward strand.
TATCTTGAAAAAAAAAACAAAAAACAAAACAACCAGGCATGGTAACTCATGCCTATAATCCCAGGACTTTGGGAGGCTGAGGCAGCAGGAATGCTTGATCCCAAGAGTTCAAGACCAGCCTGGGCAACATAACATAACCCCAACTCTACTCAAAAAAAAAAAAAAAAATAGCAGAGTGGCAGAGTGTGGTGGCACACATCTGTAGTCCCAGCTACCCAGAAGGCTAAGGTGGGAGGATCACTTGAGCCTGGGAGGTCAAGGTTGCAGTGAGCTGTGACTGCATCACTGCACTTCGACCTCAGGGACAGAGCAAGACCCTCAAAAAATAAAAATTAAAAACATGTAGCATCAGTTTTGGAACTGGGTACTACACAGAAGCAGGAAAAATTATAGAAAGATAATCTGGGGAAAGAACAGTTTATTGTGGTGAAATAATTGGTAACATTTTTGCCTGAGATTACTTGAAAGATGGAAATGAACTTATAGATCTGGCTAAGAAGATTTCTAGACAGGATGCTGAAAATATAATCTGGTTTCTACCTATGATAAAGGCATAGGGAGGAAAAAAAGATCAACTAAAGACGAAATTGTTCAGTTTGCAAGCAGAATGTAGTGGGGGAAACAGTCCAGGATTTGGTGGGTTGGAAATAAACCTCTCTCTCATTCTCAAAGTTTTTAAAATGATAGGTAACCAATGTGTGTGTTGGGATGGGGGAGGTGAGAGTAACAGTAGAAAAAAAAATAGGATATGTACTTAAATACACACGTGTGTGTATGTGTGGAGAGAGGAAATGTTTTCCCACTAGTTACTTAAAATATTGTTTTACATCAAAATAAATATTAATTAGTATGTATAAACTCTAAATTGGCATTAATTTTTAAGAAAGAACATACAACTTCAAAGAAATGTTACTCTTATGGCTTGTGATTTAGGGCTCTGCCCCTAAATCCTCTAGAATATGGACTTTTTTGGGGCAGCAATGAGATAAGCCATCTAGATGAATCCTCACTCTGGGTTCTGGAAACATGGCATCAGTTAAAGTTCCCAATAAGGTGGGGATCACGGCAACACGGAGTCATAGTTACAACTGTACCACAAGGGTTATCCTAACCTGAACAGATGCACTTCTCAAAAGAAAAGGACTGAAGCAAATGGCAGAAAAATTAAGTAAAATAGACTTCTGTGATTGAAGCAGATAATACCAAATGTGTGTGCTAAACGTGTTCATACACAGATACCAAGTCAGGCTATTAGAGCTTATTTGCTCTCATTGTACATAATATTGAACCATACTCAATGAAATATTCCAAACTCATGACAGAGTAAGAAGGTATGTTATGTTATGTTGAGCTATACAAGCCAGACAAGATAACAGCCCCAAAGCAGGTAGCAGTAACAGCAGTCTGGTGTTATTATGATGGCAAAGAACACTAAATATATCAGCTGATCCTAAGGGGCACCATATTTTGTCATAATGGTTTCATTCATTCAAGTAAAATGATTGACCATGTGTTGTGCTGGATGTGCCGGGAATTTAAAAATGTTAATCCTGCCCTCAGTATACTTACAGGCAGCTAGAGGTGGAAGCTATACTTGGGACAAGGCATTCCACTATGCTTACAAAAGCAACTAAGCTCCCAGAGAGCTTAAAATAAACCATAGTGTGATCATTCATCAAGGAAAGGTTTTGGTCAGTACCATCTATTTAAGAAGACAGGAAAATGGGCAATTTATTTTAGACAGATTTCTATTCCAAATGTCTAAAACAAAATAGTCTTGAATTTTAAGCAAATGCTCAGCTCTCTGGAATAATCCCAACACCAAAGTTGTACTGAACCTATCATATGCAATATTTCATGATACATCACATAAATATAAAGCAGCACATAAATTTCATATATAAACAGACTAAAAATTCATATGTTAGTACTTACGAGTAATAAAACTTGAAATAGTTGTGTTTTCCCTGGGGCAAAGTTTCTTCACTTCATCCATTAAAATTTCAAGGCAATTTGAGAAAAATTTATATCCAACCATTCTGTACATGTCTAAATTACCATCAACTTTTTATAACAAAGCACCTCTTGTTAACAAAGACTTTAGAAAGGTAACTGAAGCTTTACTTGAATGTTTTAATTGCAAAAGCAATAAATATTTATTTTCCTTCTATAGTCAACCAAATAAGCTGAGGAGAAGAGTTTCATTAAACTATGAAAAACAAGCACAACCTTCATACCATGACTTGGGATGTTTTTCAACCTGAATAATAATATAGGGACAAAAATGTATGAGTCCCTGAAAACAGGTTCCTATAAAGTTCCTTAATTCATTTAAAAATCACACAACAGACCATTTTAATGTATTTCATGAAGTAAAATGATTAGCTGAAAACATTACACTCTAATAAACTCTGAATAATTCTAAAGCAATTTTGAATTATTTCATTAACTTACTAAACTTTTCTTTACACAGTAAGTATATTACCAAAGGGAACTTGGTTCTCTCCAATCCCTACTTCTGCATATAAAGGACAACTAAATTTATAGAAGTTGATGTTTTGCTCATTTTTTTTTTAAAGATCTAAGAACCCTTCTTTTTCATGGATTATAAGACTAAGTATTAAACATTAACTTGTACAAATGTTCTCTGGAAAAATCAAATTTGCCAGAGGAACCCTATTGAAATTTGAAGTGTAAATAGCTACTTAGGCATTATACACCATGGATTATATACAACAGCTGCTTTCACTCAACATCCTTTCTGGGTCCCCATGATGGGAAATGTGGCCAGCAAAGACCAGCCCCCACCATTTCCCCGTGACCTGCTGTTCTGACCACCAGGGAGGGCCCAGCAACCCTGAGGGGGAGGGTGGCCTCACTCCTGACACCAAGGCCTCTGCCTGGGATGTAGACCTGGGTGAGCCATGGGCTTTCATCTTGACTGTCCTTTCATCGTGGCTGACTGTCCTTCAGGCAGCCTTGTGCAGTGAAAATAGGAAAGTGTCTGGAGCCAGAGTCCTGGGTTTTAATTCTAGCTCTAGTGCCTAAGAACTATGAGGCCTTTGGCCAGTCAGATAATCTCTGTGCTGTGGATAAAATACACAGAGCCACCAATCTCTCAGACGGGAATCCTGCCAAAATGTATTATCACACCTTTAGCAAACACACACACAAAGTAACAAAAAGTCTTTCCTTATTGTTATTCTTCATTTTACTTGATAGCATTCTCATAATTCATTAACAATTCTAATACAAAAAACTCCTTTCCTTTTCCTAATCCCCTAAGCACCTTATTTCAATTTTTTAATTGAAGGAATTCTTATAAATGTGAATAGTTCTTCTGCTCTAAACTGAGAGTGAGCAGCTCATCATACATACAGCTAGAGCTCAAAAATGGAAGCTGTCGCCTAAACTTCTTTTGGTTTTCAATAAACCTAAAATATCTGGGATACTGTATTCATTTCCCAGGGCTGACATAAAGTACCATACACGCATTTATTTAGTGGCTTAAGACAACAGAAATTTATTCTCACACAGTTCTGGAGGCCAGAAGTTCAAAATCCAGTTGTCTGCAGAGCCACACTCCCTCTGAAGGCTCTGGGGGAGACCTTCCTTGCCTCTTCCAGTTTCTGCTGGCTCCTCCCATTCCTTGGCTTAACTTCAGTCTCTGCCTCCATTGTCATATGGTTTCCCCTGTGTTTCTCTATCTCAAATTTCCCTTTCCTTTCTCTTATAAAGACACCAGCTATTGGATTTAGAGCCCATTCTAAATTCAGGATTCCCTCATCCTGAGACCCTTAATTTAATTACATGTGCAAAAACCCTACTTCCAAATAAGGTCACATTCACAGATACCAGTAGGACGTGATCATATCTTTTTAGGAGATGCTACTTAACCCACTACAGGTGTTGCTCACAAAAGCTGCATAATTAATTCTCTAACAAGTTCAGGTTAACCTAGAATATTTTAACTCCAGGTCAGCTTTTGCAAATCAAGTAAGTATGAGAAATTGAGGGCAGTACATTCTTTTGATCAGTGTACCCTTAAAGTATCCAAGTAGATATATAAAATATCACTTCTGTGAAACCACTGGGGTGTAATTTTATTTGTAGTATGTGTATTTCTATACAATAATCTTGAATTTGTATACCACCTTAACTCACATTTTATAATCTCAGATAAGAAACTAAGGTATAAGTATCCCAAATTCATAAATGAGAAAACAGATTCAAAAGTAATTTGCCCAAGACCACACAGCACAGAAAGGTGCTGGGGACAGAGTTCAAACTCCTGATTAATTTATTCAAAGACATTTACTGAATGCTCCGTATGTAAGACATATAAATCTGTAAACATAACAGATTACCCCTACCCTCATGGAGCTTACATTCTAGTAGAGACAAGAAGTTAAGAAATTCAAAATAATTACCAATTGTAATGCACTAAAAAAGAAGTACCCTGGGTAGTGAGATAAAGAGTAACGATTGTGTACATGTGCATGCGCATGTTTGTGTTTGAATGAGAGCGAGGGGTTCAGAGAGTGTGTTTGGGGAAGGCCTCTTAAGGAGTAATTGGTGAGCCATAGCCTGAGGAAGAAGCAAAGCAGTCATAAAAACACTGGAAGAATATTTTAGGAAAAGTGAACAAGTGCATATTTAGGATGGCACAGACAAGACTCTTTGTAAACTATGTCCTGGTTATCCCTCCAGGGTCATTTCTCACCATTCTGCCCAACTTAAATTCTTCAGCCATCCATTTAGCATTGCTTTGCATCCCTTAAAACAGTGGCCTCTTGCCTCTGGCCTTTGTGTTAACTGTCTCAGTAGGCCTGCTTGTACTCAGACTCCAGAGATTGCATTCTGCTTCCATATATAGTAAACATTCTCTACACTTGCATGAATGTCATGATTGCATTAAAATGGCAACATAATATTCCACTGAATACTGTCATAATTTACTATATTATCATTCACATACTTTTAAATACTTAACATTGTTTTTCTATATTAATTATATATAATACACTACATATTAAATGACATACATATAGTGTATTATATATAATTAATAAGAACATAATTTTTCAAAACACTACATAATGATAAAACAAATATCTTCATTATGGCAAACTTTTAATTCCTGGAAGGGTTATCCATATCGAATTTTCAAAATGAAATACTAAGAGAAAATAAAATAATTTTAACCTTAGTTTGGAAAATAAAAATTTTCAAGATTAGCATATTTCAAAAAAAATTTATACACCTTACATAAACAAACACTACTCTCCATCATCGACAAAGTTTCTATATATACAGACACACACACACACACACACACACACATACATATATACACAAACTCACCAATCACAGATATTAATATTTTAGGCATCCTTCCATGGCTTTTTATTCCTGATTAATAATCCTAAAAAGCTTACTTTACTCAAGCCCATGGACAATCAACCCAGATATGAGTGCTAACACACACTAGGTTAGAACTGTAAATCTGGCACAGCTCACTGTGTGGCTATTGGAATACAGATGCAAACCATAAACTTTTCTACTTTAATGTCTTCCAAAAACATCAATGAACGGTGATTTAACAGTGATTTAGAATGCAGCTTCTTTCAACTTATCTTAATTTGTCAAGAAACTCTTTGTATTTTAAGCCATACAATTTAAAACGTTTTATGTCTCTCTGTGTAAAGGAGAATTATACTGGCATTTGTCAGAAACTGACGCTTTTTCAAGCATCAAGGAATTCTTTGTAGCCCAATAGTCTGGGATTTGATTAAATGTCCAGGTCTACTGTTTTCACATTCTTAAGGCAAATATCAAAAATTCAAAAACCTTCAAGGGCTGAGCTAGCAGTGTATCTACATGAAGTGGGGAGCTGGGTTGGAAACACAATTAGACTGTTCTCTAGACTGCCTTCTACTTACAGTAATGTATACTAATAGTTGTGGCTTGGGAAGTAGACATTAGCTCTGTTTAAAACCTAACAAAGTCAGAAAGCCAGCCTTGATTTTTTGCTCTTGGAGATTGTTCCCAATCCATAAGAGAGTAAGAGATCCAATCTTATATTTTCATACATATATATATAGAGAGTTTACATTATTTTTAAAGACTGTGGCCAGGCATGGTGGCTCACACCTATAATCCCAGCACTTTGGGAGGCTGAGGCGGGCGGATCATAAGGTCAGGAGTTCGAGACCAGCCTAGCCAACACAGTGAAAACCCATCTCTACTAAAAATACAAAAATTAGCCAGGCATTGGGATGCATGCCTGTAGTCCCAGCTACTCGGGAGAATAGGCAGGAGAACTGCATGAACCTGGGAGGCGGAGGTTGTGGTGAGCTGAGATCCATGCCACTGCACTCCAGCCTGGGCGACTGAGTGAGACTCCGTCTCAAAAAAAAAAAAAAAAAAAAAAAAAGAGAGAGACTGCTTTGGTGTAGAAATACAAGATAAATTTGCTTTAGCAATTAACACAGAATTTTGGGTTCCTCTATTCTGTGATTTGGGGAATCTCCATCCCATAACATCATGTTGCATACCCTAAATACATAGAATTATATTGTATACATTTAATGTGAATGTCTAATATCACACTTTATTGCCTACCAAGTATTATTTACTGAGCTACTAATAACAACATCAAACACCATGAGTATTCACTATGTTCCAGGTGCTGGTCAGATGTTTTACACATTACTTCATTTAATTCCCACAACAAATTCACCAAGTAGGCATTATAATCACCATGGTGGCAACACACTGGTGAGACTCACAGTATACCCACCATGTGAACCAACTAGATGAGAAAATACATCTCTCTCTTTCATTGCATCTACTATGTGGAATCATCCTCACATGGTGCTTACCATCTGATGCGGAAGCATGGCAGAGGCTGCTAGGAGAATATCCATTCTCCTGTCTCCCTACTAGCAGAAGGTCTGTTTTGTTCAGGGTGGCAATGTGCTAAAACACTATATTTCCCAGCTTCCCTCAGTGCTAGAGGTGGTCATATCACACAGTTTTGGTCTAAATGATGCAAGCAGGAGCTTACTAAAGACTTCTGATAAAGTTGTCTCTTTTTTTTTTTTTTTTTTTTGAGACAGAGTCTTGCTCTGTTGCCCAGGCTGGAGTGCAGTGGCGCAATCTAGGCTCACTGCAAGCTCTGCCTCCTGGGTTCACGCCATTCTCCTGCCTCAGCCTCCCCAGCAGCTGGGACTGCAGGCACCCGCCACCACGCCCGGCTAATTTTTGTATTTTTAGTAGAGACGGGATTTCACCTCGTTAGCCAGGATGGTCTCGATCTCCTGACCTTGTGATTTGCTCATCTCTGCCTCCCAAAGTGCTGGGATTACAGGTGTGAGCCACCACGCTCGGCCTAAAGTTGTATTTCTTGAAATAGACACCATCCTTTTCTCCATGCCTTTTTCCCTCCTAATGTTTGGGACCAGGAGGATAAGGCCAAAGGGATCACAAAGACTCAGCCCTGATGCTCTTGAGCTTCTAAACCCATGCCAGCAACCAGCTTTTCATGAGTCAAAACCAAATAATCCTAAATCATGATTAAGCCACTGTAAGGTCTCTGTTACAGTCTGAGGTAGGTCCTAAATGGTATGGGGTAACTGTAAATACTTTAAAGGGCTAAATTAAGCAGAAAAATTGTGGTACATGATCTTCAGTATGGAAGTACCCAGATTGTAGGTTCCACAATGGGGCTCTGGTGTCAGGCCATGTACAGGTTTTTAATCTTAGCCCAACGGTGTGGTCAGTGTTATATTACAGTAACAAGCCTCACGGACAGTAGACAGACATAACAATTACCTTCTAGGCTTTGAATTCTTAGCAATAAACTGCCAGATCAAATTATGTTTCAGTAATTATTCTGAACTAGGAAAAACTGGAAGTAGGGGAAGGAGGAGAAGCTAATCAAGGTGAAGCACTTAATACCAAAGACACTCAATAATTAATAAGGAAAACATCAGCAACTACAACTGTACTGTAGGCAGAGGATATAATGAAATATCTGACCCAGATATGTCTTGTTATATTCAAATCAAGCTGGTATTTACTGAGTTTCAGGTTTACTGTAAGACATAATTTCACACAAAGTATCTGGGAGTGAAATACTTCAGGGACTGGTATAGAGACTGATGAAGAGTCACTGGGCTCCTCTTCGGTATGAATTGCTAAATTCACAGTTAGAACATGTCTTCGATATTTATATTATTTTTGTATATGAACACAACAATCGCTATATAAGTCCTTGAGGTAAGGAACTTCAATATCTTCATTTCAATATCCCTAGTACCTATGTAGCAAATGATAGGCATTCAATAAATATTATATGAGGCAAGAAATGCCTCAATTTTATTTAAAAGTCTTCAGCATTAAGATTAAAACATACACATACAATGGAAAGCAAAACAAGCTTAAAAGACACTCCCACCTGACATGAAAATAAGTCCAAAATATATTATTAAATTTAAAATGGCAAGCTGTAAACAAGTAAATTTATAGAAAAGTCTTAAAGGATACACAATAGTGGTTCCTTTGGTTTTGAGGGTGTCTTTTTTTGTAATGAGGAGCAATAGGAAACTTTTTAGTTTACATAAAATTCTATGTATTTCAAATATGCATATATATTTGTATGTGTATATATACATATACACATTCATACACATTTTTAAACACAGATTCTATAAGGCACTTAAAATAATTGTTTAAATTACCTGATGAAAGTGTATTACCCAAATAGTCTAATTTAAAAAATGAAATTACAAAAATAGTCTACAGTATAAAATCCTTACATTTCCCCTCATATTACTATAAAGCTTCAATTTTATGTTTCAATAAATTACTACTTGAGATCCAAACACATATTGGATGCTGAAAAGGAAAAAGAAGGAGTTCTCTCTATTCCACTAGCCCTTAATTTTTTACACTTTGTTATGGTCTGCTTTCCATTTGCTGGGTAATATCTTTATTACAGACTAAATCCCTCATGGCTTCAAAAGGAAATTTTCCATTAGAAAGTAGCCAAGTGTTGAAAGGAAGGTGATCAAGCCCATAGAAAAATACAAGTTTAGGGAAATGTTCTATTTTCTAATGACAGGGAGAAAAATATCTATTTCAATGCCTGCCCTCTCTACATAATGTAACTTGATTTTATTTCTGAATATTTTTTACAGATTGCTCCCATGCTTCAGAAAATACATTTCTATGCAGAGCCAGATACTGATTTTAAAATAAGGCAATAATATTAAGACAACCTTTTTCTTATGTTAGATTTGATCACAGTAATTTGCAATTTTAAATGTCCTAAATAATATAAAGAGGAAAGTAAGTACCAGTGTAGAAGTTCAAGATTCTAAAAATTATGAGCACTTTTTCACATTTCCTCTGATAACTAGTTTATGTTTTAAATGAAGGTATGTTTTTGGAAGTAATACCAAAAGTTTTCAAGTTCCCATTTATGTACTTTCTATTTTAAACATACTAGGAGAACTTGGATACCTAGAGATGGCAGTGATAATTTGTTAAATATGTAAAGTTTCACCTTCCACAACAAATGTTACATATGTTATTTGCCTTTTCTTTTTGATAGGTATTATCCCCATTTCTTGGATAAGGAATCTAACATGTCATAAGTTACACATTTTGCTCAGACAGAGAATCAAGTCATATTTTGAACTCAGATGTATCTGAGTTTAAAAGTCTGCTCTTCTGATGCTTTTTATTTGGAACTATTTTGTAAAGTAAAAATTCATGTCCAAGTTGGCTTCATTTCATTTCATAGATCAGGCTTAAGGCCTGGCACACCTGCATAAAATAACTGAAAACTCCAGTTTGAAAAACATTTCAAAACTGAAATTATTCACTGATTATTTATATTAGATAATATTTTTTGTTAGAACAGGATTCACTTAAAAGAAGTGTTCATCTGAATAAACTTGAATTATGACATGTGGAACAAAAGAAGAATAAAAATACATTTATTAATTAAATGTGGTACACTAATAGTCAAAATTTTGTTACAGGTCAAAGACCATTCTAAGGTTTCCAGAGTCTTTATTGTGTTGTTTGTTTTTTGGGGGGAGTCTAGAGCAGGGACACGTTATCTGTGCACAAAAATGCAAACAAAATATTTTAGGTCTCCTCATAAGCATAAGTATAATGCTAGTGTAATGCTCTGTTAATTTCAAGCAATCACTTCCCAGCACTTATGATCTACCATCTCATTTAGAAATTAAAATTCAAACTAATAAACATGGATCTTGATGAATTTTTTGGAAGCAAAATGATAAAATGATTTTAAAACATAATATCAAAGCACAAGAAAACAATAAAAAAGGAGGAAATGTACTTAGGGGCATACTTTCGGCAATGATGAAAATCTATGTAATGTTTTTAATTTACATTCACAATTTATTTGTAATATTTGCCTCTGAGAATGTTACCTGAAGGAAAAAATTATAATCAAATTTAACTGACTTAAAATAACCAGAAATAAAAGCATAAATTTAGGAGAATCTTCAAAGCTTATAAACTTCAATGCATGTGGAGAATTAGATGGTTCCAAACTCATGTATTAGATGTTTACCAAATTATGTCAGTATACAAAGTTACTGAACTATTAAATTTCAAATACTTTATATTCTTGAAGATTAATTTCTAGAAAGATTTTGGTGTTAAAATTGTCTTCTGCTCACATAACATCCAAAAAATCCAAAATAAACTTATTTTTCTTAAAGAAGAGCCAATCGATGGAAATAGATCATAACAATGACAATTTGACATGTTATATGTCTTTGTATAGAAAGATACACTAGTCTCACCATAGGGCTACACAAAAAGAGCATTGGACATAGCCATAACCCTTTTCTCTCCAACTCTCAAGGGTAAAGATATCTTGCAAATATTTTGCCAACTATGCAGATGTGCAGCATGTGTACACACACATCTCTTTCTCACACATTCCCAAGCTGGGACTAGGAAAGGGACAGTAGGTTCAAGGCATACCTGTCCACCACCAGGACCACATCACCTCTTGTTATATCCACACTACACTTGTAGGGAACGCACAAAGACTTTGCTTCTCCCTAGGGAAGGATTTCACTTTTGAAAGTTACCAAGTTGAAAAAAATTCCACTGCAACAAGGAGTAAAGAAGACTCCTTGAACTACTTATACCTGAGTTTTACCCACACTAAGAACTGGCCTATTTCCAGCCACGTTTGAGTGCTTTATACTGATAAAAACTTGAGAGACCTTTGGAATTTCAAAGCACTTTACAAAATGTAACCTCTCAGGGGAAGTTAGAGAAAATCTCCAAAGGGAAGTAACTGCTTCATACGCAAAGGGCAGGTGAACTGCTGTGGGGGACTCAGAGTCTGTCTGACGCACAGGTGCAGTGTCACTGGCCTTGCTGGCCTTGCCACTATTCTCCAACTCAGACTTCCTAAGTCTCAGTAAGGAGAGTCAACCAGGCGTAGTGGCTCACACCTGTCATTCCAGAAGTTTGGGAGGCAGAGGCAGGTGGATCACTTGAGGTCAGACGGTCAAGACCAGCCTGGGCAGCACAGCATGACTCTGTCTCTGCAAAGGGTTTTGGGTTTTTAAAAAAAAATTTTTAAATTTAGCCAGGTGCAATGGTACCTTCCTGCAGTCCCAGCTACTTGGAAGCCTGAGGCAGGAGGACTGCTTGAGCCCAGGAGACTGAGGCTGTAGTGAGTTGTGGTCACACCACTGTACTCCAGTCTGGGCAAGAGAGGGAGACTGTCTCAAAACAAAAAAACAAACAAACAAAAAAAGTGAACAAGAGGGTAACAGCACTGTCTTCATGAGGCATGCATTCTAGAAGGGAGGAGAGTTAAACAAGTAATAATAAAATAGCAGTACTAATAATAACAATATTAAAAATATACACATTTTGATGGAGAAATATGAAGAGTGGTAAGTATAGAGAAGGGGAATTTAAGGTCAGAGTTCGGAATGCCTTCTGGATGGAGCAGTTTAAGCTGATCCCTGGAGTTCTAGCCGATAGGACGCAGACGTGAGCAAGGACGTTGTGGTGGTTAGGAGGTATGGAAAGATAATTACCCCAGGCAGAGAAAACTACCCACAAGTGAGAGTATATACATACTGCTGGAAAACCTGAAGAAATTAAGCCCACTTGGAACTAAGTTGTGAGAGAGGAGGTAAGAGATGAGACAAAGAGCTCCTCAGAGCCAGGCCAGGGTCTTGCAGGCCATATTACAAGTCTGGTCTTTTTATCCTAAGAGAAATAGGAGGCCGGTAAAAGCTTTAACTAAGAATCTGACTGATAGGATCCTAAATATTTACATTTAGGAGTTTTCAAATACTAAACTCTAAGAATGTTAACATAAAACAATTCATTGCTGTCCAAGATAATTATTAAGAAAAAATCTGTTTCAATTTCTTAACCATCAGAATGTGTGGCCTAGAAAACGCAAAGTCCAGGATCAGTGTTAAAGTCTGACAGTCAATAGTTTCAGTGAGATGTGAATTTAAGCTGCGTAATTATTGGACTTACATGTTTTAGCCTAAGAAAATGTAACAGCAAGTATTAAAAATATGTCTTAATTAAATCATGACAACCATTTGCAAAGAGTTAACGTTTACAGAAGTGCCAGGCACTGCGCTAAATGTATCTGTGGGTATTATTCATTTACTCTTCACAACTACCGAGTAAATTAAGCATATTATTACAAATGGAGAAACTGAGGCTTATAGAAATTAATAACTTTTCCAAGATCAATACTAACAACTGTCCAGAGCCAGAATTCAAACCCAAGCAGTGTAATTTCAATCCAGTCACTACACAGTACTCAAAGTCACAGATTGTTAGGAAGATGGCATTTATAATACAGGAGAAATGTGGTCTAGTAACAACAGAAACCCCTGTTACATGTAGGGTTCACTTGATTGTTTTATTCAACTAAAGAAAGTCTTAAAATCAGAGTCAATGGCCGTAAGTGGTTTATAAGATTGTAAAAATGTATCTTTTTCATGTGTTTTCCCATATAAAAATAATTTTATCATGCTTCTCAAACATATAATTAGTTTTGATTGGTTTACTTTTGTGAAATTTTATTGATCCATTCATTAAACAGCTTATTCTTCAAATAAAACAGTGTTAAAGTCTGTATAAATTACCACTGAGACAGGATTTCAGTCGACTTCCAAGTATGCCAAAAAGCTTTTCTCATAGTTCTAGAATATCATTTGCAAGCATACGCACATAATGAATCTAAATGAATGTAAATCACTCAAATCTATCAGAGGCCCCCCCTTCATTAGGAATACATCCTTCTAAAGAAATTAGTTCATCATTCCATTTTTACATTAGTTAGGAGTTCTTTTAATTATTTTAGTCTTATTGAAGTACTGTAAAATGGCACATATCAATATCCTTGTCCCATCACTATTTACTACTGGAATGATGTTCAATCCTGACTTTGAACACTAATATTATTTTCTTCCAATAATATATATTAGCAAGTTAACGTAAAGAAAGTCCCGATAACCTGTTAGCATGCTCTCAGTAAAACCTTCCTGGAAGTTAAAAAAGCAACAGTTTTTAGATTAGATTTTCAGAGCACACCAAAAGCAGAAACTACACACACCCTTAGAAGAGCACTCCCTCCCACCTGCCTCCTCCGGCTATTGTGCTGAAGCAGGAGGCAACCCAACATGTGGCTGAATCAATACCCTTAGCTACAAAATAAAAAGGTTCTTTATTAGCTATCACATTTGAACTAGCAGGGGACCACTACCTCTAAGTGAATGTGTTTCAAGTTTTCATCAAAACAGAGGAAAGGGGTGTTACATGTCACAGAGGGGCCAAGCCAGGCCTCAACGAATTAGAGAAAATGATCAAAATAATTAATTATATTGATCAGTGCTAGCCAGTTATCAGGTAACTGATAAAAAACAAAAATATGTGCTAGGAACATAAACTAGATTTCCATCCTCTATTTTAAGGTGACTATAGAGGTAGGTTCTCTAAAATTCAGATATTTTATTTGTAGGATTTTCAGTAGAGTTTTATCTTGATTCCCCCACCAAGTTTTATATACCTGGAAGGCAGAGATCATTCTGTTTCTTTATACTCCACAGCATCAAACTCAGGTTTTTAAACTCATTGAAATGATCTAGTCAACCACTAAAACCTTATAATTCAAAGATACTTTCTTTTACAAAAAATGCTGAACCACATTTCTTGATGATCAACAGGTATCTTTACCAATAGGCAACCATTTTAACTATTTAATTATCTATTTATGAAAACAGACAGTAGAAAACAGAAAATAAAAGTGTTAAGAAAAAATGAAATAACCCATAATATCACCATTCAGAGAAATATTTAGTGTATTTCATCTAATTGATCTATTAATACATTTAAGACTGTGTATTTCTGCATATATAAGAAGTACTGAGATCATGCTTATATATTGTTCTATATCCTGGTTTTTTTCACTCAGTATTATAAGAAACAGCATTTTCCTGTATCTTGAAAGTTATTAGAAATATTTAAAACATCTACTAGTCCTAAATAATAGCAACATACCAAACTTTGTTGAATAATTCTCCTATTAGTTGTTGTTTTCTAGGTCTTGCTAATACTGCAATGAATTGTTGTAAATGTTTGTCCAAATTTCTCATTATTCCCCTAGGATCGTTTCCTAGAAGTGGAGATATTGGGTCAAAAGGTAAAGAAACAAGGCTCCTAGCATATTGCCAAACGGCTTTCCAGAAAGGATATCCCAGTTTAGACTGTCATTAGGAGAATATGTGCATTCTCATTTATAAAAGCAAACTATTCTAAAAATTTTGTCAATATGAAAAGCAAGGAATAGGTTTTATTGTCTTAATTATGTCTTTGATATTGAGATAAAATCTTACGTTTATTAGCCTTTTATATTTTCTCTTCTGTCTCTAAAAATTCTTGGTGTTTTTCCTTATCAAATTGAGCCATGAACTATTCAGCACCTAATTTAAATAACCCATGACTTGCCACCTTCAAGGATAGTCACATGTTCCCAAGTCTTCATCCACTAGACTTAGGCCTTATCTGTCTTGTCATAATGTTATCTTTGTCAAAACTTTTAAACCTAAACTTCACCTTTTCTGATGGACCTTTCCTTAGGTGACAGAAAGCATATTAGAAATGTTATTTTTCTTTTCCAAAGAATTAGCTACCTAAAAAATTATCTCCAATTATTAAGAATTTCCAAGTTAGTTGTTTGAAAATTGAGCATATAATAAAATGTTTATTGAAAATATATTAAAATGAAAATATATCCATATTTAAACTTCATGCAAAATATTTTTTGCCTAGCAGGTCCTTTTAACTATTATATCTCAAATAAGTTCACGGTACAATGTCCCAAAGTAGGTAATTTACTAACTCAGTCCTAAATTCTGTTTTTTAACCAGTGATTTTTCCTTAGGAATGTAAGGAAAATATACTTTATTTCTCTTCGCTAAAAATTCCCCTACACATAATTGAAAATTGGATAATTTCCCTAAAATCACAAGAGAAGGATGAATCTAAATGACATAATGTCTATAAAGTCCTTTAAACTGTGTTTTTTTAAACTACATAAATTCCAATAACTACCATTATACATGATGTTTTCTATAAAAGCTATTAAGTACGTCACATAAAAAATTAGGTACCTTTAAAAAACAATGTTTATTTTTCAATGTTTGAATTGTTAAATTCAAAAACCATGTCCAACTTTTAGAAAATATGCTAATAATCTTGTATGTACATGTAAATTTCCCATTGTTATGAAATGTAAGTTGTAATCAAATGCTATCTAAACTCAGTTCATCTCAAACCAGCTGGCTGCTTCTCACCCATACCATTCCAAGTCAAGTTAACTATGCTTTCAATGAATGAAACAGTACTTAAGTTATCTAATAATAAAGTTTTGAATACAAGTGATTAAAATGAGGCAATGGACAGAGAAGTCTCCAAGAAACTACACCATCGTCCAAGAATTAACAAATCCAGATTTTCTCAAATCTTCAGTTCACAGTATATTCCCCTTTAGATAAGCAATAACAGTAGTTTATGGGCTTCAAACTTATGGAGACTTAATTCAGGGAACTGTTAACACTACATCCTAGTTTAACTGCAGAAGCTTAAATCAAAGTTTAAAATACAGAAATAAAATTAAAATACAACCTGGTGTCTTGTGACCTATGTACAACGGCCAGGGACCTTTCACTATAACTCAAAGAAGCAGAATCCCTAAAAGAATGTATTTTTCTTACCTATCCGCAAGTTAACATGAACATCTTAGACTGAGAGGTGAAAAAAGGTCACTCCAAGCAGTGAGTATTTGTATACTGGCCATTCAGATTTCTTTCTTACCTAAAATAATTGAGGTAATAATGCTATAATTCATGTGCCCACACAGTACAAGAGTATCACACATCATTTGGCCAGGAGTAGTGACAAAAATATGCTTTACAGACTACTGTCAGGGTTCAGATACACAGAACACGTATAGTCACCAAAGACATAAGCCAAACTAAACCTTACGAGGAAACCTTAGATAATCTTCAGTACTCCGACCTTCAACTCAATGTCATCTTATACAATTTGGGAGACCTAAATTGCAGTTTCTTGCTATATTCCAACTACACATTTTTTAGTTGTAGCAAGAGCTTAATGTCTTTCATTTTGGCTGGTTGCATCAACTGCCCGTCCCCCACCCGCCCACCACCCACCACTGGCCCAAACAAAGAATCAAAGAAACTAGTTCTAGGTTCCAAACTATTTTTGTTTTGGGGCCCAGCAATTGGTAGCAAATCATCCTGGCTATAACCACATTTTGTTGTTGCTGTCACTTGGGGAAAAATTTCGAATACAGAAGAGGACAGGCAATAATATAGCATCTAACAAAATATCCATATACTTAATATTTAGATTTAAAAGATGTTAACATTTAATGAAATCCAAATCCAATTCAAATATTTTTCAAAATAAAATTAAAATATTACAGACAAGGGTAATGTGTTTGTTCCCCTGTCCCTCCCTCTCCAGGGTCAAGCACTAATTAAATTTTGCTTGATATCTTTGTTCTGTATTTTTATACTTCCATTATATGCACACATAAACAAATGGACATATTCTATGTGGTTTTAGATTTTTATATAAACGGCATCACAAGGTCTATATTGCTCGACACTGGTTTTTCTTTCTTTTTAATTCAACACAATGCTATTGAGATCTATCCTTAAACCTTCTGGACAGTGTCGTCCTACTCACATCATCTTCAGACAATGTCACATCAAAAGATACTTATGTAAGGTGCCATATGCATAGACAACCAGAGCAAGCTCTAAGATTAACTACTAAGCAGGCAAAATTTAGACTTCAGTGTTGCTAGAATAAATAGTTTTCCTTTATCTTGCTTCCTCTGCAACACATACCAAGATGAAGGAACTCCAGGCCTCCTCTTCCTCTCCTTCCACATTCTTCCCAAGTAAAGAACAAGAAAATCCACTTATAAAACTTAACGCTGCACATTTTAGGGAGACAGCATCAATTTAAAAAAGAGGGTTTCCGGGTTGGTCAGAGCTGGGCTATAACACATCCAGTTGTTGCATTTACTAATTGTGTCATCCTGGCCAAGCTACTCACCCTCTCAAAAGTGTAAGTTTCCTCATCAGCAAAGCAGGGTTATCACACCTGTCTCCTGGGGTCGCCATAGGGACTAATGCCTGGAAAGCACATCACGACTGAGACTCGGTGAACACAATAAACATCCAAGGCAGCACTGACCATTGCTGCACACAACCTCCGCTGCAGACATCAGTGGGTGGCTTTCATTCTTTGCAGGGAGGGGTGGGTGGAGCTGTGCCATTCTTACTGTTAGGAAAGCAATGTATCCCCTTAATCACTTATTTTCCTGGGACTGACTTATTCCTAAAATTACAGTGAAAATTGGTTAAATTTCAGAAGACTGAAACTATATTAGAATACATAAGTGAAGTAAAAAAAGATCAAGCTGGAATTCTAACTAGATTTTTGGCTAAGTATTCACAGTTTGGAGATTCAGATTTAGCCTTTCAATAATAAAATGCAGGCACTGTCTATTGGTAATTTAATTGGAAGAGAGATGCAGAAACAAGAGAAATGTGGAGAAGGAGTAAAAAAAAATGCTCCTTCCTTTATTAGGAACAAAAATTAGCTTCATCTAAGAGTCTTATAATGGCAACTTGAAATGTATTTTCAAAAACTCAACTGTCAGCACATTCTAGGCTTACATTCTTTTACTTATTTATATTTTCTAAAAGCACATAATTTTTATCTTTTAATCTGTGACTGAAATCTCCCTCTCTGACCCAGACCACAACACTGTGAATATGCACATACGTGCATACACAGGTGCACATGTGCGCACACACACACACACACACACCCCTTAGTTATGCTTCATCCCAAAAGGATGACTGAGTGTCCCATCACACCCCAGGTGACAAACTGTTGAGAGTTTAGAGCAGAAATACATATCACTTGAGCTTTTCCAGTCTGTGTGGCCTTGTATTTATTTTCAAAAGAAGTTTAAGACAGCAATCTCAATCTGCAATGAATAACTGATCAAAACTAGAAGCGTCCCCTATGTTATCTTTCCACACAAGCATAATATTTTCATAAATATTTGAACCTCAAAACCAAATAAGAAATAAACAGCCCCAACTTCTGTATTTTACCTAGTGTTTATTGAAAGCTTCTAAATAGCTATATAGCACTCACTCTTCGTAAGTCACAGGGTATAACTGTATTCTGTTCTTAGCCTCTTAAATATCATAGGGAATCATCCCTATCACTGTGAGGATTATTTTAGAGGATGGTGGTAGAAATGCATCATTTCCTAAAGTAACTACTATGTTTCCAAAAAATAAATTCTTTTATCCACTACTACATGAAAAGCTTTGAGACTTAAAGAAAAATAGAAATACAGCTGTAAGAATACATTGAAAAATGCCTTCATGAACTTAGAGTAGAGAGGGGTTTCTTAGGCAAGGGATATAAAGCACAAACCTTAAGCAGTAAAAATTGAAATTTTGATGACATCAAAATTTAAAGCATCTGTATGAAAAAGAACATTATAACAAAGTTAAAGCACAAGCAGTAGACTGGGAGAGCATATTTTCAACTCACATAACCAAAAGTTTAATGCGCAGATTAATACCTTTGACAAATCAATAAACAGACATTAACTCACAAGTAATATAGGTAAATAGGATATGAACAGCAATTTATAGAAGAGGAAACTCAGTCTGACAAACCTATGAAAATATGCCCAATTTTCCTGTAATGAGGAGATTCACATTTAAATTACAAATGATACACTACTTCCTACCCACAATACAAAGCGTAAGCAAGGATGTGGCAAATCAGTACCTTACACATACTGATGAGAACGTAAACTAGTACAAACATACTGGCTACTGGCAGGCATTATGCAAAGTTTATAAAATGCAAGATGTATACATTTCTTCATTACACAGAAATTCTACTTCTAATTATATATCCTAGAGAAATCTTTGCTCTTGGGTATAAGCAGACATTTACAAAATTTGTCTCTGCAGCACTACTTTTATCAGCAATAAAACTGGAAACAATCTAAATGTCCATTAATAGGGAACCAGATAAGCGATAGAATACTATCAGGCAATTACAGTAAAATAAACTACATCTAAATGTATCATCACACATAAAGCTCAAAAATCATTAGATGTTTTGCAAGGGTAAGATTCCATTTATGTAAAATTGCTAAATATACGCATACACCTATATATGCAGGATAAAAACATGGGCAGAAAATACAGATGACATTCTTGACTTGGACTGCTTCCGCAAAGACAGGGAGGAAGTGAAAAGGGTGGGGAAGGGATCCAAATCTGATTTGAACTTTGTAATATTCTGTCTCTCATTTAAAGAAAGATCTGAACCCAATGAAAAATTAACATTTGTTAACTCTGGGGAGCAAATTATGAGTACTATAATTTTGCTTTTGTTAATTAATTTAAAAATAATAAAGAGATAAATAAGGCATCATATGAAAATTCCTAACCACTGTCTAGATGATATGGCCTCTGTTCAGTTCAACTAATTCAACTTTCCAGTAGATAACTATAATCCACCTTGATTGTTACTGATCTCAAATAAATTGCATTTTGACCTTAATGTTATTTTTCAAAAAAAATACTCAAAAATTATTACCAGTTGGTCAGACTTAAATACATTAAAGACTTGTGGAAAATAATTTGTCACTTATACTGATGTTAGACGTGAGAGCTTCTGAAAGGAAATTTATGTGATAATTATTTTTCCTTTACCTTTTGCCTTATAAAATATTTAGTTTTTACTATAAAAATACTACTTAGCAATAACAGCTGAATAAATCATAAATGTAAATCTAGATAAGTCACTATTTCCATGTCCAGAGACTCCATGAATATTCAGTCAGCAGGCCAATTACAAACCATGAAGTTATTAACAGTATTAGGGTTATTAACAAAAGTATTTTTAAAACAGTTTTTCATGATATGCATAAATGCAAATCTTTAAAATATTTTGCAACTGATTTGCCTACAGAAAAATCTGTTAGGCTCAAAATTTCCAGTGATTCACCTAATACCAATTAATAAATAAAACTCCTCCTATTTACTCAGTTAACTTTGCCTTATCTCACTAAGTGAAAGGATCATTATGTAAGAACAGTGCAACTTAAAATAATAAACAGAAAAGAAAAGAAAAAGCAAAGGATTGTCGATCTAACCTAAGAACCTGAAAGAACCATTCTTACAGGATCGCAGGAACTGAAGGAGTCAAATTTCAGGCCTGATAGAATGATGGAGCAGGAGGAAAGATCATTAATATAGAGGAGAAATAAATGTTAGAAATAATGATTTTTATGTAGTATTTTTATTCTGCCCTAATAGCTCTTTAAAGTTGCTCTATTCGCTTAGGAAATAAACTATACTATGAAAAATGTATTTTATTCATCATGCTTGCTTTTCAGATTATTATAAACAAACAATTTCATTTGCTCTCAAGTGGTTTTAATAGATGTTACAACAAATGGCCCCATAACTTTAAAGAATCTAGAAGCAGGCAAAAACCTGCAAGAAAAAAAGCAGCATTCTCAGGGGGCATGTGCAGGGTCCATGCCTCCCTCCACCCGTCTGTCTAGGGCTGGTTTAGGAAGCAAGACAAATGTATCCATGAAGCCTAGATCCTAACTGAACAAAATGCTCATCAGCCCAGAACTCTCTACTTCTCTGTGAAAATGGTAGTGCCATCTGGAGGCAAAGATGATCTTGTTCTTACATGTGAGAGATTTATTACACTCTCAAATAAAATCATTACTGCTGCTCTTTTAATAATTTTTCGTCCTAGAAACAATACATTCTCATTGTAGAAAATTTGGTAAATACAAAAAGAAAAATAAACAAAGCAAGTAATCCTATTACTCATAGACAAACACCACTGATTTCGAGGCATTTTCTTCCACTAAGAAAAAAATACATGCATTTCTTCCCACTGAGAATAAAATATACACATACGTAACTGAGCAGACACAAATTCTGTCTATAGAGCTGCATATCATAATATTAAATATAAAAAATAAATTGTAATGATTTCCTATAAATTTTCTTCATAGACATAGCTGCATTTTTATATCATAATAAGAAAAAAATAAGTTTACCAAGATTTGGCTAATCGCCAATTCACTGGGAAAAAAGTTATTTAAATTTTTGTAAATTATGCTAAATTAACATCATCATACATAAATCTTTTTCCATATGTATAACAACTTCCTGATGACACACTCCTAGAAACTGGATCTTTTGAGGTATATAAAGACAATGATAATAATAATATAGCAAATACATTTATGTAGGACTTACTATGGGACAAGCACTTTTCTAAGCACTTTACATATTCTAACTAACTCAGTCCTTATAACAATACTGTTTGGTACATTCTATCATCTCCATTTTACAGATGAGAACACTGAGGCACCAAAAGGTTAATAAATAATTTGCCTAAGATCACACAGCTGATAAAGTGGTAAAACTGAGGACACCTGGCTGAAGAGTCCATGCTCTGGAATCAAGTTACACTACTTCTGATAGTGCATGCTGCCAAATTACTTGTGTCTCTTTCTACTCTCCACTGGATGCCATCCAAGAGCGATGGTCTCTATGCTCCCTATCCACCATTTGCTTTTTCTGAAAATCCAATTTAAAATGATACCAAATTGTTGCTTTCACTTCTATTTCTCTATTTAGTAGCATGATTAAACAGTTTAGAAGTTCATACACTCCATATGTATTTGCTTTTTTTTTCTTTTTTTTTGAGATGAAGTTTTGCTCTTGTTGCCCAGGCTGGAGTGCAATGGCACAATCTTGGCTCACTGCAACCTCTATCTCCTGGGTTCAAGTGATTCTCCTGCCTCAGCCTCCTGAGTAGCTGGGATAACAGGTGCCTGCCACCATGCCCAGCTAATTTTTTGTATTTTTAGTAGAGACGGGGTTTCACCATGTTGGCCAGGCTGGTCTCGAACTGCTGACCTCAGGTGATCCACCCGCCTCCGCCTCGCAAAGTGCTGGGATTACAGGCGTGAGCCACCGCACCTGGCCTGTATTTGTTTTTCTATGAGCTGCCTGTTCATGTCTTTTCCTTGTTTTTTCCCTCCTCTCTTGGAAGTCTTCATGGTCTTCTTATTGATAAGTATTAGCTCTTATTATGGAGATATCAACCTACTCATCATTTCCCAAATTTTGTCTTAATTTTGTTTGGCATATGGGAATTTTGAATTTTTATATAATCAAAATGTTCAGTGTATGTATGCATGTGTGTATGCATGCGTGCACACACGTACTTCCTTCTACCGCTCTCTTCTTATAAAGACTTATAATGACTTCTCTATCCAAGAGTCAGATATGTGTTCAACTCAGTGTTTTTCTCAATTGAGGTTCTCTTTAAACCATCTGGAAATTATCTAGTGTATGGTGTTGGCATTATATCTTAAGCATAGTGAGATTGTAAAGACTTGATACTATAGATGGTTTTATATAATATGTTTTTATCTTCATGCAGTTTTTAGACTAGATGGCAACATATGCTGACTTATTACAACAGAATTACTCAATCTGAGAGAAAGTTATAATCTAAGACACTTCTATTCTGGTTACAGGCACATCAAAAACATCTCAAACACGAAATTTATTCTTACCTTTAAAAACCCACAGAGCAAAAACTCTCATGGGCCTTTTCCCAAAACAATAATTCCAGCCCAGTGTTTAACAATAATATAAAATGAGCAGATTTTTCATAGCTGATTTAAATCCCTAACAGGGTTTCTTTTGTTTTCATTTCTGTTGTCCAAAGAAGATACTATATATTTTGCAATCACCTGCTTAACAGTGCTTATATTTGAATAGCATTATATATTTAGTGACGTTTAATGTGTGGGGAAGAGGGAGAGATTTCTGACATTTTTACTGGATTCTCAGGCTTTCCTCTAAAGCACAGGTCCCTATAATCAGAACACTAGACAACAGGGCATGATCAGTTTTGAGTTGTATGCCAAGTAATTTGTTAATAATATTGATGTTTGTGAATGACATACTGTTAAAACAGAAACACAGGAAGGGTCCATGATTCTTCCTATAATAAAGCCACTCTCGTTTACATTCTGATGGTGTTCACAAGTGAGAAAAGAGGCGGAGATGAAAACCATCACAGTACATCACTGTGCAGCCTATCTTATCTATGTTATAGTCCATAATAAGCAATTCTTACTGAGTCATATTTCTATGCTGAGTATTGATTTTTATGAATATCACAAAAACAAAACTTGTGCTATTTGCTTTACTGCCCACACACACATACCCACACAATGCTTTTCAATCAAACCACCATGGAGCATGTGATATATGTAAATGTTAATCTTCATTTGTATTGCTCTAAAAAAAGAGTTTAAAAATCACTAAGATATCTTCATGATAATCTCTATTTTTGAAGTTCAGAGAATACAGTTCTCAATTAAGTTCTCACAAAGAACTAGAAGAATTTCCTCTCTCTACAATAATGTTAGAGGTTGAATTTATTAATACTACATTGTTAATTCATTTCAAAATGGAATCTCTTAGGTCATACTCTCATATGAGTAATTATTTACCCATTGTAGTTCCTATTTGTTCCTATTCCTCTATTTCAATTTTAATTGAAACTAATAACAATCAACAATAATAAGAACTAAGATTTGTATTGAGCACTCTCTACATGCCAGTACTTTACATAGATTAGCTCAGAAAATTTCCCAATAGCATAGGAGGAAGGACTGTTAGTGTCACTATTTTACAGAGGTGGAAGGAAACTCATTCTTAGAGAGGATAGGTAACTTGCTCAAGGCCATATGATGAGCAAGTGGAAGTATGACCTAAAAGCTGGCTTTCCACTCTTCTACATGTTCATTTCTTACATATTCTCCCATTTACCAAGATTACTCTGACTCCTGATAATATCCTCCCTAGAGGATGCTATCTCTTTACCTGCCAACATCTACACACTCTTTAACCCTCATCTTTTTCAAATGTATCTCTAGCCTGTTTACATGGGTCACCCTGCATTCTCTATTTCACGGTTGTTTTTCCTTTTTTTTTTTCTTTTTGTCTGGCTAGCCATCTTGCATAAATATTTACCACATGTTATGAGATGTAAACAAATGCATAACATAGCATCACTGGTGAACAAACAACTCAAATTGCATTTTCAACTATAAATGTTCTATTGGTAGTGGATCACAATGGTCCTCTTCCTGCTACGTAGTTATATTTTAACAACAACCAAGAGAAAGAGTTCTTAATCTGGGGCTCATGGGTTCATGAAATGGTTGGCGAAGGAAGGGCCCACGAATCTTCTGAAGCTATAAGCAAAATTACATGTGCAAGTATGTATAGCGTCCTGGTGAGCAGGTATAAATTTGTTAGTAATTCTCCCATATTCAGAAAAGATTATTTGCATCGAGAATGGCACAGGCCCTCAGTGAAAAGGCCAAAGAAGACATGATATAAAATACTTCTTACGTACTCTTAGGTGGATAATGATAATGAGCTGGATAGTCTAGAGCCATATTTATTCGTGGGACCAATTTAATGAGCTTTTTAGAATAATATTAATGGCAACATTCTTTACATATCAGTGACTGATGATCAATCTGCAGTGTACTGTTTTGGAAAACATTCTGATTACCATTAATTTTTCTCATTATTAAAGCATCTGTAAATGTACTTTGTAAAAGAAACTATCAGATCCTTCCTCCCAAAAACATGTTGCTTTTGCCCTTTCCAATCATTAATTTTCTGTTCTCCACCAGCTCACAATATTACCAGACAGTTCATTTCAATAATAATTAAGTCTTACTAATGATAATGCTTAGAAAAGCAATGTGACCAACCTATTTAAATAGGGAATAATTAATCAATGACTGTATGATCAGTTTTTGAAACTGATGTAGGGTACAGTTTTTGTTTGGCCAGACCCTTTGAAGACACATCTTCCTGTGTTCTTAGTACATGGGGTTGGGTGAGACCAAACCCCCACCACCTACATGCATACACGTCCACTCACGTGAGCACACAAGCAACACCCCTACTTAAGGCTGGATGAGTGACCCAAGCCAGATCAATCAGAATCTGTCGAGAAAGGTTATTCCTTTTAACCTGAACAACGAATGAAAATAAAAGCCCAGAGTGACGCTGGCCAGAAAATATAACTGAATAAAAAAAGTAAAGCCCTAGTAGATGCAGACAAAGAAACTATAGGATGACACCATTCGAAACCTAGGATCTAACCAAGCCTGAGGTGTACTTCCTGAATTCCCATTTGTTTAAGCCAAGAGATTCTATTTTCTTTAAGCTAATATGAGACGGGTCCTTGTGCTGTTTGCAAACCAAGAGTACTGACTAATCATATTACATTCACTTATAACTATCACATAATTTTATTAACGAAATTAGTATTTAATTTCTAACTGTTCCCTCCCTATGTTCTCAAAACATTATTTGGTACCTCCAGAATAACACCTACCACAACCTACTTTGTAACCGGATCTTGAATGTTATCTAGATTGGGTGTTCCTAAAAGTGAGGACTTCCTCATTTTCCACTCTGACCACATACCCAGTGACATAGTTTGGATCTCTGTCCCCACCCAAACCTCATGTCAAACTGTAATCCCCAATGTTGGAGATGGGAGCCTGGTGGGAGGGGATTGAATCACAGGGGTGAATCCTTCATGAATGGTTTAGCACCATTCCCTTGCTGCTGTCTTGTGATAGGGTTCTCATGAGATCTGGTTATTCAAAAGTGTGTAGCAGCTCCCCACTCCTTCTCTTGCTCCTGCTCCAACCATGTAAAATGCCTGGCTCCCCTTTCACCTTCCACCATGGCTGCAAGTTTCCTGAGGCCTCCTCAGAAGCCGAGCAGATGCCTCCATGCTTCCTGTACAGCCTGCAGAAGTACGAGCCAATTACCTTTCTTTATAGATTACCTAGTTTCAGATATTTCTTTACAGCAATACAAGAACAGACTAATACACCCAGGACTAGGCTTTGACCAAGTCAAGTGTTTATATAAATGCTTGCTGAAAGAAAATCAGTACTGAACAGAGCACATATATGACACTATACTTATTAGACAATGTAGCACCTCCCTATTTTTAGGACTCAACTACCTTTTTTATAATAAAATATACATAAAATTTGCCATATTCACCATTAAGTTAAGTGGCATTAAGCACTTTCACACTGTTGTACAACCATCACCACCATCCATCTTCAGAACTCTTTTTGGATTAAGTGCTTTTAATGTGCACTGTTGTTTGTTATAGGTTACAGGGAGTTTACTGAGTAGAACTGGTATTTCACATAGCAGTGTATTCGTCTCTTTAAAATGTCCATGTTTTCTGTCTTAATATAGTCTTTCTTTCTTCTCTTAGGCAAGGCCCAGGGAAGGGCACTCCCCTTTTAAAGACGAGTAACTGAAATATCAAAAGTATCACAACATTCTAAGAATAAGTATGATGAGAAAACATTTATCATTCTTCATGGATTCAACGCCTGGAAATAACTCAGCTTGGTTAATATCAGTGACATTTCTGGAGGATACTGACAATGTACTGACTCTGACAGTCATGGACATCTAGCCATTTTCCCCATTAATTTTAACTTGTTTTATGTCTAGTTTCATTAAAACTCTCAGAATACTAGATGTATTTATTCCCGCTACAGTAAAATTGGCAAGAATTTAACTTTTTAAAAAAGCATACTTCAGCATTATGAAATCACAGAGGCTAGGCCATGTTCACAGAATTCTATTCTTTACCTCTTCCATTCTCAGGTACTGGCAACAAATTCAGTCTTCAAAAAATGCACAGTTCATGAAATGCACAGTTCATGAAATTATACTCTCTCATAAAAATCTTTTGCTTGTTAAATGAAAATTAGCTCAAAAATAGAGGTATTTGCTAATAGACATCCAGTGGCCACCCATGGATCTGAATGTTTCAGAAGTCATACAAATGTAGGAGCTTTAGGTTTTCACAATGAAAGGTTGCTATGCTTATAACTCCTCCTTCCTCTACTCTAGGAATCCATTAATTTTTTCAGTTCCCTAAAAAACAGTACTTAAGAGGGGGAAAAATGCTATTTTTCACCTTACACATAGCAACCAAGTCCAAAATACAGGGTATATGTCAATGAAATTATCATTTCTACCACATATAGAAAGCCCAGAATGCTTTTAGAAGTTTCAGGGGAATAGCTCACATGTATACTTAACCAGATTGGGTATGAAAATGACAGAGGAATTGAGGAAAAAAAAAAACACCTTTGTATCATATGATCATAAATTCTTTAGTCATACCTCAAATTTCCAAGAACAAAAGCCTCTCAGGATATAATTTCCATTTCAAAAAAAAATACTGAGAATCCAAATTGGCATAAACTAAAGAATATCTACTCCCAATTCCATTTCTATACCCTGAAACTTTGCATCTAGAATTTCAAACGTATCGAAAAAATATTTTTTAAGTAAATACAAACTTCACCATGTGATGGAAGAAAATAAGCACATTTCTACTTCTGGAAAGAGTACTGTGAATTCAAACACCAGTTACTTGAGGACACAATTAATAGACTTCCAAACAAGCCTAGATCTTGTATGCATATCAAAATCCATATGTCACTATTTCTAATTCATTTACATAATCTTTCACCAGTTTGCTTTCCAACTCTGCCAAACCAGTAGTTGGCTCTTCCTGTTTCCATTTCCTGGGGGTATTTTTTTCTGTAGTCTAATAAAAGGTACTCCATTTTGGTACTGAAATCATCAAGTTTTACCTTCATTCAAACAAAACTATTCTGCTCCTCTTCTCTTACATTAGAGCCATAACTCTGCTTAAAGTTTCTCCTTGTTCCTATAAACTCCTGTGTTTTTCTTTCCTATACTCCTTGGCAATCTACTTTTTGTGGTGCTGTTAACATACATGGTTTAGTCATGTAGTGGAAAAGGAACAGGTTTTGGGTCCAATAACCTGTATTCAATGATTTCTTCCTTTAAATTGTCTCTAGTATTTACCTCTCGCTCACCATCCCAACCAGTTGGGCTCCTATCTGCCTAAATTACCAATATGACAGCCTCTACACTGTGCTTTTGTCTCAATCCTTATTTTCTCCTTCGCTTACCAGATTAACCTTTCTACCCCCTTTTATGTCATTCCTGAATTAAAAAAAAAAAAAGTTTAATGTGCTATATTAACAGTGCCCAAAACTTCATTTCAGCATTCACCAATGTCTATAATCTAGTTTTCCCCAACTACCATTAAACCCATCCAGGCAAGTTTCATTTGTCCTGCCTAGCACTTGACTTGTGCTATTACTTATTCCTTGAATACTCTCCCTACTTCCCCTCAAGTACTACCAATCTTCAAACATCTACTGAAATCTTCACCTCCTGTATGAAGGTCTCCTTGACTATTCTAGCCCACATGGAACTCTTCCTTCTCTAATCTTTGGTGACAACTTTTATCTCCATCACACAATCAAACACATAATTGGCGGGGGGAAAAAAGCTGTATACACTCATGTGAGCTATCTTCCCCAACTAGATGGGAATACAGTGGGGACATTTGGTTTGTTTCATATTCATTTTTTTGTTCACCCACATTAAGGACAGAGTGGGGACTAAATAATTTGAAAATTGCCTATTATTATTATTATTTTTGAAACAGAGTCTCTGTCACCCAGGCTCGAGTGCAGTGGCACGATCTCAGCTCACTGCAACCTCCACTTCCCTAGTTCAAGCAATTCCCCTTCCCCTGCCTCAGCCTCCCAAGTAGCTGGGATTACAGTTGCACGCCACTACGCCTGGCTAATATTTGTTTGTATTTTTGGTAGAGACGGGGTTTCACCATGTTGGCCAAACTGGTCTCAAACTCCTGACCTCAGAAAATCTGCCCACCTAGGCCTCCCAAAGTGCTAGGATTATAGGCGTGAGCCACCACGCCCAGCCTACCAATACAGAATTTTAAATATCTATTGTACTCTTAGTTCTAGGTCTTCTATCAAAAAGTTTACAATAAGGTACATTGATAACAGAACTCAAAAAGATGAAAAACACACAATAAAAATGGGCAAGAGTAAGCAGGCATGAAAGGGAGGCATATGAATGGCAAATAAGCACATGAGAAGATGTTTGGTGTCTTTAAGATATTAGGAAATGCCAATTTAAACCACAATGAGATATCCCTACACATGTACTATAATGCCTAAGCTTAAAAAGACTATCAAGTGTTGGAAAGGATGTAATGAACTGGGCCTCTAATACACTGCTGATGGGAATATTAAAATGGTACAAACACTTTGTAAAACAATTTGATAGTCTCTGAAAAATTGAAATTACCCCTATTGTATATTCTAATGATTCCACTCCTAGGTTTTTACTGAACAAAAAAAACCATATGTCTATGCAGATATTTGTATGTAAATATTTATATTGGCTTTAACTGTAGTAGCCAAAACTGGAAACAAGCCAAATGTCTACCAACAGGTAAATGGATGAATAAAATGTGATATAGCCATAAATGGAATAGTACTCAGCAATAAACAGAAACTACTGAAATAAGCAATAATATGGATGAATCTCAAGTGCATTATACTGAGTGAAAGAAGCAAGAATCAAAGGCTACATAGAGTTTATAGACAACATAGAAAAAAAAAAAACAAAATTATACCAATAGGGCATATACAGTGGTCACTACGGTTTGGGAGTGAGGAAAAGGGTTGACCAAGAGAATTTTAGTGAATGATAGAACTCTTCTGCATCTCAATTGGGTGGTGGTTACAAGACTACACATTTCACAAAACATGTAGAACTGAACACCAAAAAGAGTGAATTTTATAGTAAGAATTAAAAATAAGTAATCTCATTGCGCAGACTAAGAGTGTAAGTCATCAATTATCTTGGAATATATCATTACCAACTACTGTATTATACTGAGATGAGAAAAAGGAAGAACAGTATTTGTTAATTATTTTGTGGAAAATTCTAAAAATATGCTGACAGAAGTCAAAACAATTTTTTTTGCTGAACTCAGTAGAACTCTGTCATTTAATAATTTTATTAATATTACATAATCACCAATATTTAGTCATGCCAGATATATACCCACCCCCTCTGCTAGTCAATCCATCCATTCATTCTCTCAATATTTACTGAACATGAACAACAGACCTGGCACTGTTTCAGGTATGGAAAATGTACAAGTAACAGGCCAGATGAGGTCCTTCTCTCAGGAGGCTTACATGCTAACTAGCAGAAATGAAGTAAAGAAAGATCATTCTGACAGGTACTGCTATGAAGAGAGACAAAGAAGGTGATGTGTTAGAAGGCAGGGGATGACCACTTTCAATAAGAAGATCAAGGAAGGCCTCTCTGGGAGGGTGACATTTGAACTAATCCTAAGTGACAAGAAAGAGGCAGGAAACCAAAATCAGGAGGCATAGCCTTCTTGGCAGAGGCACCAGTAAGTACAGAGGACCCCAAAAGGAAGGGGGCTTGGTTTGTGGAAACCACAGAAAGGTCAGTGTGGGGAATGAGCAAGGAGGAACAGATACTAAATATAGCAATCAGGGGCCTGGTAATTTAGTGTCTTACAGACCCTAAATTATTTTACTTTCTGCTGCTTGCAATGAGAAGCCACCAGAGGGCTTTAAACTATCAGCCACATAATCTGATTTACGTTTTTAAAAGATCCATCTGGCTGCCTATTATTTAGGATAGTCTGCTTTCTTCTTCTCTATCTCAAATACCTGCTTCTTCATTTGCCTTCACTATAGGGCCTTAGGCAAATCACGAATACTGTCTCCGTCTCAGTTTTCATATCTGTAAAATAGTGACGGCAGTCACCAGCAAGTGCCAAAACTCTCACAGTTAAATATTTAACTCTGAGGCTGACTGCAGTCTCATTTCTATTCTCACCTTCCCAGGACACTGCCTCATCAATCCTCTTGTCTCTCTCACATTTTCAGTCTCAGCACAAGTCCATTGCCCTCTTCATATTTCACCTGCCAAACAAAATCCTTACTCTGAACCTGCCATTTCTTTGCGCTACCATCTCCTCCATTTAACCACTTTTGCTGTCACCAAAACAGATGACAAAGCAAATATACTCCCAAGAGTAAGCATTGTGCCTCCACCCCATGCCCCAGGTTCTCCTCTTCAATGTTCATTTACTCCTTAGCCAATCACAATCCAATCCAATCCCTTCTTGAAAATCACCAGCACCCATCTGTCAATGGCTCTTAGGTTCTATTCCTGGTCTTCCCAACCCTCTGGTAGAAAACCACTATCTCCCACTGGAAGAAAAGGATAAGGTAACAAAGACAAAAAGGCAGGATTCTATTCCCAGCTGTGTTACTAGCTACTTTGTATGATACTGGAGAAGCCATGCTGTTTCTCTGGGCATTAGTTTCAGTATCCATGCCCATAGTGGGTCAGATTTCTAGATAGTCTTGGAGCCCTTCTACTGGAAATTCTAAGACTACCTGATTCTTCCCTTTGGCATCTATGACTTAAGCACGATCTTGGTTCTCTACATAATTCTGTCTCCTTCATTAGGATGCGTTGTTCATCTTCTCAGTGGGGCACTATTCCTCCAAGTTCCTAACAAAATGCACTTTAAACTGTACTTGAGTCACTACATACATTCCCTCCCTGGGTAATATTACTTTTAACAGCAAAAACCACAATTACTTTTGCACCAGTCTAACAGCATCCACAGGGACTCCCTCAATTGCAATTTCTATGAAGAGGCCTCCCTGACCTCCAGACCAACATCGCCACCTATATGAAGAATGTTTCCAATCATAGGTAGGTCTGGCACTTAAAACTCATGTAGCCAAAGTAACAGTACTTCTGCTCCAAACCTATTATTGACCTCTTCATTTCTTTTTCTTTTTCTTTTTTTTTTTTGAGAGAGAATCTCGCTCTGTCACCCAGGCTGAAGTGTAGTACACGGTCTCGGTTCACTGCAACGTCCACCTCCCACGTTCAAGCGATTCTTGCGTCTCAGCCTCCTGAGTAGCTAGGATTACAGACACAAATCACCATGCCCTGCTAATTTTTGTATTTTTAGTAGAGATGGGGTTTCACCATGTTGGCCAGGCTGGTCTCAAACTCCTGGCCTCAAGTGATGTGCCTACCTTGGCCACCCAAAAGGCTGGGATTACACTGTGCCTGGCTGATCTCTTCATTTCTCTTACTCACCATTATCCATGGGAGTTAAGCTCATAACATGATGTTTTTGCCGATTTTCCACATACTTTACTATTTCTACTCAAATATCAACTCCTCCCCTTCCTCTTCCTTAACAATTTAGTCCTAAAATCATTACATAAGACACAGCAAAGTAGGTATCCACAGTGAAGAAAGGGGGTGGCCAACTGTGGTGGCTTATAGTTGGGTCTATCAAGCCCAAGGGTGGCTCAGAAACCTGATGTGGAAGGTCAGAGTCAAGCAGAGACAGGAGGGCACCTGTGTGTTTGTGTGGTCTAGTGGAGGGTGTCCGAACCCCAGCAGGGTGAGGACAGCCCAGCACGGGAGTCTGTGCCTCGGTGGGATAAGGAGGGCAGCCATAGAAAGGGGGGGTGTCCCTATGACCCAGAATGTGGCATTAGACTGTAATCAGAAAGAGGAAAAGTGTCTTCAGGGATGGGAACCCTCCTTGAAGAAATGGCCAATTCCAGATCTGGGTCAGGAAAAGTACAAGATGGGCCTAAAGCAAGGATGTGCTCAAGGAATGATAGGGACAAGGCAAAGGGACACAGAAACCACTCTCAATGGGCTTCCATTGGCTTAATCAGGAATATTCTGACCATCAAAAATTAGGACAGTAACAGTATGTACGTAACTCACTTCACAAAACAAAAAACAATGACGCCATGCTGATATACATAAATATCTGAATAAACAAAGTCTGATGAAGAATGGGGTGCTTACACAGTTTCAAAGTACCTTCCACAAAATATATTCTAATAGCAAAAGGAAAAGAGTAACTTTATCATGGAGAAACCCTGCAAACAGCACCTGAATCAAGTGGTCTAAGTATAGTAATAACCCAAACAGAAATCACATGCCACCTGACAGGATGCAATGAGAAGAATGCACAAAACAGAGCTGGGAGTAGAATCCTGCCCTTCTGTCTTTCTGTTACATTATCATTCCATTCCAGCGGGAGACAGTGGTACAAAAGCTGATGTTAAGGTTGGGGAGACCATGATATTCCTGCCAAAGGTACATCTGTTGAATCTAATCATGAGGAAACATACCAGAAAACCCAATGGAAAGACTTTCTACCAAATAACTGCCCTTTAATTTTCAAAAGCAGTATCAAGTCATGAAATCTAGAAAAGACTGAGGAACTATCCCAGACTAAAGAGACATGACAACTAAGCACAATACATAATTCTGAACTGGATCCTTTTGCTATAAAAGGCATTATTGGGACAAACAGCAAAAGAGTAGATGCCAGTAACTTACCCATACTAATTTCTGGATTTTAATGGTTATATTCTCATTATGTAAGTGAATGTCCTTGATGCTAGGAGTTCTCTATAATATACTTTCTTTTTTGTAAATTTGTGATTATTTCAAAATCAATTTTTATACAAAAGATAGACGCTTACATAGGCTTTTTCTGTAATATCTCAAACCTGTCCCCTTCTATTACCCCCAACATCTTTACTCCAGAAAGCCTAGCTCTCATCCTTCTACACAGCTGAAATAATTTCTTAACAAGGCTCTTTATACTCCTATCCACCCTACAAACACACTGCCCAATAAGGTTTCCCCAAGTGCACTTCCTCTCCTGCCATGTCCTGCTCCAATATTTCCATAACAACTCACTACCTACCAAGTTAAGTACAAATTTCTTAGTGTAAATTTCAAATTCAACTCCCTTCTAGTTCCAACTAGCCTCTTCCAGGTTTTCTCACCCCCAACCCCGACATCACAGCCCACCACGCGGCTCAACCACACTCAGTGTTTTCTCCCCATCTCCAGGATTTTGCTCACAGAGCTCCCTCCTCCAGTAAGTACCCACTACCCACTCCCTGCAAGATTTTCAATGCTAAGTGTAAATACCAACTCTGATCATCCCCCACCTCCCCATTTTCCAAGACTTGCCCATATAACCTCTCCCTGCCAGAATATCTAAAGTCAATTTTGCCACTTACGAGCCAAATTTCAGTTTCATATCAGAGTTTTCATATATTTATCTCAAAAACTCCTAATATATAAGGTGAATATTCGTTACATACCAATGAAGTATTCATCAGAAATGAAATTAAGTCATAGCCACAGTTATGAATCCAGATGGCCAGCTATTATCTCATACTCCCTCCCTAAGGTATTAACTTTTTAAGCATTCAAATTACTTTTTTTTGTCCTGTTTCCTTCCTTAAACTACAGTTTTCTATTTCTAGCACAAAATACAAACAATTTCCACCACTTTTCTACATAAAAATTTTGGCCTTAGCCATACCACTAACAATCATAAATCCAGAAGTTTCTAGAGCATAAATTAACAAGTGCTTATATGTAATTACATTTTAACTTCATCACCACCTTACTATATAAGGAACAAAATAAAACTCTTAAAACTAAAAACAAATCCTATACTTCACAAGTTTAAAACCAGAGACCCTAATGTTTAAAATGAAGACGCTATCCATTTAACATGCTTTTATTTTTCCTCGGTTTTCATTAATAAATGTTGGAATGTCATCAAAGATATCCAAGTTAATGGCTATATTTAAATGTAATCAAGAAGCTAATATTTTTCTCTCAATTTGAATTTAGTAAACGAAACAAAATGATATATTATTTAGCAGTGGGGGTATATTTTTATCAGCAAATGAACAGTACAAAACTAAAGCAACAGCTGAAAGTGAAGAAAAAAGTACTACTTTGCAGAAAAACATAATGACATCAAAGTATGAAGAGAAGCAAAGTGTTGCTCCTAAATTAGTGGTGATCAATATAACATCTGCTATTACTGTAACATTCCAAGGACAGAAAAGGTCAGACACACCTAGAATTTCAATATTGCAAAAGGCAACATGGAATATCAAATCTATAAGTAATATCTCCATAGTAAGAACTTTACATTCAAAAGTCTAAGTCCGTAGTATGTCACCGGTATGAAAATTGCATTAAGTGGAATAATTTGAGGTTATCTAACTGAAACCATGGCTTTTATCTCAGCATCATTTTTAAAGTATGATGTAAATAATAAACCAATATTTTAGATGATAAGAGGCAGACATACTGACATATAAACCTACGATATTTGTGATGTTTAAAAATGAAACTCACAAAAGTACACTGTACATAGTGATTTGTGTATTATAAAACACTTAATTTTTTTATTATCACCACTCTTCCCAGAAATATAAGCGAATGAAAAATGAATATCAGGAGAAACAACTCTCATTTTAAAATAATTTACAAAAATATTTAAAATATTTACCTGGTGAAATTCTAGGTACATTAGCAATTTCAAAATCAAAATATTATGAGACAAATAATAAGTAAAAGAAAGTTACATGTTTTCATTCCCAAATGACCTAAGCAATGCTGTAATGGATTTATGTATTAGAGTAAGCACCAATACACTCTCTCTCTCTCAGACACACACCCTACCATTCTTTCAGACATTGCATTACATGGAAATATTTCCTTCTCAACTGTTTATATTGAAAGTTTAGTAAAAGGGCAAACTTTGTCACAAACTCCCCGAATTCTGATGTTTGGTTTGTCATATAATGTGAGTTTCAAGGAAACTTCAGGGGCAATTGAAAAATAAAAGAATAAATATAGGTTATTTACTAAACTGTTTCATTCTATCGTGAAAAAAAATCAGCACATATTAAGATAAATCCTAATTACTGTTCTTGTAACCTACCAGAATATGCCCTTTGAAATAGTAAACTTTACATTTAAAAGTCTAAGTCAATGTTAGCCCTGTGTTATGATGCTATCAAAGTGACTATGACTATCGCCATAAACAGCCAGTGTTATGTCAACAGAAATGCCCTGTTTCCATGAGGAATTGTATAAATAAGAAGAACAAGGAATTCATAGTAAGTTTCAGAGTTTATTTTTTCTTTAAATCTGGTTTTAAAAAAACACAACTGCTCCTCTTTTCAAGTAAAATCATAGATCGCCCCTCCTCATTTTTACTTTAAAATGGTAAATGGAAATGATATTTTTCTCCCCAGACTACCCTGAAAACCATGAAGCTAGACTTGAGTATACAAAATACTTGAAACTAAATTAGCAAGTATGTTAAAGGATACTCTATTTTGATTCTTCAAAGGAAATTACACTGGCAGCTCTTGGGGCACATTAGTGATCAGCAAAATGATTAGTTCAACTTAATCACTTTAAAATGAAGAAACTGAGGCTCAGAGCGGTTTTGTTGATGTCCAAGCAGACAGGGGAGTTCTAATCCACCTGACACAACTAGGTCCGGCGTCCATTCTAAGGGCTTTACATTTAGCTTTGTCATAATTTACTTTACAATTTGGTGCTCAGACAATCCATTCACTGGAAATTATTAACAGATGACTTTCGTCACCACTCTCACTGAATGCCCACAGACTGAAATAAAGACAACACACACCTCACAGCCATTACTCATTTCTGTCAGTTTAAAAAATTAACCTGAGCAAGAATCATTTTTCCTATTTGAATAGAACACTCCTTCCTCAAAATAATATTCAGTAACACTAATACAAATAATGTAATGTCTTCTTTCTTCATTAACCTCCAAAGCGTGTATAGAAGAGAACAGACCAGCAGTTCTCAGCTTCTGGATCTCAGAACTCCTTTTCATTCTTAAAAAGTATGAAGGATCCCAAAGAGCATTTGTTTATGTGAGTTACAGTTATTGCTACTGTATTGGAAATTAAAACTAAAATTAAATTATTTAAGTTAAAAATTAAAACTAATATTAAATTAGTTTAAATTAAAAATTAAAACAAATGTTTTAAAATCATTTAAAAATAAGTGATTGCATATTAACATAAACAATATGAAAACTGTTTATGAAACAATATTTCCCCAAACAAAAATCCTTAGTGAGAAGAGTGGCACTGTTTAACATTTTTGCAAGACTACTGTCACACTTAATAGAAGACTGCTGGATTTTCATTGCTACGTGTGGTGCTATGTTTTTCTTCAAGTACATAGAGAAAATCTCATCTCATATAGATATGTTGTTGGGAAAGGGGAAGAATATTTTAATGGTCATTTCAGATAATTGTAGATATGAATCTTTGATACTATACTGAAAAATAACACTGAATAGTTCCTTAAAGGTTAGTTTCAATGTGGAATCTGAAACAACATCAGTGAAATTTTCATACAAGATTATATCAAAATCCATTGATCTGTGTTCCATTTTGGGTGGATATTTTAACAAAGCATGATTTCTGACTGTGTGAACTTCCTTGAAAAGGTCTCAGGAACCCTCAAACCATGATTTGACATCTACCAGAAAATACTGCAGTTCAAGGTTCAACCTAATGATGAAGGATACTATTAAACCTAGAAGCAGTATACACTGCCTTGATCCTTTATGATATTTAATTCATTAACCTATTCAACATTCCCTGAAATGAGTTATCATCATATTTTAAGAAATAGGCAAAAAGGTTGGGTTTTTTGTTCAAAATAAGAGACTAAGGATGATACTTGGACAAGGTTAAATTAAATATTATAACATGTAGACTGAACTCTAGAAAAACAACTAAATTTCCTCTGATCCTTGAGCTTTTACTCTGGTAATCATCAAAACAAATAGGTTTGGATAGTATTCACCAAGAAAAGCTGTAAAGAATCATTAATCTATAAGAGATATCAAATCACGTTAAAGCTTTAAAGTTTTTAGGAAATTTAGCTGGCACAAAACTAGTATGTATATAAGCAGAATGAATCCCTGTTGACTGTATTAACAAATACATAAGGAATTTTGGAATACTCAAGAGGAGACACAAGACAATGCTTCCTGTGCCTATGAATGCAGGATAGGCTCAAGGTCACTAATTCATACTAACATGTCTAAGGCTATGCACGGGTCATTGGACCATCAGGAGGGCTTCTTGAGTGGAGCATGAAAACTACATTTAAAATAGTAGAAATAGGGATATAGAACAAACATAAGAGACAATCATTTGAGCTTACTGCATCTGTAATATTTCTACCAGAAACATCATTACTCAAAGCAATAGTTTTCAAAAATAAAAAAGCATAAATAGAACTGTAATAACAAAGGTATAGTGCATAATCATTTTTAAAATATGAGTTTAATCATAAGAGATTATCAAATATTTACTTTAACAAGTGCTTAAATATTTTAAGTATTTCTTTATAAGATTCTGTGGAATTTCATACAATGAAGAAAAAGAAAACTAAAAATATGAAAACTAAAAATTATAAAACAATTTCATAATAGCAAAACATATACAATGCATACTAACATACTGGAAGGAATTCAAAGTATTTCTCATAAATTATCTCATTTAAATTGTCTTAACTACCTTTGAGATGGGTACTATTTAATCCCCTTATACAGTTGAGAAAACTAAACAATTAAGTAGCAGAGTTGG
Source organism: Homo sapiens (assembly GCF_000001405.40). NCBI lineage: Eukaryota > Metazoa > Chordata > Mammalia > Primates > Hominidae > Homo > Homo sapiens. The sequence continues at coordinate 148,433,672 of NC_000004.12, forward strand.
GATTTCAACCAGTTATGCTGTTAACTACCAGGCTATACTACCTCATACCAGCTCACTAAAAACATCATTTACAAAAATATTCACAACACATGAAAAAAGTCCTTCTCTAAAAGTAAAGCAAAGCACTAGCAGTAAAACACATGCTCAATTTGGTTCTGATGGCAGCCATGCTATCTCATGACTTGTGTTAGAACTTATAATTTAAGAGACAGCATCAGAATATGATTAAATAGTTCATGCTGTGGGGAAACTATAAAAATGTATCCTTTATGAAATGTTTGCTTCCATAAGCAAGAAAAGCAAGGTTTGAGGCAATGACAATAAGAAGAATACATAAAGTTTTTGCTTTTGGTTTGGAAAAAAATAGAATAAGAGAAAGCCACAGCAATACATGTAAACCCTATATCCTGTTAATGGGATGGACATATTCCCCACAAAATAATTTTTAATGAAATAAAGGAAACTATCCACATAGTTCTGGATGCCAAAGGAATGAACTATACTAAGGAAATCTATTCTTTATATAGTCCATAAAGGAATAATTTATCACAACCATGTAATAAAAACAGTACTGAAGCAAAGTCCAATCCAAGTATTCACTGTATAACTTAGAACCACCCTTTATAGTCATATCTAAAACCTCTTCCTTGTTTTTTCTAAATATATACAACATGCTATCTGCAACAAGGAAAGCCAAGAGATATTTTACAGTAAATAAAATATGTCTTCTTGCAGATCTGAAAAGTTATAAATATACCAATTCAAAACTGCAGTGACATATTTCACTTCCAATATAAGTAAGAAAGCAAGATTGTCCACTTAGTAATTTTAGATATGCTGAGTCTTTAAAAGCTCTCAACAGTTAAGGAAATGATTTATTTGTATTGAAAAACCACAACTTTCATATAATTAACCTACTTAGAAAAGGGCAGAAGGGAGGGAAGCCTGTGGGTAACAGATACAGGATTCAATTTTAGCTTTCACAACCGATGAAGTGATGATTAATAAAGAAAGCCATAATAAAAAAAAGGACTAAGACCACAAATAAACTAACTTAAAGCAATTTTAGTAAACCGGCAAACAGCTAAAGGAAAAAAAATCTAGTACTGGTCTGCTAAATTACTGTATTTACAATAGTAACTGGCAGTAAAACATAAATTTTCCGAACACCTAAAACAGGAAATGGGGAGTGCGGGACACCTACATATGCCCCTTCAAAATCAATGCAGATATTTTCTAAGACATTTTAAGAATGCTTTTTCCCTCTACTTCAAAAAAATAACATTATATCAACATGCAAAGTGGAGCAACATATGACCATCCTTAAAACAGTAATCTGAAATGTGTTTAAATTTATCAACTGTAAAGATAATGCTAACCTTCAACATGTATAAAGCCATGACTTCCAAAAAAATGGAGAAAACCAACTTACCTTGATACATTTTCTGGAATGTATTCTAAGACCGGATACCCATCACTTCTTCTAGACGACAGGTCGCCGTGTGATTTCCATGACTCCACTAAAGTATTGACAGGAGGAAAGGAACTCAGGTGTTGGAAAGATTGGTCTCTAGCCGATCGTGATAAAGATATTGTACCTTGAGCACCAATCCTGTAGTGGAAGGACTGTCCACCTGAATTCACCCCAACAATAGCAGAGGAAGGGATGCTGGCCTCTGGGTAATAGCTCCCATCATCTGGTTCTTGTTTAATACCCACTGGGAATCCGCTGCCTTCACAGTTACCATCAAAGCCGGGCACAGGTGGTCCTAAAATTCCTGATAGGGAATAATAGTCTTTATCATCCATAAAGGAAAAATACGAGCCATCCATAAATGGAAACGGGTTTACTGTTGGATTCCCTTTAAAAGAGGTGCCTGAACATGAATGCTTGGTTGATTCTTGCTTTATTGGTACTGAGAATGAAGAATCCGAATTTATTTTGCTATTTCCTCCTAGACATGAGCTGCTAAAAGCTCCATCTGGTTCTGGTTTTATGTACTGGACAATATTAAGCTGGCCAGTCACACCATTTGAGATGGCACTCTCTACTTCCTCAGTCTTAGGAAAAGGGACCTCTTGAGCACCTTTCTCCTGCGTGTCTGGACTGGGAACCACATCCCGCAATGTACTGGATCCAGCAGAGGTGCCAGAAGCAGTGTAGCTGAAGGCATTGTTTACAGGGCTACAGATAGATCCCACAGTACTGGCTGCCGGACTGGAAAGCGTGGATCTGTTATTAGTGTTCGAAGGGCTGGAAACAGAGCACCTTGAGTTGTTAATATTTGCAGGGCTAGACACAGAGGATCTCAGAGTGACATTATTGGGACTGGAGACTGGAGATTTTACACTGCAGTGACTTGGAGGGCTGGAAATTGAGGATTTCATGCTACTTAACGGACTTGAGAGAGGAGAGCCCACATTGCTAGCATGTGCAGGGCTGTGCGACCTGGAGCCTCGATTTTCAACATTAGGGGAGCATGTCAGAGGAGTTCCCTGGGTGATTGGGCTGTGCACTGGAAAACTGCCAAAGCTGGCTGTGGTGGAGGACACAGAGTTGATTCCAGCAGGGCTGCAAACCGAAGATGTCATGTTCAGAGGGCTGCAAACAGACGGGCTTTTCTCATGACACATGATAGGGCTTTTAACAACGGCGCGCATGACGCCACCATTCACGGAGCTCCCAGAGTCAGACATAAATGATCTCAAGGGCGTGTTCACACAACTTAGAGTGGAAGGACGATGGCCATTTCCTTTGTAAAATTTCACCAGCTGTTCAACATTCTGATAAATCTTAGCTGGACTCATGCTTCCTTGTTGGTTCTGCTGCTCATAGGAATAGTCAGCATCTCTTACAGAATCCATATATAAACCCATGGACTCAGCTACAGTTGCTGAAAGTTCCTTAGATTCCAGCTCAGTTTTAATATCAGATGTTAAAATCCCAGGCCGATTATTGTCTTGCTGAAGGCAAGGGAGTAGTTCTTGTTTTTCTTTGCTGCTTCCTTGAGTACTGTTGTTTGGAATAGCACCGGAAACACAGCTTACGTTGACAATCTCCATGTAGTTATTCTCATCGGTCCTCTCTGTAGGTCCCAGGGAAGAACGCTCCACAGCCTGAGAAACTTGACCCCACCGTCTTTCCATATCTAGACCTTCAGGGAGACTGTGGTAGCCTTTGGTCTCCATCGCTAACAAATAAATTTACATTAAAAAATTAGAGTCAGTTATAGCAATATTACTCTAAAAGACATTCTAAAATTGCATTTGCTAAGCCACAAAACATATTCTACTTATTATGAGCAACATTTCTAGCTAATTTAAAACTGTTACCTTTTTGGATGCTGACATAACAGAGTATTGACTACAGCTTGTCGAGATGTCAGAACAAGAGAAGCGATCATATAAAACTGTTTTGGATCTAAATAAAAGTAACATGTTTGCTATAATACAGTCTTTAGAGTCTGCAAAAAATATTTACAAATGTTAACTTATTAGATATTCAAAGTAATCCTGGGAATTATTAAGGCAGGCAAAAAAAGGTAACTGAGGACTTAGTGAAGTGGGTGGCTTGCCCAAAGTCAAAGACATGGTGACAAAGTTGGGTTTAAATCTAAATCTTTTGACTCCAATGCCTTTGGAGTCTTTGGATCATATAGAAGCTGCCTTCCATATTTAATTCATGGCCTTGTTAAAAACAATATGGAAATGTAATTAAAGTTACTCTTTCCAAACATAAACATACCAAGTGAATTATCATAGGAAAAATAATTTTTGATTTTTTTAAAAGTAAGACTCTCTTTAGATTAGTGATGAAGATAATTTAATGTCAGTTCTGAAAAGATCTATACATTCTGATAAAGATGGTCCATATCTCAGAAGGGCTGTATGACAATTCAGGAATGACTGGTGTCTTCTCTGTATTTCAGTACTGGCAAGGACTTTGACATGCACCCTGACCTGTGCATGGTACCAGTGGTACCTCTGCTAGAACGACTGCCAACAACCAGAAATGTTTACTCTCAATGGTAAATGGTGACTTTTGAGAGGAGCCCCGAAAATTTAAGCATTCATTCATTCATTCAACAATATTTACCAAGTGCCTGCTACACCCTTGGCCTTAGACCAGTCAGTGAACAGGCAGTGATAAACAAAAGAGACACAATCCCCATCCTCAAGCAACCCACCAGGTTGTTTCAGATATATAACCATATCCATGCGCTCTATAGATCAATTTACTTCACAGACAGAATCTTCATAATAGGCTATATTGATATAATTCTTACCCATATAATTTAATGCAGTATTGCAAGCTTCTTGCATATATTAATTCATTTATCCTTACACACAACCCTGAATGACTGATAAAAGTATTATCCAAATAATACAAGTGTGAAAACTGAGGCACCAGACACACAACCAAGTGTTGGAGCTGCAATTTGATCGCAAGTCTCTCTCTATACAGTTTCTCAATCTTGGCACATTGACATTTTGGGCCTGATAATTCTTAGTTGTGGAGGTCAATAATGCATTGCTAAGGCGTTTAGCAGTATCCCTAACCCCTACCCACTAGATGCCAGTAGCATTCCACCTCCCCAGTTGTGACAACTGAAAATGTCTCCAGACATTACCAAATGCCCATGGGGGGCAAAATCACCCTTGGCTGACAACCACCACTGTAAAGAAACATATCTTAAAGGAAATTAACTCACTCACAGTAAAATTTTATTTTTACATTTTAGTATTTTAAAACTCCTAAAATCTGTATTATGCATTTTTCAAACATTTCAAAGTCTGTAAACAATCTATGGCCCAAAAAAAGTCCTGATCTAAAAGATGCTGTTTCTGCCATTCTATACACAAGTTTTATTTTTGGCCTCTCATCCTTTCCCCTCTTTGTCACTATCTCCACCCTGCCTACCTTCCCTTCATTTAAAAAAAAACAAAAAACACGAAGTCCTTTTGTTACAGAATATGTATTAACATTGAAAAATAATGCTACTAAATAAATTTGCATTAGATAAATCTTAGCTGGACTCATAAATAAATTTGCATTAGATAGCACAAAGCCCTATGAAGAAATTTAATGTCCAAATTGTCCAAGTATTATAATTACCTCTTACTTTTCTGTGTTTTTACACTAGAGTTTACCTTCTCAAAGGGCAGAAATGATCAATTTCACTACAGTATCCCAAGTGGATACATTGAAAAAATTTTCAACTATTATAATATCAATGCTCAATTTCCAAACATTAAAATCTACCAATTATGTAGTATGTTTTCACTTAAAGAACATCCTATGAATTCCTAATCAAAAATCAATCACAAAACAGTAGAAAATAAATAAAATTACAAAGGTTGAGGTAGTTATCTATTAATAGTAATTCCAGCCAAAATGTTTGGTGTGGATGAAAGCCAAGTAAAAGCTGATAGAAAACTAAACTAAAAAACAGTGAATTGGGATCCAAATAGCTAAGACTGGCCTTTTATGCTTTACTAAAAAACCATTTAGTCATAGCTATGTATTGAAAAATAGCAGTAAATATTATATGCTGCTTCTATTTCTACCTAAGAATATTTTGTCTTCCCCATACTAAAGATAAATTACTATATAGCTAAGGTATAAATGGTTCAGATCCAAATCCATTAAACAACACAATAAATATGTCTATTTGTATTCAAAACTGAACACTTTCTGCACATCTCTCCCCCCACACACCCCCAAATTCACATTCGCTCTCTTGGCAAACTGCACCACCATCTAACCAGATGCCTGGAAGTTACTCTTGTCTCAACAGCTTTACCTGAAGGCCTTCACTGGCACACTCTGCGTCACTCACATAGCCTCATTCTCTTCCTGGTCATAGTCAAGAGGGCTCTCTGTCCCGTGTCTGAAGGGGACCCCCACCCAGACCCCTCTCCAAAACCCATTCTCCAAATTGTCTTTTGGGAAGGGCGGTCCACTCTTGGCTTTTTTGAAATTTCCCTATATAAATTTGCATATCAAAACCTCTGGGAGATTCTGTTTACTTTTTAATCCAGCATTCCTCAAATAATTTGACCACTCCACCTTTTTCTCAAAGAACATCTACTAAGATTCTGCACTTTTCGGCACTCTGCCCTAAAGCAAGAACCATATCCCACATTTGTGAGGCTACGGAAGACCTGAAGAGAATCTATACTGGAGATGATGGGTACCAAAGACAGTCTTAAAGCCCTGGACAAGGTAGCACCTTACCAGCTAACATCATACAGCTGATCACAACTTTCCAAGTCCTGTTTGGCTAACCTTGAACTCCCTTAATAACATAAAATAGGCTGTGTTTCACCACATTATTGACAGGAGTCTCATTAAGGAATTTGCAAAAGGCTTTGCTGAAATCTAAATTACTTTGTTTAAGGTATTCTCATCTACCAACCTAATGCACCTCTCAACAAAGGAAACAATACAGATTGGCAATAGTCAAACACAAAAGAATACAAGACATCTAGCATCTGCACGGCTTCTACACAAACATTTTTTTAAGATCAGATATTTTTCAAATAGCATTATTGAAATATTTTGAGTCTCCCTAGTATTTTAATTAGTCTTTTCTGTAAACAAATGGGTCCAGTTAGGAATTTATTTACTATGTCATCCAGGAAGCAGAGGTTATCTTTTTGCAACTGGCACAATGACCATGGCTTGAGCAGAATTTCAGTCAACCTGTACTAACTAGTGAATACTGAAAATACTAGTCGATGAATATGATCCTCATAGAACTTAATATCTAGAGGATAAAGAAAAAGTTTATGTTACTAAAGTATAAAATGAAGCAGATAGAGGTATACAAATCTAACTAACAAAAATCAGGCTTGCCTGCCTCACAATGGAAACCATACCAAAGATTCTCTTAGGACAAATGCAAAAAACATTATGAACTTTTAATTTTCATGCAAATGGGCCTCGCCCCAAAACACAAAAAAAAATTCACTAAAGGAAAAGCACTGGTGGAGGTGCTACTTTAAGCCATACATATGCTCTCAAACACAAAAGAAATGCTGTTTTCACAAAGGAAAACCTTAAAGTTTTACGTTTTACAGTCTGTGTTAAATTGCCCTTTTCCATAAAGAAGTACTTTTTTCGGGAATATTAACAAAGATCCTTGCGAATTTGTATTTTATCTGGAAACACTTTCACTTTTAGTAACCCCCAAAACCCAATCTCATCATGATGGAAATGATAGAAAAGGCATCTTTTTTATATTTATTTGACTATAAGATGGCACTTTAAAGACTAAAGCTTAAGAATCTCACAATCATCTATAGACTGCATAGTTGTAAAAGTTCACTATATGTAACTATTTTTTGTCATTCCCCACTACATAACTATTATGTTCCTCTCTTTTATAGATGAGGTAAATGATAGAAATCTGCCCAAGGTCACCTGAGAGAGCGGGAGAACCAGTTAGAACTGAGCACACCTGATTTCTATTCACTCACCTAATTTACCGAGCCACCTGATCTTTCCAAAAATCGCCAAACAAAACTATGCCTCCCTTAAAGGAAAAAGCTCCACTTTAAATTATTTTTTAAAACTTCTCCTCTCAAGCTTTTCCATGATAGCTGCCACGATGTCAAACATAAAATTTAAACTTCACAGCAGGACTTCACAGATGGAGAATGCTGTTATCATTACTATGTAAATATCATCAATAACAGCACCTAGAGAAATGGCAATACAAAATGTTAGGAAGCAATTTGGTGCCTTTAAAATTCGGCGGTTTCAAAAGCTCGTCTGCTATCAAAAGTTTTCCTAACTCCTATGTCATAATAAATAATTAAAACTGATGGTGCCATAAACCATTATTATTTAAACCTGGTCTTTTTAAATTGAGTAGGCAAAGCCACGCACCTAAAATTCAGTAGCAGAGTAAGGATGCCACCAAAAGAAGCTTCGTCCCCTTCTCCCTTGCCCTTAAAATTCCAACTGATGCCATAGGAAGCGTAGCCTGTCTCAAGAGTTTCGCGAATGCTAGCGAACGGGAAATGCACGAATTTCCAGAGCCCCTTTTATACAGGATCTATTAGGATCTATATCTCCTTCAACTGCCCTTATGCGCTACACCTCCGGCTGAGATTTGGGAGCGTCCGCAATTGATAAAGGAAAGAAATATTATTCAAACGTCCTTTAAAAATTGTACAGGGAAAATGATCCGAAATTCATCTTTGGGTAAAGGGAAGGGTGGTAGACCTCCCACTGCCAAAGGCAGTTAAAAGCTGCTAGTTAGAGGGCATTTATCCAAAGTGGCCAAACTTTCCCAAAATAGTCCTCTGGCGGCCAAAGGGGGAGAAAAGTGGAAAACCAAAACAAAACAACAAGCACACAGCACCATACTGACTGTGCCTCCGGATTACGCAGCCACTTCTCCCTGCAAAGTGCACGCTCCCGCGCCGCGGCCGCACGCCGAGCACGGCAAGCGGTGCCCCGCCGCGCGCCCCTACACACCTGCCTCGGCCGGGGTCCGTCTCTCGCCGTCTACCTGTTGCAGCGCTTGCCACCGCCACGAAACCCCTGCTGCGGAGCCCCCCTAAATCCAACCACATCCAGGCCAGCGAGTGCCGCTCTCCCTGCAGCGGGAGAGCCCGAGGCAGCAACGCTCTTGCACCCAGGTGACTGACTGCACGGGCTTCCTCTGAGCAGCCTGAAGTTGGCTCCCGTCTCCCGGGCCCAATGACACCCCGGGCGCGGAGGGGCTGAGAGGAGGGGGCAGGGGCAGGGGCAGGGCCAGGGCGGGCAAAAAAGGGAGGGAGAGAGGGCGGGCGAAAGCCCGGAGGGGGAGTGGGCCAGCTGGAGGGCTGGCCCTTTTAAAAGCGGGTCACATGTCCAGATAAAGTTCAGGTTGCTATCCCGCCCCCCTGAACCCTTCCTATTGGCCCGAAGAGAAGCAAGGCTCCACGCCGCACGGGTCAGGCGGGCTTCTTATTGGACAATCCAGGCTGTCAGTCACCAGGCGGGCGACATGACTGATACAAAGTTGCTGCGACACAGCCTGGACTCGGCAGCTTCCTTAAAGCCGCAGCCGCGGCGGGAGCTTGGGGTGCCGGGCGGTGGCTACATCAGGCGGCCTCCGCACGCTGCCCCCACCCCCATCGCTCGGCCGCCCCAAACTTGCTTACGTCCACCCTGCTCTCCTTCTGACCGACCCCAGGATATCTGGAGAGATGTGAAAAGTGTGCTGACGCGGAAGAAGTCGGTTTTTCCGCGAGCAAAGTGTCGTCCCCTCACGCTCTCCACCTGCAGCTCCAGGTGAGCTGCAGCCCAGACCCTGGCGCCGCCCAACAGCGTCCGCGCGCGGGGAGGACTCTGGGTGGGCTTCACCCGACCCTCGAGGTTCCTCTCCCAGCCCCTTTCCACTGTCTCCAGAGTTACCTCTCAGCAGAGCAGCAGCAGCCTTCGCTGCCAGCGAGCAAGACGATCACGTTCACTCGATTTGAATTTAGTTGTTTTAACCGTGCTGGAAAAACCCTTTAAACACAGCTTTCCTCCCATCCCTTAGACCCCTAACACCAAAAAAAAAAAAAAAAAAAAAAAAAAAAAAAAGAGAGAGAGAGAAAGATAAATGAAAGAAGTGGCAGGGTCAAGAGCTGCTCCTCTACTTCCTTATAATTTTGTCACTGTACTTACTACTTTAGTATTGGATTTTTCCACTAGTTCAATTTGAAAGCAAGCTTACCATCGAGGATATTCACGTTATAATGGGTGGAGGGGGTGGGTCACATAAGTGGGAGAAACAGACAGGAGGGGGGAAGGAACCAAACTGTTTTCTAAGGATCGGTTGTCTGCATGAAGAAATTTCGGTTTCCCTCCAACCGCCCCCTCCTCGATTCTCCTCCCGCCCACCCAAATGCTGCAGTTACTAAGCAAAAGGATGGGGTTCCTAACTTTGATTTCTAAGGACTTTTAGGCTTCTCATGTAAGGCCCCGTTTTAGGCTCCCCGCTGGCCCGGAGTCAGCATCAGTGACGTATACACCTAAATCTGGTCCCCCGGCCCTCGGCGACCCGCAGCCCGGCGGCGGCAGCTGTGCGGCCTCCCGCCTCACCCTCGCTTCGCGCCCGCCAAAGCCCGAGGCGGGGGACCGGGGGACACCCTGTGCCCAAAGGCCCCTCCTCTCCTTAACAGTTAGTTAAGCTCCGGGATTCCGGACCCCTAACCCAGGGCTGAGACTTGAACTCTCAGCCGCTCCAGTCAGGAACTCCCTGGAGATAGGGGCGACAGCGGCAGCGCCGCGAGCTGGTCCTGACCCCAGACTCTAATGCCCCTCGGTCCCCAGCTTGGAGCTGCCCCCGGCGTCCCCGCAGCCAGGAGTCCCCGCCGAGCGTCCCAACTTTCCCGCGGGGCCCACCGTCACGCGCACTCTCCCGGCCCAGCGAACTGGGCATCGATCTCACGTCGGCAGAGCGCGGGCGGCGGGCGGGAGCAAGGGGAGTCCCGGACCTAGAGCCTGGGCACGCGAGGCGGCGGCGGCTCCGCAAGCGTTGCCGAATTATTCATTATTAAAGGAATGGACGTGTCTCTTTTACTAAGTTTTTATCTCCTTTGAGGAGGGCCGGTCTTGCCCTGGATCTCAGCTTCTTGCAAAATCTAGGTTAGAACCGTGCAGGGGCAGCCGCCGCGATCACTCGCCCGCCACCCAGCACCCTTGCCCCAGGGCCGCCAGCGGGCAACTCGTCTCCTGCCCGCATCCCACCTCCGCTCGCCAACCCGCGCCCTCTGCCCTGGGCGCGCAACCTGCCTTGCCCGGGGCCGCCCCTGCGCTCTCCGGACCCCCTCTCGCCGCTGTCAGCGCAAAGTGACTGTCGCTGCACTCACCTTTTCTAGGACATGGTGGGGAGGCTGGGGCGGGGGAAGGGGAACGGCTAGACTCCCGCCGCCGCTGCTGCCGCCGCCACCAGCAAGTCCAATATTGGCTGATCGGCGGTGAGGATGGAGAGGATGATAATCCCGGCAGTGGCAGTCGCCCTGCTGACGGTGGGTAGAGCAATAGTGCTGTTACCCTACAAGAGGCGGCGAGGCAGCGGCGCCAAATCGCGCAGAGGGGGACGCGGGCACCCGCCCGCCCCCAGCGGCGGCGGCCGGGCCTCTGGCGGGCCCCTCTCCCGGGGCTGCGCGTCCGCTCGGCGTTGACAGCGGCGTCCCTGGGAGCCGGGAAGTCCGGCAGGAGGATCCCGCGCCCGCCGCTCCGCAGCGCCACTCTCCGCGCCCCCTCCCCGGGCCCTGGGTGGCCGGTGACAGCTCCGGCGGCCGAGCGCGTGTGTGAGGGGGCGGTCGCAGGGGGAGCCTGCGCCCCCCTCCCCGGGTCACGCCCTCACGAGCGGGAGGAGGCGGCACCGCGTCCGGCCACCCGCGGGTGGGAAACGGGCAGGGGCGCCGGCAGCCGCCCTCCCACTACGGCCACTGACAACCTGGAGGCCAAAGGAAAACTGAGCCCAAATGCACGCACCCCCTTCAGCCCTGCCCGCAGCCCTCCAAAGTCCGGCCCTGACCTCGCGCCCGGCTTCAGGTGCAGTTCCCACCTGCGGGGGGAGGCGAGGGCTGGGGACCTCGCGCGGGGGGCGGGAGGGAAAAGTTTTCTTTTCCTGCTCCTCGGCTGCCCACCCCGCCAGGCTGCTCCTCTCCCCGCCCCTCTCGGGCTCGCCGCGCCTCTGCCCCACCCCCGCCGTGGGGGGGCGCCGAGGAGGGAGCGGGCGTCTGTGCGCGGAGGCGTGCGGGGAGCTGGCTGGGGCGCTGCGGTCGCGACCGGTCCCCTCGCTCTGACGGCGGCTCAGACGCCCGCGGAGGCGGCTCGGCGGGGCAAGCCGAGGAAGGGGCCGAGAGCCGGGACCCCTCCTCCTCCGCTCGCGGCGCGCCGCGCGCCCCCGCGTCTCCTGGCGCGCCCCCGCGCCCTCGTGCCCGCTCGGGCAGACACCTACGCAGACGCGAAAGTGAAAGGGGGGCGACTGGGCCCGGCAGGCGGGCGGCCGGCGGCGCGCGGGCACGCGGCAGGGGACAGAGGATGGATGGGTGAACCCGGATCCCGGGATTCTCCCGCGCCCGCTGCCCCTCTGCGGAGCCTCCCCGGAGTCCCACGCCCCCACCCCGGCCACGGAGATCACCACGTCAGGAGATATGTATGCGTGTGCATGTGTGTGCGCGCGTGTTCACGCGCGTGTGCGAGGTACGCTTCTGCCCCAGACTCTTCCCCCGCACCGTTACACACACCCTTAGATGGAAGATTGGGGGTTTGGGAGGGGGGAGAAGTGTGAGTGTCACTACCAGTTAACCGGCTCCCCTGCTGTGGTCCCTTTTGACTCAGTTAAACCCCACCAACTGACCACACACACACCCCTTTTCTGGCTTAACACTCCTTTTTCTGCAGGCTCTATTGCCCCCTTCCACCCCCGCCCTTCTTTGGGTTCTTTCCCGTTTTATTCCTAAATAGCTGTGAAAGTTGCTAATCCCTTCCCACATAGACCCGTGTTAAACACCGAGGTGCCCTGTTAAAACAATCACTGCCTTTCTCCTTCCACATTCCCACTGTCCTGACAGCGAGCTTCCCATTGCCTCCATCACCTACACAGTTTTGGCACGACTCGGTTCTTAGCTGGCTCAAGGTAACAATTTGGCCTCTAGTAAAACAACCTTTTGGCTTTTCTTATTTGTAGGAAAGGCTTCTAGGTTCATATTTACTGCATTCTTAAGGTATATCTTAAGATGGTGATCAAGAAAATATTTACGTATCAGATATTTTGAAAAATAACATTCAGTGAGTTTTAAAAAGAACCATTTGGAAGTGTACTGATGTCTGCAAACTAATTTGGAAGTGCGTGCATCAAAAATAAAATGCAGCAACATTGGTGGATTGATAAAATGGACAGAAGGATGGATAGATATGTGATAAAACATGTTGATAATGCAATATTAATAGTAGAATATAAGTGCTAAGTATACAGGTGTTCACTGTAAAGTTCCTTCAGCTTTTTTGTGTGTTTGAAATTTTTCATAACACAATGTTGGATAAAAAGAACCCCCCCACTTAAGGTAACCTATATAATGTAAATTGTTTCCAAAACTTACAAATTGGGCATTGATTATTGTTTCCTCCTTTACAAAATGATTTTCTATAACAATTCTTAAGCTAGGTACTCCCACCACTATTTTAATCAATGATTTCAATTAAGGACAATTTGATCAAATTAGGGTGTACAGTGGGGTTATTATAACTGCAACATTTTAGAAATTTATAAGGTTTCTTCCTGTGTTTCTTTTGTCCATTTTATACATACACACACACACACACACATACACACACACACACAAACTGTTCTCAAATTTTCATCTTCCCTGCTTTTAAAACAGTTTGGTATTACAAAGCTAAGATTGAATTTTTAAGCAGATATGGATATTCTTTTGAAACTTTTTCACAAAATAGCTTGTGGGGAGTCCATTTGCCCTTATTTACAGTATCAGCTTATCTTACCCCTTGGGAGAGATGTTAGGGGATCTTGCAATTATTAATAGGCAAAGCTTTATTTGTTTTTTGGTATCTGAGTCTTTAAACATTTGCCCAAATATTTGAATGATTAAGTTTCCCCTGGGTAAACCACTTTTATATTTTCCTCTGCTGAGAGACAAAAGGTGGTCCTGTGACACCCTGAAAAGTGAACAACTTTGGGATAAGATCTGAGTCTCCCTCATCTGAAGAGAAGGTGGCACTGGTTTTGCTTGGAATCACCCCACAAGTGATGCCTCAGAGGGATCTCTTCAAAGAAGATGGGTTTTTAGAAGCTTAGGAATACTCTTCATTCCAATGCCCATTCATAGAGAGCCCGATCAACTCAGAAATATGTGTGCCTAGTAAATGTCAATATTTAGTTGTTTTCTGAGATGTCCCTTAACAAAGTTTGTTGCTTTCGTCTTTTTATGTAAGTGTATTTTTTCCTTGCAAAAGGATAGAAATTTTTTCAAGAAAAATAAAAGGGAGAATTATCGTACGGAAAAGGACGTTAACTTCGTCTCCTATGTAGCTGCCAAATAGCTGAAAGCTTGAAGCAGCATCAGACATCTCCCTTTTGACAATTGCTCTCCCTCTATTCACAGTCGCTGAACCTCAGGACACCTCCCTCCCCCCCATCCCATTAATGTCAAACTCCCTGAGGTTTGCCACTAAAGTGCACGACTCAGCGTTTGCAATTTACATGTGTGACATCACATCCTCTATTATGTAACTTCAGATACAAAGCCTAATATCATCTAAGTTTGTGTTGGAAAAAAATCCTCCCTAGCTCTCTATTTCAGCTTTAGCAGAACCACCCCTTAGTTCTCTGCTCCGAATCCATTCCTTCAACAGCTGACACTGAGGGGTGGGGGGAAAGCCATGGAGTTAAGCTGTAAAATTATAAGCCAAAAAAAAAATTGAACATGTATATGTTGAAATGTATTATGTACTTCTCCATTATCTATTTACTGACAAGAAAGTAAAGACCAATAGGTATCATATAATTTAATCATATTCAATAATTTTTAAAAGTTAAAGGCTAAGCATTTGGTCCTAGTTAACTTCATTAATAAGCCTAGCCATGCTGGCATTTTTTTTTATTTCTTTCTAAAAAGCTGGGATTTTTTTTTTTTTTCAGTCTCTTACCAGCTGTTGGAAAGAGTTGAGAAAGACAGGGAGAGTCAGAAAGAGAAAGGAGGGGGGTGTTGGAGAGAGAAGATGAATAGAGGAATAATATAAGATAAAACTTCTTCTTTGTTTATTGCAAAGCACACATGTTACAGTTTATAAACACTGCAAGTAAATAAGAAATTGTAGACCAGAAGATAAATACAAAACATATCAGGGTTTTTGTTAATATCCAAAATAGCCCAAACTCAATTTTCTAGACTACTTGGAATATTTGTATTAGCTTTGGTTATTCATTAATTTCTGTATTTGTTTACCTTATTATTTATTCATCTGGCTACCTTAATTCCATCTGTAGTCATTTTAAATAGAAAATATGCAAACTTAATACATTTTTATGGCCAGATTTTGAGATGACAGAGCACCAAACAGCACATGCATCACAATTAGTATGCCATATTATTAGAAGCAAATCAGATTTCACCGTGCCTACACTGATGTTCTAAATTTAGAAATAATGTACAGTAG
Organism: Homo sapiens; assembly: GCF_000001405.40. NCBI lineage: Eukaryota > Metazoa > Chordata > Mammalia > Primates > Hominidae > Homo > Homo sapiens. The sequence continues at coordinate 148,448,847 of NC_000004.12, forward strand.
TTGAAAAAGGGGAGGAACTTAGAGCAGTATATTTTAATAAAAATAAAGACATTTTCAATTTCTCCTCTTTTTTTCATATATTCTTGGTTTAGTACAAGAAATTCATCACCTTTAAATAACTGTGCTAATCTTACATAAATAATTGCATGATTTGTGTGCTCATTAAAATTATGCCTTGAAGCTGTTTCTGCAATATTATGTACAGTAACAACCGCAAAAAAAGTGAGACAATCCAATGGGTCAGGTGTGGGAAATGTAAGTCTCTGTTGAACTTGATGAAACACTCATTTAGAATTTCTCATTAGGACTTCACAGGAGCAGTTAGCTTTTCAGTAGTTGGCACTATATTTTTAGCAACATTTTAACAGCTGTCAGTAGCAACTAAGACAACATCTTTGTCAACACTATTTTTTAAACTCTAGCAAAGATGATTGCAAAAAAATGCTTCAGGATTTAATCTTTAGCCATAAAAAAAGTTAGTGTGATATAAAATATTATTAATGCATTGCGGCAGGCAATAAGGTATCCACATAAAACGAGTCCACTTGAATTTTTATATTTTAATTTTCTCAACCCGGGCAACATAGCAAGACCCTGTCTCTAAAAAATAGTTTAAAAAATTAGTTGAGTGTGGTGACATGCACCTATAGTCCCAGCTACTTGGGCAGTTGAGGCAGGAGGATAGATTGAGCCTAGGAGGTTGAGGCTGCAGTAAGCCATAATCGCACCACCGTACTCCAGCCTGGGCAACACAGTAAGACCCTGTCTCAAAAACAAAACAAAACAAAAATTAATTTTCTGATGCCTAAGTATACATAAGAAAGATAATTTAAAAAGATAATTCTTAAAATGTGTGTTCAGTGTCAGAAACAGACACTATAATTCTAGGTTAAGAATAGCCATGTAGATAGCCAAAGTGAATAAAACCTTCTCCCTAACATTAGAGTTAATAGAGGGAGGTTATCACATGTCAGATATATGACACTGGAAGCAGCAAACAAAAAATGTAAGAAGCTTCATGACAGATGTCATCTTTATTCCTAAAGATAGAGGTAAATTTGCTATGGGTAATGCATTACAAAACAAACTAAAACTAAATATCTGCAAGTGTCAAATTTCCCTTTCACCTATAGTCTTCCCAAATCGAGTGATTTTTGTTACATGAGAAGTAGGGGTAATGGTATAATATTAGAGAAGCCTACTGAATCCTCTTATTCATAGGTCATCTGCTCATTTCGAAGACCTAATCCAACTTTTGAGTTTGTCCCAAGTAAGGCAGCTGAGTATTTCCTACTTCATCTAACTGGCACAGTGGAGAGTTTATGCATTCTTATATCAAATGATATTTTTATTATATTGCATTTGTGTTCTCTAATCCTTTTGGGGTTGCTAATCTATTAGCTCTTTCAATATGAAGCATTTTTTAATTGCTTCTTGGGATTTTTTTTTTCAAAAGACATGTACAGTTTTAGTAAAAGTCAAGGTTAGCTATCCCTTCCTCTAACCAGGTGCAAATCTTTCAATGCTGATAGTTTTTCACAGAGTACTATATAGTTTTATTAATATGTACATTTTGACATTGAATATCCATGTTTAAAATGTTTAAATGTTTAAAATGAACACTTTCTATATGGAAGGTATATGACATGTCAATTCTTAAATATTTAAACTATAAGCTATTTTGAAGTAGTTAGTGCTAGTTATAACTAGACCTTAATATTTTATCAAAACAAGTAGACATGTTTAGAAATAAACCTAGTTTAGTACTTTAAAAAATTTCTTGCCGGGCATGGTGGCTCACACCTATAATCCCAGCACTTTGGGAGGCTGAGGCAGGCAGATCACCTGAAGTCGGGAATTTGAGACAAGCCTGACCAACATGGAGAAACCCCATCTCTACTAAAACTGCAAAATTAGCCAGGCGTGGTGGTACATGCCTGTAATCCCAACTACTCGGGAGGCTGAGGCAGGAGAATTGCTTGAACCCGGGAGGCAGAGGTTGTGGTGAGCCGAGATCGCGCCATTGCACTCCAGCCTGGGCAGCTAAAGCAAAACTCCGACTCAAAAAAAAAATTTTAAATTTATATATATATATATATATATATATATATATATATATATATATTTAATGGTGTTTACCATGAATGTGGCAGAACCATATCTCGTAAGCAAAGGCTGGGTAGACTTAACAATGCTAATGTACGATGATAGTGTGATAGTGTTGATTGCTTCCTTGTGTAAAGGACCAAATAAGTACCTAAAGGGTTGGGATTTTACTAGGACCATGTGTGCACGAAACATTTCCTTTTTTGTTTTTAATACAAGACACATAATTTTATAATAATTGCATATCTTAAAGAAGAAAAAATTCTAAGAAAATTATTTTTATAACATCATTTCAACATGATCAGTTGTATACTATTACCTTTTCATTTATAAATTATGTTGTTTTTATTTTGAATTTGAGTACCACTGAACGGATGTTTTGTCTGAAATATAATTAACAGTTTTCTAATTACCTTTATTTGTAAACAAAATTATTGTTATAATTCAGTAACAACTACCAAGGAACAAAATGCAATATCATATATACATATCTTTTTATCTACTATGTTATTTCCATGACATCACAAGACCAGTACTAGAAGGCAGGTAATGGTACCTTAACAAACAAACAAGCAATAGACCCGAGAAGTAAATCAAGGTAATCACAGCAAGTATACTCATGAAGAAACTCAACCAAACACTAAGTTTTGCAGAGAATTCAAAAAGCCCAAGGTGCAAGAAAGGGTCCTAAGTCTAGGTCTTCTTAATAAAAAGTCTAAGCAGAAATTTTCAGCCTAGAGATGTGTTTTACACAGGTTCTTTTCACAGGACAAGCAAATCAAGCAGTACAGTAGAGTCAGATTGAATGGCTTTGAATTCTGGCTTCGTCACTTACTTATGACCCACGTCAAATAACTTATTCTAAGTTTAAGTTTCTTTATTTGGGAAACATTGTTTTTTTTTTTTTTTTATTGAGATGGGATCTCGCTCAGCCACCCAGGATGGAGTGCAGTGGTGTGATCTCGGCTCACTGCGATCACCATCTCCCAGGTTCAAACGATTCCCCCATCTCAGCCTCCTGAGTAGCTGGGATTACAGGCACTTGCCATCATGCCCGGCTAATTTTTGTATTTTAGTAGAGATGGGGTTTCACCGTGTTGGACAGGCTGGTCTTGAACTCCTGACCTCAGGTGATCCGCCAGCCTCAGCCTCCCAAAGTGCTAGGATTACAGGTGTGAGCCACCACGTCCAGCCATGTATTGACTATTGATACTACAATGGGATAAGTACTTACCACAGTACATGTATCTGGTTATTGCACTCAAAAAATCTTACCTGTCTACACTTGAAAGTTTGTTACAGAAAACCAAGACCGTATTTCTCTGGGAAATACTTCTTTGGGAGATTGAAGATCACACTGCCAATTCAAAGGGTTTTTGAGGTCCCTTGAGAATCAAAGCCTGAGCTTGGGTCCTCAAGCACTTCACACATCTAAGAATCAAGAACAATGATTCTCCAATTTTAGCATGCATCAGAGTCTCCTGGAGAACATGGTAAAAGAGCATGCTGGGCCTCACCCCCTAGAGTATCCCGTTCAGTAGGTCTTGGGTGGAGTCTAAGAATTTGCATTTCTAACAAGTTCCCAGGTTGATGTGGATGGGGCTGGTCTGGGGACTACACTTTGAGAACCATTGCCCTAGAGTATAGCAAACAAAATAATTGCCCTTAAGTTGCTCGTTTGCAGAGTTTAAGTTATCACTGGCACCTTCTGCTGGGAGTCAGGGAGAAGCAGGAGTTAATAGAAGAAAGCAAGTGTCTTGTAGTGAAAAAAAAAAGCGGGGGGCTTTCACAGTCACATAATCATTGGCATAAGGGGACTGGCTAGCTGAACTCGAAGTTGAGGACTTCCCTCTCTCTTTCTTTACACAGCCCTCAGACTATATGTTGATTTTTTTTAATGACTCCTTGATTCTTTCCCCGAATCAGTATTTGGGAAGTACTTTACCATTTTCAGCCTCTTAAAGTACCTATTATTTTATTATATTTTAAGGCACTAATTAACTTTGAATTATTTGGAGAAGTTGAGAACTGATGAACTTCATTCCTTCAGTTACGTTTTTTTTTTTTTTTTTTTTTTTTACAAAAAAAAGTAGGTTTTTTCTTTTGTAGGGACAGGGATCTTGCTGTGTTGACCAGGCTGGTCTAAAACTCCTGGGCTCAAGCAATCCTGCTGCCTTGCCCTCCCAAAATGCTGGAATTCCAGGCATGAGCCACCACATCCTGTCAGCTCAATTACCTTTCCAGACAGTTCACTGTGGTCAAGTTAGATCACTTTTCTCCCTCTGTCCTGAGTATGTCATAAAGATGGGCTCATTACTCTTGAGGTAGATTTTAACTAATGCTCCTTTTTCAGTTTTCACCTTATCAAAAGGGAGGCTTAGATCAATTAGATGTGATACTCTTTTAACAAAGCCAGTGGCCATTCCTAGCTTGTTTTCTTAATTTAATAACACATTTTTAAATTGTGGTAAAATACACAAAACATGAAGTTTACCACCTTTACCATTTTTAGGTGTACCGTTCGGTGGTATTAAGTACATTCATATTGCTGTGCAACCATTACCACCATCCAATTCAGAACTCCTTTCATCTTGCAAACAGAACATTCCTAGGATTTGACCAACTGTTGTGTGAGAGGATTTCCATATTTTTTCTCAGGTACCCAAGCCTCTGTTTACTTCTATAACAATTTTATCCCTTTATTAGGAAACAATGTTGACATCGTAGGATTTTACTTCTTTGAGAAGTTGAAAAATGAAATTCAATCAAGATAAATAAAATTTGTTTTTATACAGGCAGACCTGATGAATAATCAAAGAAATTCAACAGAAATAAAATAAAGCTTCATTCCTAGTGTTTCTTAAAATCAAACTTGAAGTAAGCAGCATTTAAAAAGGAATGCCCAATATTTCGCTTGTGAGGAAAGTCGGTATTATAATTAGTAGTAATCTCTGATTGGAGCATTATCCAGAGATAATCCATACATTGTGGAAACAGTTCTGAAAGAAAGATAAACATCATTAACAGTTTTTGAAAGGAAGGCTTACTTGGAAAAAAATCAGATTTCTTTAACGTGATAGTGACATCATAGAAAGCTAATTGTAACAAATCAAGTAGCCCATTGAATTTTATTTTTTGCAATTGTAAAAGTCACTTAGAGTTTTTGATGGCTTCTTTACAAATATTGTTATATTCATATTTAATTACAAATATTAAGCATAAAATATCTCATACGTTTATGAATGTTTTGTAAAATTTCAATGTTTCAAGCACACAAAAAAATTGAAAAACCCACAGGCTCCAAAGTAGTCACCACCCTCATATTACCAGTTGTGAACATTTTGTCATATTTGCTATGGAAGTATAAAAACGCATAAAAGTGGCCAGGTGCAGTGGCTCACGCCTGTAATCCCAGCACTTTGGGAGGCCGAGGCAGGCAGATCACCTGAGGTCGGGAGTTCGAGACCAGCCTAACCAACATGGAGAAACCCAGTCTCTACTAAAAATACAAAATTAGCCTGGCGGGGTGGCGCATGCCTGTAATCCCAGCTACTCAGTTGCGGTGAACCTAGATCGAGCCATTGAACTCTAGCCTGGGCAACAAGAGCGAAACTCCTTTTAAAAAAAAAAACGCGTAAAAGTGATACGTTCCCATTTCTTGGTGGGGGCTACTGTTGGAGAGGGAGGGAGCAAAAACTACAGCGGGTTAGGGCTTTCATCACCTAGGAGTTTATATCCTTTGTTATAAGCCCTGAGTATTGCAGTCACTCCTTGCCCCAGATCTTGAGAAGAGGGAATCTCTTCTCAATATATCCAAAATGTGGCATGACTCCAGGCATTCAGGTCCAAACAACACTCAGATGGGGACTGCTACATAATCCAGCTCATGGTTTCAGATGAGGGGAGGAATTTAAAAAGCAACTGTTCCCTGTGAAAACAGCAATGAAGATGACCTTAGGGCAAGGAGAACTGCCTACCTAGGGGAATACAGATTCTTAGAGCAAGTCAAATTCAGTGCATTCCAATGACACTCTTTTTGGATCACTTTCCAATCTTCTTTCTTCTTAATTGACTCATCTTTTAGTCAACCAATGGCAGAGATAATGTAGATCATTGCATGCTGATCTGAAGTTATTAGCAGAACTATTCTGGTCAGCCCAAATTGTATGAATTGCTAAGTCATTTGACTGTCATCCTAGAAAAAAGTATTCAGTCCAGACTGGACAAGGCTTAGGAATTCAGTGAGTTTAACAACTCACTTTATTTGGCAATAAGCTAATCTTTTTTTTTTTTTTTTTTTTTTGAGACAGAGTCTCTCTGCGATGCCCAGGCTGGAGTGCAATGGCACAATTTCGGCTCACTGCAACCTCTGCTTCCTGGGTTCAAGCACTTCTCCTGCCTCAGCCTACCGAGTAGCTGGGATTACAGGCATGTGCCACCATGCCCGGCTAATTTTGTATTTTTAGTAGAGACGGGGTTTCTCCGTGTTGGCCAGGCTGGTTTCAAACTCCCAACCTCAGGTGATCTGCCCGCTTTGGCCTCCCAAAATTGCTGGGATTATAGATGTAAGCCACCGTGCCCGGCCCAATATGCTGATATTTAACCTAGAAATAATACTGAAGTGTTTCATATATACTGATGTATTAGGTATGGATAAAGCTCCTGTGAAAAGAGACTCTCCAAAAACTACAGAGGCTCAAATAGGAAAAGTTGAATTCTATACCACATAAAGTTGAGATAAATGAATGTGGGCCAGAGTGGGTAGGTGTTTCTGCTACATGAGGTCGTTCTCTTGTCTTTTCTTTTCTTTCTTTCTTTCCTTCCCTCCCTCCCTCCCTCTCTCTTTCTTTCTCTTTCTTTCATTCTTTCTTTCTTTTTCTCCTCTTTCTTTCTTTTTCTTTCTTTCTCTTCTCTCCTTCCTTCCTTCCTCCCTCCCTCCATCCCTCCTTCTCTCCTCTCCTCTCCTATTCTCTTTTCGTTTCTTTGGTTTTCTTTTTTTCACTCCTTGCAGAACTCAGTCTAATACATGAGGTCTTTAGGAAGCCAGGTTCCTTGTTGCTCCCCAGTTTCATAGAGTAATGACTTTATCTGTATGGTGGAGGCTGCCTTGCCAGCTCCATGGCCATAATTTTCTATTAAAAAGCAAAAACCTTGACTTGGTAATTTGCATTCGTTAGTTTTGCTTACATAGCATTAGCCAGAGCAAACCTCAAGGAAGGTTGATTTGGCCATGTTCCCTAATAAAACTAGAGTTCTACTATAAAAAGAAAAAGGCAAGCATAAATACAGGAGGGCAGTTAATGGCTTTTGCCATAAGTGCTGACCAGCTCTACTGGGCAGATAGGTTTGAACCATGGCATAAGATCTAATGTTATCGCTAAGGAGAGGTGTAAGAAATGATGAGTGGAGGGCGGGATGCATTCAGGGACTTCAGTGCAGACACTGGGATCTGGATTTACAATCTCCAAATCAAGGGAGGCCATCATTTGCAATAAACAGAGGTAGTGGAATCAGGTAGCTAAATATTCTGGTGAAGATGAGCTGATCTTTCATTGAGCCACATGTTAAGTTTGCAGGACAGGCTAGATTCAATTAATGGTTTTCTAAAGTGAGAAGAAACATACCCGATTCAAACCAGTCTCAAACAATAATCAGTGAAAGATAACAAGAATTTCAGCTATATGAGATTAATCAGCAGGGTTTGAAATGCAAGTAATACTATTCCATAAAGAGCCAAAAAAAAACCCCACAGATTTTAATCTACACTTGTCACAGGGAGAAAGCAAGTATTTGGGCCTCTGACTGAGTGTATGTTAGCACAGGGGAGAGTGTGCAGGAGGTTACAGTTTCCTTTAGTGTGCCTGCTGCAACACCATCGCACAAGGTTAGGGGTGGGCTGATGTACAATTGGTCAGTACTAGAACAGCCAGACTCTGTGCTTACAGCCAGTGTCCATTCTCATTGGCTGACACCCATACCTGGCCAGTCAGTGCCACCATACATGGTATTAAACATTGTCAACCTTACCCCAGCTTCCATGGGCTGTTCAGAATGTTCTTGAGAGACGTCTGGACCACAAGTGGCCAAGGAAAGAGTCCTAAGAAAAAAACTAGTAGTTTCTTTCCAAGATGCAAAAACTTGACCATTGGAATGGATACAAAGGAGAAGGAAAGAGACAACACCCAGATTTATTTGTCAGCCCCTGTTTGAGAGAAGTGTGAAAGGTCTGCAGAAAGCATACCCCATTCTGCTATTTTGGGTTTATATGCTATCCGGGATTTACTGGCCTTCCTGCAATTTTGGTGAATAATTCCAGATTTCCCATACATTCCAAATGCAGTATGTCTACTTTACTTGCAGAGTGCCAAACACTGATATAGGTTACAAAGGAAGTTATGAACTTCCTACTCTGGAGGAATTTAAAAGTAGAGTTTTCTTTGCCTGGAATGGCAAGGAGAAGAATGTGTAAGAAGAGTGATGGAGTAAGGTGTCTATCCATTTGGTTTAGCTTTTTAAATAATTACTTTGCACAGAAGAAATGAGATCAGGAAGAAAGAAAGGGCCAATATAGCCGATAAATTGGCGGGTAGTAAAGTACATTGGAACTTGGACATTTTTTGAAAAGTTGCCTCTGTGTCATATACCAGGTATCAGATAAAAGAAGAAACCCAGCAATGTTTGTCTTTTATAGTGGAAGTAAAGTATGAAGGTTAAAAGCATAGACCCTGGAGCCAGACTTGGCCTGGGTTTGGATCCCAGTTCTGCCACTGAGTAGCTGTGTGACTATGGGTCAATTACTTAAACCTTGTGCCTCAACCTCATCATCTGCAAAATCAGATAACACGGTTTACCTCATAAGGTTATTATGGAGATTAACAACCTATATAATGGCTGGCTTATAGTAAACAGTGTTAGCTATGATATTTTAAATATACTGTTAGTCCTAAACCATTTGCTCCTACAGCAGTACACTTTCCTATTCTCCGTTCACTTGGCATCTGACCTTATCAATAATTTCTCCTATTTTTTTTTTTTTGTATTTTCTTTGTTGGGTTATTTGGTATTCTGGGCTATCTGCCTGGCTTCCTCTCACTAATATTCAGGCATATCCTCTTCTGATGTCTCAACCCACCCATTGCAAAACATGCTCCTCTTATGGCACAGTTTTATTCCCTCAGTGTTCCATAAAATGAACCTGACTTCAACTTTTAGATAATATATATAGGGTTCTTTTGCTATTTGAAGAAGTAAACTCTTAGATGGTGTGAAACAGACAGTGCTATGGGTTCACCAAATTTGACTTCATTTTCCTCTTTTTGGGCACACAGGATGGCTACATGTTTCACCGTTGCTTGCATTTAGGTTGTGTCCAAATGATTGAGTGTAGATCCTGTTGTTTTGGTGGAAGCGATGTGTTCTACTTCCTGGACTGATCATAACCCGCCCCCACCCCGAATGATTGTCCAAGCTGTTTTCCCTTGTCATGAATGCCTGGGAGGCCTCACGTTTAGGATGGTAGCATCACAGTCTGAAATGGGATTGCACTCCTGCATCACCTCTTGGAGAAAAGCTACCAAAGACAGTTGCCTGCATTGCACTGGACTGGGATATGAGTCAGAAATAAATCTTTACTGTGTGCACCCCATGAGACATTGGGGTTTATATGTTAATGCATTGCCCTGATTAATTTACATGGTACAGAATAAGAAAATGGGGACAGAATGTAAGTCTATAGTGAGAGTATTATAGTGAAGTTCGAATGTATTTCTACTAGGAAACTATTACTGAACACATTATGGAGTGTCAAGTAGCTGAGCAGCGTGTCGTAGAGAAAAGAATATGGACTGTAGAATCCCACAGAACCAGATTCAAATTCTGTTCCAAACATGTGTAAGCTTTGACTTTCATATGTTCTGCCTCTAGAATCCAAATAATAATTTCTAATAGTATTATTGGATAAGTCAACTAAGACCCATTAGGTAAACTCTTCTATCTCCGTGCACTTCCCAGTACCCCAATATTTCTAATCCAGTGTTTAATTTCCAATCCAGATTCTACATTCTCAACTACTTTTTAGAAATTTTACTTCATAGGAGCATGGAACTAAAGTCTTGAAAACAAAGGGTAGTAATTTGGTCCAGAAAAAGTACCCATATCCTTAATTTGTGCCCAAATGAAAGAAAATCATTATAAAATTTTATGTGTCGAAAACAGTACTTAGTAGAGAACAATTTTCCCTTTATTTAGTGCATTATTCAGAAAGTTCCCGTTAAAAAGCCTATGCCATGCACCACAGCACAATTTTGAAAATATTGTATTTAATTAAAATGGGAATTTCTGAAATGATTACTATAGCATTTATCTTTCAAAACCTCACATACAGTTTTTGACCTATAAAATATTTATGAGTTAATTTGCCTTTTCCCCATGTTATGGCACACAAGAGCAGCTGAGACCCTGAAATTTCCTTTAACACAAGCTGCCTTTCTTTTAAAAAGTTGTGGTTTTAAGCAGCATATTTCCTCAGTACATATAGAATAAACTTCTCAGTTTTACTTACCCTGCCAGGAAGAGAAAGAGAGAAAGAGAAGAATCATGACCTGTAATATCATCTCAGCAATAAGAATAATCTCGATTTTAAATTATTGAGGGTGGGCCACTGGCAGAAACTGTGCCAACAAAGTTAGAGATACCTAGCGACCACTAAATTGTCAACCTTGCTGTTATACACTCACACACAGTCACTTTCACCACAGTATAAACACAGACTTCAAAGGCACACCTGCAAAAGCTGCCATTGTCACTTGCTGTTTAATATTTAAACAAAGTATTTAGAATTTATGGGATATACTTGGTAGCTTTTTAAATTAAAAAACCAAGTTAACATATATATTACTTAGTAAATTAACAGATAAATGTGCTTAGCTGCTAACATTTCACATTAGGCAAATAGAGAAAGAGAATTAACAATTCAACAGGTATTGCATTGTAAGTTTACAGACCTTGATTCTACACTGCACAGTAATATTTTTGAAAGATCAATACTGCAACCAACTAAGCTCTCTGTGGCACAGCTTTCCTTTTATAAAATTAGCAAACTTTTCAATTATCAAATAGATGTCCCTAAAAATTGATAAAGTAGCAATGTGATCTCTCAGTCCTCTTTACCTTTCTGATGCTTGCTCACCATTCCTTCTTTTCTCTTTCTTATCATCATCCCAGCCTGTAGTATCCCTCAAGGCTCTATCTCAATACCTCTACTTCTCTGCTACTCCCTCAGACCCTCTTCCCTGGTAATGTGGACTTGCATTTTACATAGAGTTTGGCCCTAAAATCATTAAGTGAGGTGAACATTCATATAAATTCAGAAATACCCTGGGGAAAAAAATCCCTTCATTCACTCTTAAAGTATAACATACATGGCTGTTTTTATGCGTCGTGTTTGAGGCTTCTATACCATCCAACTCAGCCAGTTTTTCCTCCAGCATTGGAACAGATTGCTGTTTTCTCAGCTAAACACCTGATAAAGTAGTTGGCTTGCATTTGGGGGCCATGTTGCACAAGGAAAAAAATTTATCTTTAAACACTTGAATCACACTCAACATGGTGAGATGCTCATACTATGAGAGCAATTCAGGAACTGAGACCAACTGAAGGAACATCAGATTCACATCTCCCTTCTCGCGCTCCTCTGGGGCATATGCTTTAGGGAACGTGGGACAGAATCACCCACACTATTTACATTCTCCTATTTCTCTCTTTCTCTTCCTGGCAGAGTTAGTATAATTGAGTATGGATGAGAACTTTATTCTATACGTATTGAGGAAATATGCTATTTAAAACCACAATTTAGAAGGGCAGCTCATGTAAAAGGAAGCTTTGAGGTCTCAGGTGCCTTTGTGTGCTGTAACAGAAATTTCCTTTGATAGAATGGAGGGGACACTTCATAGGTGGAAAACATACAAAGATGAAGAAGACTGCATATCTGGGAGTATGGAGAATGGAGAGAACTGATTTGCTGTATATCATGGTTTTGCAGTCTTGGCTCTATTGACATTTTGGATTGGATAGTCCCTTATTGTGGCTGGCTGTCCTGTGCATCCTGTGCATTGTAGGATGTTAAGCAGCATCCCCAGCTTCAACTCACTAGATGCTTGTAGTAATCTCACCAAAGTTACGGCAGTCAAAAATGTCTCCGGACATTGCCGAATCACCCTTTGTCAGTGTGTGTGTTGGGGGCAGAGGGAGGTATCACCCATGATTGAAAAACACTGCTCATTATAATAGAGTGAAGAGTTTGAAAGTTTTCAGGGGAAATTCTAAATGGGAGACATGAAAAGAGGATATGGAGATGGAGCTGGAGTTGGAGCAAGACTGGGCACTATGTTAGGTGAAGGGGCCTTGGAAAATCCTTTAGTCATGGGATGGTTGGAGGCTTATGTAATATATATGTCTAGGCTGGGTGCAGTGGCTCACTCTTGTAATCCCAACACTTTGGGAGGCCAAGGTGGGCAGATCACTTGAGGCCAGGAATTCAAGACTAGCCTGGGCAACATGGCAAAACCTCGTCTCTACTAAAAATACAAAAATTAGCCAGGTGTGGTGGTGCATGCCTGTAGTCCCAGCTACTAGGGAGGCTGAGGCATGAGAATGGCTTGAACTGGGAGGTGGAAGTTGCCATGAGCCGAGATGGCACCACTGCACTCCAGCCTGGGTGACAGCGAGACTCTGTATAATAAAAAAGAAAAGAAGAAAGGAAAAAAGAAAAATATATATATATACAATATATATGTCTAAAATCCCATTTGAAGCAGTTTCCTCTTATATGAGCCACCTTCCATTTCTCAAACCTCCAGTCAAGTCTATTGTAAATACTAACATCATATGAGAGCAATTAACCTATGGCTATCAAGGAGGAGAATGAGTCCCCTATCTGGGCTGACATGATGTGGAACAGGGACCCACATGGACAGTTTACTTAATTCAGATGAAATGGCATCTTGGACCCAACTACAACCAACAAGGATGACACAAAAGCCTTTGACTTTCCATGAGGCATGGATTATGGGTTTGAACGCTCTTATCTGGATCTTTGAGGTGTGGAGGCTTCTCAGTGACACCATGAGTGGTTTCATGACTCCATGACTTGTGGCTTCCATAGGCCAGGGGTCCCCAGGGGACTGGTACCGGTCCATGGCCTGTTAGGAACCAGGCCACACAGCAGGAGGTAGGCAGCGGGGGAGCCAGCATTACTGTCTGAGCTCCACCTCCTGCCAGATCACCTGTGGCATGAGATTCTCACAGGAGCATGAACCCTATTGTGAACTGCACATGCGACGGATCCAGGTTGCTTTCTTCTTATGAGAATCTACCTAATGCCTGATAATCTGAGGTGGAAGAGTTTTATCCCGAAACCATCCCACCACCCCGGAAAAATTGTCTTCAATGAAACCAGTCTCTGGTGCCAAAAAGGTTGGGGACCACTGCCATAGACCATACAGAGCCACCACCAACCTCTGCAAGGGTTAATGTGGGAGGAAAAGAAGATGTTCTTCTCCTCTACCCATATCTCTCATGGGATTAGGATTGGAATTTCTTCCAGAAATGGGAGGTGATCCCTTCTCATTGTGAGGATGATCTTTACCTTGTAAGGTGAATCTGCCCCAAGACACTGCTAATTTTCCTGCTCCTCACCCTCAAAATATTGCAGTCTCTTTGACTTCAGCTTAGTTCTTCCTCTATTACCTTATAAACATTGTCCCATAAAGTTGTGTATAAAAAATTTAGAACTGTCCCTTTGTCACGTCGCCTGGCCACAGGTATGGCAGGGTTCCACTTCTCTTGGCCCACTCCTCTTTTAGTCCCAGATTCATCCTGTCAAATATGAACTGTTTCCTGAACACATTCTGCTCTTGAGCACTCCCATGCTATTGGCTCAAGCTGCCCCTCTGTATAGAAAGCCTTTCTTTGCCATATCTTCAGGTCTTAATTTGATCTATTCTATTCTACTTTAAAATATTGGTCCAATGATACTATTTTTTTTAGTAAGGTAAACTCTGAACTCACAGAATTTTATTTATGCCTCCTTAATGGCATTATCATTTTTCTCCATTGTAATAGCTATTTGTGTACATAGTGTACAGAAATAGCTCCTAGACTCAGAGCTGTTTGAAAACAAGAACTATGTCTTAACATAATAATTGGTTCATAACAGCTGTTATGTAGTTGATTTTAATATTTTTCCCTTTTTCTCAAAAAGAATTTAAGGTGGCTTAAAAGAAGGCACAAAATGTTGGGTAATGACTTAAATTAGAAAAAAAGTGAGGAAAAAATAAGGAAGATGTAATAGAAACTTAAGAATAGTAGGTTGTCAGCTGGGCACGCTGTGGCTCATGCCTGCAATCCCAGCACTTTGGGAGGGAGTGGTGGGAGGATCGCTTAATGCCAGGAGTTCAAGACCAGCCTCAGTATCAGGAAAACTTCATCTCTTAAAAAAAAAAAAAAAAATTAGTTGGGCATGGTGGTGCATGCTTGTAGTCCTAACTACTAGAGAGGGTGAGGTGGAAGGATCGCTCGATCCCAGGAGTTTGAGGCTGCAGTGAGCTATGATTGTGCCATTGCATGCCAGCCTGGGTGGCAGAGTAATACCCTTTCTCTAAAAGAGAGAAAGAATAGTAGATTGTCAACAAAAAACGCTTACTGAAGAATAAATAAATTTTCCTTATATAAATTTTGTCAGTGGGTCCAATCTTAGAAACAAACTGTAGTTGCTTCCTTATTCACAACTTTTCCCCTAATAGTGATGTCTGGATTTGAGGAAGGGAAAACATAGGGAATAAAGAAGTGGAGTGAGATACTTTTTCACTCTCTATTTTCTCCCTTCCGCAGATCTGGTCGTGCTTTACTTATTATGTGGTCCATTAGGAACTGCTGTCTTTCTCCATGAACTTACCTTCCTGAATACCATGATGCTTTTAGGAATGGGCACTTGGTTCAACCAGGACAAATGGAATCTTTCTCTTGATTTTTTGGAGCTGAAGAACGAGGTAAAAGCCTTTTCCCCATGGATAGTGAGCCAGAAATCTGCTGAATCACTCCAGCCCCTGGGTAAAGAAAGCACATTTTCAGGAGAAGAAATTAAAACCAACCTATACAGAGAAGCAGAGATCAGAAACAGACAATTCTGATAGTATTTGGACCCCTGGTTCTTTTTTCTGAGACCACTCCCAAAGCTTCCTTGCTTTCCAAAGCATATTTGTTAGAGCATCTTCTGGTTCTTATTGGATAAGGTCCAAACTCTTGAGTCTGACAATCTTGCATTTCCAGCACCAGTCAGCCTTATTTTGCTTCTAGCTTCCCAGTCAAGAGTTGCCTTCTACCAGATGCCACGCTCATTTTCAGTTGTGTGGTTTTCTTGAATGACTTCTTGCCTCCTCTCTCTGTAATACTAATTATTGCCTTTCTTCAGGGTCTAGTTCAACATCTATCTGCTCTATTAAAGCCCTTCTTGATTGATCTTTTCCTTCTCTGAACTATGGTAGCCTTTTTATTCCCAGCTTTTCTACATGGTCTGAAACATATTTATCTTTCTGCCTTGGTTTCTTTTGCTATGTATTTTGTGTGTAAGATTTTTTTTCGTGTGTTTATTTACTTAAAAACTTGTACCAGTTATCAGTTATCTTGGGACATAGTACTAACTATAAATGCAATTAAAAGTCTGAGAAGAAAGATAATTGGAGATTGGAAGTCAAATAAGTTTCTTGGAGGAACTCTGTCTCTCACTAGAATTTGAGAACAAGCAGTATTTGGTAGGTATAGAGGAGAATGGAGGGTGTTTTAGGTGGGAACAGTGGCATCAAAAAGGACACTGAGATGAGACTCTCATCTGAGATGAGACCAGTTACTTATGCCTTGATTTGTTTGGGCATGACCATTTTGGGTGAGGAGTAGAGGAGAATTGAACTGATCTACATAAAAAAGAGAGCAGAATATGAGACTCTTGTAAGCAATCCAGAAGGGAGAAATGAGGACCAGAGTTGGAAGTTTGGGAGAAAGGAGGAGAGTGGAGCAGCGAGCACTGGGAGGTTGTGTATAACCCAATGTGATCATTCTCCATGTTCCCAATACCTCAGGAAATTAAAGCAAACTCATAAAGTGCTTGGAGAACATGCATATTTTATGGAAACTGATAATAGAGTTTTGACTTGTCAAGGGGGAAAACTGAGGAGACACACATGAATGCAGGTGCTGTAGGCAGAGTGGCCATGAAAGATAGCTGTCCTTGGGGATCTGCAGAAAGCATGAGGAGAGTTTCAAGACTTAACTGTCTGGATTTGGAGGTTCAAGCCAAACGGCAGCATGTCTCAACAATCATCTGGGTTATAAGTGTTTATTCATTTGGTAGTAGGCAAATTACTTTTGCCTTCCCATGTTGATGATAAGTCCCATGAGTAGAGTCCATGTTGTCTCTCCTGTCTCAAAGTCTCTCACACTGGGTCAAGCTCAAAGTAACTGTTTATATACCTTGTCTCTCCACTTTCCATTGCTTCTCTATATCAATGTTGGGCCGATAACTGGTACAATTTTGCTTTTATCAAGTCGGTTTCCAGATCTATAGAAGAAAAAGAAGCAAAAAGAGGAGAGGGGAAGAGGAGGGCCCTGTAATTGTTCTCTGGATGTTAAACTCCTGATGGTGGCCAGATTCCTCCATTATCTGGCTTCATTCCGTTTATCTAACCTCATCTGCTTTTGCCCACATGGTTCTCTTTTCCAGGAATATCGAGTTCCACTCTGTCTACTCACATAGCATGAAGAGTCTCATCTCAGTGTCCTTTTTGATGCTGCTGTTCCCACCTGAAACACCCTCCACTCTCCTCTCTACCTACCAAATCCTGCTTGTTCTCAAATTCTAGCGAGAGACGGAGTTCCCCTAAGAAATCTATTTGATTTCCATTTTAATTGCATTTATAGTTAGTACTATGTCCAATGACATTCATTATTGTTCTCTTGGTGATTTTATGATGGCCAGTCTTCTCATAATCAGCTTGAGGACTAAAATAGTGACTTGTAATTTTCATGTAGTAGGTACTTAGTACTTACTCAGTGTTTTCTAAGTCCCTTCCCTAAATGAGTTCACCAAGGACAGGGGCTTTGTTTTGTTTCCTACTCTTCCCCCAAAGCCAGAACTTGCCTGGAAAATCGTGGGTACTCAGTGAATATTTATTGAATGAATTAATGAATGAATAACAGCCTGCCAACCTTTATGAGATCCAGCAGTGCAGAACAATCTGTTTTCTTTCCCACATACTATTTCAGACTTTTTCATCTCTCCCTTGACTCTATTACAATTCCTTTGTTGAATTTTTCAGCCTTTTAGATAATTTCAAATGCCACTACCTAGCTCCTTCAGTGTGGTGTCAGTCAGTCTTAAAGCACAGCACTTATTTCAAATCACATTTGTGCCAAATTTAGTCCATTTATACTGAAAGAGAAAACAGGGTAGCCATGTAGATGCATAACCTGCTCCTTCATGTCCACACTCCCTTGAGTGTATCACAATACAGAAAACATGGGACTTGGGCATGTATATAGCAAAATGGAATCTCTCTGGAGAGGTACCATTTTCATAAATGGAAATGTTCAATATCATAAAGATATCAATAATCCTCAAATTCATATATAAAAATCTGTTGCAAGTCCAATCAAAATCCCAACAGATAATTTTGTTTAGTGAAAATTAATAGATTGATTCCAAAATTCACTTGGAACAGAAGATTGTGAAAAGCCAAGACAGTTTTAAAGAAGAATGAAGGAAAGGCAATTTGGTTTTTCAGATACCAGGATTTATTGTGAAGTCATATTAATTAATTCAAAGTGATGTTAGTGCAAGGATAGCAAGCATACTAATTAAACAGAGCAGAGGGCCCAACATACATTTCTGTATCTACAGAAGTGACACTACAAATTAGTATAGGGCTGGTAGGCACAGTGGCTTTCGCCTGTAATCCCGGCGCTTTCGGAGGCAGAGGTGGGAGAATTGCTTGAGCCCGAGCATTTGAGACAAGGCCTGGTAAAGACAGTAAGACTTCGTCTCTACAAAAAATAAAAAAGTTAACTGAGCATGGTGGCATGCATCTGTAGTCCTAGCTATTTGGGAGGCTGATGGGAGGCTAGCTAGATGGGAGGCTTGAGCCAAGGAGTTTGAGACTTCAGTGAGCTATGATCATGCCACTGCACTCCAGCCAGGGTGACAGAGCGAGACCCCATTTCTAAACAAAAAAAATTAGCATGGAATAACAGGTTGGAAAAAATTGTGCTATAACAATTGGCTAAAAGTATAAAACAAAAGTATATCTACTGTATTATATATAAAAATAAAAAATTTCAGATGGATTAATTATGCAAATGTAAAAAGCAGAAACTATAAATACATTCAAGGAAAATACAGATTATTTTCAAGGTTTCAGATAGGGAAACATATTATAAACAACACAGAAAATGCATAAACCAAGAGAAAAAAGATGAATAAATTTGACCGCATTAAAATTTAAAGCTTATTTATAAAAAGACATCATAAAAAAATTAAAAGGCAAGTCACAGACAGAGAAGATATTTCAAGCATATATCTGATGAAGAATGATATCAGGAATATATATATTTTTAAGCTCAATAAGAAAAAGACAAGAATTAAATAGAAAAAAATGGGCAAGGGTATGAATAGGCAATTCACAGAAACAGAAAAACAAATCACCATTTATGTTATTCTCTGCTAGTATCCAGAGAACTACAACATCTAATAAAATTGAGAATACAGATCCCCTATTTTATTGCCATTCTTTTTTTTTTTTTTTTTTTTTTTTTTCAGAGATGGAGTCTTGCTCTGTCACCCAGGCTGGAGTGCAATGGTGTGATCTCAGCTCACTGCAACCTCTGCCTCCCGGATTCTAGCAATTCTCCTGCTTCAGCCTCCCAGGTAGCTGGGATTATAGGCACATGCTGCCACGCCCGGCTAATTTTTTTTATTTTTAGTAGAGACAAGGTTTCACCGTGTTGCCCAGGCTGGTCTCGAGCTCCTGAGCTCAGGCAGTCCACCTGGCTCAGCCTCCCAAAGTGCTAGGATTACAGGCGTGAGCCACTGCGCCTGGCCTGGCATTCTTTTTTAAGGTATATGTGTGTATTAGAAAAGCTCTTGTATATGTGAACAAGTAGTTATATCTCTGGAAGACTGTAATTGTAAAAAATTGGGAAAAACCCAAATTCCCACTAACAAAGGAATAGATAAATAACTTGTGGTACTTAAAAAAAAAAACAGTTAAAAGTAAACTAATTAGGGCTATGTGAGTCAATATGAATATACCTCAAAAAATATAATTTGAAGAAAGCAAATTGAGTGTATACAGCATTATGCCATTTACATAAAGTTTGAAAACACACAAAACAATATTTTGTATCATTGAAGGACATATGTTGTATAGTATAGCAGACTGGATTCCCAAAAAAGTAAGTTCTAAGATAGAGATTATCAAGGAAGAGGTTCTTTAGTGAGTGATTTTGGGAACAACATCTTGTGGAAAGGAGGTGAAGGAGGACTGCACAGAAGGGAGCTTGGGCTGTGATGCAGACCTAACAAAGACCTCAGTCAACCCCTCTACGGGCCTCTGAAACTGGGATTACCCTTCAGAATTGTCTTGAGTTGAGGTGAGGGCCCTTGCCTTTACAGCCCTGCAATGGTCACTGGATGATAGGAAAATGCATGACCTGGAGGAGGCAGCTCTCCTCTGTCTCTGTGTAATCATTAGGAACATTCAACACCAATATTCCATTACTCTCCTAGAAATGTGGTAGCATTATACTTTCCCATGTCCTTTAAGTTAGAGTTGGCCAATGGAATGGGAGCAGAAGTTGCATGGGTCATCTCTAGGTAGAAGCTTTTAATAGTCCGAATGTAATTCTACAAATTTCCTTCCCACTACCGTGGGATCTGTGACATTCTAGGTGGTAGAAGCTCTTCCGGCTGTGTTTCTCAATGAAGATAATGTGGATCAGTGCATTCAGCCATCCTGTAAGCAACATGAGGCATGAGCAAAAAGGAAACATTTTCTTTTGTAAATACCTGATATACTGGGGTTATTTGCCACTGCAGCATAACCTACATGTTTGGACTGATACCACCTTTTGATTGCAAATGTCACTTTTACCATGTCTGATTTCTCTTCTTCTTGCCATATGTATTTACTTAACACTCTTTTTTATCCTGTTCGAAAATCAGGATTTCACAAAATGTGTTCTGTAGAAAACTAGTCATGTGAGCTGCTCTCCAAAATCTTGGTTTTTATGGTCAACTAAGTAGGAAACCGCGTATTTTATCACTCTCTCAGGGATTTATAATTGCTCATTGGCATATTAAATTTCCTAAGCACTCTTTCCATTAAAAAACCTGTATTAATTAATTTTAATCTTCCATTTCACAAACTCATTTGACTATAGAATCCTAAAAATAACATCTATTAACATCTGACAGAGAAACACATTTTTGGAAAGTATGCCCTAAGCATTCTTCCACTTTCCATTGCAAATTAAACACATCCAGCGGGTCTACTTGGAAGTGAAGAGAATGGAACTAGGACTTACTTACAATGGGTCCAAGAGCTAACAGCCTTTCTACAGGCATAAAATTTCAATAGAATTGACGTGTAAAGAAACTATTCAACTGGCTTCAAAATCAATCAACACACATGTAGAATATAGAGAATGTGAAACACAAATACGTATGTATTGGCTAAAGGGTCCTTAATTACCTAAGGCTGGCAATATGTTTTCAAAGATAACATGCAAACACATAAAAAGCAAAACAACAAACGTTAGAAAATAACCACTGCCAAATGAGTGGGTATAGACAGAACATTGAGGTTGTCTAAGATCACACAGTGAGTAAAGGCCAGAGTTAGTAACTACGTTCCATATATTGGATCTCAGAATCAAAGATTCACTGAGTCACACATCATTCTTTGATATTATTCTGAATCTCTTGAAGTGTGATGTATAAGAACTTAAATCTTAAGCACAAACAATTAGGATAATTAGCATCTCTGTATATTTCCATAATGGCATCAGACAACAAAAGGAAACTTGCCAATTTCCCAATCAGGCAAAGTCCAAAAAACGCTTTCCTGCCTGCCTGCCTTATTATTGCAGCAAATTATAGCACCACTTGCTGGCTGAGAAAATGGCTCACTCAGAATGAGGAGGCAGGGCAGACGGCTGCCTGTGCCTTTAGAAAATGTTTGTTGTTTGTTTTGTTTTTTTAAGAATTTAGACAAGAGTTAAAGAATTACTTCTTTCTATTGAGAGCTCTATATTTTAATAAATTGGAGTGGTGGACAAGCTGGAATAGATGGAGCAGAATGTTGCATAATCTCTAATCTCTCCCCTGCTTCTTTTTATATGTTTTGAATGAAGAAAGAACTATTTTAGTTGACAGGAAGAAAAGACAAAAACTTTAAAAAGAACACAAAACTACCAAGGTTTTGTCTTTGCCTGTGTGCATAAAAGCTTGAGATTGGAATAAAATTCTTAGTGTAATGTATTAGAGACTCAGAATCTAGATATTTTGGGAGTAGATGGCTCAGCAAAAACACAGATTACTTTTAGACTCAATCTATTATTTATTATTTCAATTTATAAAAAATGCACCCAATGCATCTTTGGGATGAAGAGTTCAAAGTCATTGTGATTGTGTAGTTGGCTTATCTCTCACTTATAGAAATCTGCATATTTTATGTTGACTTGAAGTTGTGTCCTTTGAGAGACTGTCATGCCATAAAGACAAAAAATTAATTTTAAAGAATAAAATCACAGTGTCATCATAGATATATTACTTTTAAGTTATATATCACATAATGATTTCTTGTCAATAGATGTTTTAGTTAAATTATGAGGAATGGCTGCTGAGATTTGGAGTGGGACATTATTTTTTATCTCTATAGTTAATCATTCCTATTGCCTTGAAGTCAGAATAAAAAAACCCTCCACAGAGTTCAAAGTGTGAACCCCATTATTTATAAAATGAAGTAATTACAGGTTTTTTACTATCTGTGTTTACATTAAATTACGATTTCTAACACTTCCCCTTCTTCCTCCCTTTAGTGCTTCCAACTCCCCTCCCTGACCCCACTTCTAAAACACTTCATTTTGGTCTGCCAAGTAGACTCAGTTTTCCAATTTGATAAAAGAGAAAATGGTTATGCTGAGTTCAAAAGATTCTTGTATTATTTTAGTTGGAGATTGATAATGACTCTTTAAAAGTTCTAATTTTGATTCTGAGACTCTCCTTCCTAAAATAATTCATAATGCTGGGAAACAGCATTTCTTATATTAAAATTTAATTTCAACTGCTACATTTAATTGAAAAATTACTTTGAAATCAGTTTCTTACTTTTCACTTAAAATATACTGCAAGCAGATAAAAAAATTACGCTGTCTTTAAAAAGCTGTATTATAGATATCTACATACATAAATATTCAAATCTTGAGTCAGGTTTTGTTTTTTACTTGATTTTTTGTTGTTTCTTGTGTAATTATATATATCTGGTGGGTTGCACCTATTTTCAATTAAAGTAGAAGCAATCAAAATCTAGCTATGTACTAAATACATTTTTGTATTGCTCTTTTTATTTTTAAAGGTGAAAAACATTAATACATTCATAAATTCATAAATCAGCATCATTTGGCAAACTTCTTATATTAAACTAGGCAGCATTTAATTATTAAGCTAACTAGTCAAATGAGTGAAATTCTAATTAAAGCCCCAGCAAACAGCCGCTCTCCATTCCTGGTTTATAATTCAATGTCCACCAAAAAAGTCAAATAAAGGTCACCATATCACCTCACATCTGAACATTTAGGAAAGGAATCTGCCTGTTCAATCAGCCTCATTAGATCTAAATCTGAATATTTTAAAAAGTATATAAAACAAACAAACAAATATGCTAAAAACTCCATAGACTGAGGTTTCAGAAATGACAAATATATAAGACAAGTTACTTAGAAAAGTACATTTCACATTTTTGTGCAAAAAGTAAAAGCAAAGCAGTATTTTCAAATAGCAGATAAATAGGCATTTGTGGTAAACAGAATTTTATTTCTTAAAATGTGTATTATCAACTCAACATTGCTGTAAGGCGTAAGTAGGATGAATAAAGCTGTATGGTACAGAAATAGACTCTTAACATTGAGTTCAAGTTTTATCTTGCTAATCATATGAATGTGAATGAAAATAATTCAAATGCTTAATCTGAACAAACTACTTATCATGGAGAACTTAATGAAATACTGGTTTCAAACAGTTTTTAGGACATAAACTACAGAATAAAGAACCAGGGATCCTATTACCTATTACAATGAAGTGTTTCTGAAAGTACTTTACATCTTTCAACCTCCAGTTGATAAAGATGATTGGACCACCTTCCAGAAGGAGGCTGCCTGAGTTCCTATGAGGCTGTTCAATTAGAGATTTCAAGAGCCAAATTCATATCATATCAAACACTGCTGCTACTTTCTCTGCATTGCCTTCAGGAAAGCATAAAGCAACCCACAGGCTATTGTGAAATGCTTAACTGCCCAAAGTATGAGAAATGAGAATTGAAAGGACCAGGTACATTTTCTCTAAGATTTCAACTCTGTATTGTGTTTTTAAAATATAATTTAATAGGAGTGAAAAATTCGATTAGTCTGTTTCACCTTGTTAATTAAGACAACCTTAGGGTAGAAGGGTTATTTACATTTATTGAATTAATTAGCCTGTGAAACACTTTTTCAGGGAAGCCAAGCACTATGCTAGGCACATACAATAGCCATGACAGTGAGTTCATGTCCCCTGTGTCCGTGCTGTTAGCAATGAGATTTCACAGATCTGTTAATCAAGAAGTGGAATCTATCTCTTCATCCCTTTAATTGGGGTTTACCTTGTGATTTGTTTTGACCAATAGAATGTGGCAGAAATGATGATGTGGCAGTACCCAGACTAGCACTTAAGAAATTTCTCAGACTATTCTCTTGGGACTCCTTCCTCTGTCACTAGCTAGGGGATAAGACCACAAGGACCAGAACTAAGTTGGCCCAGTTATGCTAACAGAGGCCCCAGACACGTTAGAGAGCCCAGCCAAGATCAACAGACCTGACCTAAAGCTGATTTACAGCTGAGCACGGGCACATGCAGGAGCCCAGCTGAGATCAGAGCAACTGTCCAGCTGAGCTCAGCCTAAATTGCCATGAACTAAATAAATAGCTGATACAAGTATACCGTAATCTCATAATACTCCACTGTCCTCAATTAACACTGTGGTACCTGACAGGAGTCAAGAAATTCAAAGCCTGAAGACATGAACACATTAAGCCACATCCCTATATGGACTATCATCTTTAGATTATCTGTTGGACACATTACAAGCCTGTGCCTGAATCAAACTTCATAGTCACTGCCTTTCAGTAACTTTTAAACATTATTTATTATATAAAATCATTTACAGGCCAGGTGCAGTGACTCATACCTGTGGTCCCAGCATTTTTGGAGGCCAGGGCAGGCAGCTCGCTTGAGCCTAGGAGTTAGAGACCAGCCTGGGCAACATGGCGAAACCCCGTCTCTACAAAAAATACAAAAATGTTAGACATGGTGTTGCATGCCTGTAGTCCCAGCTACTCAGGAGGCTGAGGTGGGAAGATAAATTGAGTCCAGGAGTTTGAGGCTGCAGTGAACTGTGACAGTGTCACTGCACTCCAGCCTGAGAGACAGAGCCAGAACCTGTCTCAAACCATCCCCCCAAAATTTACATTACTATGTAGAACTATACACAGTGTGTTTATGCTTGATTAATTGATTTTTTTAACCTGTTAAATAATTTAAAGTTGAGAACCAAATAGAAATGAACCTAACAAGCTTCACATAGTCACTAAAAACCAGACAATAGTGCAGGCTTTTGTACAACTAGTGATGTGTGTGTATATGATATTAGGAATGATCATCAATTCTCCCTTGTATCTGGGCATTTCAGATCGGTCAAGGATCATTATATCAAATTAGAGCTGTGGCCAACAATGAGTAAGGAGATTGAATTGGTAATAAAAGGTTTCACATCAAGGAAAAGACAGGACCTGATGGCTTCACTGCTTAATTTGACCAAACATTTAAAGAATTGATACCAATCTTTCTCAAACTCTCAAAGCATAATACCAAAGTGTAAATTATCCCTGGATGCAAGGATGGTTCAACACATGCAAATTAATATATGTGACACAACACATTCACAGAATGAAGGACAAAAACCATATGATCATCTCAATAGATGCAGAAAAAGCATTTGACAAAACTCAGCATCCTTTCAGTATAAAAACTCTCAATAAATTAAGTATAGAATGAATGCACCTGAACACAATAAAGGCCTTATATGACAAGGCCACAGCTAGCATCATACTCAGTGGTGAAAAGTTGAAGGCTTTTTCTTTAAAGTCAGGAACAAGATAAGGTTGCTCACTCTTGCCACTTCTTTTCACCGTAGTGCTGGAAGTCCTTGCCACAGTAACTAGGCAAGAGAAAAAAAATAAGTCATCCAAATCTGAAATGAAGAAGTTAATTTGTCTGTTTGCAGACATGATGTTATATACAGAAAACCCTAAAGTCTCCAAGTTACAATTAATAAATGAATTCGGTAAAGTTGCAGGAAAAAAAGCAACATACAAAAATAAGTAGTGTTTTAATACACTAACAATGAACTATTTAAAAGGGAAATCAAGAAAGTATCTTATTTACAATAGCTACAAATAAATACTTACAAATAAATTTAGCCAAGGAGGTAAAAGATCCGTACACTGCAAGCTATAAACCATTGATGAAAGAAATTGAAGAAACAACTAAATAGAAAGATATTTTGTGTTCAATGATTGGAAGAATTAATATTGTTAAAATGTCCATACTATCCAAGGCAATGTACAGATTCAGTCCAATCTGTATCAAAATCCCAATGAAATATTTCACTGAAATAGAAAAAACAATCCTAACATTTGTATGGAATCACAAAAAATCCTGAAGAGCCAGAGCAATCTTAAGCAAAAAGAACAAAGCTGGAGGCATCACACTACTTGATGTCAATATATATTATAAAGTTGTAGTAATCAAAACAGCATGGTACTGGCATAAAAACAGACACATCAACCAATGGAACAGAATCAGAGTAGAGAGACCAGAAATAAACCCATGCCATTTACAGTCAGTTCATTTTCAACAAAGATGCCACGAACACACAGTGGAGAAGGAACAGTCTCTTCAATAGACAGTTTTGGAGAAACTGGATGTCCACATGCAGAATAATGAAATTAGACCCTTATCTCATACCATATACAAAAATTAACTCAAAATGGATTAAAAAACATCAGACCTGAAACTATAAAAGTGCTAGAAGAAAACAGGAGGAAAGTTCCATAACATTGGTTTTGCATAGGCAACAAAAACAAAAATAGACAAATAGGATCACAGCAAACTAAAAAGCTTCTGCTCTGTGAAGGAAACAACCAACAGAATGAAGAGACAACCTATAGAATGAGAGAAAATATTTCAAACTATGCATCTGATAAGGAGTTACTATCCAAAACATATAAGGTACTCAAACAACTTAGCAGCAAGAAAACAAATAACCTCATTTAAAAATGGGCAAAGAACCTGAACAGAGATTTCTCAAAAGATGTACCAACAGCCAACAAGTATATGAAAAAATGCTCAACATCACTAATTATCAGAGAAATGTAAATTAAATCTACAATAAGCTATCACTTCACGTATGTTAGAATAGCTGTTATCAAAAAGTCAGAAGATAACAAGTATTAGGGAAGATGTGGAGAAAAGGGAACTCTTGCATACCATTGATGGGAATGTAAATTAGTACAAACATTATGGAAAACAGTAAGGAAATTCCTGAAAAAATTAAAAATAGAACTAGCATATGATCCAGCAATTCCACTACTGAGTATATATACAAAGAAAATGACATTAGTATATTGAAGAGATATCTGCATTCCCATATGGATTGTAGCATTATTCCCAATAACAAGATACAGAATCAACCTAAGTGCTGGTAAAGGATGAATGGATTTTTAAAAATGTTATATATATATATATATATATATATATATACATACACATATAACATATCACATTTATACACACACAATGTAATGTTTTAAAAGTTTAAAAAATGTTCTATATATAATATACATATCACATTTATACACACATACACACATACAATAGAATATTATTCAAACTTAAATTTAAAAAAGAAGAAAATCCTGTCATTTGTATCAACATGGATGAACCTGAAGGACATTATGCTAAGTGAAATAAAGCACAGTAAGACAAATACCTCGTGATCTCACTTATTTGTGGAATCTATAAAATTTGATTTCTAGAAATAGAGAGTAGAATGGTGGTTGGGAGGGGAGGGAGAATTGAGGAGATGTTGGTCAAAGGATACACAATTTCAGTTAGGAGAAATAAACTCAGGAGATTTATTGTACAACATGGTGACTATAGTTGAAAACAATGTATGATGTACTTGAAAATTGCTAAGAGAGTAGATTTTAAATGTTCTTACCACATAAAAAATAAATATGTGAGGTAATGCCTATGTTAATTAGCTGAATTTAGCCATTTCACAATTATGCATGATTCAAAACATCATTTTGTGCAGCATAAATATATACAATTTGTATTTATCAGTTAAAAAAAATCAACAATGACAAGGCCAAGTGGGGTGGTTCATGCCTGGAATCCCAGCACTTTGGGAGGCTGAGGCAGGCAGATCACCTGAGGTCAGGAGTTGGAGACCAGCCTAGCCAACATGGTGAATGAAACCCTGTCTCTACTAAAACTACAAAAATTAGCCTGGCGGTGGCGCACGCCTGTAATCCCAGCTACTCGGGAGGCTGTGGCAGGACAATTGCTTGAACCCAGGAGGCAGAGGTTCCAGTAAGCCTGAGATCACACCACTGCACTCCAGCCTGGGTGACAAAGCGAGACTCCATATCAAAAAAAAAAAAAATCAACAACAACAAAAAGTAGACACACAAAGTCTCCTCATCCCAAACCATTCACATTATTATAGCTGTAGGCCACTATATATTAATGTCCAAATTCATCATGAGCCATAGAGCAGACAAATGATAGAATTTGGAGTTGGAAGAATCTTCAGGGCTTACTGAATGTGGGGGCAAGAACAGCAACATTATATAAAGAACCCCATTCTCTTCCTAGCTGTGCCACGCATACCTTCTTTAGCCTAAATTTTTTATCAGTAAAGTGAGAGTTGGGGTATAAATGACTTCTTTGTGTTAGAGGGCAATTTAAAAAATTAATTCCTCTCTGCATTCTAAAGGATGGTGAAAAAGAGCTGAATTACATAGGACAATAAGTTTTTGAGAAGCCAACTGGGAAACAGAAGAAGGAAGATGTCACCAGACAAAAGAAGTCTAATGGGAGGAATCCGTGGAATTTTCTTTTGCATGCTTGTGTGAGTGTCCCAATAAGCCTTGCGCATTCTTTGGGAGTTAGAATATTGGGACAGATTGGGAAGGTACCAGGGATGTATTGCAAAGTACAACTAAGTCCATCTAAGGGATCTAATATGCGCCAGGAGTGAGAAGAGAAGCTGTCCAAAAAAGGCCAGTTATCTTGGGTTCCATGAGATTCTTTGCGTGTCTCAAAATCTCTGGCTGTGAAAGCTATCCCTCCTTCATAGCATTTATCTTAAATAATAGCTTGCTTTTTTTCTAAATTCTCTCAGAATTTTTGATGAGCCATTTGGAACCTGACTGATGTATATCTCTGTGCTATATATAAAGAAAGGATTTGTCCAAAAGAAAAAAAAAAAATCACACAAACAGGACTATAAAAACGACACTCAAGAAAAAAAAAACTGCTTGAAAGAGCAGTTTTCAAACACCTTAAGTACTTTAAAACATGATTTTATCAATTTTCCTTCATGAAATACATTAAAGTTATGACCAATCATCTAAAATGATGTGTCTATATGTTTTCTCTAATTGTGCACAAAGATAATTGGAAGACATTTCCTTTTTAATGTGTAAATTATAACAAGATTTAGGGAAGTTGGCTAATAATATGGCAGGCTGATTAGATGAATTAGTAAATTAACCCAAGCTGTTACTATACATATGTAAGTCCTCTGAAATAGGAATTTTTAATTGATTCCTCAAGGGTGCTTGTTAAAGTGGCAAGATGGTTGCTTGACTGTTCATGTAAATAATGAAAAAAAAAACTAACATAAAAAAAGGAGCCAGTTAACCTCCATACTGGTGGTAATGAACTTCATACAGACGCCATAATCACTGAACATCAAAGTTCCAGTTGAAATGCAAGCCCAGATAATTTCATTTGCTCTCTTCCTGCTCCCCTTCCAACTCCCTCCATCTCCAGTCTCATCCACCAGCAAGGGCAGACCCCTCTTGTCACATACCCATGCCCACACTCCAGTCCCCTCCAGCTCAGTTGTCCTCTTTGCCTCTATCTTATACTAGGGATTTGTGCATCATTCTAATGCTCATATCCTATTTCCCCTATAAAGTGCTAAATACATCGAAGTTTCATGTAGTGTCATGTAGTAGAAAGGGAATGGGATTTCATCTGCCTGAGCTGGGTTCAAATCCTAACTACTCAATTTTATAAATGTGCAACTTATGGAAAGTGACTTAACTAAAGTCCATGTTTCCTCATTTGTAATTTGAAGATGGTAATACCTATTTTGCATGGTTGCTGTGGGAATTTAAGATGATGTAGATAAAGCTCCCAGGATTTAGCACTTCATTAGTAGTGAAAATTATTTTCTTTGTCTGTGTCCTTTTATTGAAATCCAGCTTTACTTCAAGTGACACTGCTTCCACCACAACACTCTGTTACTACTATATTTTGGCCTCTGTTTTAAATTTTAAAAATTAAAAAAGAAAACTTTTATTTTAGGTTCAGAGGTACATGTGCAGGTTTGTTATAGGGTAAATTGCCATGTCGTGGGGGCTGGTGTACAGGTTATTTTGTCATTCAGGTGATAAGCATATTACCTGATAGGTAGGTTTTCAATCCTCATGCTCCCCTCTCCCTCCACTCTCAGGTGAGCTCTGGTGTTCGTTGTTCCTTCTTTGTGTCCGTGTGTACAAAAGGTTTAGCCCCCACTTATAAGTGAGAACATGTGGTATTTGGTTTTCTTTTCCTGTTTTAGTTCACGTAGGACAATGGCCTCCAGTTCCATCCATGTTGCTGCAAAGGACATTATCTTGCTCTTTTTTATGGCTGTGTAGTATTCCATGGTGTGTATATACCACATTTTCTTTATCTAGTCTGCCAGCAAAAAACAAATAACCTAATTAAAAAGTGGGCAAAAGACATGAACACTTTTCAAAGGAAGAGACACATGTGACCAACAAGCATATGAAAAAATGCTCGATATCACTAATCATTAGAAAAATGCAAATCAAAACCAAATGAGGGCTGGGCATGGTGGCTCATGCCTGTAATAACAGCACTTTGGGAGGCTGAGGCGGGCAGATCACCTGAGATCAGGAGTTTGAGACCAGCCTGGCCAACATGAACAAATCCTGTCTCTACTAAAAATACAAAAATTAACTGGGCATGATGGTGCATGCCTGTAATCCAAGCTACTCAGGAGGCTGAGGCAGGAGAACCACTGGAACCCAGGAGGCAGAGGTTGCAGTGAGCCAAGATTGCACCACTGCACTCTAGCCTGGGTGACAGAGTGGGACTGCATCTCAAAAAAACCCGGAAAAACAAAAAACCAAATGAGATACCGTCTCTCACTAGTCAGAGTGGGTATTATTTTGGCTTCTTAAAGAGGACTCAGCATTATCCTGGTTCCCCAAAACTGCTTTCTGACAATTTTATGTAGTTTTCACCTAAAATGAAGTGTCCTGGACACTTGCATCTTTTACTTTCAAACACAAACATTTATGCAATTATTCTTTTATTTAATCCTTACAAGAATTCCAGGTGGTAGGGAGGGCCCATGTTATTATCTCCATGATATATTCAAGTTCTTGTTACTGTCACCCCTGGGTCATTTCTTCTTAACCCTAAGGACTTTGGAGCTTGGCTCACAGCTTCTCTCTGTTCTAGCATCTACTGTCAACTTTAGTGACATCATGATATTTACTGATGAGCCATCAAATGGCCTGCCCTTACACGGACATTTACCTCCATTTCATTTTACCAATTCCATTTACAGAAGTATATTTTGGACTTTTGTATCACTTTTAACTGCTCCTCTGAAAATCTGAATTTTTAATTGACTTTGTCTGCCGGCAACCTTGTATTTTTTTCTCTTCTCAAACTTTTCCATTTCCATAAAACCTGTCCTTCTGCCTCAGGACACAGTCCTCCTTCTTGAATCCTTCCTAGTCCACTTCATTTCTTCCATAACCAGCCTGAATTTCCAGCATGTGCTTGTTCTTTCATTCGTTCACTTGTTCATTCATTTATTCCACATTTGTTGAGTGTATTTTGTGTGTCAGACACTGTGGCAGGAACTGTGCTAAGCTCTCACCTCAATCCACAAGTAGCTAAGGGCAGGCTGGTCAGTCAGTTCTTTCATCATACCCTCTTTGACACTTTTGGATTCGTTATCCTCTTTTCTTTCCTTTGTTCCTAGCAGGCAAACTATCTGATTTATTTCTTTCTTTCCCTGTTCTTAGACCCTCTGGCTCTAATCATCTCTAGGGAACATCTTGTCTCCTTCTGACTCCTTGCCTGAGCTGAGCCTTCAGTGCAAATCTAATTACTCATATATCCCGGACAGTCCTCTTTCTCTGCAGCCTCCGTTATTCCAAAGCTTTACTTTCTCTTCAAACCTGTGGGCACCCTCCACATTCTAGCTCTCCAAGTGGATGACCCAGCCCGGCTTTACTAAGAAAACAAAGACCATCAGTTGTGAACTCCCTCAGTATCCCTCACCAGTTATCTAGACTTCTTCCATATTATTCTCCTGTTTTTTCCCCTCCCCCACCAAAAGGTAAGATCAATGCTATGGTCTGACTGTGTCCTCCAAAATGCATATGTTGAAACTTGATCACAATGTGATATATAGTATTAAGAAGTGGAGCCTTGCCAGCACCTTAATCTTGGACTTTCCAGCTTCCAGAACTGTGAGAAATAAATTTATATTATTTATAAATTATCCAGTCTCAGGTGTTTTGTTTTAGTGGCAAGAACTGACAAAGACAATAAAGCAAGAGAAGACATTGTTTTCACAGGAAGCACCTTCATAGGTTCTTTGGTCCCATCTCCTGACTTCCACCTTGATTTCTTATATTATGTGTTCTTTCAATCTTCCATGTCACTTTCTTCAATAGATTCTTACCCTTAGCCTACAAATATTTTCGGAGTTTTCTTTTCAGCCTCCCTACTCCCCAAGCTTCCACACAAAATTCCATTAACAATCAGCAATCTTGAGGAAAATGTCTTCATTCATTGCCTTCAGTAATTTGCCTTTTCTTCCTCCAAAACTAACAAAATTGCTTCAATACCTACTAGCCAATTTCCAGTGGCCCTTCAGGCTTCTAGTTCCTGGAAACAATTGCCCACCTCTTGTGTTTATTCTGACCCAGTCTACCGTCTGGCCAGATCTTGGCAAGTAGGAGCTCCAGCAAAAATCCTAGACCTTTTTTTTTTTCCCCCTTTTTCCAGTCTTGATCCTCCACCTCCGAGGTTCTGCATTTACTTGGTGTTTGACCTTTTGCTCCATCTTTGACTTCCAGCCAAAACTTATCACTTCAATCTGATGACAGGTTTGCATTCTCTGGCAAATCTTTGGAACATGCCTACAGTGCCTGACAGAGTTCCAGGCACTGTAACCCTACTCTGTGCCTAGTTAGCATATCTGGTTTCCCTGCGGGGTCTGGTCTGACCTCCTCGGCATAAGTGGGAGTCTTAAAATCTCACCTCCCTTGGTTTTCATGACACTTTCCTCTCCTGATGCTTTTTATACTCCTGTAACCACTCTTTCAAATATCTTGTGAAATCTCTTCTTTCTTCTCTTCTCACTCTATACTCTTTTCTTGGCAGATCTCATCCACTCCATTGGCTTAAATACCATCTCTACATGGCCAGCTCCCAAATTTATAATTCCAATTTTGATTTTTTTTCTAAGTTCTACATATGTAATGCAAAATGCCCACTGGATAGCTTCTGTAATTTGGACCTCAAATTCAACATAATTAAAAGCAAATTTATCATCTTTTCCTTCTAATCTGTATCTTTTCTGTGTTCCCTGTCTTGGTTAATGTTACTTTTAACTGATTGTACCAGGGGTCCCCAATCCTGGGGCCAAGGACCGGTATCACTCTGTGAAACTTCATCTGCATTTATAGCTGCTCCTGGTTGCTCACATTACGGCCTGTATTAGTCCATTCTCACACTGCTGTAAAGAACTGTCTGAGACAGGGTAATTTATAAAAAGGTTTAATTGACTTACAGTTCTGCAGGGCTGGGGAGGCCTCAGGAAGGTTACAATCATGGTGGAAAGGGAAGTAGGCACATCTTACATGGCAGCAGGTGAGAGAGAGAGAGTGCGAAGGGGGAAGAACCCTTTATAAAACCATCAGATCTTGTGATAACTCACTCACTATCATGAAAACAGCATGGGGAAAACCACCCCCATGATCCAATCACCTCCCTCCCTTGACATGTAGGGATTGTAGGTCCATCCCTCAACACATGGGGAATACAATTTGAGATGAGATTTGGGTGGGGAAGCAGAGCCAAACGATATCACTGCCTGAGCTCTGCCTCCTGTCAGATCAGCAGAGGCATTATGTTCTCACAGGATTGCAAACTCTATTGTGAACTGCACATGTAAGGGATCTGGGTTGCATGCTCCTTATGAGAATCTAATGCCTGATGATCTGTCACTGTCTCCCATCACCCCCAGATAGGACTGTCTAGTTGTATGAAAACAAGCTCAGGGCTCCCACTGATTCTACATTATGGTGAGTTGTATAATTATTTCATTATATATTGCAATGTACTAATAATATAAATAAAATGCACAATAAACATAGTGCACTTGAATCGTGTCAAAACCATCCTCCCCCACCCCAGTCTGTGGAAAAATTGTCTTCCATTAAACCGGTCCCTGGTGCCAAAAATGTTGGGGACCACTGGCTTACACCTAACAGCTACTTGAATATTATGGTCTCTTTTATCTGTTTTTGTATCAGTTTCTTCTGATGCAGCCTGAATCCTTCCTTGCATTGTCTGTTGCCTGGACTTTTCCAATAGTCTAATACTTGCCTCCTTCTCACACCAGCTTCCCTCTTCAAGTTATTTTCCACAGGGTACCAGAGTTTACCTTCTAATGGATAGTTTTGTTTATGTCACTCCCCAGTTTTAAAGCCTTTTCCTGGATTCTGCTGCCTATAGGGTAAAGTCTAAATTCTTTAACTTGGCACACAAGCCTCTTCATAATCTTTCCACAACTCAATTTTTATCTTAAGATTCAAAGCTTTGCCTGTGTTTTACTACATATGCCAGTTACTTTAGACAACTTGTTGTTTCTGAAATGTCATGTAATATTTTCACATCTAAAGTTCTATGTATGCTTTCTCTTCTGTCTAAGGTGACTTTGCTTTCTTTTCTTCCAATTTAAACCTTAATTCAATGTCCGTCTCTGCTACCAGAGCTTCTGGAAAGCCTTTCCTAAGATATTCCATTGTGTTTACATGGCACTTACATTCCTCTCCTGCACATGTGACTCAGGGACCCAGGCTCCTTCCACCTTGTGGCTCTGCTGTCTCCTGGAACTCTTAGAGAGTTTTACTAGATTTTCTGCATCTGGTTGGAAGATGAGGAAGGTAAATGGAGGATCACACACGGGAAAGTGTTATGGCATATATCACTGCTGCTGACAACCCAGGGACTAGAACTCAGTCATGCGGCCGTAGCTAACTGCAATGGAGGGTGAAAAGAGTAGTCTAGCTGTGCCTAGGAGGGAGAGGGAAATGGTTTAGTGAACAGCTAATAAAGGTTTTCTACACTGGCACATGGGAGTTGGTTAGTATATGTTTGTGAATTGAATGAATACATTATTATAGAATAGGCATTAGCTGAGGTAATTCTGTATCAGTGTTCTAGCCTTTCAGATTCCTTACTGGCTTCTGACTTTGTAATTCCAAAAATAAAAAAAAATACCTTCAGGTTTGGTCAGAAAATTGATTGTACTGCTTGACCAAACATTTTCATTAATAACGTTTATTATATATAATCTGTACTGACATTGTAAATTCTCAGAGATCGAACACTATCAAAGAACATAAATAGTGTAATGAAGATCATTTAATGTATGTTCCTCCCAATGATTTACAAATCATTCAAAATTACTTCATGGTGTTGCCAGGCTTCAAAGCCATTAAATTCAAATCCATCCAGTTAACAGTTTGCTGGGAATGGCAGACCCTGTGCAAAATGCAATCCTACTGTGTGCAGTAGAAAGAACATTGAGGGTGCTAGTCTGACTGCACTGCTTCCTGACTGGGTGTAACTGATAAGTTACTTAGCAAAAATTTCTTTTAAAATAATGGACTTTTAATGGATGATCTCTTAAGTGTCTTGCAACTTTAGCATTCACTACTAGGATTTGTTTGAAAGTGCTGGTTAATAGAGGATAGGCTGGTTAATAGGCTAATAGGATGGTAGTCAACAGAGAGTTTACTATTTCTAAGTGAGTTAGGTTAAATTGTGTTTAGTATTAGAAGTGTGTTAGTCATCTTTAAAGGCCAAGGGAAAGTACTGTCTAAAATTACATGAGGACTTCTTTATTGCTATACTTATAATCTGATGAAAGCACAGCAATTATTGGACCCATTTGCAAAGGCTGTTCCCCTTGCCAGTGTTCATGCAATATCGCATACCTGTCATACTGCTAAATGGTCCACTATGAGAATAGCCAATGGCTTTTGTTATCTTAATAGCATCATATCTCAAGATGCTATCATTGTGGAAGAAATCAGTTTGCTTATTGGCAAAGAGTGCTTTGAAATAATTTGCAAAAGGCTTGTTTAGGGACCATGGAAGTAAGATTGACACCGAGGAAATGTGCATCGCTTCTTGGTGGGATGCAGATTGCCTTGCCTATGGCTCAGCTTATACGTTTTCCTACCATCCTATCTAGTATCAGTAAACGTGGCCTGCTTTCATTTTTTTCTCCAGGTAACACTCGTGAAGCAGCAAAAGAAGATCCACGTTATTCCAGAAATTAATGCCAGCGAAGTCAATCGTGTACATCAAGTTAGCACAATTTCTTTCTGATGGTCCTGAAAATATAGGGGGACTTGGAGTTAACACCTGTGATGCAGAAACTAATCTGCCATTCATTTGATGTGCCATGTTGGTCAAATATGTTAAGCCCACACTTCCTGACTTGTTCTTCATGAAATGGGAATAATGCATTCATTTATTTATTGAGCATCTACTATGTGCTAGGTACTCTTCTGGGATTGGAGAAATAGTAGCAAACAAACTAAATTACCACCACCATGGAGTTTACATCCAAGTAGAGAAAGCATACAAAAGCTACATCTTGTCATATGGCAAAAGTGCTATGGGGAAAATTAAAGCAGAGTAAGCGGGGTGAGGGGGAGAGTAGGAGATGGTGTACTATTTTTTTTGAGTAGTCAAGGGAGAATTCTGAATAGGTAACATTTGAGGGAAAACTTGAACAAAATGAGGGAGGAAGCTATGTAGATATCAGAAGAGAGTACGTGTCAAGAAAAAGAGAACACATGTAAAAAAACCTGAAAAATTAATAATTTCTTTTCGTCTACATTATAGGGTTGCTGTGAGGATCAAATGAAATAATATATGTGATCTGTATGTACGTACGTGTGTGTGTGTGTGTGTGTGTGTGTGTGTGTGTATTTAGAGACAGGGTGTCACTCTGTTGCTCAGGCTGGAGTGCAGTATTATAATCTTAACACACTGCAGCTCCAAACTTCTGGACTCAAACGATCCTTCCACCTCAGCCCTCCTAGTAGCTGGGACTACAGGTATGCACCACCATACCCACTTAATTTTTTAATTGTTTATAGAGACAGGGTCTTGCTATATTGCCCAGGCTGGTCTTGAACTCCTGGCTTCAAGCCATCCTCCCACCTCCTCCTCCCAAAGTGCTGGGATTATAGGCATGAGCCACCATGCCTGGCCTGATCTATATATTTTTAAGCATTGAATTCATTTTGCTGCTTTTGTGGTTACTATTTTTATAGCTCATTGTTGCAAAGTGAACTCTTTTATGTCTCATTAAAAGAGAGAAATTCTCTGACAGAGAACTTAAAGAATGTGTACCAACTGGCTATCATCTTAAGGTTCAGTAGTGAAAATACACTTTATCTGTACTTTCAGAGCACTTATAAATTACTGGAAGATGTGTGTGTAAAATAGAGCACAGTATAAGAGAAAATAACACAAAGCAAGTGTCAAGTTGATGCAGCAGTCTAGTGAATCTTCTCTGAGATTTGAGAATTCAGTGATTCTTATGACATAAGAGATAGATTTCTCTATTTAGGAATTCTTCTTACATCAGATTTTCCTCTCCCTGTCTCCTTCTCTTTCCTTTATTTCTTGCTTTCCTGCCTTTTACATGCACATTTTGTGATGGTTTAGAAGAAGATCACAAACAGTAAATGGTGGTTGAGAAAGAGGAACTTGTAACATTGGCATGAATATAGCTAAGAACACATTTCTTAATGTTATATTCAAACACTATTAGGTAATTACATGACAAGTTAAGTGACAGGCAACTTTTATAATTTTCTCAGATAAACAGGGATGGGGAAGTCATGGTTCTTTGCTTCTGTTCCTCTAATATTGGGGAACAGCTGACTTGAGTATGGAAACATTCTTGCCACCTATTTGTATTTGTTTTTTGGTTTGTTTTTGGTTTTGAGGCAAAGTCTCCCTCTATCACCCAGGCTGGAGTGCAGTGGCACGATCTCGGCTCACTGCAACCTCTGCCTCTGGGGTTCAAGAGATTCTCCTGCCTGAGCCTCCTGAGTAGCTGGGATTACAGGCGTGCACCACCACGCCTGGCAAATCTTTGTATTTTTAGTAGAGACAGGGTTTCCCTATGTAGGCCAGGCTGGTCTTGAACTCCTGGCCTCAGGTAATCTGCCTGCCTCATTATGGGATTACAGGGATGAGCCACCGTACCCGGGCTGTATTTGTTTTAATATACAAGTGGAATAAATATTCAAAATCCTTTGTGAAGTAAGGCAGGGTGTATAGAAACATATAAACAACACACTTTGGAAACAGGAAAACAGAACTGAAAGAATGTTTATAAAGGTGCACAATGAAAGAGCAATTCCACAGAGGGATTGTTTAGATTAGTGAAATACTCATGCCTGGGGTAAGTGACATAATGCATGTTTGTGTATATGACTATTATGTATTTAAAATATCATTGAAAATTATAAATATATTCCCCATCCTTGACACTAACCCATACCAAGATCTGAAAATCAGAACCTCTTTTGTAATGATTTGTAGACAGTAAATTCTACATTCTTTCATTGATTCATTTATTTGTTACCTTAAGTTCAAGGCTTGCAATGCTTTCTGAGCATCTGCTGTATAACTTTGGGGTCATGGTTTTATAGTGCCTGGGAAAAGAAACAGGGCTAGAGATATATAGAGCACTGGGGTTTTAATTGCTTTAGTTGGCAAAAAGAAAAGGATTTCTGTCTGAGTTCTCCTAGGTCTCTTTTCTCAAGTTTACACCAAGCGCTACATGCACTGACCTCCCATCCCCTATAAATAATTCACAAGAGATTCATGATTTTTAAACACTGGGATGCTTAAGGCACATCTGGGGTGCTTGCTACAAATGCAGTGACCCTGATTCAGTATGTGTGGGGTGCTGCCCAGAGAATCTGTATTTTAAATAAGGACCCAGATGCTTCTGATGCAGGTGGTCTGTGGACCACACTGGGAGAAACACTGTTAAGACAAATTTACTCAAAGGTAAAGAAGTCTTTAGAGAAACTAAATGTTGAAGTGAGTGGCAAATGGTTGCAAGGTGGTTCTGCTTGAGCAGGAGACCTAGAATCCTGTGAAGTTGGTGGAGGCAGAGGAAAGATTTTAGTAAAGAATTTTTATAACATTTTAATAAAGAATTATGAGCTGATTTAGTTAGAAGGAACTATGGCGGGTATTAGAGAAAAGAACATTGGTTGATAAAGTTAGACGGGCCTTGAAGGCAAGGGGACGATTTCTCCCAGGTAGATATGGGGCCCAGAGGAGGGACATTACTAAGAAATGGTTCTGGTTAGTATAGTGACACACCAAAGTACTCTAAAACTAATTAATAGTTGTTTACAGTTGTGCCCATGGATTAGGAATGTGGATTGAGCACATGGGGGTTAGCTAGTCTCTGCTATAGGATATTTGAGACCTCAATTGAGAAGACTCAAAGGCTAGGAGTGACTCAAAGGATGGGGTTTGGAACCATCAGCAAGCACCTTCATTGATATTCCTGACACCTGGGCTGCACTGGTTTGAAAATCAGGACTGACGACTGCAGTGTCCACACATTGGGCTTTCTATGTGGTGTGGCTTCCTCAAAATATGGTGGCCTTGGGGCAGTTGACTTTTTACATGGTGGCTCAAAGCTCTAAGAGCATGAGTGTTCTGGTGAACAACATGGAAACTGCATTATCATAAGACTTATGGTCTAGTCTCAGAAGTCACACAGCCTCACTTCTGCAATACTGTATTGATTGAAGCAGTCGCAAGCCCACCTAGATTCAAGGAGAGGGAAATTAAACACTTCCTGATGGGATAGTGGCAATGTCACAAAGAGAAGAGCACATGGTATGAGGAATATTGTTGTGCCATCTTTGGGAAATAAAATTTTTATAGAATTTATAAATTTATATAAATATAAAATTATATAATTTTATAGAATTTATAGATTATAGAAGGAATCTGGAGAGTTGAGTGATGGGAAGAATGGGAAAAAATGGATCAATCAATTGTGGAAAGTATATTCAATGCAATACTATACAGCAGTGAAAATGAGTTAACTACCACTACATACATGA
Organism: Homo sapiens; assembly: GCF_000001405.40. Lineage (NCBI taxonomy): Eukaryota > Metazoa > Chordata > Mammalia > Primates > Hominidae > Homo > Homo sapiens. The sequence continues at coordinate 148,489,116 of NC_000004.12, forward strand.
ATGTGGATGAAGCTTAGAAGAAATACTGTGTGTTGTTAAAAGTTTCAAAAACGTTTCATGCTACCAGTTTTATAAACTTCAAATTTGCTAAAATAAGCAACACAATTTTATCATTTAGGAATACCTATATATGAGGGGTTTTCAAAAAGTTTTTGGGGCTGGTTTACTCTTTCCAACTACACTTTAAGATAATCCCAGGGAGGATGCTCCTTTAAACAGTTTTTAGCCTGACATCTCTCTCTTAGGCTCCAGGATGATATTAGACTCTTCTGTTCTGCTCCATTAGGTCAACCCAACATATCTAAAAACCAAATTCAAGAAATTCCTTCATTCTTCCAGTTCCTCAGGTTAGGCCTCTTCCCTCTTCATAATTTCAGTTCCTCAGGTTAGGCCTCTTCCCTCTTCATAATTTCTCCTGAATGTCTGCATCTATACTTTCTGTTTTATTCTCATTGTCATAGTCCAGAACAGATCCAGGTTTAGATCCAGGTTTAGACTCTCTTTCAGACAGTGGCACCATGCTTGGCCAGCGGTCATCTTTTGGTGTATCAAGTTGGTGAATGCTCATCTGCTTGCTTTCAAGCTTCTAAGATTTTGTTGACATATCTAATGTGCTGTTGTCTGTGCTCCTATTCTTTAAGCCTTAGGAGCTTTCTCCTCTGTGACCCTGTTAATGTAATTTTGTAGAGTTTTCTAAGCAGGCAGAGGTAAATATATGCATTCAACTTGCCATCTTTAACAAAAAGTACCCATATACCCATATACTGTTTGAAATATTTTACAATATTATTAATGACTGCATAGTAACTCCTGCTCTTCTTCTTCTTATAATTTTTATTTTTATCTTTTAGTTCCATTTTCCACAAGCTTTTTGAAGTCTCCTTGTATGTGGTATGACCCTTAAGAAAATGCAAGCCGATTAAATAAAGAAAACAAAGTTTGGGATATTGGTGATCTCTGGGGGATACGGATGGGAAAATGAAAGAACAGAGAAGAACACACGGGAAATTTGTAGGTTCCAGCAGTGCTCTGCTTTTTAGATGGGGGGTGGATTCATGGGTTTTCATCCCATTCTTTATTCATTTACTACTATTTTACACATGTTACCTGAGTGATTAATGTACTTATTCATTCAACAAATATATATTGAGAGCCTAGTATATGTCTGACACGTGTTAGCCAGTGAGAATTGAACGATGATTAAAATAGTCATGGCTCCTGACTTTACAGAAGGGATTTATGATAAAGAAATACACAGGAGAGGAAACAAATAGGGAATGACACACAGTGAGATAAGTCCTTTTATAGGAGGACAACGGCGGTGAGAGGCACATGTCCCAGACTTGGAAGTCAGGAAAGGTTTCTGTAAGGAAAACGCATTTTAATCAAGACCTAAAGGATGAATAAAGAAATAGAAGAGTATGTTCAAGGAAGGATTTGAAGGTGAGAGGGGCCTAACATGTTTGTGGTATTGAACATAAAAGGTGAGATGGGAAATAAACAAAGATGATTTTGGACAGTTAAATAGGTCCCAAGTCATAAAAGTTCTTGGGAACTATTTGCATTCATGGGGACTCTCTGTGGCAAGCACCAGAAGCACACCTCAAACAACTCAAAAATATTTTAATCATAAATATGAAGCACCATCTATAGAGCCCTAGGACAGGAGTGGGGCTAGTTCACAGGGACATCTGACCTTGAATAACATCAGCACCTGCTCGTCTTGGTTCATCCTGTGTATCTGTTTTCTTTCTCTCTGCAGACACCTCTTCTTCTAAGGGTCACATAACAGGAAACATGACCGCTGACTCTATTATTCCCAAGTCCTAAAATCCAGAAAAAGAGACTTGTCAACTATGACAAGATTAATAACACAGCTGTCATGGAAACCACATAGATAGATGGGAGCAACAGCTTGGGAAGAGATCCATGTCTCTCTGCTAAGAACTGGTATCTTTTCCTAAAAGCAATAAGAGGATGTTAATATAACCTGATTTGCATACTAGAAAGATGACTTTGTCCAGAGTTTGGAGCATGTTTTGGGGTAAAGGGGTGGTGGCGATAGGGCCAAAGATAAGTTGGGAGCTTGCTGCAGATGATAGAGAATGCAGTGTGGGTAGTGGCAGTGGGCCATTGAGGGCATGTGACATTCCTTTCATTTATTTTCTACTAGACGTGAGTATTCCAAACTTGTGTCACTGACCATTTTCCCAAAAATTCTGGCACCCAAAAAGGAGTGGACAATGTTTCTGTGGTCAATGGGATAGCCTTCTACAGGAGATTAGTAATGCAAATTAGCATATCAAAGGATCTAAGAAATTGGTTGTTAAAGAAACAAGTTCAATTTTCTTTGACCCAGTTTCTCACATATACTTGTCAGGTTAGATCTTTCATGTAATATTTATGAACAGCCCACAGAATTATGTCTTCACAGCTTGGAAATACCATGTAGAGACAATGAAGAGTAAAGAAAAGATGACTAGGTCTAGTTTACTCTTTCCAACCATGCTTTGAGATAATCCCAGGGAGGATGCTGCTTTAAACAGTCTTTAGCCTGAAATCTGTTTCTTAGGCTTCAGGATGATATTAGACTCTTCTATTCTGCTCCATCAGGTAAACCCAGCATATCTAAAAACCAAATTGAAGAGATGCCTTCATTCTTCCAATTCCTCAGGTTGGGCCTCTTCCCTCTTCATGATTCCTCCTGAATGTCTGCATCTTTTCTTTTCATTTTATTCTCATTGTCACAATCAGGGGGTAGATCCAGGTTTAAGGAACTCTCTTTTAGAAAAAATTATAAATACAAAATTAGGCATGGAAGTTAAATTTTATTTAGGCTGGGAAAAGGAATCATAGCACACAAACATCATAAACATTACAAAATCCATACAAATAGCACAACATTTTTATTAATTCACTGCCTAATATACCTGAACACCTTGATTTTTCCCTGATACTTCTTTTTTTTGGGGGGGGGTGGGGGCTATGTACTTGTTGATCACCTCTTTGTAAGCAAAGGACTGTGTAATATTTTCTGTAGAAAGAATAGAAAGGCAACCCAGTCTTTCTTCAACTTAATGGATTCACATTTTTAAAAACTATTAATGGTTTAGAAAAGTTTCTTTCATCATCAGTTCATTATTGGTAATGTCATAAAATTGTTATCAAATCTATGAAAAAACTATCAAAAATTTTTTTTCATAATAAGCTGCTTTAGGCTTACCATGAGATGGGACCAAAAGTTTGTGTTCTATAAACCTAGGAATTATATATATATACACACACACACATATATATATAAAATATCATGTATTTTCACTTATTTCACCTTATATTATATATATAAAATATAATATTTTATATATATAGTATTTTATGTATAATATAATATTTTATATATATAGTATTTTATATATAATATAATATTTTATATATATAGTATTTTATATATAATATTATATATAGTATTTTATATATAAAATATCATATTTTATATATATAGTATTTTATATATAGTATTTAATATATAAAATTTGATATTTTATATATAGTATTTTATATATAAAATATGATATTTTATATATAGTATTTTATATATAAAATATGATTTTTATATATAGTATTTTATATATAAAATATGATATTTTATATATAGTATTTTATATATAAAATATGATATTTTATATATAGTACTTTATATATAAAATACTATATTATATTATATATAGTATCCTCTATACATAGTATTTTATATATATCGTATTTTATATATAAAATATAATATTTTATATATATAGTATTTTATATATAAAATATAATATTTTATATATATAGTATTTTATATATAAAATATAATATTTTATATATATAGTATCTTATATATAAAATATAATATTTTATATATATAGTATTTTATATATAAAATATAATATTTTATATATATAGTATTTTATATATAAAATATAAAATTTTATATATAGTATCTTATATATAAAATATAATATATATAGTATCTTATATATAAAATATAATATTTTATATATATAGTATCTTATATATAAAATATAATATTTTATATATATAGTATCTTATATATAAAATATAATATATATAGTATCTTATATATAAAATATAATATTTTATATATATAGTATCTTATATATAAAATATAATATTTTATATATATAGTATCTTATATATAAAATACAATATTTTATATATATAGTATCTTATATATAAAATACAATATTTTATATATATAGTATCTTATATATAAAATACAATATTTTATATATATAGTATTTTATATATAAAATACAATATTTTATATATATAGTATTTTATATATAAAATACAATATTTTATATATATAGTATTTTATATATAAAATACAATATTTTATATATAGTATTTTATATATAAAATACAATATTTTATATATAGTATTTTATATATAAAATACAATATTTTTATATATAGTATTTTATATATATAAAATACAATATTTTATATATATAGTATTTTATATATAAAATACAATATTTTATATATATAGTATTTTATATATAAAATACAATATTTTATATATATAGTATTTTATATATAAAATACAATATTTTATATATATAGTATTTTATATAGAAAATACAATATTTTATATATAGTATTTTATATAGAAAATACAATATTTTATATATAGTATTTTATATAGAAAATACAATATTTTTATATATAGTATTTTATATATAGAAAATACAATATTTTATGTATATAGTATTTTATATAGAAAATACAATATTTTATGTATATAGTATTTTATATAGAAAATACAATATTTTATGTATATAGTATTTTATATAGAAAATACAATATTTTATGTATATAGTATTTTATATAGAAAATACAATATTTTATGTATATAGTATTTTATATAGAAAATACAATATTTTATGTATATAGTATTTTATATAGAAAATACAATATTTTATGTATATAGTATTTTATATAGAAAATACAATATTTTATGTATATAGTATTTTATATAGAAAATACAATATTTTATGTATATAGTATTTTATATAGAAAATACAATATTTTATGTATATAGTATTTTATATATAAAATACAATATTTTATGTATATAGTATTTTATATATAAAATACAATATTTTATGTATATAGTATTTTATATATAAAATACAATATTTTATGTATATAGTATTTTATATATAAAATACAATATTTTATATATAGTATTTTATATATAGTATTTTATATATAAAATACAATCTTTTATATATATAGTATTTTATATATAAAATACAATCTTTTATATATATAGTATTTTATATATAAAATACAATCTTTTATATATATAGTATTTTATATATAAAACATCATATTTTATATATATAGTATTTTATATATAAAACATCATATTTTATATATATAGTATTTTATATATAAAATATAATGTTTTATATATAGTATTTTATATATAAAATATAGTATTTTATATATAAAATATAATATTTTATATATATAGTATTTTATATATAAAATATAATATTTTATATATATAGTATTTTATATATAAAATATAATATTTTATATATATAGTATTTTATATATAAAATATAATATTTTATATATATAGTATTTTATATATAAAATATAATATTTTATATATATAGTATTTTACATATAAAATATAATATTTTATATATAGTATTTTACATATAAAATATAATATTTTATATATATAGTATTTTATATATAAAATATAATATTTTATATATAGTATTTTATATATAAAATATAATTTATGTATAGTATTTTATATATAAAATATATTTTCTGTATAGTATTTTATATATAAAATGTAATATTTTCTGTATAGTATTTTATATATAAAATATAATATTTTATATATATAGTATTTTATATATATATATATATATTTTGTTTGTTTGTTTGTTTGTTTTTTTGAGACAGAGTCTCTGTTTTCCAGACTGGTGTGCAGTGGTGTGATCAAAACTCACTGCAGCCTCAACTTCCCCAGCTCAAGTAATCCTCCTGCCCTAGCCTCTCAAGTAACTGGGATTACAGGAGCACACCACCATCCCAGGCTAATTTTTGTATTTTTTTGTAGAGACGGGGTTTTGTCATGTTGCCCAGGTCTCAAAATCCTGGGCTCGGGCAATCTGCCTGCTTCTGCCTCCCAAAGTACTAGGATCACAGGCATGAACCATTGTGCCCAGCCTATACCTGTTTTTTACATTTCCAATATAAACAGAAACAAAGTACAGTGTGTTTATTATTATAATGTGGTTATACAGTTATAATGTATATGCTGCACTGTCCAATAATATATTCCTAATGGGACAGAACATCTGTTTTTTGATTAGCTGTCAATGAAAACCAAATCATCCACTTCCAATGTTATACATCTGATGGTTGGAAGAATTTTCCACTGACTTGCTTATGGCTCCATACATTCCAAAATAGTTTTCTGCTTCTATCACCCATTGCCTTTGGGGCCTTGGTGTCTTAGGTCATGGTATGTTGCAATACAGCCTGTGCCTCTGCATCTTCTGGGAGTTGGCACTGGGGGTTAGGCATATTTCTGAAGCCATTTCTATATAGGTAAAGATAATAATAACCTAACTCTTCCGGGAAGTGACTGCAATCCACATAAACATACCCCACTAAACCAGAACTAGATCTCTCTCCAACACAAATCCCACTAGTCTGATTCCCAAAGTGCTCACTGCCACTCCAGAGCACCACAAGAGAAAAATGATATTGAAGGAAGAACTAGGAGTGGAAACAGACGGTGGTCTTAACCAACTATAGTATCTTATTTTTGCAAATTTTACAAACCCTTGTGACTCTGAGGGTATGTCTGGGGTTTTTTTTCTGAGGCCTTGGAAGGGTCCCATTCAAGTTTCATGATACATTCATCTTTGGCCACATCTCTGGGATTAGCCCATAGCTTAGACTATTGCATTAACCTAATGAATTATCTGGATCAAGTCTTCCCTCTCAAACAGGTTGCATAACTGCTGCAATCATCTTTCCCAAATATTACTTTCACGATGACCTTCTTGGCTTAAACATTGGATATCCATAGAATAAAGTCTAAATCCCTTAGTCTGATACTCAAGGTGTCTACAATCTGGCTGTAACTTTGGTTTAGACATTTTTATCCTGTGACTTCCTATACCAATATATATGTATAAAAAAGCAAACAATTGGCCGGGTGTGGTGGCTCACGCCTGTAATCCCAGCACTTTGAGAGGCCGAGGTGGACAGATCACGAGGTCAGGAGATCGAGACCATCCTGGCCAACATGGTGAAACCCTGTCTCTACTAAAAGTACAAAAATTAGCTGGGCGTGGTAACGGGTGCCTGTTATCCCAGGTACTTGGGAGGCTGAGGCAGGAAAATCTCTTGAACCAGGGAGTTGGAGGTTGCAGTGAGCCGAGATCGTGCCACTGCACTCCAGCCTGGCGACAGAGCAGGACTCCATCTCAGAAAAACAAAACAACACAAAACAAAAGCAAACAATCAGTGGGAACCTATGTACTTACAGGCATTTTCCCAAATGTTAATATTTTAAGTCTTTATAACAACCTTTATACATGAGAGAATGCAGGCTCAGAGATAACAGCTGGAATTGGAAGGCAGATAGATGTGTCTGACTCAGTTGTCTTTCTACTGCACTATGTGCTTCTCACTCAGTCCTTGAATTTGGATATAGTTAAAGCCTCCATTTAAATCCCATCCTTTCCGTGAAGCTTTTCCAAATTACTTCCTCAACTATGGGCCCTTCCCTACTCTGAACTCTCACAATATTTGATACCTGTTTTATTCAGTGGGCATATGTTCAACACTGCCTTGCATTTTTCACTTATTTCACCTTTATGTATCCTAATTATGTCTCAGTTCCCAGCCCTCTAGGGGAAGAGAGAATGGCTGATACTTTTGCACATCCTTGTAACACCTGGCAAAGTTCCCTACCCCATTTAATAGATAATTCTGAAATGAGTATATTTGTCCTCCAGTGGGACCCAGAAGATTAAGATAGCAAGAGGAGAGGAGCCAGCCTTGGATCCAGAAGATTAAGGATAAAGGAGGGGGGAATACCAGCATCTTTGCCTCTTGCTATTTATTTACCCCATTATTAGATTATTAGGGTATGGAGAGTTGCCACTGGGGTTTGGTTTTCAATTCTTCCCAGAAGTGCAGCTGCTGATTGACAAGACCTTAGAGAATAGGAAAACAGCATGAGCATCAGTTGGCACTAGCTGCCACAGTGATGTTATTCCCCAAAGCACCACTTTGAGGGGTGACTGACACACCCATCAGCTTTCACAGTCATGACAGAAGAAGACAAAAGAGCTCAATTCCCTGGGGTTCTGAACGCTTTAACGGCAGAAGTAGTTGAAATTTTCCACATCACTCTGACACTTGTCCAGTGTTCTCAAGTAGTTATAAGTTGGCCTTTCTATCATATTTGTTGTCAGTCTTCATTTTTTTTTTAAAGGAAAGAATGATTTAATGACCTTATCAGAATTACTGTAAAGATTTCTGGTGCAATTTTAAATTAAAATGCAAATTGTGTTTTTTAAATTATACTTTAAGTTCTGGAGTACATGTGCAGAATGTGCAGGTTTGTTACATAGGTATACATGTGCCATGGTGGTTTGCTGCACCCACCAACCCATCATCTACATTAGGTATTTCTCATAATGCTATCCCCCCAAGAGGCCCCAGTGTGTGATGTTCCCCTCCCTGTGTCCATGTGTTCTCATTGTTCAACACCCATGCATAAGTGAGAACATGCGATGTTTGGTTTTCTGTTCTTGTGCTAGTTTGCTGAGAATGATGGTTTCCAGATTCATCCATGTGCCCGCAAAGGACATGAACTCATCTTTTTTTATGGCTGCAAGTGTTCCATGGTGTATATATGCCACATTTTCTTTATCCAGTCTATCACTGATGGGCATTTGGGTTGGTTCCAAGTCGTTGCTATTGTGAACAGTGCTGCAGTAAACGGCACTGTTTACTGTGCGTGTGTCTTTATAGTAGAATGATTTGTAATCCTTTGGGTATATACCCAGTAATGGGATGGCTGGGTCAAATGGTATTCCGAGTTCTAGATCCTTGAGGAATTGCCACACTGTCTTCTACAATGGTTGAACTAATTTACACTCCCACCAACAATGTAAAAGTGTTCCTATTTCTCCACATCTTCTCCAGCATCTGTTGTTTCCTGACTTTTTAATGATCGCCATTCTAACTGGCATGAGATGGTATCTCACTGTGGTTTTGACTTGCATTTCTCTAATGACCAGTGATGATGAGCTTTCTTTCGTATGTTTGTTGGCTGCATAAATGTCTTCTTTTGAGAAGTATTTGTTCATATCCTTTGCCAACTTTTCAGTGGGGTTGTTTTTTTCTTGTAAATTTAAGTTCTTTGTAGATTCTGGATATTAGCTCTTTGTCAGATGGATAGATTACAAACATTTTCTCCCATTCTGTAGGTTGCCTGTTCACTCTGATGATTGTTTCTTTTGCTGTGGAGAAGCTCTTTAGTTTAATTAGATGCCATTTGTCAATTTTGGCTTTTGTTCTCATTGCTTTTGGTGTTTTGGTCATGAAATCTTTGCCCATGCCTATGGCCTGAATGGTATTGCCTGAATGGTATTGCCTGAATGGTATTGCCTAGGTTTTCTTCTAGGGTTTTTATGGTTTTAAGTCTTAGGTTTAAGTCTTTAATCCATCTTAATTTTTGTGTAAGGTATGAAGAAGGGATCCAGTTTCAGCTTTCTGCATATGGCTAGCCAGTTTTCCCAACACCATTTATTAAATAGGGAATCCTTTCCCCATTGCTTGCTTTTTTCAGGTTTGTCAAAGATAAGATGATTCTAGATGTCTGGTGGTATTTCTGAGGCCTCTGTTCTGTTCTGTTCAGATATCTATATATCTGTTTTGGTACCAGTACCATGCTGTTTTGGTTACTGTAGCTTTGTGGTACAGTTTGAAGACAGGTAGCATGATGCCTCCAGCTTTGTTCTTTTTGCTTAGGATTGTCTTGGCTATACAGGCTCTTTTTTGGTTCCATATGAAATTTAAAGTAGTTTTTTTCTAATTCTGTGAAGAAAGTCAATGGCAGGTTGATGGGGATAGCATTGAATCTATAAATTACTTTGGGCAGGATGGCCATTTTCACAATATTGATTTTTTCCCATCCATGAGCATGGAATGTTTTTCCATTTGTTTGTGTCCTTTTTTATTTCCTTGAGGCGTGGTTTGTAGTTCTCCTTGAAAAGGTCCTTCACATCCCTTGTAAGTTGTATTTCTAGGTATTTTATTATCTTTGTAGCAACTGTGAATGGGAGTTCACTCATGATTTGGCTCTTTGTTTGTTGCATATTTGTTTTGTATCCTCAGACTTTGCTGAAGTTGCTTATCGGCTTAAGGAGATTTTGGGCTGAAACGATGGGGTTTTCTAAATATACAATCATGTCATCTGCAAACAGTGACAATTTGACTTCCTCTTTTCCTATTTGATACCATTTATTTCTTTCCCTTGCCTGATTGCCCTGGCCAGAACTTCCACTACAGATGTTGAATAGGAGTGGCGAGAGAGGGCATCCTTGTCTTGTGCCAGTTTTCAAAGGGAATGCTTCCAGTTTTTGCCCATTCGGTATGATATTGGCTGTAGGTTTGTCATAAATAGCTCTCATTATTTTGAGATATGTTCCATCAATACCTAGTTTATTGAGAGTTTTTAGCATGAAGGGCTGTTGAATTTTGTCAAAGGCCTTTTCTGCATCTATTGAGATAATCATGTGGTTTTTGTCATTGGTTTGGTTTATGTGATGGATTACGTTTATTGATTTGCGTATGTTGAACCAGGCTTGCATCCTAGGGATGAAGCCGACTTGATCATGGTGGATAAGCTTTCTGATGTGGTGCTGGATTCAGTTTGCCAGTATTTTACTGAGGCTTTTCGCATCGATGTTCATCAGGGATGTTGTCCTGAAGTTTTCTTTTTTTGTTGTGTCTCTGCCAGGTTTTGGTAGCAGGATGATGGTGACCTCATAAAATGAGTTAGGGAGGATTCCCTCTTTTTCTGTTGTTTGGGACAGTTTCAGAAGGAATGATACCAGCTCCTCCTTGTACCTCTGGTAGAAATCGGCTGTGAATCTGTCTGGTCCTGGACTTTTTTTGGTTGTTAGGCTATTAATTGCTGCCTCAATTTCAGAACTTGTTATTGGTCTATTCAGGGATTTGACTTGTTCCTGGTTTAGTCTTGTCAGGGTGTATGTGTCCAGGAATTTGTCCATTTCTTCTAGATTTTCTAGTTTATTTGCATAGAGGTGTTTGTAGTATTCTCTGATGGTGGTTTGTATTTTTATGGGATCGGTGGTGATATTCCCTTTATCATTTTTTGTTGAATCTATGTGATTCTTCTCTCTTTTCTTCTTTATTTGTCTGGCTAATGGTCTATTTTGTTGACCTTTAAAAAAACCAGCTCCTGGATTCGTTGATTTTTTGAAAGGTATTTTGTGTCTCTATCTTTTTCAGTTCTGCTCTGATCTTAGTTATTTCTTCTCTTCTGCTAGCTTTTGAATTTGTTTGCTCTTCCTTCTTTATTCTTTTAATCTCTCAGCATTTACTTTTCTGTAAAGGATTTTTTTTCTTGATAGCGTCTCACTCTGTCACCCAGGCTGGAGTGCAGTGGCATGATCTTGGCTCACTGCAACCTCCGCCTCCTGGGTTCAAGCGATTCTCTTGCCTCAGCCTCCCAAGTAGCTGGGACTACAGGTGCGTGCCACCACACCACCACACCCAGCTAATTTTTTTTTTTGTATTTTTAGTAGAGATGGGATTTCACTGTGTTAGCCAGGATGATCTCTATCTCCTGACCTCGTGATCCGCCCACCTCAGCCTCCCAAAGTGCTGGGATTACAAGCATGAGCCACCCTGCCTGGCCTGTGAAGGATTTTATTTCTCCTTTGCTTATGAAGCTTAGTTTTGCTGGATATGAAATTCTGGCTTGAAAATCCGTTAAGAATGTTGAACACTGTCCCCTACTCTCTTCTGGCTTATAGGGTTTCTGCAGAGAGATCTGCTGTTATTCTGATGGGCTTCCCTTCATGGGTAACTTGCCCTTTCTCTCTGGCTCTCTTAAAATTTTTTCCTTCATTTCACCTTGGTGAATCTGACGATTATGTGTCTTGGGGTTGCTCTTCTCAAAGCGTATCTTTGTGGTGTTCTTTGTATTTTGTGAATATGAATGTTGGCCTGTCTTACTAAGTTGGGGAAGTTCTCCTGGATAATATCTTGAAGTGAGTTTTCCAACTTGGTTCCATTCTCCCCATCACTTTCAGTTACACCAATGAAATGTAGATTTGGTCTTTTTACATACTCCCATATTTCCTGGAGGCTTTGTTCATTCCTTTTCATTCCTTTTTCTCTAATCTTCTCTTCTTGTTATATTCCTTTGAGTTGATCTTCAGTCTCTGATATTTTTTCTTCTGCTTGATTGATTTGGCTATTGATACTTGTTTATGCTTCACAAAGTTCTCGTGTGGTGTTTTTCAGCTCCATCAGGTCATTTATGTTCTTCTCTAAACTGGTTATTATAGTTAGCAATTCGTCTAACCTTTTTTCAAGGTTCTAAGCTTCCTTGCATTGAGTTAGAACATGCTCCTTTAGCTTGGAGGAGTTGTTATTACCCACCTTCTGAAGCCTACTTCTGTCAATTCGTCACACTCATTCTCTGTCCAGATTTTTCCCTTGCTGGCGAGGAGTTGTGATCCTTTGGAGGAGAAGAGGTGTTCTGGTTTTTGGAATTTTCAGCCTTTTTGCGCTGGTTTCTCCCCATCTTCGTGGATTTATCTACAGGCGCGTGCACTTGGTCTTTCAAGTCGGTGACCTTTGGGTGGGGTTTTTGAGTGGACTTTCTTTTTGTTGATTTTGATACTATTCCTTTCTGTTAGTTAGTTTTCCTTCTACCAGTCAGGCCCCACTGCTGCAGGTCTGCTGGAGTTTGCTGGAGGTCCACTCCAGACCCTGTTTGCCTGGGTATCACCGCGGAGGCTGCAGAACAGCAAGGATTGCTGCCTCTTCCTTCCTCCAGAAGCTTCGTCCCAGAGGGGCACCCGCCAGATGCCAGCCAGAGCTCTCCTGTGTGAGATGTCTGTCGCCCCTACTAGGAGGTGCCTCCCAGTCAGGATACATGGGGTCAGGGACCCACTTAAGGAGGCAGTCTGTCCCTTATCAGAGCTTGAATGGTATGCTCAGAGATCTACTGCTCTATTCAGAACTGCCAGGCTGGGACGTTTAAGTCTGCTGATGCTGTACCCACAACCGCCCCTTCCCAGGTGCTCTGTCCCAGGGAGGTGGCGGTTTTATCTATAAGTCTCTGACTAGGGCTGCTGCCTTTTTTTCAGAGATGCCCTGCCCACAGAGGAGGAAATCTAGAGAGGCAGTCTGGCCGCAGTGGCCTTGCTGGGCTCTGGTGGGCTCCTCCCAGTTTGAACTTCCCGGCATCTTTGTTTACACTGTGAGGGGAAAACCACCTACTCAAGCCTCGGTAATGGCAGATGCCCCTCTGGGTGAGCTCAGACTGCTGTGCTGGCAGTGAGAATTTCAAGACAGTGGATCTTAGCTTGCTCGGTTTCGTGGGGGTGGGACCCGCCGAGCCAGACCTCTTGGCTCTCTGGCTTCAGCCCCCTTTTTCCAGTGGAGTGAACGGTTCTGTCTCGCTGGCATTCCAGGCGCCACTGGGGTATGAAAAATAATCTTCTGTGGCTAGCTCAGTGTCTGCCCAAATGGCCACCCAGTTTTTTGCAGGAAGCCCAGGGCCCTGGTCATGTAGGCACTGTAGGGAATCTCCTGGTCTGCGGGTTGGGAAGACCATGGGAAAAGTGCAGTGTCTGGGCCAGAGTGCATGGTACAGTCCCTAACGACTTCCCTTGGCTAGGAGAGGGAATTCCACGACCCCTAGCACTTCCTGGGTGAGGCAACGTCCCACCCTGCTTCAGCTCACCCTCTGTGTGCTGCACCCACTCTCCAATCAGTCCTGATGAGATGAACTGGGTACCTCATTTGGAAATGCAGAAATCACTGCCTTCTGCGTTGAGCTTGCTGGGAGATGCAGACCAGAGCTGTTCTTATTTGGCCATCTTGCCAGCACCCCTCCCCCCCCCACCTAATTCTTAATTTTCTTGTAAGGAGTCCTAAATTCAATTTTGACGTTTTACTTATTTTCAACTTCTATTGTAGAACAATTGAAACATATACAAAAATAGAGAGAGTAATATAATCAACACGTATTCATCACAAGCCTTGAAAATTAACATCCCATGGTCAGTCTTGTTCCATCTTGCCTTTCATTCCCTTCCTGTCCCAGCTCTGAATTATTTTGAAGCAAATTCCAGTAATCACATTATTTCATCCTTTACTTCTTTTAAAAATATGACAGAAGTTTTTGACAAAAGAATCTTGATGTGGGGAAATTTAATGATAACACTTTTAACATGACAGTTTTTAAAAATTATGACATTTGATTTATATTTTATTCAATTTTATGGAAAATAATTATGCAAAGTATCTTTTTATTATAAGAATCAATCCTGCATGTAGAAGTCCCGACTAATATCAAAGAACACAGTAATCAGTCTTGTCCATCTTGTTCAAACATTGAGAGCTAGCTAACAGGAATAAGATATATAAGGAATACAAATGTTGACCAGGTGTCTTAGCTAAAGAACATTTTCTACTCTGCTTATCTAACTCATGTATTTATATTTTCCCAATCCAATTTCTTAGCAACACATTTGCAGAATTTATTTGACTCCAGAATGGCTACTGGATTATTGAGATTTCCTGAAGTGAATAGTTTTGTAGAGCTTTGGATAAAATTAGAACAATAGAGTCATATGAAAGGGGGAAGAATATGTTGTTGGCAAAATTCACATTTCTTCTCATCTACTCTCTCCTGATATCAGACTTCCTCTTCCTGTGATGAAACTGAGGTTCGTTTTGACACTCCTAAGAAATTAAGAATGGAGGGCAGGTGAGGAAAGTAAAATAGAGACAGCTTAAAAGACATTGAAAGAGACTGTAATGCAACTCATTCAATGTCTTTATCTCTGTAGTTTATGATGTCTCTCATTGTCCGCTAGAAGGGATTTGTGCTCTCCTCCTGGTTGCTGTGATGAGACAGATGTGGAACATTTCATTTTCCTGGACTGTGTAGACTTCAGCTGTCATCTCTACTGAGTAAGTCAGCCTACAAGGCAACTCCGTTCAGGTCTTTTGTTATTTTTATTTTTTGTAATAGTGAGAAAAAAATGATGGATATAAGGAGAAACATGCATTTCTAAACCCCAATGAGGAGAGATTCTCAGGTAGAGGGCTACATGATGAGGGGAACCAGAAGTGGCCAGGCCGGAGGAAGGAGCCACACTGTTGGCTAAATCTGAGAGGGAGGTAAGCCAGTGGTCTGGGGGCTCCAAGAGTAGCAGAAATCTCTGCTGACTTCCTCCCCCTTATCTTCCTAGGGAGGTAGGACCCAAGGTGCTAGGTTCCCACCTCAGCAGAACCTCCACCCACCTTTCAGCCCTGAAGCCATCATGTGACTCGTACTAGGAAAGTCCACCTGTGATGATGATGACCAGTGAGGGCTAAACACCAGGGGTCTCCCAAATGTTCTCAGCCATATACGAATTTCAGGCTCTACACTGGACCTGGATGATGAGGGGTGATGGAGCCCCAATAATAACCACAGTTGATTTTTCCACACCCCGTTGATCAGATTAAATATAATTTAGAAAAATAACCAATGTGGCATTTTTTTAAACCTGAGATGTAAAATAAAATCCATGACAGCTGTACTGTATACTTTGCCTAATTTACTTTCTCAGAGGTTTGGAAGGAATGCTCAGAAATATTTAGAGGAGTTTCTTTCAGTGAGATTACTTATATTTATGATATTGAAGATGTCTTTTTTCAAAGTGTTACGTACTAAATTTCATCTCCCACAGCCCCCTTCCCAAATTCATGTATTGAAGCCCCCATCCCCATTGTGACTGTATTTGGAGACAGGGCCTTCAAAGAGGGAATTTAGGTTACAGAAGGCCCTAAGGGTAGAGCCCCAATTCAGTATGAACTGTCATTGTAAGAGGAGGAAGAAACACCAGAGATTCACTTGCCCAGAGAAAAGGCCATGTGAGGACAGAGTGAGAAGCTGGTCATTTGCAAGGAGAGAAGCGTTAGGAGAAACCAAACCTGCTGACACCTTGATCTTGGACTTCTAGCCCCTAGAACCGTGAGAAAATACATTTCTGTGGATTAAGCCACCCAGTCTGTGGTACTTTATTATGGCAACCCTAGCAGACTAAGACACAGTATTTAACACTTTCATGTATAGGTCTTTATTCTCTGAAAATCTATAATATTTTACTCTAGTAAAAATTCTCTTGCTGTGTGGAATTTATGGGCACTCTACTAGCTAAAATCATTCACTTTCTGAAAAGAGTGTTGCAAAGGGCTACAGAACATACTGGATACCATTGACCAAACTAATTAGAAAACTAATGCTGCTCAGTGACTAAAAATAACAGGGGAGTGGGTGCATATGCAGGATGGGGCCCCACTACTGGAAGTTAAAACAGCAAGTACCTTTCCCTGATACCATGGTAATGCAAGCATCATGGTAACCTTTGTTAAAATAAACGTGTTGGGCTCACGCCTGTAATCCCAGCACTTTGGGAGGCTGAGGTGGGTGGATCACTTGAGGTCAGGAGTTCGAGACCAGCCTGGCCAACATGGTGAAACCCCATCTCTACTAAAAATACAAAAATTAGCCAGGCATGGTGGTGCACATCTGTAATCCCAGCTATTCAGGATGCTGAGGCAGGAAAATCGCTTGAACCCAGGAGGCGGAGGTTGCAGTGAGCCGAGATCCTGCCACTGCACTCCAGCCTGGGTGACAGAGTGAGACTCTGTCTCCAGAAAAATAAAAATAAAATAAACAAAATAAAATAAAATAAAAGTGCTGAATACATGTTAGTTTACCAGGGAGATGATATTTAATTATAAAAGTTACTTTCTTACACCCATATACACCCCCGTTATAATTCTGCTTGAAATCTTTAAAGAATGAGAGTCAATCTGCTTTATATTCTAGAGGCCTCTAATATTGCTAGTTAAATTTCATATGCTGTCAAAAAATAAGGGAAAGCAAGAAAAACACAAAGACAAGGCATATATATTACTGAACTATAAGTTCCTAAAAATCGGGGATTTATTTTTTCCTTGAGATCATCAAACACACTGTTTTGCACATCATTGGCATTTATGATTGGTTTAATGCATTGTAACTCTGAGACATACAGCTTAGAAAAGAAAAGCATACAGCTAATATGACTGTAGAATAAAGACTAAATTTTGCCTACAGCATGAGAAATCAATTGTATCACTTTACAATCATACATTTTATATGTGTAAAAATATACGAGTAGATTTTAGTTTATTACAGTAATATGCTAACAAAAATCTAGATATTTCTAAATATCTAGACATTTCCAAATACCTATGGTATTAAATATTGTGAAGAACAGACATATTATTTGTCCCAGTTGGTCACTTTTTATGCAATTTCCTTTTTGTAAAAATATCTGATATATAAAATTGCCTCCTATGTTTAAGAACAAGTAAGAACAAACAAGAACAAAGATTAACAGTGTCCAAATTTTTTAAATAGATCAAGCTGGTAATGTGATAATTTCATTTGCAATTTATCATATGTTAGTCATTAAAACACACACACACACAAACATAAGTTTTACATACCAGACACACATAAGATTCTACCAAAAGTCAGTGAGAGTAGAACAAAAGTATGTGGTTCTATGTTGTTATGACTAAGTGCATGGAAAACTTTCCTTCATTAATCTACCACTCCACCTCTCTGACACACACCACAAAGTATCCACCGTGTGTTAAGGTATAATTGGAACATAAGGGAGGGAATAAAGAACCCGGGAGCCCGGGTGCATAGGAGTGACCTACCCTTGAGTGCCGCCACACAAGTCCAGTGTGTCTGTGTTGGCTGAGTTTTAGCTGTGCTCTCTGCGGGTTGTGCAACCTAATCATAATAACAATAATAACAACCAAAAGCATTTATTTTGTATAGACAAAACATATAATCTTGTGCTAGGTGGTTTAATTCATTATGTTTAATCCTAAGAAAAACTCAGGGCAAAAGAAAAGCAATGTCTAACTTGGTTTCTGCTCATAAGGAAAAGTCTAGCAATAGGGACTTCCTTAACCAGATGGTGTGAGGACTAGAATTGTCATGGTCATGGCTATCATGGATCAACTCAACCATTACCTAAGGTGACTTCCTTGAGGTGATTACATCAGAACTGGACCTTAAATGATGACTCTAAATTTGTTATGAGGAGAAATGCTGAGCACTTAGGACAGAGGGAACAGGTGTTGAAAAGGATGTAAGCATGATGTAGCATGACACATTCAGGGATACAGCATGAAATAACATGACACATTCAGGGGTATAGTATGAGATAGCATGACACATTCAGGGGTATAGTATGAGATAGCATGACACATTCAGCGATATAGCATGAGATAGCATGACACATTCAGGGATATAGCATGATGTTGCATGATGCATTTCAGGGATATAGCATGAGACGGCATGACACATTTCAGGGACATAGCGTGATGTAGAATGACACATTCAAGTATATGGCATGAGATAGCATGACACATTCAGGGTTATAGCATGGGACAGCATGACACATTCAGGGATATAGCATGAGATAGCATGACACAATCAGGGATATAGCATGATGTAGCATGACACATTCAGGGATATAGCATGAGACAGCATGACACATTTCAGGGACATAGCATGATGTAGAATGACACATTCAAGTATGTGGCATGAGATAACATGACACATTCAGGGATATAGCATGAGACAGCATGACACAATCAGGGATATAGCATGATGTAGCATGACACATTCAGGGATATAGCATAAGATAGCATGACACATTCAGGGATATAGCATGATGTTGCATGATGCATTTCAGGGATATAGCATGAGACAGCATGACACATTCCAGGGACATAGCATGATGTAGAATGACACATTCAAGTATATGGCATGAGATAGCATGACACATTCAGGGTTATAGCATGGGACAGCATGACACATTCAGGGATATAGCATGAGATAGCATGACACAATCAGGGATATAGCATGATGTAGAATGACACATTCAAGTATGTGGCATGGGATAGCATGACACATTCAGGGATATAGCATGATGTTACATGACACATTCAGGGATATAGCATGAGACAGCATGACACATTTCAGGGACATAGCATGATGTAGAATGACACATTCAAGTATGTGGCATGAGATAGCATGACACATTCAGGGATGTAGCATGGGACAGCATGACACATTCAGGGATATAGCATGAGACAGCATGACATTTCACGGACATAGCATGATGTAGAATGACACATTCAAGTATGTGGCATGGGATAGCATGACACATTCAGGGATATAGCATGATGTTACATGACACATTTCAGGGATATAGCATGAGATAGCATGACACATTCAGGGATATAGCATGGGATAGCATGACACATTCAGGGATATAGCATGATGTAGAATGACACATTCAGGGATATAGCATGGGATAGCATGACACATTCAGGGATATAGCATAAGATAGCATGACACACTCAGGGATATAGCATGAGATAGCATGACACATTTGAGGGACATAGCATGATGTGGAATGACACATTCAAGGATATAGCATTAGATAGCATGACACATTCAGGGATATAGCATAAGATAGCATGACACATTCAGGGATATAGCATGATGTTGCATGACATTTCAGGGATATAGTGTGAGATAGCATGACACATTCAGGGTTATAGCATGAGATAGCATTACACAATCAGGGACGAATTCAAGCAAGCCTCAGAGTTTGTCAGATTCCCAGTATATCTCTTTGTTTTTGAAAAGAGAAAACAAAATAAACACCTCACTAATGTAGTATGTTTTTTAAAAAATTTAATCCTTTCTCTCACCTGTTTGATGTGGTATTATCTTTCTCTGAGGCCTCCAGACGTTCTGGTTTGTAGGGCTGTTGGTGGGCAAACTCTTCTGTTCTGTCCCAGAAAGCCCTAGTTAAGGTTTTTATAAATCTGGTATTCTTATTTGAAAGTCTCTTACAGTCTACATTAAAAAAAATCAATATTTATACATAAAAAATAAACACAATTAGAGATACTTTTTATTCCTCTATATAGTTAATTTATTTTCATTCTGTAATTTGCACAAGTACTAAAGGATAATAAACTTTGGTCCCCAATCAGCTTTCTCATTTTTAACACAACAAGCAAAATGAAATGATAATTTGACTTCTGAGGAAGAAAGAAAACTGTTTTGTGGTTATGTGTATGGATTACTGGTTTTGTTTTCTAAATCCAACAGAGATAGTAGCATCCAGATTTAAACTCTTTAATATTAGCACACTAGCTGGATGTGGTGGCTCATTCCTGTAATTCCAGCACTTTGAGATACCAAGGTGGGTGGATCGCTTGAGCTCAGGAGTTCGAGACCAGCCTGGGCAACATGGTAAAACCCCATCTCTAAAAGAAAAAAAAATTAACCAGGTGTGGTGGCATGTGCCTGTGGTCCCAGCTACTCAGGAGGCTGCTGTGGGAGGATTGCTTGAGCCTGCAAGGTCGATGCTCCAGTGAGCTGAGATCACACCACTGCACTCCAGCCTGGGTGAGAGAGTGACAGCCTGTCTCAAAAATAAAAAAAATAAATAAATAAAAATAATATTAGTACACCATAAATAATGATGTGCATTTAATAAAGAATGTGATGACTCAAAGTTAAAACCAATAATTTTATTATTCTATATTAGAGAAATGCTCACCTTTATCCTAACTTTCCATATGAACAAGCCTCAATAACTGCAATTTTTACGTGAAGCCATACTGTTCCCAAAGCAAGTATAGGTTGGCAAAAGGCTGAAGAGAGAAGAGTGGAGACTTGTTTCTTCTGCATGCAATGTGAGCATATCTACTGGTCTTAGACTGAAGCAGTGGGGTGCAGCTGCAGCAACTTTGCAGTATTTCGCTTCTTGGAAGAGCAGGTTTTTAGGGCACATGTCCCAGTAAGGAGTGGCTGGTTCAGTTAATTGCATGGGTGAGGTTTTGCCCACAGGATACTTTGTTTTTGACTCATTCTCCTTGGTCTTTAGCATCTTTCTCATCCCCAGAAGGCTCTGCCTGGAAAGAAGGTTACTGTAGGAACCACAGTGGACTGTACTTCCACAGTTCTGTTTCACAAAGAGCGTCAAGGTCAGTTTCTAGCTATGAAGTATAGAAGCTGACCTCCAAACCAAGAGGAAGTACTAGCTTTATAATTTGTCCAGGAAACTCTAATCTTAATATTTCAAAGATGTACGTGCTTGATAACCTTTTAAACATCAACTAGGTCAATGATGTGTTTAGTGGTAACTACTTTGCATGTTTCTACAATGCAATGTGCTTTAAAAATTACTGAATCAATGGAAAGAAAAGATTACTATCATTTAAGGAGAATTTCATATTGTGCATCAGAATTCAAGACTGATTTGGCCCACAGGGAAAGGTCAACATATGTCCTGATTTCCCTAATAAAGTCTTGAAATGTAGCAAGACTATTAGTTTAAATAGACTTTCAGGTAAATACAGTTACCTAGGTTATGCTCCAAAAATTGTGTTTAGTTTTCTTGGCTTAATCAATTTCTCTGCTTCTACAGTTTATTTGTGGCTCCAACTGTACAAGCTGGAGAATGTATAAGTTATGCTATGGGTTTTTGCTGGGGAAACCAAGTCATTTCCAGAGTCACAACATGGCCTGAGTGATATGGATTCAACAGATACAAGCTACAAAGCACTTTTTGTGTTGTATATAACCATGTGATGCATTTATTGCAGAACTTCCCAGAGGCTTTTGGTCCTAACATGCTGAAAATTGTCTTGCATAGTAAACTGGAGTAAATGGAATAGGGTACACATAGTGACAGAGCCAGGGGCTCCAGCTTCCCCTTGCTCCTACCCAGAAGTCTGAAGGCTAAGAGTGTCAACATCTTGGGACACTTATAATCTATTCATAGGTACATGGTTGATTTATTTCAAGCTACTTCAGTAGATCATCTGCAGGCCACTAATTGGCCAAGTACTTATCACCTGCAGTCAATCACCATGTTAGAATTGAAGAGGACCTAAGAAAACCTTTGGAGTGACCATTGAATTCACAGATCAGACAACTAAGGGAGAAAGCAGTAACATGATAGAGTAGGGAAGGGAGGGACTTTGGAAAGATAACTACTGTTTCATACATCTATAATCTTAGTCATGCTCTAAGCCACTCAAAGTCTCCATGTCCTCACCTATAAAATAGAGATAATTATACCTATCTTGCTATAATATTTTAAGATTAGAGATAATGTATGTGAGTTGCATACCTAGTACAGTAATGGGATACATAATTAATTGCTAATTTGCTAAGTGACTTTCCCCATGTATAGAGTGAGAGTTCGAGCCTCAGTTAAAAATCTGTGCCTAGTTCCCAGTTCAGAGTATTGTTTATCTGTTGTGGTATCTTGGATATTTCAAACTATTTTGACCCTTTAGTTCAATGTGCTTGAGCCTACTGATGTTGTAGCTTACCTCTTTAGTGGTTATCAATTGCCTTGCAACTTTATCTCAGCAAGTAAGTCTGGGGCAAGAGATTCTCTTGTAATAATCCTAAAAGCAACCAATATTTGTAGAGCACTTATAGTTACAGCGTGTTTTCACAGACTTGAAACCTCTGAATAACCTTGAGGAATTTCTACAGCCTGTGTTTTCAACACCCTCAATATACAGATAAGGCAGCTTCAGTCAGTTGTCTGGCCAAGTCCTATTGAGTCTATGTGATGAACGCGGAGATCTGCTCTTCTTGATCCTGTGTTTTCATTGCTCTGAGTGTCTCACTGCTGCATCTTGCAGTTGACTGTAGATGGATACGCTAATGGTTCAGACGCCTAACCATACTTATTGGATCAGGATTTTAAGTGATTAGAAAAGCAGGAATAAGGCATGAAGTGATGGTGGAGAAGGTAGTTAAGAGGTGTGGTGAAAGCAGATGCAGGAAGAAACTGTAGTGCTGGGAGTTAAGAAGGCTTCTCCAGATGTTTTCAAGCCATCCAGCATAATTTTAATTTTCTAAAAAGAATAGTGTGATCTGAGGCCTCTGTAAAGTGGCAGGATGCCACCTAACAGTATCACACTTTACCTTAGGCACAGACTGAGTTTTCTAGTGTTTTGATAAGGTGAAGAAGTATTTTGCTAAGTATTGTTTAGCTCTTAAACTCTAAATAAAGGAAGTGAAATATACAAAAAAAGTTGAATTGATCCAGTTCAACTAATACTGTGATAATCTAAATTAATATAAGTTATAATTATTTGAAGAACTGATTCATCATGTAGGGTTTCTAAGTTTATTTAGCTTGTACAGGAGCTGAAAAAAATATAAGAGGTTAAGATTAGTATTAAAAAGAGATTACATATTAGCTTTGTGAGGGCTAAGAAAACATATATTGAATTACACCAAAATCAATGTGCAATTAAAAACAGAGGATTAATCCTGTGAATTCTGACCTCGAATTCTTCAGTAGGAATTGATACAGACCCCCTCTCTCCTGGAAAGCACGACTTTTTGATCCTTCAACAAATCGCTTGTTCTTGCTAGGTTAATTTTTTCCAGTTATAAGAGGTTGCACTAGTTTTTGGGTTGACATTTTATTTTAAACTTACATTAGTAGAATGGTCTAGGTAACAAATGGTAGAAATAATCTCAATTTATTGCACCTATAATATATATCAAATATTCTCCTGGACTTTGTGTTCAGGTGTGCACATTTTCTGCAATCTACATGAGGAGTCCACCCGTTATCTGCGTCTTTGCTTTCCAAGGCTTCGGGTACCTGCAGTCAACAATGCCCCAAAATATTAAATGGAATATTCAATTCCAGAAGTAAACAATTCATATGTTTTAAATTGCTTGCCATTCTGAGTAGAGTGATGAAATCTCCCACCTGGAATGTGAATAATCCTCTGTCCAGTGTATCCATGCTGTATGTGCCACCTGCCTGCTACTGTAGAGAAAAAAACCCAGCACATATGGGGTTTGAGTCTATCCATGGTTTCAGGCATCCCCTGGGAATGCTGCAATATATTTTCTTCTGATAAGGGTTAGGGAGAGGATTACTGTACATCCAGGCAAAGTGAGCATTGTAAGTCTCATTTTATGTAAGAGGAAACTGAGGCTCAGTTCATTGTGATTGGCTTAGAGTAGAACCCAGCCTTGTCTAACTCAAAAGCCTGTGAAGAAGGATCTTTCACCATTCACATGGTGTAGAGGGCTTGTAGAGATGTTAACATTCAGGAATCCAGTTTAAATACACAGTTTAAGTACACTCATTTATTCCACAAATACTTATTGAGATTTTATTAAGTTCCAGGTATTGTTATAAGAACTGAGTCTACGTAAATAAACAAAACCAATAGAGGGCCCCTATTCTCATGGAGTTCTTCTATCTTTTCAGGGGTACGTAGTTAACTACTCTTGTAAGGATAAATACATAAATGCCTGTTATTGTAAGTCCTCAAAGTTTACTTTAAGAAAAGAAAAATAATAATTATAAAAAAATTAGAACAGAATGCAGCCATTTGCATTCTTGCATTTTGTCTCTAATGAATAGTTGCAAAGATATTTCTTATAGAGACATACTTTCAACCCCATCTTCAAAAGATAAAATCATTCCTCTCCAGTAGACTTAGTCCCTGAAGATTCTTTCTGAAGACTCACCAAAAGGCATCTCCTAACTCCCCTGTCTTGGAGTTAGGATCTCTGACTGCAGAAAATACTTAATTACACTGAGAACGAAAAATAGCTAAGACTATTTTCATCTTTGTAGTGAAGCCACTTAAAATACTGATTGCATGAGAAACAAAGGTATGCTATTTCCAGGAACTGACTTTTTTATGATTCATATTTCTAACATTGTTATTAGTCAGCAGAGAATTAAACATGATCTCTGAGTGTTTATCTATTTTAAGAAATGCAAACTAATGAAGAGTAACATTTATGTATCTAATTAATAGTTAATGTTGCAGTCCCTCCTCAATATATGCTTTCTTTCATTATAAAACATAATTAAACCATCTACTATTTATTGTCCTAGGTACCAACTAATGAGACTTGTGGTACTTAATCTGTACTTGATCTCATCTCTCTGGCAGCCTCTCTGCTTTATTCACATTAATTTTGGTTCCAACAGTCACTACAGATTCTTCCATTCATTACTAACCCCAACTTAGCTTGGATGCACCTGTTCGTATTACAAACGCATCTCAAAGTGAAAGACAATCATACTCAATTTCCACTCTTCCTGAGAGTGAAATATCTGTCAGTCAAGTGGAGAACTTCACTGTGGAATTTTCAGTTTCCTTTAAACTAGGCTTAATGTAACTAGACTTGCCCAGATGTGCCTGAGAAAGAGTGTCAAAAGGAAAATACCAAAATACAGGCACTAATGAAGCCAAGAATAGTTGCTTATTGTTCTTGACTCTTAGATCCTTTTTTTAATGACATGATAGGCTGACAAGAATTTAAGTGCTTGCCTTTCTTGACAAAGGCTAACTCAGTGTGTTGACATAATTGTGCAAAAGTACCTTACTGAAGTGCCAAATACAACAACGAAGTATAAGACCCGATTGATGTTGCATTGACAAATACAATTCAATCTTTCTTAAGATTTGGCAGGTAATAAAAATTATTCCTGAGAGATTTTAGAAATTCACACCATGTGAGACAAATCTTGCCTTCATTTCACTTGACATTTTCATGTTTTATGCTTTCTGTCTTTTGGACATCATCTACTGTGGTATCAACTTTCCATTATTTACTCAACTCTTATTGATATTTTTATTCCTCTTTTTACTATATTTTACTTATAGCCTGAGGTCTGTAGGACTGGAAGGAAGCCTCACATTCAGAATTTGCAAAAGAGAAAGGTCATTTAAATAAAACTTTCAATAGCCCAACTTCCTGACTTCTGGGTTGGAAGTTATTCTGCCAACTTTCTCCAAGTACAAGAAGTGACCTCAGATGGTAGAGACCATTGCCATCACATTAAATAGATGACTCATGCTTTGTGTATTTCCAGGATGGAGAGTTATTTCCTCCTGCGTTGCTTTCCATGTAGGCAGAGCAGAGAGGTCATCCTCTCACTACTCCCTGACTTCAAAGGAAATTCTAAATTTCAAAGTAAATATTATACATACACACACATATAAAAATTTATTTAGATTTCTGTATCTAGATTTCCATATAAATCTTATCTACATTACTACATATAGAAATTTAAATAAGAAATAGATATAGAAACTTACCTAGAGACATCTATCTATATCTTGAAATTTTGAAAAAAAATGGCAGTTATTAAATTCACAGTGTAGAAGAACAAATACTGAACTGTAAGTTAGAAAACCAGGTCACTTACTAGTCAAAGGTCCTTGAACAACACATGAAACATCACTAAACCCAGAGTAGTTTACTCATTGGTATAATAATGATAATAACTCCTGTCCTATGTACTAGGTGATTGCAATCATAAAATAAAGTAATTATATGTAAACGTGATTTAAAACCCTTGAAGCCCTCTGCAACATTAAAGTTTTATTATTTTTTTTCATTATACTTTAAGTTCTGGGATACATGTGCAGAACGTGCAGGTTTGTTACATAGGTATACATATGCCATGGTGGTTTGCTGCACCCATCAACCCATCATCTACATTAGGTATTTCTCCTAATGTTATCCCTCCCCTAGCCCCCTATCCCATGACAGGCCCTGGTGTGTGATGTTCCCCTCTGTGTGGCCATGTGTTCTCATTGTTCAACTCCCACCTATGAGTGAGAACATGTGGTGTTTGGTTTTCTGTTCTTGTGTTAGTTTGCTGAAAATGATGGTTTCTGGCTTCATTTATGTCCCTGCAAAGGACATGAACTCATGCTTTTTTATGGCTGCATAGTATTCCATGGTGTATATGTGCCACATATTCTTTATCCAGTCTATCTTTGATGGACATTTGGGTTGGTTCCAAGTCTTTGCTATTGTGAACAGTGCTGCAATAAACATATGTGTGCATGGGTCTTTATAGTAGAATGATTTATAATCCTTTGGGTATATACCCAATAATGGGATTGCTGGGTCAAATGGTATTTCTGGTTCTAGATCCTTGAGGAATCGCCATACTGTCTTCCACAATGGTTGATCTAATTTACACTCCCACCAACAGTGCAAAAGCGTTTCTATTTCTCCACATCCTCTCCAGCATCTGTTGTTTCCTGACTTTTTGATGATTGCCATTCTAACTGGCCATGGTTTTGATTTGCATTTCTCTAATGACCAGTAATTATGAGCATTTTTTCGTGTGTCTGTTGGCTGCATAAATGTGTTCTTTTGAGAAGTATCTGTTCACATCCTTTGCCCACTTTTCAATGGGGTTGTTTTTTTCTTGTAAATTTGTTTAAGTCCTTTCTAGATTCTGGATATTAGCCCTTTGTCAGATGGATAGATTGCAAACATTTTCTCCCATTCTGTAGGTTGCCTGTTCACTCTGATGATTGTTTCTTTTGCTGTGCAGAAGCTTTTTAGTTTAATTAGATGCCATTTGTCAATTTTGGCTTTTGTTCTCATTGCTTTTGGTGTTTTGGTCATGAAGTCTTTGCCCATGCCTATGGCCTGAATGGTATTGCCTAGGTTTTCTTCTAGGGTTTCTATGGTTTTAGGTCTTATATTTAAGTCTTTAATCCATCTTGAGTTAATTTTTGTGTAAGTTGTAAGGCAGGGGTCCAGTTTCAGTTCTCCTACATATAGCTACCCCGTTTTCCCAACACCATTTATTAAATAAGGAATCATTTCCCCATTTCTTGTTTTTGTCAGGTTTGTCAAAGATCAGATGTTTCTAAATGTGTGGCATTACTTCTGAGGCCTCTGTTCTGTTTCATTGGTCTATATATCTGTTTTGATACCAGTGTCATGCTGTTTTGGTTACTGTAGCCGTGTAGTATAGTTTGAAGTCAGGTAGCATGATGCCTCCAGCTTTGTTCTTTTTGCTTAAGATTGTCTTGGCTATACAGGCTCTTTTTTTGTTGCATATGAAACTTAAAGTAGTTGTTTTCTAATTCTGTGAAGAAAGTCAATGGTAGCTTGATGCGGATAGCATTGAATCTATAAATTACTTTGGTCCGGATGGCCATTTTCATGATACTGATTCTTCCTATCCATGAGCATGGAATGTTTTTCCATTTGTTTGTGTCCTGTTTTATTTCCTTTAGCAGTGGTTTATAGTTCTCCTTGAAGAGGTCCTTCACATCCCTTGTAATTTGTATTCCTAGGTGTTTTATTCTCTTTGTAGCAATTGTGAATGGGAGTTCACTCATGATTTGGCTCTATTTCTATTATTTGTGTATAGGAATGGTTGTGATTTTTACACATTGATTTTGTATCTTGAGAATTTGCTGAAGTTGCTTATTAGCTTAAGGAGGTTTTGAGCTGAGACGATGGGGTTTTGTAAATATACAATCATGTCATCTGCAAACAGACACAATTTGACTTCCTCCCTCCCTGAGAGAGGCAACCTTGTGAGAGATGGCATCCTTGTCTGGTGCCAGTTTTCAAAGGGAATACTTCCCGCTTTTGCCCATTCAGTATGATATTGGCTATGGGTTTGTCATAAATAGCTCTCATTATTTTGAGATACATTCCACCAATACCGAACTTCTTGAGAGTTTTTGGCATGAAAGGGTGTTGAATTTTATCGAAGGCTTTTTCTTCATCTATTGAGAAAATCATGTGGTTTTTGTTGTTGGTTCTGTTTATGTGATGGATTGTGTCTATTCATTTGCATATGTTGAACCTGCCTTGCATCCCAGGGATGAAGCCGACTTGATCATGGTGGATAAGCTTTTTGATGTGCTGCTGGATTCAGTTTGCCAGTATTTTATTGAGGATATTCGCATTGATGTTCATCAGGGATATTGTCCTGGAATTTTCTTTTTTGCTGTGTCTCTGCCAGGTTTTGGTATCAAGATGATTCTGGCCTCATAAAATGAGTTAGGGAGGAGTCCCTCTTTTTCTAATGCTTGGAATAATTTCAGAAGGAATGGTACCAACTCCTCTTTGTACCTCTGGTGGAAATCAGCTGTGAATCCATCTGCTCCTGTGCTTTTTTGGTTGGTAGGCTATGAATTACTGCCTCAATTTCAGAACTTGTTATTGGTCTAGTCAGGGATTCGACTTCTTCCTGGTTTAGACTTGGGAGGGTGTACGTGTCCAGGAATGTAACCATTTCTTCTAGATTTTCTAGTTTATTTGCACAGAGGTGTTTATAGTATTTTCTGATGGTAGTTTGTATTTCTGTGGGATCAGTGGTGATATCCCCTTTATCATTTTTATTGTGTCAATTTGATTCTTCTCTCTTTTTTTCTTAATTAGTGTGGCTGGTGGTCTATCTATTTTGTTAACATTTTCAAAAAACAGCTCCTGGATTTGTTGATTTTTTGAAGGGTTTTTTGTGTCTCTATCTCTTTCCATTCTGTTCTGATTGTAGTTATTTCTTGTCTTCTGGTAGCTTTTGAATTTGTTTACTCTCGCTTCTTTAGTTCTTTTAATTGTGATATTAAGGTGTCGATTATAGATCTTTCCTGCTTTCTCCTGTGGGCATTTAGTGCTATAAATTTCCCTCTAACACTGCTTTAGCTGTGTCCCACAAATTCTGGTACGTTGTGTCTTTCTTCTCATTGGTTTCAAAGAACTTACTTATTTCTGCCTTAATTTCATTGTTTAGCCAGTAGTCATTCAGAAGCAGGTTGTTCAGTTTCCATGTAGTTGTGTGATTTTGAGTGAGTTTCTTAATCCTGAGTTCTAATTTGATTGCACTGTGGTCTGAGAGACTGTTTGTTATGATTTCCATTCTTTTGCATTTATTGAGGAGTGTTTTACTTCCAATTATGTGGTCAATTTTAGAATAAGTGCAATGTGGTGTTGAGAAGAATGTATACTCTGTTGATTTGGGGTGGAAAGTTCTGTAGATGTCTATTAAGTCTGCTTGGTCCAGAGCTGAGTTCAAGTCCTGAATATCCTTGTTAATTTTCTGTCTCGTTTATCTGTCTAACATTGATAGTGGGGTGTAAAGTCTCCCACTATTATTGCGTGGGAGTCTAAGTCTTTTTGTAGGTCTCTAAGAACTTGCTTTATGAATCTGGGTGCTCCTGTATTTGGTGCATATATATTTAGGATTGTTAGCTCTTCTTGTTGCATCAATCCCTTTAACATTATGTAATGCCCTTCTATGTCTCTTTTTTTCTTTGTTGGTTTAAAGTCTGTTTTATCAGACTAGGATTGCAACACTTGCTTTTTTTGTTTTTTTGCATTCCATTTTCTTGGTAAATCTTCCTCCATCCATTTATTTTGAGCCTATGTATGTCTTTGCATGTGAGATGGGTCTCCTGAATATAGCACACTGATGGGTGTTGACTCTTGATCCAATTTGCCAGTCTGTGTCTTTTAATTGGGGCATTTAGCATGTTTACATTTAAGGTTAATATTGTTATGTGTGAATTTGATCTTGTCATTATGATGCTAGCTGGTTATTTTGCCTGGTAGTTGATGCAGTTTCTTCATAGCATTGATGGTCTTTACAATTTGGTATGTTTTTGCAGTGGCTGGTACTGGTGTTTCCTTTCCATATTTATTGCTTCCTTCAGGAGCTCTGGTAAGGCAGGCCTGGTGGTGACAAAATCTCTCAGCATTTGCTTTTCTGTAGAGGATTTTATTTCTCCTTCACTTATGAGCTTAGTTTGGCTGGATATGAAATTCTCAGTTGAAAATTCTTTTCTTTAAGAATGTTGAATATTGGTCCCCACTCTCTTCTGGCTTGTAGGGTTTCTGCAGAGAGATCTGCTGGTAGTCTGATGGGCGTCCCTTTGTGGGTAACCTGACCTTTCTCTCTGGTTGCCCTTAACATTTTTTCCTTCATTTCAACCTTGGTGAATTTGATGATTATGTGTTGGGGTTGCCCTTCTTGAGGAGTATCTTTGTGGTGTTCTTTGTATTTCATGAATATGAATGTTGGCCTGTCTTGCTAAGTTGGGATGTTCTCCTGGATAATATCCTGAAGTATGTTTTCCAGCTTGGTTCCATTCTCCTCGTCACTCTCAGGTACACCAATCAAATGTAGGTTTGGTCTTTTCACACAGTCCTGTATTTCTTGGAGGCTTTGTTCATTCCTTTTCATTCTTTTTTCTCTAATCTTCTCTTCATGCTTTATCTCATTAAGTTGATCTTCAATCTCTGATATCCTTTCTTCTGCTTGATCAGTTCAGCTATTGATACTTGTGTATGCCTCATGAAGTTTTCATTCTGTGTTTTTCAGCTCCATCAGGTCATTTATGTTCTTCTCTAAACTGGTTATTCTAGTTAGAAATTTGTCTAACCTTTTTTCAAGATTCTTAGCTTCCTTGCATTGGGTTAGAACATGCTCCTTTAGCATACAGGAGTTTGTTATTACCCACCTTCTGAAGCCTACTTCTGTCAGTTCATCAAACTAATTCTCTGTCCAGTTTTGTTCCCTTGCTCTGGAGGAATTGTGATCCTTTGTAGGAGAAGAGGCATTCTGGGTTTTGGAATTATCAGCCTTTTTGAGCTGGTTTCTTCTCATATTCGTGGATTTATCTACCTTTGGTCTTCGATGCTGGTGACCTTCGGATGGGGTTTTTGTGTGGATGTCTTTTTTGTTGATGTAATGCTATTCCTTTCTGTTTGTTAGTTTTCCTTCTAACAGTCAGGCTTTTCTGCGGCAGGTGTGGAGGAGTTTGCTGGACGTCCACTCCAGACCCTGTTTGCCTGGGTATCACCAGCAGAGGCTGCAGAACAGGAAAGATTGCTGTCTGCTCCTTCCTCTGGAAGCTTCGTCTGAGAGGGGCACCTGCCAGATTCCAGCCAAAGCTCTCCTGTATGAGGTGTCTTTTGACCCCTGTTGGGAGGTGTCTCCTTGTCAGGAGGCACAGGGGTCAGCGAGTCACTTGAGGAGGCAGTCTGACCCTTAGCAGAACTTTAGCACTGTGCTGGGAGATCTGCTGCTCTCTTCAGTGCTGGCAGGCAGGAATGTTTAAGTCTACTGAAGCTGTGCCCACAGCTGCCCCTTCTGCCAGGTGCTCTGTGCCTGGGAGATGGGAGTTTTATCTATAAGCCCCAGACTGCAGCTGCTGCCTTTCTTTCAGAGATGCCCTTCCCAGAGAGGAAGAATCTAGAGAGGCAGTCTGGCTAGTGGCTTTGCTGGGCTGTGGTGGGCTCTGCCTAGTCTGAATGTCCCCTGCAGCTTTGTTTACACTATGAGGGGAAAACAGCCTACTCAAGCCTCAGTAATGGCAGACGCCCCTCCCTCCATCAAGCCAAGCATCCCAGATTGACTTCAGACTGCTGTGCTGGCAGCAAGAATTTCAAGCCAGTGGATCTTAGCTTGCTGGGCTCCCTGGGCATGGGATCCGCTGAGCTAGACCACTGTGCTTCCTGGGTTCAGCCCCCTTTCCAGGGAGTGAACGGTTCTGTCTCACTGGTGTTCCAGGCGCCACTGGGTATGAAAAAAAACTCATGCCGCTGGCTCAGTGTCTGCCCCAAATGGCCACCCAGTTTTGTGCTTGAAACCCAGGGCCCTGATGGTGTAGGCACCTGAGGGAATCTCCTGGTCTGCAGGTTGAGAAGACCATGAGAAAAGCATAGTATCTTGGCTGGAATGCACTGTTCCTTAGGGCAGAGTCCCTCGTGGCTTCCCTTGGCTAGGGGAGGGAGTTCCCCCACTCCTTACCTTTCCCTGGTGATGCAACGCCCCACCCTGCTTAGGCTCACCCTCCATGGGCTGCATTCACTGTCTAACCAGTCCCAATGAGATGAGCCAGGTACCTCAGTGGGAAATGCAGAAATCACCCGTCTTCTCTGTTGATCTTGCTGGGAGCTGCAGACCAGAGATGTTCCTATTCAGCCATTTTGCAGCCACTGGTAAAGTTTTATTATTAAATATGAAAGCTTGTTTTACTTGCCTGCAGTGGTCACAGACTTAGTTTAAGTTCCTTAAGGATCTTGTCTACAAAATCCTATTGGAAGCCAAAGGAAAACATGATTTTATGTATAACAATATTTGTTTTATCTATAAGATACAGCTACAGGAACAAGAAGTGCATTTGGGTGGATAATTATGCATAGAAGAATATTTATAAGTGAGGTTAAAAAAATGTTAGCATTATGCCCTAGTTGAGGGGGGGATTACACATTTCAGGGTGAAAAGCGTGAGCTGCAGGAGATCTCTGTTCGTTGGTTCCAGGACAGCTGTGTGTTTATCTCAGTAGTCTGGCCAACTGGTATCAGCTTTACTATCACTGATCCCTGCCTCTCCCTCTGCTGTTCTGTGAAAGCCATACAGAATCTCAGCATGGACTTACAGCAAACTGTAGTTTGAATCTTCTCCTACCAAATACATTGGCAATTGGAAATGACCAATTAAACCGAACACTGAGGCAGATTAAATCTGAACTGATTTGGGTTCACCCCTTTAAGACATTAGGATTAGTACCTATTTTCATGCCTGTTAGTTCATGCCACACTTGATTCACTAGTAAACACAAGGCTCTGTCTCTTGAAATAACCAGCACACTCTGTGTTCAGCTTGGTTTAGAGCCATTCATCTTAGCTTTCCTTTTTTCCTACATTGGCGAAAGAGACCGAGGTATGTTTGATGGTATTTTTACATTTCCATAATCAGCCTGCACAAATGTGCACTGCCTACTGGCGACACTCTCACACTGGATGTTCCCAGATAATCCCAAACACCACCTACAATGATAAGTCACATGCCCTTTTTCAGGGCCCGGTTCAGAATGGCCAAGTGCTACTGTGCCTGTTAGTTTGTCCATGGCAGCTGGTTGGTGCTATGTTTACATGCTGGTGTGTTTGCTGAAATTCTGCCCAATCTCTGAAGGTGGTGTTTTTTCAATCATAATTTCTAGGTCATATACTATGTATATGTTTAGGGCTTGCAGCAGAGAAGAATTCTTGATATTTTTATAGTTCTGAACTACCTTCTCCAAAATCCAACACCATTTTAGTATTACTCAGTCACCATGTCTCCATTCCAAATATTTTGATATCTCTTTTTTTGAAAGGAGGTAGCAAAATCATTTCTGTCATAGGTAAGTGTGTAGAGACCACTGGAATAAATCTGTGACATGTTCCTGCCAAGATGTGGCATATTAAAAGTTTAATTGAGATTGAATGAAGTCATTTTAAAATGAAGAGAATAGCAGCA
Organism: Homo sapiens; assembly: GCF_000001405.40. Lineage (NCBI taxonomy): Eukaryota > Metazoa > Chordata > Mammalia > Primates > Hominidae > Homo > Homo sapiens. Next base: position 148,523,672 of record NC_000004.12, read on the forward strand.
AGTAATAAAATTATGGTAGTGTTTTCACACATATTCTGGTATTCATATATTCACAGGTCTACCTTTCACTTGCTGAAAAGGAAAATGGTGACTCTATCTGTGATGTATTAATTATATTTATGTTTCCTAGAACCACAAATTCAGGTTCAATTACACTTGGTTAAGTCTTACATCTTTGTTATAAATAATTTATATTTTCAAAAATTTCCTGGTTAGAAGTTTTGCATAACATTTGAAAGATGAACCTCTCTCTGTTTCATCCATGATTAAAATGCAGTGGAAATTTTCAGAAAGTTTGCATTCCATCTTAATGTTCGTGGGTAGAGTTTCTGGAATGCTGCTAAATATCTTAAGAAGTATTTCTTACAACATATTTAACCTTGTACATTTAGAAGAATTTAGCTTAGTGGCAGTATTAAATATTAAAAAAAATCATAGCTATAAAAATGTACCTTTATGCAATACTTGCGTTCTTGAAATTTTGCCTTTCCACATTTCTAGAAATAGAATATTTTTTGAATGACTTAAAACAATTTCAAAAATATATTTTCATACAGACTTATTTTTCAAACATTATAAAAGTAATCTTTCAGAAGGTGATGTCTCTTTTCTTCTTTGTGGATTTTTCTTCCAAACGTCTACAATAAATATGAATTGCTTTTGCTATGAGAAAACATTTAATTTCTTATAAATTTTAAAAATTTCAAGCAATCTAAATATCCAACATAAGACTAAACTGTTACATCTTCATACAGTGAATTAATATCCAGTAATTATGAGTTTTAATGGCAGAGGCTATTTAATGACACAAAATGTAAATAATATATCACATGATAAAAGCTTGTTGCAAAATAGAAAAAAAACAAATTTTGGAAAGAAAACAATACAAAGGTACACATAAATAAAGAAAAAATACACAATGAATTGTTAACTGTAGTTGTCTCAGAGTGGTAGAAAGGTGGATGATTTTGCTCTCTTTAAAACTTTCTACATTTTCCTAATTTCTCTGAGAATTATGTATTATTTTACATATAGGAAATACATATTTTAAAATAAAACAGTATATATGTAGTGCTTATATATACATCTTTTTTTTTTTTTCACCCAGGCTGGAGTGCAGTGGAGCAATCTCAGCTCACTGCAACCTCCGCCTTCTGGGTTCAAGTGATTCTCCTGCCTCAGCTTCCCGAGTAGCTGGGACTATAGGCACGCACCACCACACCCAGCTAATTTTTTGTATTTTTAGTAGAGACAGGGTTTCACCATGTTGGCCAGGATGGTCTTGATCTCTTGACCTTGTGATCCGCCTGTCTCAGCCTTCCAAAGTGCTGGGATTACAGACATAAGCCACTGCGCCCAGCCATATACATCTTCAAGAATTCTGTATTTTTGCAGGCATGACAAAGAGAGTGCAGCTGATCCAGGCACTGGGATTCGAACAAGCAAATTCACAGAAGTGTGAAAGAGGACATCACACTCAGTGAATGGCAAGCAAGTCTATAGTGCTGAAGACACATATGGGGCTCGATCGTATAAGAGGACATGAGCTATGCCAAGAAATTTAGTCTCTATGCAGGGTGACCATACAGACTTGTTTACCTCTGAGAGTCCCAATTTAGTCCTATTATGGCTGTATAATTGTTAATAACACCAAATTATCAAAATTGCCTGGATTCAGATGATAAATTAAGTGGTTACCTTATTTAGCCACTGGGAAACCACTGAAGAGTTATTACCAGGGGATTAACACAGCCAGACTTACATTCTGGAAAGAGATCTTGGCTGCATCCTGAAAAGTGCATTTTGGGGGGCTGCAGGACTATAGGAAGGAAGATCAGTTAGGATACTGTTGCAAAGTTTATGGGAACTAAGGCAGTAGCAGTAGAGTTAAAGTAGAGACAAGAAAGAAGATGCATATGAAAGAGCAGGTTTGGACATTCATATAAGATAAGTTTGAGGCATTTTAAGGTAGAAATGAGTTATTTTGATGCCGTTTGTAGAAGGTTCTAGAGCAGCACTATCCAGTAGAACTTTTGGCATTGATGGAAATGTTTTATGTTTGTTCTGTCCAGTATGGTAACCAGTAGCCACATGTGGCTAGTGAGGACTTCAAATTAAGTTTTAAGTTATATTAAGTATAATTAACTTAAATTTATCGAATAGCCATATGTGTCTAGTGGCTTTTGTATTAGACAGCACAGCTCTAGATATTTATCTGCTAGGATATGAGAGAGATCTGGGCTAAAGTGTAATTTTGTGAGGGATCAGTTAGGTGCTGACTTAATAGACGCATTGGCCAGCAGAGCTTGGATATTGAGAAAAGAGCAGGGTACCATATTTAAGGGATTGACAGAGGAGGAGAAGACTGCAAAGAAAGGCTAAAGATTAGTCAAAGGGCTGGGAGAAGGCCTAGGAGAGGAAGCTGGTTTGGTAATCAAAGAGACTGACAGTGTCAAGGAGTGCTTAACAGTGATGAAAGATTTTATGCTGTATGTACTTATCAAGTAAGATGAAGACACTTTGGAAATATTGAAGTAAAGAGGTTATAGAGGTAGAATTATATATATATATATATATATATGTTTTCATCTTTTAATTGTCATTTTATAGTTCCCCACTGCAGCTGCCCTCCATCCTTACTTTTGATGATGACATTTGCAGGCTTCAGGGGAACCAGGGAACAAAGCTGGGGCCTGGCAGCCCCACTACACTGCCAGCTGGGGAGAGCAAGTCACACTTACAAATTTCTCACAACAATTAGTGCCTGTACTTGGGGGATCTGCAAATATGAGGAGGCCCCAGCTCCTCATTGTACAGGGGTCTATTTGGCAGTGACCTTTCTCTGGAGATGATATTCCTTCAGCTTGAGGGAATTGATGTTGATGAACCCGGTGGAATCAATTGGCTCATAATCACCCTGCATGTTCATGCTCACCAGCTCCTTGTTGTAGAGAGACAGTGGGGACTCCCGGCTAAGGATGTACACCTGGCCCTTGAGGACAGACACCTGTACTTTCCCTTCCACTCGCTCCTGGGACTTGGCGATGCAGTGGTGGGCAAATTCACACTCAGGGCTGTGCTAGAAACCAGTATATATCAGCTCAGCAAATTTCAAGCCGAGGCCTGTTTGACTTTATGCACTTCCCAGTCCATGGTGAAGACCTTGATATCTAAATAGGTGTGGTAAAGGATGGTGCCTGCTGGGGTCTCATAGATACCTCGAGACTTCATTCTAATGCAGCGGTTCTCCACGATGTCAGTACGGCCCACACTGTGCTTGCCCGTGACTTGACTCAGGTACACGAAGAGCTCCAAGGAGGTCTGGTGGGTGGTGCCATCCTTAACGTTGGTCATCTTCACAGGGACCCCTTTTTTGAACTCGATCTCGAGAATCTCAGGGGCGTTGGGGGCATTGGCCAGGTCCTGGGTCTTCATGTAGAGACCTGGAGGCGGTTGGTTCTTGGTATTTTGATGGGCTTCAGCGTTGACTAAGAGGAGATATTGTAGGTGAAAACTTTTCTCTGAGAGTAAAGTTATACAGACTCTATAAAGGTTGAAACATGAAAACTCAGCCTCATTCTGCCACCTTCTACCATGCCCAAATCCTTAAGGAACTGCATAGCTGACTTGTTGATGCAGCTATTTTCCTAAGAATTGATGGCTTGTGCCAGCCAGGAAGGAAACCTCCTTCACAGATGCAAGGAACTGGTTTTTTCCCCCCTTTGGTGATGTAAGACAAGAACCTGGAAGTTTGTTCACCATTTCAGTAGGGCAACTGTAGTGAGGGGCCAGCAATGAAAGAAAGGTGGAACCCAAGAAAGGCAGACAGAATCAAAATATCCTCTGCCCTTCCCATTGCTAAATAAGAATAATTATTGAAGCAAAACTTACAGATGAAAGTTTTTTTTAGGAACATTAGGACTGGAAAGATGCAAACAGTTCTGTGTTGATCTGTAAACTTTCTTTTGGAGGGAGGGTCAATATGATGTGGTGGAATAAATAATTGAACTGGATTTCCATTCAGTAGACTTGAGTTCTAGTGTTGTTTCTATTGTTGATAAAGTAAGTGACCTCTGTATGCATGACACTTAATTATTTGGATTACAGTTACTCATAAAAGTAGATTAGTGTTCAAGTTTATGTTTTTTTAACTTTAAAACTCTATTAGGGTAAAGGCCAAGTTAAAATTATATCTAACATGCTAAAATAAATCTGGATGCATGAAACCCATGCCAAATTTTGTTGACCTGCATGATAAAATTTTACTCACTGTTTCAGTGGATGCATTTTAAATGGCTTTATAAGAAACCAGTGTTAAAATGGATAGTATGGAGATACACTGAGTTATGCAAAGTGAAGTAAAATATATAAGGAATTATTTTCAAATTATTTTTTTAAAGCCGCTCCACAAATAATGAGGTTGTTTCCAGGCTGAGAACCTGTATGACAAGTTTCAGTTCAAAGAAACTATTGAAGGTTTCTTAATGGTGCCTGGAGGGGTAGACAGTGTAGTAGGTTAAAGTATGCAATATTTTTAATCTTTGGTTTCAAATTTTATTCCATTTTTAAAAAAGAAAGAAAAATATTAGAGTTTTCCAGAGAAACAGAACCAATAGGATATATAGAGAGATACATAAGAGGGGGTTTATTATAGAAATTGGCTCACAGGATTATGGAGGCCAGAGGTCCCATAATTGACTGTCTGCAAGCTGGAGAACCTGGAAAGCTGGTGGTATAATTCAGTCTGAGTCTGAAGGTCTGAGAACCAGGTGAGCCAATGGTGTAAGTCTTGGAGTCTGAAGGCTAAATAACTTGGAGTTCTCATGTCGGAGGGCAGGAGAAAATGGACATCCCAGCTCCAGAAGAGAGAGTGAATTTGCCATTTCTCTACCTTCTGCTTCTATCTGGCTCTCCTCAAAAGACTGGATCATGCTCACCCATATTGGTGAGGGCAATCTTCTTCACTTGGTCTACTGACTCAAAGTCTCATTTATTCTGGAAACATCCTCACAGATACACACATAAACAATGTTTTACCAGCTATCTAGTTATCCCTTAACCCAGTAAAGTTGGCACAGAAAAAAAGATAAAGAAAGAAAGAGAGAGAAAGAGAGAGGCAGAGAGAGAGAGAAAACAGAAGGAAAGAAGGAAGGAAATTTGGAAAGAAAAGATAATAAATGAAAGGAGAATAAAAGACAAGAAAAAGAAAAGGAAGAACGAAGGGAAAATAAATTAGTTGTGTATTGTTGCAAGAAAACTTTGGCGTGGTAGAACATAATAACTAGAGTTTTAGTACTTAATCCTCCATTAACTATGTGACCTTGTGTACGTAATCACACATCTCCTGGCTTTTTCTCATCAGATGAGGGGTTTGAACCAGAATATTTTTAGAGTCCCTTCCAACTCTACAGTGTTACAACATTGACGATGTAACTCATATGGCCCAAGACTGTTGATTTGTGTTGTTCAGAAAATGCCAAAAAATAGTACAGTTATATGCCACATAGTAACATTTCAGTCAACTATGGATGGCATATATAACAGTGGTCCCATAAGATTACAATGGAGTGGTAAATTTCTATTGCCTAGTGATGTCATAGCTGTCATAATGTCATCATGCAACACCTTACTCGTGTGTAGTGATACTGGTGTAAACAAACCTACCATGCTGTCAGTCATATAAAAGTCTAGCACATACAATTATGTACAGTAGATAATTCTTGATAATAATAAACAACCATAGTACTGGTTTATGTATTTACTATGCTTTTTATTGTTATTTTAGAGTATCCTCATTCTACTTATATATAAAAAAGTTAACTGTAAGACAGCTTCAGGGAGACCCTTCAGGAGACATTCCAGAAGAAGGCATTGTTATCATAGGAGATGACAGCTCCATGCGTGCTATTGCCCCCATAGACCTTACAGTGGGACAAGTTGTGCAGGTGGAAGACAGTGATATTCATGATCCTGACCCTGTACAGGCTAGACATGTGTGTGTTTATATCTTAGTTTTTTAACAAAAAGTTTAAAAAGTGAAATGAAAAATTAATAGAAAAAAGTCTATAGAATAAGGATAAAAAGAAAGAAAATATTTTTGTATAGCTGTACAATGTGTTTGTGTTTGTTGTTGTTGTTGTTGTTGTTGTTTGAGATGGAATTTCGCTCTGTTGCCCAGGCTGGAGTGTAGTGGTGTGGTCTTGGCTGACTGCAACCTCCACCTCCCGGGTTCAATCGATTCTCCTGCCTCAGCTTCCCGAGTAGCAGGGATTACAGGTGCCTGCCACCATGCCCAGCTAATCTTTTGTATTTTAGTAGAGATGGGGTTTCACCATGTTGGTCAGGCTGGTCTTGAACTCCTGACCTCATGATCTGCCCGCCTTGGCCTCCCAAAGTGCTGGGATTACAAGCATGAGCCACTGTGCCCGGCCCAATGTGTTTGTATTTTAAGCCAAGTGTTTTTATGAGAGTTAAAAGTTAAAAAATTAGTTTATAAAGTAGAAGAGTTGCAGTAAGCTAAAGTTAATTTTATTGTTGAAGAAAGAACATTAAAAAATAATTTTACTGTAGCCTAAGTGTACAGGGTTTATAAAGTCTACAGTGGTGTAATGTCTTAGGCCTTCACATTCACTCACTGACTCACCCAGGGCAACTTCCAGTCATGCAAGCTCCATTCATAATAAGTGACCTATACAGGCATACCATTTAAAAATCTTTCATCCTGTATTTTTTTCTTTCTCTTTTTTTAAGAAATAGGTTTGGAGGTTTTTTTGTCCTTCAACTTTTAAGTTTGGGGTACATGTGCAGGATGTGCAGGTTTGTTACATAAGTAAATGTGTGCCATGGTGGTTTGCTGCACAGATCATCCTATCACCTAGGTATTAAGCCCAGCATCCATTAGCTGTTCTTCCTGATGCTCTTCCTCCCCACAACCCCTCCTCTGAAAGGTCCCACTGTGTGTTGTTTGCCCGCATATGTCTATGTGTTTTTGTCATTTAGCTCCCACTTATAAGTGAGAACATGTGGTGTTTGGTTTTCTGTTCCTGTGTTAGTTTGCTGAGGATAATGACTTCCAGTCCATGCATGTCCCTGGAAAGAACACGATCTCATTCCTTTTTATGGCTGCATAGTATTCCATGGTGTATATGTATCACATTTTCTTTATCCAGTCAATCATTGACAGGCATTTAGGTTGATTCCATGTCTTTGCTATCGTGAATAGTGCTGTAATGAACATATTCATGCAATGAAAATAGCATGTATCTTTATAATAGAATGATTTATAATCCTTTGGGTATATAACCAGTAATGGGATTGCTGGGTCAAGTGGTATTTCTGCCTCTAGGTCTTTGAGAAATCACACTGTTTTCCACAATGGTTGAACTAATTCACACTCCCACCAGCAGTGTAAAAGCATTCCTTTTTCTCCACAACCTCACCAGCATCTGTTGTTGACTTTTTAATAGTAGCCATTCTGACTGACGTGAGATGGTATCTCAATGTGGTTTTGATTTGCATTTCTCTAATGATCAGTGATGTTGAGCTTTTTTTCATATGTTTGTTGGTTGTGTGTATATCTTCTTTTAAGAAGTGTCTGTTCATGTCCTTTGCTCACATTTTAATGGGGTTGTTTGTTTTTTTCTTGTTTGTTTAAGTTCCTTGTAGATTCTGGATATTAGACCTTTGTCAGATGGATAGACTGCAAAAATTTTCTCCCATTCTGTAGGTTGTCTGTTCACTCTGGTGATAGTTTCATTTGCTGTGCAGAAGCTCTTTAGTTTAGTTAGAGTCAATCTGTCAATTTTTGCTTTTGTTGCAACTGTTTTTCGCATTTTCATCATGAAATCTTGCTTGTGCTTATGTCCTGAATGGCATTGCCTAGATTTTCTAATACAGTTTCTATAGTTTTGAGTTTTACATTTAAGTCTTTAATCCATCTTGAGTTAATTTTTGTATAAGGCATAAGGAAGGGGTGCAGCTTCAATTTTCTGCATTTGGTGAGCCAGCTCTCCCAGCACCATTTATTAAATGGGGAGTCCTTTTCCCATTGCTTGTTTTTGTCAGGTTTGTCAAAGATCAGATGGTTGTCGGCATGTGGTCTTATTTCGGAGTTCTCTATTCTATTCCATTGGTCTATGTGTCTGTTTTTGTGCCAGTACCATGCTGTTTTGGTTACTGCAGCCCTGTGGTATAGTTTGAAGTCAGGTGGCATGATGCCTCCAGCCTTTTGCTTAAGATTGTCTTAGCTATTGCGGCTTCTATTTGGTTCCATATGAATTTTAAAATACTTTTTCTAATTCTTTGAAGAATGTCAACAGTAATTTAATGGGAATAGCATTGAATCTATAAATTACTTTGGGCAGTATGGCCATTTTCACGATATTGATTCTTCCTGTCTATGAGCATGGGATGTTTCTCCATTTGTTTGTGTCCTCTCTGATTTCTTTGAGCAGCAGTTTGTAGTTCTCCTTGAACTTACCTTGTCCTTCACTTACCTTGTTAACTGTATTCCTAGGTATTTTATTCTGTTTGTAGCAATTGTGAATGGGAGTTCGTTCATGATTTGGCTCTCTGCTTGCCTGTTGTTGGTGATAGGAATGCTAACAATTTTTGCACATCGATTTTATATCCTGAGAATTTGCTGAAGTTGCTTATCAGCTTAAGAAGCTTTTGAGCTGAGACAATGGGATTTTCTAGATATAGGATCATGTCATCTGCAAACAAAGATAGTTTGACTTCGTCTCTTCCTATTTGAATATGCTTTATTTCTTTCTCCTGGCTGATTGCCCTGGCCAGAACTTCCAGTACTATGTTGAAGAGGAGTGGTGAGAGAGGGTATCCTTGTCTTGTGCTGGTTTTCAAGGGATATGCTTCATGCTTTTTCCCATTCAGTACAGTATTGGCTGTGGGTTTGTCATATATGGCTCTTATTATTTTGAGGTATGTTCCTTCAATATCCAGTTCATTGAGTTTTTAACATGAAGTGATGTTGAATTTTATTGAAGGCCTTTTGTGCATCTATTGAGATAATCACGTGGTTTTTGCCTTTAGTTCTGTTTATGTGATGAATCACATTTATTGTTTTGCATATGTTGAACCAACCTTGCATCTCAGGGATGAAGCCAACTTGATCGTGGTGGTTAAGCTTTTTGATGTGCTGCTGGATTTGGTTTGCCTACTGGCAATAAAGTACTTTCATTGAGGATTTTTGCGTTGATGTTCATCATCAATCAAAGATATTGGCCTGAAGTTTTCTTTTTTGTTGTATCTCTGCCAAGTTTTGGTATCAGGATGATTCTGTCCTCATAGAATGAGTTAGGGAGGAGTCCCTCCTTTTCAAGTTCTTAAAATAGTTTCAGTGGAAATTGTACCAGCTTTTCTTTGTACCTCTGGTAGAATTCAGCTGTGAGTCCATCTGGTCCTGGGCTTTTTTTTTGGTTGGTATGCTGTTTATTACTGCCTCAATTTTAGAACTCATTACTGGTCTATTCAGGGATTCAATTTCTTCCTGGTTCAGTCTTGGGAGGTTGTATGTGTCCAGGAATTTATCCATTTCTTCTAGATTTTCTAGTTTATGTGCATAGAGGAATTTATAGTATTATCTGATGTTTGTTTGTATTTCTGTGGGGTCAGTGGTGATATCTCCCTTATCATTTTTGATTGTGTTTATTTGACTCTTCTCTCTTTCTTCTTTGTTAGTCAAGCTAGCAGTCTATCTATTTTATTAATTTTTTCAAACAACCAGCTCCCAGATTTGTTGATTTTTTTGAAGACTTTTTAACTTCTCTATCTCTTTAAGTTCAGCTCTGATCTTCGTTATTTCTTGTCTTCTTCCAGTTTTGAGGTTTATTTGCTCTTGGTTCTCTAGTTCTTTTAGTTAAGATGTTAGCTCGTTAACTTGAGATCTTTCTAGCTTTTTGACGTGGGCATTTGGTACTATACATTGCCCTCTTAACACCGCTTTAGCTGCATCATAGGGATTCTGGTAAGTTGTCTCTTTGTTCTCATTAGTTTCAAAGAACTTCTTGATTTCTGCCTTAATTTCATTATTTACCCAATATGAAATACTTTCATTATTTATTTGGTGAAATAAATTTACTCTAATATAAAGTATTTCATTATTTATTTGGTGCATATATATTTAGGATAGTTAGCTCTTCTTATTGAATTGAATCCTTTACCTTTATGTAATGCCCTTCTTTGTCTTTTTTGGTCTTTGTTGGTTTAAAGTCTGTTTTGTCAGAAACTAGGATTGTGACCTCTGCTTTTTTTTTGCTTTCCATTTGCTTGGTAAATTTTCCTCCATCCCTTTATTTTGAGCCTATGTGTGTCTTTGCACATGAGATAGGTCTCTTGAAGACAGCATACCAACGGGTCTTGTCTCTTCATCCAGCTTGCCATTCTGTGTCTTTTAGTTAGAGGATTTAGCCCATTTACATTTAAGGTTTGTATTGTTATGTGTGAAGTTGGCCCTGTCATCATGATGCCAGCTGGTTATTTTGCAGACTTGTTTATGTGGTTGCTTCACAGTGTCACTGGTCTGTGTACTTCAGTGTGTTTCTGTAGTGGCTGGTAATGGGTTTTCCTTTCCATATTTAATGCTTCATTCAGGAGCTCTTGCAAGGCAGGCCTGGTGGTAATGATTTCCCTAAGCATTTGCTTGTTTAAAAAGGATCTTATTCCTCCTTCACTTATGAAGCTTAGTTTGGCCAGATATGAAATTCTGGGTTGAAAATTATTGCCTTTAAGAATGTTGAATATTGGCTCCCAATCTCTTCTGGCTTGCAGCGTTTCCACGGAGAGGTCTGCTGTTAGTCTGATGGATTTCCCTTTGTAGGTGACCTGGCCTTTCTCTCTTTGTGCCCTTAACATTTTTTCTTTCATTTCAGCCTTGGAGAATCTGATGATTATGTGTCTTGGGGCTGATCTTCTCATGGAGTATCTTACTGGGCTTCTCTGCATTTCCTGAATCTGAATGTTTGCCTGTCTTGCTAGGTTGGAGAAGTTCTCCTGGATGATATCCCAAAGTATATTTTCCGACTTGTTTCCATTCTCCCTGTCTCTTTCAGGTACTCCAATCAGTCATAGGTTCAGTCTTTTTACATAATCCCATATTTCTCAGAGGTTTTGTTCATTCTTTTTAATTCTTTTTCTCTATTCTTGTCTGCCTGTCTTATTTCAGAAAGATAGTCTTCAGTCTCTGAGATTCATTCCTCCACTTAGTCTATTCTGCAATTGATACTTGTGATTGCATTGTGAAGTTCTCATGTTGTGTTTTTCAGCTCCATCAGGTCGGTTGTGTTCCTCTCTAAACTGGATAGTCTGTCTGTCAGCTCCTGTATTGTTTTATCATGATTCTTAGCTTCTTTGCATTGGGTTACAACATGCTCCTTTAGCTCAGTGAAGTTCAATATTACCCATCTTCTGAAGCCTACTCCTGTCAATTCAGCCATCTCAGCATTAGCTCAGTTCTGTGCCCTTGCTGGAGAGGTGTTATAGTCCTTTGGAGGAGAAGAGGCACTCTGGCTTTTTGAGTTTTCAGCATTTTTGCATTGATTCTTTCTCATCTTTGTGGGCTTATCTACCTTTGGTCTTTGAGGTTGCTGCCCTTTGAATGAGGTTAGTGTGTGGTGTTTTTTGTTGATGTTGTTGTTTTCTGTTTGTTTGTTTTTCTTTTAATAGGCCACTCTACCATAGGGCTGCTGATGTTTGCTGGGGGTCTGCTTTGGTTGCCTTGGTTTTTCCATACCTGGAGGTATCTCCAGTGAAAGCCGTGAAATGGCAAAGATGGCAGCCAGCTCCTTCCACTGGAAGCTCCATCCCAGGAGGGTACTGACCTGTTGCTAGCCTGAACACACCTGTAGGAGGTGGTTGGTGACCCCTTTTGGGAGGTCTCACCCAGTCAGGGGAAATGAGATCAGGGACCCTTTTAAAAAAGCAATCTGGCTGCCTTTTGGTATAGCAGGTGTGTTGCATTGGGGGTGGAAGTGGGACCCTTCCTCTTCCAGACTCTATTCTCCAAGCCAGCAGGCTAGAGAGGCTGAGTCAACTGAACTGCTGCAGAGATGGCGGCTTCCACCCCCCACTCCCCTCTGTGCCAGGAGCTCTGTCCCAGGAACAGATCAGAGCTCTATCCATAGAACCCTGGCTAGAGTGGCTAAAGCTTCTTCATGAAGGTCCCACCCAGTGAGGAGAAATGGATCGAGGTCCTTCTTAAAGAAGCAGTCTGGCCATGATCTGGCAAGGCAGCTGTGGTGTGTTGTGGGAGACCCTTCCGTCTTCAGACGATTTGTATTCTTCATAGCTGGCAGGCTGGAATGGCTGAGTTTACTGAACCCCAGAGATGTGGCTGACCCTTCCCACCCCCTCCTTTTCTTTTGAGACAAGGTCTCACTCTGTCACCCAGGCTGGAGTGCAGTGGCACAATCCGGGCCCACTGCAGCCTCGGCCTCCTGGGTTCAAACAATCCCCCCACTGCAGTCCCCCAAGTAGCTGGGACCGCAGGCATGTGCCACCACACCTGGCTAACTTTTGTACTATTTTGTAGAAATGGGGTTTCTCCATGTTGCTCAGGCCGGTCTTAAACTCATGGGCTCAAGCAGTCTGCCTACCTTGGCCTCCTAAAATGCTGGGATTACAGGCATGAGTCACTGCACCTGAGCTTCATACTGTATTTTTACTATACCTTTTCTATGTTTTGATACACAAATCCTTACAACTGTGTTACAGTTGCCTACAGTGTTCAGTACAGTCACATGCTTTACAGGTTTGTAGCCTAAAAGCAATAGGCTATCCCATGTAGCCTAGGTGTGTAGTAGGCTACGCCATCTAGGTTTGTGTAAGTATGCTCTGATGTTTTTAACAAGGATGAAGAATGTATCCTTATCTTTAATTGATACATGACTGCATTAGGAAAACCTCTCCTACTCATAATTTCATTTTATACTTTCATTCAGTTATAGGAAACTATTTTTAGCAAGACTAAGGTATGAAAAAAAGTTTTTACAATTGAAAACTTTCCACTATTCCAGCTAAGATGGAGCGGGGTTGCCTAGAATTACTAAATCTGTGCAGGGGAAGAGTCGTGAGGATTCACCTCACCTATTCCCTCTGCCACCCCTTCCCCAACAGCATGAGCTCTGGGAAGAAGACCTGCTCATCTCTGCTGCAGAGGACAAAGGCAAGACTCTTTTCTAGAGAAGGAATGTAAGGGGAAGCTAAAATGTATCCTGAGACACTGGACTGGTTAAAAGTCATTTGTTTTCTGAAATTAAGGTGTTGTCAACAACGATTTTTAAAATAAATAATTAGACTCTTTATATTGAAATAGTTTGATTATTCCTTTGAAGCACTAAGGTTATTCTGTAGTAACCTGAGAAATATCTTCATTGAAGAGATGGCTTGACCTGGTTTTTTGTGCCAATCTCCTTCCTTATACCAAAACAAAAAAAGATTTTCTTTTAAGATACTGCAAGTGTCCAAGACATAGAACTTTTTCCTGGAAGAAAGAGTCTTCTTTTAAAAATCTCTTTTTGGTGCAGGATTGGGCAATAATTTCACTGTCAGAACCTTTAAACTTATCGAAGTGCTACCTGAGATTCTGGAATTAGGGTGGTCTTTTATCTTTGGTGTTCCCAGAAATCACGTAATGACAGAGTGAGGGTAATAGGAGTTCACTGTGCTCGGTTTCCCAGGGTACACATTACTTCTTTGTTTCATGTAAACGTAGCTAAAATGATAGAGTATAATGACTCCTCTTAGAATTGTATTTTTCTTTTATTATAGAGATTGGTAAACACTTTAAGTGATACAAAGAGCCAGAAGAAAAGCAGTGCTTTTTTAAAAAATGTAAAGCCTTGTGGGACTTTAAATATCAGGTTGAAGGAAGACGGGGTTGTTGTTCAGATTGTAATGTCTGTGACCTTTGGGTGTTAGGCCTGGCTCACCTGAAACTGCTTGAATTGTTTATCCTTTTCACATCTTGATTGGTAAGGCTACAGTTTAAAACTTTCCCTTTTTTCACACAGAGACATTTCAACATCTCTTGACTACTTGGTACCACAGCTATTCAGTATGGGCGTTCCTTTGAGATCAGTAGAAACAGCCCAGTACCCACATTTTCTAACTACTTACTTCCTCATTAACATCTCCTACTTTACTGAAACTTCTGTCTTAAATGTTAAAGCCAATGGTCTTAAATGTTAAAGCCAATGATCTTAATCAGTACTCATTCCCCAAAACCGCTATTCGAATTGGGCATGGCTGACCAACTCTTCCCTCTTCAAACTCCCCTTTGACATGTCTGATGCCATCACTCTAGTTCTACCCCCTACTTTTCGCCTTTCATATTTTATTTTTGTTGCAAGTTTTTTCCACTTTCCTCCCTCTTTAACTTGGTGCTTTTCACTCTCCATGTTTTTCTGAAATATGAGCTCTTTCTTATGGCTTTATCTACTATTTCCAATCTGGTAACTGAAAAATCTAAATCTCTTGCTCTGATTTGATGTCAGAGTTGCACTCTAGAGTTTCCCAGTTGCTGCCTGTATGTTTATCACTTGTGTAATTAGTGCTAGGTGAAGTGTAAGTTGTGTTTCCCATGAGTGAGTTTTATTGTAAAGTTACTAGGAGCTTTTAGCTTCTAGTGGAGACAGACATTCACTTTGGAACAGATCTTTGCTTTCTTAAGTTATACAAATATAAGGCTGATATTTAATCTTGGGGTGGTTCTGAGTGATAGTGAAGTTATCTGTCACGGAGATGCCAAGTGTTCTGCTTCAGAAGATAAAAATGTTCTTTTGCATCTGTGTGGATACTGCAGATAAAATTTTATGACAATAAATTTGAAAATTCAGATGAAATAAACAACCACAATTTATGAAAACTGGTGCAAGAAAATAAAGTCTGAATAGAATAGTTATATTTAAGAAATTGAATCTCTCATTTAAAACCTCCTTGGAAAGAAACATCTAGGTCCACTGAATGCTCTAAATATTTAAGGAGGAAATATTACTAATAGCACTAATAGCCAATTACCAGCCCCTTATTTAAAAAAGGATCAACAGGCTAATCTTACTCATGAACATAAAGGCAAAATCCTAATACAATGTTAGTCACAAGAATCTCACAGTATGTTAAGCATACAAATCATATCACCATACAAAAAATAAATTCAAAATAGATTGTGGGCCTAAATGAGAAAGATGACCTGATAAACATCTAGAAAATAACATGCAGAATATTTTAATGACTAAGATATTCTTAAACAGGCAAAGATTTCTTAAATAGGACATAAAAAGCTCTAATCTTAAGCATATAGATTGATAAATTGGACTACATTAAATTTAGGACTTTTATTCACTAAAAGATAGCCTTAATAGAGTGAAAAAAATGTAAAGCTGTGGACTGTAACATAAAAATCATGAAGAATGGTGTAGAAAATATTTATGTTTCTATGACCCAATGTAAGAATAAATGTTTATATGATATATATTACATAGATAGTTACTGCCTGCTGTGTCTCTTGTTTACCATTCTCTAATCTAATTACTCGCCTTCTCTTTCTATCCCCTAGGGTTAAGCACTTTTCTCAATGTTGTGTTCATCTTTTCCCTGCAGGTTTTCATAGTTTTATAAGACATGTACTTCCAAATAATCTATAATAGTTTAGTAGTTGGGGTCCCAACAGGAAAGTGATGACACACTCAACTGGGTAAATGGAGAAGTGTTTATAAACATACTATTTGCAAAGGTGTGGTAAAGGTGTGGAAACACCAAAGGATAAGGTTAGACTCCAGAACTAGTGGCTTAGGAATTTCATCACCATCCCTATGTCTCAAGAGTAAGAAAAGGTACTTAAAGAAAGAATGTGGTGAGAAAAGCCTGCCTGGCAGGAGCTGGGACCTTTGGTCAGGATAAACATCAGTCTGCGAAACCTTGCAGGGAGGAAGTCAAAAGAATGGACTCTGATCTCATACTCTTGCCTTATAGTGCTCTGCATTGGCAGAACTCAGCTGAAATGCAGAAAGCAGGTGAGCCCAATGATGCAGAGGTCAGAGTTCAGCCTCACAGAGCGCAGAGTATAGAGGAAGAGGAGGAGTGCAGCCGACAGAGCTGCACGCCTCTGTCAAACATCCAGCATTAATGCTGTTTGCATGTTATGCCATCATATTAAATGTATCATGCACTCTTTCTATCCTTTGGCCACTTGCTTTCTCCCTAATTTTCCAGAACTTCTTCTGGACTTAGTATTTTTACTAATATACTTTTTTTTTCTTTTTTTCTTCCTAGGCAAATAATGATTCAAGATGCACATTTTGCTGTAGTCAATCTGGTCTTTGTTAAGGTTTTTAGTTGCAAACAACAGAATCCAACTTTACTATTTTAAACAGAGTAAGACATTTTTTAGATAGTGGGTACATCATAAAATCTCTGCCGCCACGTGTGATGGATTGTGCTTACATCCCAGTAATGTGGGAGGTGGAGGTAGGAGGATCTTTTGAGATAAGAAGTTCACGGCTGGGCTTGGTGGCTCACACCTGTAATCCCAGCACTTTGGGAGGCCAAGGGTGGGCGGATCACAAGGTCAGGAGTTCAAGAATATCTTGGGCAACATGGTGAAACCCTGTCGCTACTAAAAATACAAAAATTAGCCAGGCATGGTGGCGCACGCCTGTAGTCCCACCTACTCTGGAGGCTGAGGCAGTAGAATTGCTTGAACCTGGGCAGCGGAGGTTGCAGTGAGCCGAGATTGCGCCACTGCACTCCAGCCTGGGCTACAAGAGTGAAACTCCATCTCAAAAAAAGAAAAAAAAGAAGTTCACAACCAGCCTGTGCAACATAGGGAGACCCTGTCTCCAAAAAACAATCTAAAAAAAAAAAAATAGCCAGGTGTGGCACATGCCTGTAATCCAGGAGTTGAGGCTGCAGTCAGCTATGGTCACAACACTGCACTCCAGCCTGGTGACAGAATGAGACCCTATCTCTAAAAATTATGTTTAAAATAATAAAGTCTCTACAGTAACCACAGAATTAAACTTGCTTACTTACAGCTAGGAACAATCTTCAAATTCCAGTGTGGCACTACTGTACTAGACAGCTTGCTGCCAAATATAGAGGCTGAGAAGTTTTCAGAGGATACTAGAGCTCGGACTACTGTCACGGCAGCCTCTGGCACTGACTGTCCTTGCTGCCCTTGCTGGCATCAACTCAACACTGCACTTTCTCATTCACCTCATCTACTTCTGAACTCATGTCTCATGTCAGTGCATTGGAGAGTCCCAGGTCATGAGTTCCAAGAGAAGCTGGGAAAGCAATTTTTTAGCTTCTGCTTTGGGGAGGCAACAATTCTCCAACATAGGAAGGATTAGAAAGCTCCTGGACAGCCAAGGAAGTGTGACAAATGTCTATCCATCCCTGACAAGCCATCACTTTCAAGCTAATTCCTGCCACGCCCAACTACAAGGCCTTGAGCCTGGGTCCAACTGTGTACTTCTGATCCATTTTCTGAGAGTACTTGCTTTTGAGTGAAGCACCTGGACTTCTCGGAATACTTTTGTCTCTGGGTTTCTTCAGCACTAATTAGTGTTGCCATTCAATTAGCCATTGACTGGCTTTTAAATGATATTTGTGATTTTGCTAAACTAGTATAAGATAACATTTTATTATTGGCCCTTTCATATTTTCATTTTATTATTTGGTCTTATTGCTTCATAAAAGTTTTAGGGATCCTTGGCAAGGGGAGTGACTTTT
The DNA here is from genome assembly GCF_000001405.40 of Homo sapiens. NCBI lineage: Eukaryota > Metazoa > Chordata > Mammalia > Primates > Hominidae > Homo > Homo sapiens. The sequence continues at coordinate 148,541,420 of NC_000004.12, forward strand.
CTTTTCACAGGAATTAGCATACTGCTGTGAACCTAGGAGGCATGAAATAAGCACTTAGTTTTTATTGTTCTATGGTTTGAGCCTTGAGGGATAGAAATTATACTTAGGTAATTTTTAACAAATATATGCATGTATAATCTGCTGTCCAGACCATGATGCAAAGCAATTTACACAATCCCAGTTCCTAGTTCTCCAGAAGTATATGTATTGCTTATAAATACATTTTAGAGTTTTCTCCCCCTCTCTTTCAACTTTGTCTTAGATTATACACAGGGTGAAGGCTGGCAATTATGTGGTATTTATAAAAATCTAAGGGGAAATAAAACTTGGATAATATAATATTTAACCTTTTTGAATCCAAATTTATAAAACCAGGAAGACCTTTTGTGGGAGAATTTATACTGAGCAAGAAATATGAAGTTGATTAGGTAGAATCTGTCAAAGAACTTTTGTGGTAGGAATCTATCAGTAGCTCTCTTTGGGATTCCTAAAATATAGTCTTGGGAATAACCAACTGACCAACAAATCTCCAAGATGCTTGATGCTTGATGTTCATTCCCAGAAAGTAGGCAAATGAACAACTGTGTTTACTACTCATCTTTTTTGGTGTCTTGCCTCTAGCTGATGTGGTGTGCTGATGAATATTGGTGTTTGAAAAGCACATGGAGAGAGCGAGCACGAGGCAGTGTGTCATGCCACAGACAAGCCTCCTAAAATCCATGCTGTGATCCTGTACCTGCACTCCTAGAATACATTTAGGGCACTCAGGAAAGATGCTAATGAAACATATTAAAAGCTTGGCAGAATAAACATGGGACCACAGGACTGTCATAAGTCTAGGTAGAGCAAAATCATATTCCAGCTTGCAGAAAGAAAGCAATGTAGCCAGTTATTTTGATTGGCAATAGAGAGCTGAAAGCAATCATGATTTTTGTTATGTAGGTCATGTGGAGATCCAAGAGATCCAGCAAGCAGGAGTGGGAATGGACTCAATCAGAAGTCCAGCATAAACTGAGGGTTTCCGGAGTGCTGACCTGTCTGTCAGCATTTGTTAAACACTTACTAGGTGCAAAACAGTGGTCTAGGTGATATTAAGGAAGAGATGCTATCCCTGCTCTGAAGTGGAAAAAGAAACATGCATACAACAAAGTTCCATTGTGGCAGTGACTGTGCATATTGCTATATTCCCAGCACCTAGAACAGTGCCTGGTGCTTCAATAAATAGCCAGTAAATATATGAACAAATTATTTCTTGAAAAGTTCTATTACATCCCCTTGTGAGTGATATTTAACTTTAAATAGGTAAGTCAGACAGTGAGGGCCTAAATTAGCTAGTGTGTGTATTTTCTTACTGAAGCACGTGGCTTTGAGACTGGGCAGGTGTAGAGAATGTATGACAATAGGATACTCATAAAGTTGTGTGCTAAGTAAAGGATGGCAAGCAAAAATAGTGAGCAGAAGAAAAACTATAAAGAGCTCACAAAGTGAAACTTCATATGATTCAGTGTAATTCCGGAATTCCAAGTGAAAATAGGCAGAACAGGTTTACTTGCATTAGTTAGAAGTATAGCTATTTATGAATAATGGTAATGGGTAGAGTATTATTTTAAATAGTGCAGTTACAAATAGCTGTGGGATCTGCAAATATGGCTACAGCTGCCAACCATAGAATACTCTTTATATGTGTATAGTGTGGAAAGAACAGTTGGTCAGGCAAAGGTTTTTTCAGCCACACCTGTTCACTCAGATAACAATCGCCACCAGTAGTGTTATCTCTCTATATAAAGATAAATGTATATTTTATGCGATCTATGTCTATAACTATACACACAACTTATAAATTAGGTGGAAGTTAGATCGGCTGATTTTGTTCTTTTGAAAGAAGAATACAATCCATTTTAGATACTGGGAAGAAACTGACAAATTTAACTTGCACAGAGGGATCTCTTAGTTGAGATGAATCTTTCTGAGTCATTAGCATGGTTTCATTTATGAGTACAATACCAGTAGAACCTTGTTATGAAATGACTCATTAATTGTATCAAGTCAGTTATCTCATGGGTCAAATCACATCTCCTGAAGTATAAGAACCACATATAATAAAGCCTGAAACAATGCATTTGGCCCATTAATCATTCACTCACTCAATAATTCATTCATTCACTCATTCAACAAATATATATCAAGAGCCTCCTAAACTGGAGGGATTATAGGCAATACAAAGATGAATAATTCATAATCTTTGTCTGTAATTATCCTATGAAAACTAGTTCTAACTTGTGAGATTGGTATCCTAGAAGAATCCTGTTGAATTTTTTGTGGCGATGTTAATTCTTTTATGAAATATTTTCATCCTAGGTTTTTTGAGAAACTTCTGTGGCATCCTTCTCAAAATAGTTTTTAGGACATCTAAAACATTTTATTAGCAAAAATAAAAGATCAGTAATAAGTATCAGTGTGCTATTTAGATTTTAAAAAACCTCATTATGTGCCTTCATTACAATTACCAAGTTTAAAGATGTGTAGCTTCAGGGTGAAAACTCATTAGAGCTGCTTGCTCTACTCAGAATTAATCCATGCTGTTAACTGTGATTGAAAATCAAGATACTTAATTGTTATGATTTAATATATGTCTGTTCACTCTAAAACATGCTTAAGTGTAGTATGTTTTTCTGAATAAAGTCACAGAAGAGGTAAAGTTTGCCTGCTGTGAGGTTCTCTTCATATATCAGAGATATTAAATGATTTCTTATTTAATTCTAGAAGGTGGTGACGTTAGTTACTTATTGTTGCATAACAAATCATCCCAAAACTTTGACTTAAAATAATAATCATTTAATTTGATGACAACTTTCTGGCTTAGTTGGGTGGCTCTTCTCTTCTGAGGCAGTTTTGTTAATATGTATAATCAGCTGGCAGCTCAAACTGTGCCTGGATAGTCTAGGATGATTTCATTTGCAAGTCTTTTGGATGGAAGATTGGTTAGATCTAGGGCCTTTAATTTGAGATGGCTCATTTTTGTCCCACATGGTCTCATTCTCCAGCAGGCTAACCTGGGCTTGTTCATATGGTGGTGGAAGATTTCCCAGCAGCAAGAGTGTTGGCTCCAGTATACAGACCTTGTCAAGTCTCTGCCTGCATCATTTGCATCTTTGACCAAACCAGGTAAAAAACCAAAACAAAAAAAGTCCCTAAAATTCAAGAAAGGGGGTAAAGATTCTCTCGCTTTTTGGGAGGAAAAGTCACATCACATAGGCATGTGCTTCCAGAAATATGAGGAATCTGTAGTAATTTATTTGTGATGTACCATAAGGTGTTCTACAATATTATACTTCATTCTCCTCTGTCAATGAGTGTCATTGAATATAATATCATGTAAATATTAGATGATCTGTAGATTGATTCAGGTTCTTGAAATTAAAGAAAAGAAGCAAATGTATTAATTTAGCTCCCTTAGGAGCTATTTTTGAAAAGTAATATTTACTTATAATTAAGGAATAAGAAACATTCATCAAGACAAAATAATAAAACATTTAAAAATTATTTTGAGTGGAATAACCAGGGTGAATTGATAGGGATAAAGAAAGGTTGAACTCTACCTTAGCCTTACCCCTTTCAGCCCCACCAAGTAAAACACTTACTATCGTTTAGTTGGTATAATATGTACAGGTCTTTGTTTTGTTTTTGTTTCCCTTTTCTCTGTTTTTTCCTGTTTGTTTTACTCCCTGTGGGCTATGCCTTTATCTGCACCCGCTTATATTATCATGACTCCCAGTGTATATCTCCGGCTTTGATCTGTCTCCTGAGCGACAGACCAATTTAATTCACTTTGTGATGACCTCTATGAAAATATCTCTTAGCATGGCCACATAAGAACTCATTGTCTTCTGCTCTAATCCTTTCTTCCAGCTATAGTCTCTAACAGTGAGAGGTAATGCCAACATTCATTACGTGTTCAAACTAAAATTTATTTATTTACTTATTTTGATACAGGGTCTTGCTCTGTCACCTAGGCTGGAGTGCAGTGGTGCTATCATGACTCACTGCAGCCTCCACTTCCTGGGCTCAAGTGATACTCCCACCTCAGCCTCCCGAATAGATGGGACTACAGGTGCATGCCACCACGCCCAGCTAATTTATTTTTATTTTTAGTAGAAATGAGGGCTCCCTATGTTGCCCAGGCTGGTCTCCAACTCCTCCTGCCTCAGCCTCCCGAAATGGTGGGATTACAGGCATGAGCCACTGTGCCCAGACAAAAAAGATAGCATTTTATTATTATTATTATTATTATTATTATTATTTAGAGGCGGGTATATCAGTATTTTGCCCAGGCTGGTCTTGAACTCCTGGGCTCAAGTGATCCTCCCACCTTGGCCTCCCAAAGTTCTGGGATTAGAGGAGTAAGCCACTGCTATTCCTTCCCATCATTGCTCTCCACTCACCAATCTCCAAATTTGTGCTTCTTGCCCCTTCAATATTTCTTGATATTCAGCTCCTCCAGTTCCACAGCTTCTATCTTAATCAGACTCCATGGCTTATTTATCTGCTTCACATCTTCCCCAAATTTCTCCAATCCATCTAGAGCAATTGTCTAAAATATAAAACTTATCATGTCATTACAAGTCTTCCATCAATAAATCCTCATAACCTTTAGGATATGATCCACTTCATTATCTTGGCATACAAGTCTCTCGACGGTCTAACCGATGATGTAACTCTCAGCCAGAGGAAACTCCTTTCTTGTGTCCATCATAACATCTCTCACCTCTTTGTCCAAAGTGAACCCCTGTTCTTATTATCCTTCCTGATCCTCTTCCTTCTCAATGTGGTTAACTCTTACTCATTCTTCCAGAATTAATACAAAAAAAAATCTGCTTGGAAAGTATTCCTAAGTTAACATCAGACTTAAGTGAGCAGTCCACTACTTTCCCTTATAGTATATAACTGTCCTAAATCACATTCCATAGTTTTTAACTGGTGATTTACTTAGGTCATCTCCGTCATTGCTCTGCGTGATGTTAGCAGTTAACTCCGTCCCTGACACACAGTAAGCTCTCAGGACTCGAATGATGACTGAGATTGAACAAATTGACTGAATGAATGAGTGAGTAGAGGAAGGATGTGACAGAAGTGTAATCATATTACAGTTGGCCATGTGTCCTGGCTGCATCTTACTCAATGCATGCACATGGCAGAACTGTTTATTACTGAGAAGTAATTTAGCTAAGTCTGGGTGTTGGAAGGAATGCACTTGGAGTTTAAGTCAAGTTTCAGCACAAGGTAGGAGTAAGATCTTGTTGACAACAAAAACAGCTCTAGTTCTGAAAATTTAGGGATCATTTATTTTTCTGTAATTGGAAAAAAATTCCTCTCTGTTAGAAGTTTGTCTCCTTAAGCCCAGGATTTCGAGACCAGCCTGGCAAGATAAGACCCTCCTTGCTCCCTAATTCTGAAAAAAAACAAAAGACAAAAAAGAAAAAAAAAAGAAATTTGTCTCAATACCATTGTGGGGATTCATTTTCTTTGTCATTTGTTGCTAACTGCTAGTCTCTGGATTCTCTCTAAATTCTAATCATTTTCTAATCCTTGATATCATTGAGTATTTTCTCAGAGAATTTAAACTAGTTTTAATATTTGCGTAAGTGAGGCCAATTAACAATGTAAATTTAATGTAAATACTTAACGTTTTTCAGGACCTAAAATCATTTTTGAATATCTGCTGTTTTAAATTATTCAGATCAATGCTTCTAGCATCTAGCTGTGGATAATGGAATAGGAGATGATTAGTAAATTGAAGCTGATTCTCTGAATTTTTAAGGAGTTGAGTGGCAGTGATGCTTTTTCTAGATTCTCATTCTGGGGTATTCTGCGTTGAAGGACAGATTATTCTAATATAGATGAAGTTCTCTTTATTTGAATTTTTATAATACATCAAAAATGTTGTTAAAAATATTTCTATCATTGGTGTGTGTATGTGTAATAGTGGTTTCCTATTACCTTAGGAATACTTACTCAGTGAAAAGAAGCACTATATCATTAATATTTTGTCCTACTTTCTTTCTTAGCCACAGTGATCTCCTAGTCAACTACCCTATTCTGTCCAGCAGCTAATTCCTTCACCACTCATCTTGTATTTCTGGCTGCTCTATTTCCCCCTTTATGTTCAGGCAGTTACTTTTCCTTCCTATTTCACAAGAGACCATCTTCTTGCACTTTCTACAGACCTCAGTAACTCTCCATCAGCACATAAACACACTCAAGATTGTCCCATTAAAATCTCTTTTAAGAACTCAAACAATTCAATAGTAACAAACAACCTGATTAAAAAATGGGGAAAGAACCTGAATAGACATTTCTCAAAAGAAGACATACAATTGGCCAAGAGATATATGAAAAAAATGCTCAATATCACAAACTATCAGAGAAATGCAAACCAAAACCACAATGAGATATCAACTCACACCTGATATCATGTTTATTATGAAAAAGGCAAAAGATAAATGTTGGTGAGGATGTGGAGAAAAGGGAGCCCTTGTGTATTGTTGGTGGCAATGTAAATGCGTATGGACATTATGGAAAACAGTATGAAAGTTCCTCCAAAAAAATAAAAATAGAACTGTCATATGATTCAGAAACCCTACTTTTGGATGTATATCCAAAGGAAATAACACCACTAACTCAATGAGATATTTACACCCTTATGTTCATTGCATTATTATTCACAACAGCCAAAATACAGAATCAACTTAAGTGCCCATCGAGGATGAATGGATAGAGAAAACGTGGTGTATATATGCAATAGAATATTATTCAAACTTAAAAAAGATGGAAATCGTGTCATTTGTGACAACATAGATGAATCTGGAGGACATTATGCTAAGTGAAATAAGCCAGGCACAGAAAGACAAATACTGCATGACCTCACTCATATGTGGAATCTGAAAAAGTTGAACTCACAGAAGAAAGTAGAATGGTGGCTGCAAGGGCTGGGGATTGGGTGGGGTGGGAAAAATGGGGAGATGTTAGTCAAAGGGTACAAAGCTGTGGTTATGCAGGATAAATAAGTTCCGGAGAGCTATGGGGACTATAGTTAATAATATTGTTTTGTATACTTGAAATTTGCTAAGACATTAGATCTTAAATGTTCTTACCACACACACAAAAAATGATAACTATGTGAGGTGACTGATATGGTTTGGTTCTGTGTTCCCACCCAAATCTCATCTCAAATTGTAATTCCTATGTGTCAAGGGAGGGAGGTGATTGGATCATGGGGGCAGTTTCCCCCGTGCTGTTCTCCTGATAGTGAGTGAATTTAAAAATTACCCAGTCTCGGGTATTTCTTTATAGCAGTGTGAAAACAGACTAATACAGTGATGGTTATATTAATTAGCTTGATTATGGTAATTATTTCACAATACATACGAATATCAAAACATCATGTTGTATATCTCAAATATATACAATTTTTATTTATCACTTTTACCTCATAAAGCTGAAAAAAAGAGCTATAAGTTCTAAGGCTGAAAACTCTCGTCTCTTCTCTAGAGCCAGTTCCTTGAAAGGGTTGTGTATGTTCATTATTTCCATTCCTTTGCCTCTGTTCTACCTCCTATTTAGTCTACCACTAATTTCAATCTGGATTCTGACCCATCTCTCTACTTAAACTTATCAAGTTTCTGTTATCTTTGTGTCTAAATCCAGTGGGCATGTTGAAGTTTTCATTATATTGTCTTCTTGAGTATTCAGTACTGCTAAACATCCTCTGTCTGCAGAACCAGATTATCCAACAGGTAGATGAAGCAAATGCTTGAGGCTCTTGCAAAATCAAGAAAACCCTCCATAGGTACATCCAGATGATAGACTATTACTGAGTACTAAAAAGAAATGAGATATCAAGCCATGAAAAGACATGAGGAACTTTACATGTTTAACATATTACTAAGTGAAATAAGGCAATCTGAAAGGGCTACATACTGTATGATTCCAACTATCTGACATTCTAGAAAAGACAAAACTGTGGAGACAGTAAAAAGATCACTGGTTGCCAGGGTTTAGAGGGGAGGGAGGGATGAGTAGGAACACAGAGGGTGTTTAGGGCAATGTAATTCCTCTATATGCTGTAATGGTGGGTATGTGCCATTATAAATTTGTCCAAGCCTATAGAATATACAATATCAAGAGTGAACCATGATATAAACTGTGGACTTTAGGTGATAATGATCTGTTCATGTAAGTTCATCGATTGTAACAAATGTACCACTCTGGTGAGAGATGTTGATAGGTGGGGAAGCTGTGCATGTGTTGGGGACAGAGGATAAATGGGAACTCTCTATACTTTTTGCTTAATTTTGCTATGAACCTAAAACTGCTGTGAAAAATGAAGTCTATTAGAAAAAAAACCCTCCAGGATCTGATTTCTCTATACTTCTTAATAATACCTTCTTCATTCTGTACGTGCTGTAATTTTTCATATGAAATTACTTTGATTCTTTGAACTAGCCATGTTCTTGTTCATCTCTGAGTCGTTGCCCATCTTTTTTCCTTTACCTAGGATTCTCCGACTTTTTCTATTCAGTTGCTACCTTCTTCTCATCTTCTATCATTTATTGCATTTTATTGTTACTGCGTTTTCACTTGTCTGTCTTTACCAGACTCTAAGTTGGGAGTCCACCTTTCTTACTGTAGTATCTCCAGTGTCTTGCATAATGCTGGGCAAATAAAGAACCAAATAAATATTTATTTATTTATTTATTTTATAAATAGGCGATTTAGGGTATGAAACAAATTTCTTCCAATCTTACCTAGACCTGCCTTGGTTTTGTGTTCAACTGCTCTGAGCTCCCACATCTCTAAAAATTAATAATTGCAGGCCCTAGGTCGCCAGATTTAAGAACAACAGAAAATACAGAGAATCCAAATAAATTTTAATTTCAGACAGATAATACATAGTTTTTTAGTACAATATAATCATGTCCCCAAATGTGCAATACTTATATAATATTTAATTTATTATTTATGTAATATTTGGGAACATACACATAGTAAAATTTGATTCATCGTCTGGGATTCAAATTTAACTAGGCTTCCTGCTTTTTATCCAGATCCTACTCAGGCTCCAATAACTGCTTCCTGGTTACTAGAATCATTTGTTTAAACACAGATAATAGAAGCGATAACTGCCTTCATTTTGAGTTATCTGCAGCAAATTTCTGCGAGGGAACCTCCTTTCCCTTTGCAAATTTTTATTTTTTAGGGCTGTGGCAGATCATTTCTATATCTGCCCATGGAGAAAGTGTTTGCCATTCCAGGAGGAAAAGCTTTCACCTTTAAGCTATTTCCTTTTCTTTTGAAATGGTTTTATTTACAGATAATTCACATACCATATAATTTGCCCATTTAAAGTGTACCAGTTGATGGCTTTTAGTATATTCAGAATTATGCAACTGCCACCACAATTGACTGACAATTAAAAATTAATAGATTATTAATAATGCATAATTAATAGATTATCTATTAATAATGCATAATCAATAGATTATCTATTAATAATACATAATAGATTATCTATTAATTATGCACAATTAATAGAGTATCATTAATAATTAACAATTAATAGATTATCAATAATTTTAGCACATTTTCATCACTTCAAAAAGAAACCCTGTACCTATTAGCAGTCACTCCCCGTCTGCCACCCACCCTTAGCCCTAGGCAATGGCTAATCTACTTGCCTTCTAGATGGATTCACCTATTCTGACCATTTCCCGTAAATGGGATCAAACAAGATGTGGTCTTCTGTGACTTGCTTCTTTCTTTTAGCACAATGTTTTTAAGATTTACCCATGTTGTAGCATATACCAGTACTTCCTATTACTGAATAATAATCCATTGTATGGATATAGTACATTTTATTTATCCATTCATCAGTTGATGGACATTTGGGTTGTTTCCACTGCTTTTTTAAAGATTAGCATTCTAAAATTGATTTTTGTCAATTTTGTGTTTGGTCTGCTTTAGAAAAAGGAGAGAAAATATTCTCCTTGTTTTGATAGTTGTAGGATTTCATTTTGCTTTTGAAATTTCTATGGATCTCTTGATCTATCTCTGATAGTATCTAAATCTTTTTTTTCCCACATGAGAATTACATAAGCCAATAAAAGAATTATGTCGAATGCTGTCATATGCAGCTGCAGATATTGCCAGGCTGTACCATTCTAAAATGTCATAGAAACTTTAAATATGTGAATCCATGGTGCAACAGGTCTGTCCAATGTCACATTTCCCGTGACTACAGGGAATATCATAGATTTAAGCATTTGGAATGGATTATACTCTTTCACTGGCACACATGTGTAGGTTATGGTGGGAGGCTGGGGTTTTTATGTCATATAATGTTTTTAAGTAAGATATTCTGGGGCCGGGCGCCATGGCTCACGCTTGTAATCCCAGCACTTTGGGAGGCCGAGGCAGGCAGATCACTTGAGGCCAGGAATTCAGGACCAGCCTGGGCAACATGGTGAAACCCTGTCTCTACTAAAAATACAAAAATTACCCAGCATGGTGGTGCATGCCTGTAATCCCAGCTACTCGGGAGGCTGAAGCACAAGAATCGCTTGAATGTGGCTGCCAGAAGTTGTAGTGAGCCAAGATTGTGCCACTGCACTCCAATCTAGGCAATCCAGTGAGACTGTTTCAAAAAAAAAAAAAAAGGGATATTCTTATCTGGGCTGCAGATGACTGCACCCAGGGTGGCAAATCACAAATTTAAAACCAAAATGTATGAAAGCAATAAGGATGCTTGCATCTTCATAGGCAGTGAAATGTCATTTTGAAAATAAACAGCCTCTTAGAGAAGGTGAGTACATGACAGTCAACACTGATCATTGTGCTATTCAGACATATTAGTTATGTTGTCGTGAGTCACGTGGCTATGTTTACATTAACCCCAAATAATGGAAGCTTTGTAAAGTTAAATATAAACTTACTGTGCTTCTGTTATCACTGCGTGGATTTCTTTTTTTTCTAAAAAATTTTTTCCCTCACCCCAAAAATCATTAAAAAATGGTTTCTATCCAGTAAACTGTTTGTTGGGTAGAATGAACAGTTTAGTTGTTGTTTAAAGGAGCCATTATGCCCTGTGTATTTTTGCATAAATATACAAGGTAGTGAATACAAGGTAGTGATTTTCAAAGTCAGGCTTTGTGATGACCTAGAGAATATATAGTTATTTCAAGGGGTGTGACCAAATCTCAAAATACGGTGAGTATATATTTAATTTTAAAAAGTACATGCCTTAGTGCTTGTTTAAAAATATCAAAAAGTAGGCTGAGCACAGTGGCTCGTGCCTGTAATCCCAGCACTTTGGGAGGCTGAGGCAGGTTGATCACCTGAGCTCAGGAGTTTGAGACCAGCCTGGGCAACATGGTGAAACCCTATCTCTACAAAAAATATCAAAAAATTAGTGGGGCGTGGTGATGCACCTCTGTAGTCCTAACTACTTGGGAGGCTGAGGCAGGAGAACCACTTGAACCCAGGAGGCTGTGGTTGTAGTGAGCTGAGATTGCACCACTGCACTCCAGCCTGGGTAACAGCGTGAGACTCTCTCTCAAAAATAAATAAATAATAAATTAAATAAAAATTAAAAAAATAAAAAAGTAGGCCAGGTGCCATGGCTTATGCCTGTAATCCTAACACTTGGGAGGCTAAGGGAAGAGGATCACTTGAGTCCAGTAGTCTGAAACCAGTCTGGGCAACACATTGAAACCTCATCTCTATAAAAAATTTAGAAAATAACCTTGCATGGTGTAGTCCCAGCTACTTGGGTGACTGAGGCAGGAGAATCCCTTGAGCTCAGGAGTTCCAGTCTGCAGTGAGCCGTGACATCGCCACTGCACTCCAGCCTGAGTGACAGAGCGAGACCCTGTTCCAAAAATAAATACATAAATAAAATAAAAATATCACAAAGTGAAACAAAAACTGCTAGGATGTGAACTCTTTCAAAAGCTTGAGTGATATCTTCATCCATTGATACAACTTTAGAAATTGTGCTTTAAGCATTTGAAGCACCCTCTTTTTTTAATCATGCATACCTTGTTTATATCTGCCTTTATAAATATTATTAGAGTTGATGCTCAGGGACTAAACATCCAAGAAGCCAAATAGATCTCTGTGGTCCATTAAACTATGTACAGTCAGTCCTCCACACCTGTTGGTTCTGTATCCACAGATTCAACCAACCAGAAATGAAAAGTATTTGGAAAAAAAGCAATAAACATAACGGTACCACCGTAACACACAATTTACCTATATAACAAACCTGCACACCTACCCTGAACCTAAAATAAAAGTTTTTTAAAAATCCAATACAACCATTAAAAAATACAGATTAAAAAACTATATAGTATAATTATTTTCATAGCCTTTACATTGCATTAGGTATTATAAGTAATCTAAAGATGATTTAAATTATATGGGAGGATGTGTGCAGGTTATATGGAAATACAGCACCATTTTGTATAAGAGACAAACACTGAGTATTTTGGTATCTATGGGGGGCCTGGAACCAATCTCCCATGAATACCGAGGTACAACTGTACTTGTTGTCTGACTTACCATCAGAACATACTGAATAGTCATTGTCTAGAATTCAATATGTTACATTTCTGTGAATCTAAGATTGCATTGATTATGTCCCACCAAGCAAGAAGAAAGAGGTTAATTAATTGTAACAAATGGTGGGATGTATCCTGATGTCAGAGATGTGAGTGTGAGGGAAAACGTCCGTTTTAGCATCAATAAAAAGTATTGGCACTATGGGAAGTATCCAAATATACTCAGAAGGTAATTGCACACTAAAATATATAAAGTAGTGGTCTATTTCCTTTAGCTAAAAATTAAAGCGCTTAATATATGCCTAGCTCCAGGCTAACTCCTGGTCCAATAATTGTTTTGGAACTCTTTGATTATCTAGCAATTTATATTTGTTAATCCTCTTCTGTATGCACCCCATTCTAACAGATATTGTAGGTAGCTGCTCATGAAATATAGGTTAAAATCTGCGCAAAAATTCTTTAATCTCAATATTGTCTTTGTGATGCAAGACAATTTCCTGTGTTGTGTTCCTTTGGACTCACATCCTTTGAAAATGTGGACATTTCTGGAAGCATGCATTGATTATTTTTATCATAAACTTGCCAATATGGATTCATCGATTACATTTTCCTAATGTAATAGCAACTGTTTTTGCCTTTCTACTGATGAGAATCAGAGCTTCAGAGAGCTCATGTAACTTGCCAGAGACTGCACAGCATAGTTGGTTGAACCGGACTTTCAATTCTGCTGTTTACTAGGTCACACTGCCTTTCATGAATACCTCAACTACATAGAAATGAGGCCTGCAATTTAGCTGAGCTTTTGAAAGATAAAAGGATAAAGAGACAAATTGAGAGCTTAAGGTATTGCCTGAGAGGATCAGCCTTAAGTGGGGACTGTATTGGAGGAGAAGATGGTTTGGGCAGTGAGTTGGGAAAATTTCTGAATGGGGAAGTAGAAAGATGCCAGAAATAAACTCATTGATTCACAATTCCCCCACCTGTTCTGTGCTTATGCCGTAATTACTGATTCCTAGAACTAAGCTCAACCTACCTTTCACATTTGTTGGGTTTGCTTCAAATCAGTATTTTACTGTGATTCTTCAGAAAGACTTTAGGACTTACTTAGACATCCTGGCAACATTTTTGTCTTGAACCTAGAGCTGAAATTGTACTTTTAACACAACATCGAGTATTTAAGACTTTGGGGAGGGTGTCCTTTCTTCACTTTTTCTATGATTGGGATGGGAAGATAATTGAGAATCTGCACAAAATGCTGGGGTACAAACATTGGAACATACTCCCACACCCACATATGTTTTGTAGCTGAATCTTAAAGGCAGTTAATAAAGATCATGGAAAGGCAAGAAATACTAATATCGTTTTTTCTTAACATAGATAATATGCATTGTCTCTTTGCCCTTCAACAACACTGAAGAGTAAGCCATAGCTTTTGATATAAACACAAGGATGACATGTACTATTATTTGTGCAATAGATCCTTGACATGCATAAATGGTACCCGTGCAAACCCTTAAGTTTAATCATCAGATTAAACTAACCAGAGTTCTTGGTTGGAAGCTCTAAGAGGAAAATAACAGAGCTGTTGACATTTGTTCATTCATTTCACAAATATTTATAGAGTTTCTATTCTATGCTACTGTATATGCGCTTTTCTAGGAGATGAATATATAGCAGTGCAGTTTCAGACAAATCTGCTCTTACTCTAGAGGAGGCTAGACAAGCACAGTGAAAACAAGCCCATAGACTTAATTAATTAATTAATTAATAATGCAACATAGCCTTTGCATACCTCGGAAATGTCTCACCCAGACTTTCACTAATTCCTCTTCATCCTTTAGATCTCCATGTAGACAGCGCTTCCTCTGGAGGCAGTCCTTGACTACTCAGGTTAAATATACATGCCCTTCTGGGTACTTTCATGAAACTTTGCATTATTTATTTTTCAGCTCTTCTGCTACATTGTTTCCTTTGTGTATTTTCTCCACCAGATTATAAACTGAGACAGTAAGGACCATGACTGTGTGTCCTTGTTTTTCTTTGTACCCCCAGCTCCTTGCACTGTGCTTGGCACAGGATAGTAACTACTTATTTATCTTCTCAGTGAATTAATGATATAGTGAAATGTCTTGTTCCCAAACATCAGTCATAGAGTGTAATTTGAATTCATACTTCCTCATCTTGCTTACATTAGATGGTTGTTTTGGAAAAGTCAACCAAAGATGTGAGATTCCCCCTTTACTAAGTCTACCGCCTTGGGTTCCTAGTCAATGTTTTAGTGTGGTACAGTGGCTGACAGGATTTTAAAACATTCCTGCCTGACGTGTGTGTGTGTGTACATGCATGCATGTGTGTGCGTGTACATGTGTGTTTGAAGACAGTAACTCTGATTTACTACAATTTAGTAAGTTTCACTTGGTATGTCAAACTTTTAAGTCAAAGTTTGACTTAGTATGTCAAACTTTGAACTGTACTTTATAATTTAATACCTACAAATATACAGCATAAAAACATTTAGGAATGACATGTCATAAGAAGCAGTGACATGGGGAGATGATAGTAACAATGATAGCATCATTCATTTGCTTATTCTTCCTATATATCAGACAGTGCTATAAACACTTCATATATATTCACTAATTTAAATTTACCCACAATTCTATGAGAAAACTGAGGCTCAAGAAGGTTAAATAACTTGACCACATAGTGAATAAACAGAAGAGAATGTGAACTCAAAAGCTTGGCTCTGGAGTTCATCTTTTTAACTTACATATTCTACTCTTCTGATTTGAAGAAGAGATTTACTGATCTGAAAAAATCAAAATGAACAAAATTAAAAGAATATAACAGCTAAAGAAACACCACTCATATTGGACCAAGTCATTCTCTTGATGTAGTAAAAACTGACATATTAAAAACTACCACTGATGCCTATTTATTTTTGTCAAGAGAATTAGACAGATGGAAGAGTTCAGGTTAGGGGGAAAGTGCTAAAGTATATAGCCTATGGGAGAGAAAGGGCAAGTTTTTCATGCAGTGATATGCCAAAAATACTTGCAAAAATATGTCAGCAAGATAGCAGGCAGGTGACTAGCATCCCAAAGTCCATATTATGAAGACCAACATGGGAAGTGAAGGGAAAAGAGAGATGACAGGTAAACAAAAACCTTTTATCTTTTACAAGAAGCCTTGTGCAATGAAATAGAAGAAATGAGTCACAGTGCTGTAATTAGATAGGTAGAACATTGTAAATCACAGATTATTGATAGAATAAAACACTTTAATGACTTAACCAATTAATATCAAATGATATTTTTGAATAAAATAATTTTTGATGAGCACTTGACAACACTAAAATAGATGTATTAATAACCTAACGACGTATATTGAGGGCTTTTTCAAAGTCCAAGGCTAGATGAGGTTGTGGGAAAAAGAGGGGAGGTTTGTAAATGCCTTGGGGGTGATCTTAGATACAAAGATGTATGATGTATTGAAGCTTGAACATAAGCAATGTGATTTTTAGAGTAAGGATGAAATTTTTTATTGAGAAAATCTAAACTAGAAAACAAACATTTTTTCTGCTATAGTACGATGTATGCTTTTCTAAAAAAAAAAACCCTCATGTTCTGCAACATCATGTTTAAAAAATAACAGAATGAAAAAAACAGAATTGGGATGGGCCACTCAAACCTGTACAACTTTATTGCCAGTGCATGACAAAAAAATTAAAATCCTAATTATTAACACGAATTTGGTTAAAAGGACGTTTACTGTGGTCTTATTTTAAAAAAATGTTCTTTTACATTTAAATTATTTTAAAAAAAATAAGGCCACAGTAAATTTTGAATTTTGCTCTTGGGGGGAAAAAGGTGAATGTAGTTAGATGATAGTGAATATGAGAGTTGAAGCTTCTGTCTACAGCCATACCACCCTGAACATGCCCGATCTCATCTGATCTTGGAAGCTAAGCAGGGTTGGGCCTGGTTAGTGCTTGGATGGGAGACAGTTGAAGCTTCTGAGTTAAGAAGGTAAGAGAAGAGAAATAAGTTGCAGATGGAGGAAAAACAGTTGCAGACTTCGTATAAAATGCACAAAAGGAGAAAAACCTCCCTCTGAGCACTTCCAAGACAGTACTTGTTTCATTGAGGACAGGACTGTGTCTGTTTGCTGACTGCCGCAGTGATCTGTGTTATTGTGTTGTGGTCAACTGCTTTTGCTCGATGGTGCACAACATTAAGGCGCTAGAAAAATGCATGTATAACTCAAGGTGCCTTTTGCATATTAGCTGCCACACTGTAGAGAATCATAATAATCACAACTTTGTTTCTTCTTCTTCTTCTTTTTTTTTTTTCCAAGACAGTGTCTTGGTCTCTGGCCCAGGCTGGAGTGCAATGGCGCGATCTCAGCTCACTGTCACCTCTGCCTCCTGGGTTCAAGCGATTCTCCTGCCTCAGCCTCCCGAGTAGCTGGGATTACAGGTGCCCATCCACACCCAGCTAATTTTTTGTATTTTTAGTAGAGACAGAGTTTTGCCATGTTAGCCAGGCTGATCTGGAACTTCTGAGCTCAGGTGATCCGCCCACCTTGGCCTCTCCCAAAGTGTAGGGATTACAGGCGTGAGCCACTGTGTCCGGCCCATAAGTTTGTTTCTATCTCTGTCTTTCTGTCTATCTCTCTAGTTAGCAATGGGGGATTGAGGCCGTTCCTAATGCACGTGACACTGCTTCTATTGTTAACTTTAGAGGTAAGAAATCATGTTGATATTTTTTGGATTCAAATATATTAAAAATTGATATTCTCAATTCAAAAATTGAAAAATCTTCACATGCTCCCAATTCCAATAAAATTAGTCTCTGAAATTAAAACAAACCTTTAAAAAATCTGTCAAATCTGAAATATAAAGTTATCCTATAAAATTAAAGTAAACACCAGCAATTGTCTCCATTGTATTGAACTAAATTGCTGTTAGTGCTTTTTCAGTTCTATTTTGGTAATGAATACTAGGTTATATGAATTTTTATTGCATGCTGCTTCCTTTGCAGGGGTAAAAATCATTTTGAGTGAAGAATTACTTCTCTCAATATAGGTTAATTATTTCTGAGGAGTTGGCCGGTGAAACACATGACAGGAATATTATTGCTTGTGTTTAGCTTTTAGCATATTTAACACATATAGCTGAGATAATTCGAATGAAAAGAATGCTCATTTTATTTAATGAATTAGTGGAAGGGGCATCCAGAAATTGTACTGCAAAAGTTCAACCAAAGCTGCTTAGACCTTCTTCCATAAATCAACTGAGTTGATTCAGTAATTTCATAGCCAATAAGACAATGTCTTCCTTTGTCTTGCTTTTATTTTTTTCCATTCAAGTTATATGCACACACTCACTTGATGTACAACTTTACTTTTTAAGTTTATATAAAAGATGCAACATAATTTTATTCTAAATATGCACTTGACAATATGGATTCAAATTTAATTCACTGATGTGCAACCTTGCATGTGATATCTGAAACCAGAAATTGTCAAATGATGTATCAAAAAGGTAGATTAGCATTTGCTCAGTGCAACCTGACATGACAGATGGGTAGGAGGAGGGCTGTTATCCCTGAGAAGAGACTAAATATATTATAATTTGGATGTACACACAAACTGGATAAAACTTTCATAAAAGAATTTTAATGCAAAATCTATTTTTCAAACTCATAATAATTAGTTAAGTCCTCCCTTTACTTACTTTTTTCTGTGGGTCTGTGAAATGCCTTGCAAAGCATCTATGCATTAACATTATTTTATAGGGTTTACATTTATTGAAAACCTACTAATTTCAAGACACTATGCTAGGGTATTAGGCTACCACTAGTAGGAGCAATAATAATACTAATAATGGTTGACAGTTATTGAGCACTCACCATGTGCTAGGCATTGTTCAAGTGCTTTACATATAGCCTTATACTCTCTCTCACACAGATACACACACACACACACACACACACACACGTCAACTAACAATAAATGACAAGTGAGTGATGTGGACAATATTTGTTCTTGAAGATTAGGAGAGGCTTAACCCCTACAGGGCCACATGGAGAAGGTTGAACTGAGGTAGGACCTAAAACAGGCAAGGGTTGGATGGATAGCATGGGGAGGAGAAGACATTCACTTTGCACTGTGAGCAAAAACTTAGAAGTAGGAAACTGTAGTCCAGATGAAGGAACAGAATTTGCATTTTATTATTAATTAATTTAAGTTGACAAATAATAATTGTATGTATTTGTTGTGGACAGCATATTTTGAAATATGCTTATATAGTGGAATGGCTAAATCGAGCTAACTATTAATAACATATGCATTCTCTCCCATACTTTTTTTTTGAGGTGAGAATGCTTAAAATCTATGCTCTTAGCAATTTTCAAGGATACAATACATTGTTATTAAATATGTTTGCAGCGGGTGAGGTGGCTCATGACTGTAATTCTAGCACTTTGGGAGGCTGAGGCAGGTGGTTCACCTGAGGTCAGGAGTTTGAGACCAGCCTGGCCAACATAGTGAAACCCCATCTCTACTAAAAATACAAAAATTAGCTGGGTGTGGTGGCTCATGCCTGTAATCCTAGCTACTCAGGAGGCTGAGGTATGAGAATCGCTTGAACCCAGGAGGTGGAGGTTGCGGTGAGCCAAGATCATGCCACTGCACTCCAGCTGGGGCAAGAGAGTGAAACTCTGTCTCAAAAAAAAATATGTCTGCAATGTTGTACAATAGATCTCTTGAACTTAATCTTCTGGTCTAACTGAAATTCTATATCCTTTGGCCAATACCAAACTGGGGATTGGTTGAGAAGACCTTATATTAGACTGTATGTTTTTACTGATCACAATAAGTTGCTTGATCTTGTCAGTTGTCTATATTCTGATAGTTTTCAAGTAAGTTAGATTGTCTGGGAAAAAGTAATCATTTATGTCTCTAGGCTCTCAATAATGATATGGGCAATAGATAAAGAAAAAGGACATGACGCTATTGGGGATTCTTTATATTCCTAACTTTGAGAAACAAAATAATCTAAGAGGCCTAGATTTATTTAATAATCTGCTTAAAACTGCTCTTCCCAAGAAAGCCACAGAGTACACAGAGGCTGGTGTCAAACTATACATTCTGTTTTTGAGAAAAGCCTTCCTGTTCAAGAGGCTTTTAGCTTTTGTTTGTTTAAATTCTTATAATTTTAAAAGGAAATATATCTTGTTTATGACTCTTGGGATACTAATAAACTTAAAAGCATCAAAGTATTTTTATATACTAATAATTAAACTCAAGGTGGGTAACATTCAAGTACTAGTGTTTCTTAGAAAAATCCTATTTTGCCAATCTCAACCAAATAACAAAACCAAATGAAAAAAAAGAGTACTCTTAGGAGATACACCTTTAATTTCTGTGATAATTGGTGTTTCTGTGATAATTGGTGATGAAACTATAAGCCTGTGCAATAAGGTAGGAGGGAATAGCTAAATGTGGCAATTTAAATTTAAATTAACTAACATGAAAGGAAGTTAAAAGTTCAGTTCTTCAGTGGCCCAAGCCACATTTCAAATGCTCAGTGGCCAGCACAGATATAGAAACTCTCCATCACCACAGAAAGTTCTATTAGACAGCACTAGGATAAGCTATAAAACCATCGAAAGCACAGCCTGGTGTCATAACCAGATGTGGAGTGCCATATATAGATAATAATTTCATTTTAAAGGATCCAGCAATATTTCAAGACTGCTTTTGTGTTTGTTAAATCTTGTTACAATGGGACTTATTTGCTCTACAGTCCAGGGTCAAGTTTTCTTTGATAGTATAAATTGATTTTGCAAATAGCTACCAGCAGTTTTCCAAACAACTATGAATGGGAGTGAGGGGTAGAGGAAGTAGCAAAAGGAGATGTTTGGAGAACCTGAAAGCATTAATCCTGCGGGATAGAGCAGGGTATTGCTATGTCTGTTTCTCCTTCCAGCCCTTTTCACTTGAGTGCTCCCTGCGTTCTTCTTCTGTATGGAGAATGAAGGCTCCCTGTGAGCACTGAAGGTGAGTCTGTGCCTGGGAACCCCAGGGTCACCCCAGCACATTTTACAGAGTAGCTCAGTGATGTCATGGCATTGTGGATGGGAAGGAATTAGGCAAGTTAGCATGAATGGAAGAAGCAGGGATGGGAGATGTAAGAACAGGGGTGTTGCCTATTTTAAAGCAGAGATTATTTTGTTGGGTAGCAAAAAGGGGGAAGAGCCTAGAGTGGAGCATGGATGTGACACAAAAGCCACAGCAGCAAAGTGGTGAGTGCATTTGTAAACTCTCTACTCCATGGTTGCATGAAATTGTGGAGTAATGGGATAATCTACATATGTAGCAAGCTACAAATCACAACGTAAATAGTACTGACTGAAAAGAAGATGTATAAAAGGGGGCATGAGGAATGGACATTTCATGAAATCATTGCATCTGACTTTCTAAAAAACTGCTTTCTGGTAATAGTTGTCTTGGTTTGGGTTCTCTTGAAAATAGAATCTGAAATGTGTCATTGGGATAGGCGGTAAATGGAGGGGTGATCTCAGGAAGCTGAAGATGAAGGAGTAAGGAGTAAGATATTGGGGAAAAAGAAGACAATACGTACACTATTGTGGTTGCCACTGTGAGCAAGCGTTCTCGATCTGGTTAGAACCTCCACATTTCTCCTCCTGAAAAAGAAGACACTGGCTGCTGTGCACCATTTGTTGAGGTTGTCAGAGCTCTCACCTCCCCAGCATTTCTGGGCTGCACTTGTAGCTGGGCCAGCAGTGCTCCCAGGACCTGGGGCAGAATGCAGAGGTCAGAGGCGCATGCTCGAAATGGGATGCTGTCAGTGCATCTGAGTCTGAGACGTACAAATCTGGTCCACTCCATCTGTGGTAGAGGTGGGCCAAGCAGATGTGACTCAGCATACTAGAGGCATCTGCTACAGCTGCTGTTCACTGAGCACTCATTATGTGTCCAACACTGTGCTAAGACAAAGCACATATGTTTTCTCCTTTAGCTACAGAGCCACCCATGAAGAGGGTGTTACATATCTGAATTTCGTAGATGATATGGAGACTTAGAGAGGTTAAGTAACTTACCCTGTGTCAAGGACGCAAATATATCAAATGTCTCAGATCACACATTGCTGACACGAGATCCTCACCCTGGCCCATGTTGCCCATATCCTTAGCTCAACTATAATACTTCATTCTTCCTCAATGACTCTGAACTCTGCTGTCTTCTTTCTATCTTTTTGTAATGCTTCCTCCAACACTATATTTTCCCCCATTTACTTTTTCGTAGTGTAGTATTCTGCAGGCTTTGGCAAACATATAGCCGTGTAACCATAGCCACCACCGCCACCAGCACCACAATCTAGAGAACAGTTCTAGCATCCCCAAACTCCCTCATGGCCCTTTGCAGAAAACCCGCTCCCCATTCCCAGCCTCTCACCACTGCTAGATTTGTTTTGTTTTGTTTGCATCCTTTGCAAGAATGTCATAAGCAAAATCATACCATAAGCCTTTTGAGTTTGGCTTATTTTCTTTACAAGATACATTGTCACCCAAGTTGTTTTAAGTACCAATAGTTCATTCTTTTAACTTACTGAATGATATTCCATTGTATGGCTGCACCATAGTTTGTTTATCCATTCCCTAGTTGAGGGACATTTGGGTTGTTTCCAGTTTTAAGTAATTACAAAGAAAGTCGTTATAAGCATTTACAGAGGTTTTATGTAAATATAAGTTTTCATTTCACTTGGGTAAATACCTAGGAGTCAGATTACTGACTCTTATTTTAAGTGTATGTTTACCTTTATAAGAAATTGCCAAACTGTTTTGGCAATTTTCCATTCTCACCATTAATGCGTTGTCCCACATTCTTACCAGCACTTAGAATTTTTTTTTTTTTAGTCATTCTAATAGGTGGCTAGTAAGATCTCATTGTAGGTTTAATGTGATTCCTTAAAGATAGATGATCGTGAATGTCTTTTTATGTATTTACTTGCAATCTGTGTATCTTCCTGGGTAAAGTATCACCCATTTGTTTTATTGAAACTTTTGCTTTTTTATTATTAACTTTTGAGAGGTATTTTTATTTTTTAGGCATACAATTTTAAAAAAATCAGATATGTGTACTGCAAATATTTTCTCCCAGTATGTGACTAGTCTTTCCATTCTTTTCCTAGTCTTTTGAGAGCAGTTCTTAATTTTTTGGAGCTCAATGGGTCTATTTTTTTCTTTTATGGTTTGTGCTTTTGGTGTCATACCTAAGAACTCTTTGGCTAATTGAAGTTCATAAAGATTTTCTTCTAAAAGTGTTAGAATTGTACATGTAGGTATATAATTCACGTTGAGTTACTTTTTTGTGGTATGTAAAGTATGGATCAAGACACTATATTTTGATAATATGGAAAGCTAATTGTTCCAGAATCATTTATTGAAAAGGCTGTCTTTTAGCCATCGAATTGTTTTTGCACTATTACTGAAAATCAATTGACCATATATATGTGTAGGTCTATTTCTGGGCTCTATTCTGTTCCATTGATCTATGTCAGTCATTTCTCCAGTGCCATACTATATTAACTACTGTATCTTTATAGAAAGTCTGGAAATAAGACAGTATTATTCCTCCAAATTGCAAAATAGTTTGCAAAATTATTTTTTTCAAAATTAATTCTGCTATTTTAATGACTTTGCCTCTTCATATACATTTGAGAGTCAGCTTGATAATTTCCGAAAAACCAGTCCTGCTGGATTTGGATTGAAATTCTATTAAATCTATTATCATTTTTGGGGAAAACTGGTATCATAATAATAGTCCCCTTATTACCAATTAGTAGTCACATAGAGGGACTATCCATAAGCACTATAATTAAAGGAAGGCATGTTTATTAAAGTGTGATTGCTAAGTAGTCAGGAAATTATGAATACTTCTGTCTCCCAAGTTTTCATATAATATAAATAACAACAAAATAATACTGCCTTGTGTTGTTGACTGGGAGAAGAGTACTAGTTGTGTTGATTTGGAAATAACAGTGATAGCTGAGGCTTGTTATAACCACCTCTAAGTTTTCTAGTTTCCCTTTTTGTGTGACTGAAATATGCATATCTGCTAAGGGTAATTTATATATCATTTGTAGGTCTTTAGGAAATCCCAAACGTTATTAAAACAATCATAACTTAAAAATATATTTTAAAAATGAAGTATTCTCTGATCCTAAAACCAAAAGTTGAGGTTTTCCTAAGAAACAAATTCAGTTGTTTATTATTATTATTATTTTAAAGATATAGAGTAGTCAAGCAGTGATCAGATTTAATGCAGGTCTCTAACACTGAGTATTTCATTATTTCTTGAGTCTACATATTTTAGTGCCAATTCTAGGGAGTTACTGAAATTTTCTGAATGTCTGTGCGTAGTTCTTAATTGATAACTGAAAAAAGCATAAGAAATCAGCTGGGCGTGGTGGCTCACGCCTGAATTCCCAGCACTTTGGGAGGCCGAGGCGGGTGGATCACAAAGTCAGGAGATCAAGACCATCCTGGCTAACACAGTGACACCCTGTCTCTACTAAAAATACAAAAATTTAGCCAGACGTGGTGACATGCACCTGTAGTCCCAGCTACTCGGGAGGCTGAGGCAGAAGAATCACTTGAACCTGGGAGGCGGAGGTTGCAGTGAGCCAAGATCGTGCCACTGCACTCCAGCCTGGGCGACAAAGCGAGACTCTGTCCCCCACCAAAAAAAAAAAAAAAAAAAAAAAAAAAAGCATAAGAAATCATTTTGCTACATAAGGAGTAGCTTTCTTCAGTTGCCACCTTTACTTCTGAGCTGCAATTCCCTTTTCTGTTGTTCATGTCCCAAATTCAACTTGCAGAACTCTGCTATTTGGCAGCTCAGATTTTTAGCCTTCCACAGCCTATTGCTGGCTTCTTGGCAGAGTATCAAACCTGTCCAGGCAGGACATCAGACCAGTCCAGATTAAACTAGCTTGATCTAAGAAACAAGCCAGTGCAAAATAGCAAGATACTCATTAATTTTAATTAACAGTTCCAAACAGAGTTGCACAACAAGGTCATTTTCCCTAAATGAATTATTAGAGATAATATAAGAAATAGACTTCTCCAAGCAGTATTTTTAAACTGCAGGTGTTGGCAAAAATTGTCCCAGAGAATATCTGCCTTTCTAAGACAGTCCACTTACAGAAGGTTGACGTAAATATTCATTGAAAATACTGAAGTCATTGCCTGTAGCTGTTGTTCCTCCCTTTTTCGTAAGATTCAAATTATAAAGTTCAAAGCCTTTCAGAGAATGATACTGCTTCACCTGGCAAAAAAAATCTTAGAAAAATCTAAATAGATCTGGTAATAAATTTTCCTATAAATTAAGAGTATCCCTGGAAGATCTGGGGAACTCTAAATAATGTCCTTTCTAGTTGTTTATGTGCATATTCATTTTATTGACCCTTTTGTTTATCAAAAGTGAATACGGTACATTTGTTATAAATTAAGGCCTTTGGTTTTTTCACTTGTCTTTCCTGTACTTGTGTGTGTGATACCTTAATACCCTCAAAAGGTAAACAATAGTATCTCTATGAAAAAGGCTTCAATTTATGATAAAATGTACAGAGAATAATATTTTTCTAAGCATTTGGGATCCCACTGTTATTGAAATACAATCCAAACATCAAAATAATATTATCGGTAAAAAATACTAAAAAAATCTGACTTGGAAATATAAATATCAATCTAGATTGTCAGTTTTTCAAATTTCTCTATAAACTGTCACACATCCTAATCATATACCTAGATAAATATAAATACATATAAATATTGTTGGCTTCTTTGGCAGCCTGATATTCTTTTGAAGAGATAAAAGCTCTTAGCTTAAAAGTTTATCTAAGAAACTCAGATTCAGAGTTACTGTATCAATTTTTGTGAAAAATCAAAACACTGCCAAAAGCAGCTAAAGCCGCTGACCTAGCAGGCTGATTCCAAAAGAGGCACGCACTAAAAGCTGTAGGGTTTGAACTAAACATATGGTATTGGATTACTATTAATCTAGAGAAACAGATCATCAGCAAATTGAGAAAATAATCTCTTATTGCAGTGATTTGTCAAGCCTTTGAGTTTTCCTCCTCGCTCTTCCTTTCTGATTTGCCTTCTGGTGTTTGCCTTATTTTCACATAGGGATCATGGTTTTCATAATGAATGAGTCCCCATGCAAATGCTTATGTACATCTTCCCAGCAATGAATGGTCAGATTTCAAACTGACACTGACATATATGCACAGGTTTATACCTGTAGATATAGATATAGCTATGTACATATAATATTATATGTATAAATATATACAATTTTATGTGTATTAAATATTGAATATATTATACATTTATTTCTATATTTTATGTATGTATATAAAGATGCAATCTTTTTTTAACCTTATGTCTAACTTATTTAATAATTTGTTAAAGGTGAATTGTAATAGTCTATACAAACTGTGATACAGTTTGGTGATCATGGTTGTTTCACTGTGCAAATTGATTTACTGATGTGTGAGTAGAGTAACTTGATGATACTGTGTCTGTACTTCTGACTTGATTGGGTGCAAATTTTTGGGTAAGCTTTTGAAACACACAGATATATAAAGATGTAAGAAGAAAAGAACAGTTTGTTCACCTATTTTGTTGTAAGATGACTTAGAGAGGACAAAGGCTAAATTTTATTAAGAACAAAATAACCTGATTGTTGGTTAATGTGGTTAAAAAAATCAAATCAAACCAAACTAAGTCAAACCAACAAATAAATTTGTCCCAATACATTCAAAGATCAATTCAATCAGAGTGGGTTCAACTAGTAACTCTGCAGAAATAGTTTCATTTAAATGTGAGATATTCCGACCTGATAATATGTGTCCATTCTCTAAACCATAATAGTATCCAAAATTTACATATCATATTCATTACCGTATTATGTTGAAACACACTGTTTTTGTGTTTGTGTCCCCCATTAGACCCTTGAAAGTAAGAAAAGCCTTTTCCCCCTTATGTTTCCAGTAATTATCTCAGTGCTTAGCACATTGCAGGAAGATTTTGTATAACTGGCCACTGAGAAAGGTGGCAAGTAGAATGAGCAGTGAGTTGTTGGAAGTGACTGAAATGGGACACGTGTCAAATACCAGGAGCTGCAACCCTGGAGAGATCCAGGTAATGCCAAGGCCTGCTTTTCCAGCAGGGCTTCTATACGAATACTGAAATGAAGTTCTTTGCTATAACTGTCTATGACTCCAATTCCCTCCACAATTCCCCTAGACTTATGAATCTCAGAACCTATGATGCAATTTTACTGTGAATATAATTTCTCTCTTATTCTTTTTTTCTATGCCTTAAACTATGCTCTTTGAAAATGTGAGAGCTTTGGCTGGGTGCAGTGGCTCACGCCTGTAATCCCAGCACTTTAGGAGGCCGAGGTGGGCGGATCACGAGGTCAGGAGATCGAGACCATTCTGGCCAACACGGTGAAACCCCGTCTCTACTAAAAAAAATACAAAAAATTAGCCGGGCGTGGTGGCGGGCGCCTGTAGTCCCAGCTACTCTGGAGTCTGAGGCAGGAGAATGGCGTGAACCCGGGAGGCGGAGCTTGCAGTGAGCCGGGATCTCGCCTCTACACTCCAGCCTGGGCGACAGAGTAAGACTCTGTCTCAAAAAAAAAAAAAAAAAGAAAATGTGAGAGCTTTAAGCAGGGACCCATACAAATTCCTATCAGTCTTATATTTGATTATAAGCCACTACTAAGTGAGCATACACTCTTCTCTACAGGATAAGTAAGTAGGAAAGTCATCTTACTTAGGGAAATAAATTGTTAAATCTCAGAGAGAAAGCAGAGGGAAGCCATTATGGAAGGGAGAAACAATCTATGATGTGAAAGTATTACACGCATATGGAAAACGTCATTGTTTAATTTATAAATAGAGGAGTTAAATAGTAGAAGAGAATCTGGTGAAAATTTAATTGATTTAGTGAAAGATTAAATGTGCTCACCCAGAATTCAGAGATTAAGACAAGAAAAATATGAGTGGCATAGATGATTCATCCACGAGATTAACCTACATAAAATAGGACTTCTATGAATAGAAAACAGGATGAATCAACAGCAGTGGTCAAAGGAAAAAGGAAAACACCACCTGAAAAGAAGGATGATTTCATCATGTCCTTTGCAGCAACATGGATGCAAACTGGTGGCCATCACCCTAAGTGAAGTAATGCAGAAACAGAAAACCAAAAATCCCATATTCTCACTTATAAGTGGAAGCTAAATCTTGGATACACATGACTGAGAACAACAGACACTGGGGACTCCAAAATGAGGGAGGGAGAGGGGCAGGGTCTGAAGAACTTCCTAGTGGGTACCATGTTCACTATTTGGGTGATGAGATCAGTAGATGCCCAAACCTCAGCATCATGAAATATCTTCTTGCAACAAACCTGCACATGTACCCCTTAAATCTAAAATTAAAATTAAAATTAAAAAGAAAGGATAATTTCAGCCTCAAGAGCAAGAATGTACATTGAAGTAAAGATCAACTTTATAAAAACAGAACCACACCTAGACATGTCCTTATGTTTGCCTTAAAAATCCAGCATCACCTGAACATCAAGAAAAACAAAGAACAGCAACAACAAAAAGTTCATCTAGGTTTACCGAGTTTCCAACAAAGGACATTGATTGTCTTTTAATTTTTTCACTCTTAAATGCTAGAATATAAAGGAAGAGGTTAATGGTCAAGATTATGGAGAGACTAGAGCCAGACTGCCCGGTTTCAAAACCTAGCTCTGCTGAATATTAGTTATGTAAGCCTGGGAAAAGTCCTTACCATCTTTGTGCTTCATTTTCATCAACAAACAGTGCAGACAATGAATGTACTTGCGTATCGTTATTGTTAGATTAAATGAATTAGTGTATTTAAAGTACTTAGAAGAATACCTGAAACATAGTAAGCAAAACATATATTTTTTTAATTCTGCTTTTCCTCTTCCCTTTTTCCTCCTCCTCCTCATTGTTGTTTTTAATTCAGAGCTTTGAAAATGTTTTATACCCAGCTAAGTTAACAATGTGTGAAGGCAACAGAAAGGCATTCTTTGATACACATAAATTCAAAATATGCTATTCAGGCAACTTGAATAAAAATTGTTAAATACTGAGTTATACCAACACAAGTTGCATTGAGGATCAGAATTCTTGGCAAAGGAACTAGTGGCTGCAAAGGACCACTAGTTTAAATTATTAGTAAAAATTATATAGACCAACATTAGTCTACATAATTATTAAAGTACCACTTGGATTATAAAATTTGCTTTCCCTTTAAAATAAATGACTTTTATTTTTTAAAATATTAACAAATGAAAAATACAGAGTTGATATCCTAAATTAAATTAATGTCTAGAGATTGGAGTGGATTCAAAAGCAAAGACACAAGCATTTTCTTTTCCATCAGTGGTGGCTGACAACAATTACTTTGCCCTTAACTCTTCTGGCTTGCTTAATATAGTATTAAGACTGTATTTGGAAAACTTTATAGTAGTCACTTAAGAAATAAATGGAGTTTTTTCTTTCCAAACTAAAGCTAATAAACAGCAAAAAATCAAAACCCCCAAAAACAAACAAAAACAACCCAAGCCCTGCAAAAAACCCAAAGCACACTCCTCCCCCCACTCAAGTAAACCCCTCTGTTCTGGCAAAAAAGATAGGAAAAAGCCAGCCAGAAAATATTTTTAAAAGACAATATGAAAATACATATGAAAGCATGATAGAAGCATGATGAAATACTAGACTATCAAATGTATATTTGTTAAATACCCCAATGAAAGGACAAATCCAGAGATACACTACTTAGAGTTTCCTCATCTAAAACACATATGTTTGGAAATATGGGCAAGTAAATGCAAGGCAAATGCAAATTTTGAAAACTAATATTACTATTAGATAAAGCAGAATTTAAGGCAAAAACATTAAGTCCTATAAAGAGAGTCATTTTAATCAAAAGAAAGTAAAATCAGCTGGGAACAGCAGCTTACATCTGTAATCCTAGCACTTTAGGAGGCCAAGGTGAGAGGATTGCTTGAGGCCAGTGGTTTGAGACCACCCTGGGCAACAAAACAAGATCTCGTCTCTACAAAAAAATTTAAAAATTAGCTGGGGCCAGGCACGGTGGCTCATGCCTGTAATTCCAGCACTTTGGGAGGCTGAAGTGGTCAGATCACCTAAGGTCTGGAGTTCGAGACCAGCCTGACCAATATGGAGAAACCCTGTCTCTACTAAAAATAGAAAATTAGCTGGGTGTGGTGGCACATGACTGTAATCCCAGCTACTAGGGAGGCTGAGGCAGAAGAATTGCTTGAACCTGGGAGGCAGAGGTTGTGGTGAGCCAAGATCATGCCATTGCACCCCAGCCAGGGCAACAAAAGTGAAACTCCGTCTCAAAAAAAAAAAAAATTAGTTGGGCCTTATGGCACATGTGTTTAGTCCCAGCTACCTGGGAAGCTGAGGCAGGAGGATCGCTTGTGCCCAGGAACTCAAGGCTGCAGTGAGCTATGATCGCACCACTGCACTCCAGCCTAGGCAACAGTAATGAAGACAAAAACACTAAAAAATCCTCATATTCAGAATAATATAATATCACTAATAGAGAAGGTGAAAGCATTTGGAAATTCAAAGGAGTTTTAGGAAAATTTAGTTAGTGTGAGATATTTTAACTACTGACTTAGCTCAATTAGACATATAAGTTATTAAAAATATGAATAATTAATTTCAGCATCATTGGAATGAAAACTAAATTAAAATGAGATACTTTTTTCCATCAATCAAGCAAAAAATTTTTGAACATATAATAACCAATGTTAACAAATGTGTGTTGAGATGGATGCTCTCATGGCTAGTAGTTGTGTAAATCAATACAATTTATGTAAAAAACAAGTTGGTCTTATCTTTCAAGAGCCGTAGTAAATCTCATGTTTTTAATCAAAGTATTTTTGACTCTTGGAGACAGATTGTGCAAAGATTTCTATTTGTGCACATTAATTGCAGAATTATTTGAATAGACAAACAATGTAGATAAAATAAAATGGTTACATAAGTTATTTTGCCATATACTAAAATAGTGTGAGAATATAATAATTTCTTGAAGAATCTTTATTGATATAAGGCAAATGAAAAATAACAATATATGTTAGTGTTACAAAAGAGATTATTACATGGTTTAATAAATAGCATAGTCCAATTTTTGATTTGGAAGTGTATAGAAAATATTTAAAAATAAATATGACTACATGTTAATGGTATTTGTGTTTCGGTGGTGGTACAGATAATATTTCATGCCCATTTTTGTGTATTTTCTAAGTTTTTCATTAAATATTGATGACTCATAATAAAAATAAATTTTAAAAAGAAAGAGCAAGGAGAGAAATGCCAAACAAATGTGTGGAATAGGATGCTTTGAAAAATACATTTTCTGAAGTTTTTTTTGTTTTTTGCTATGAAAGAAATAATATCTGTAAAAAAAGTTAATCTATTGTCTTCCTCCCGAAAACTGAGTATGACTGAAAAATTGGAATATCAGCCAAATAAATTGAGAGATTTTTCTATTGTATTAATAAATATTAGTATTTGTATAAATTAGGAAATATTTTCATAGTCATTATCTTATTTAACTTTTGCAACTATTTTCTGAAGATGACAACGTTATCCCCAATTTACATATGGGGAAACTAAGAGTCAGAAAAAGTTCCTTGTCCAAGGACACATGGATGAAATCCTGAGCTCTTTCCAGCACTCCACCTGCATTGTTTATGCATACTGATACTTCAAAGTACAATCTGGGGCCTCCTTCTCCTTGAGTTTTTATTAGGATCTTGGTATCCCTATGGTATTGCCATTGTGTCAACCTAAGCTAGATATAGAAACATTTTATTCCTGGCAGTAACATGTTACAAAAAAGCGAACTTAATGAAATAAAATTATAGTTACCAAGAAAAATTAATAATAATTTTGTTTTCATTAGGTTACTAAAGGCACTAAAATAAACCTGTCATTACAGATTTGCACCTATGATCTTGATGTCTCCACATGCTGCAAGTCACATTGGACAGTTTGTAGTTTTGTGACTGAATCTAACATTAAGTTTATTAGGGACTTTGGTCTACATGTAAAACTCACCTGGATGTTAATGGAAGAGCCTCTGGGTATTGAAACAGAATATATTCAGCATTTTGTCTGGTCTAGAAGTCAATCAGAATGCAATTGTTCATTAAGCCTCCTGCAAGCAATAGTCACTGTGCTGTGCCAACATTCATCAAGTTAAGGGCCAGGAAATGTGATTGCCAGGGGCAGATCTCACAGAGACAGCACAAAAGTCAGCTCGTCTCAATTACAACGCGGCAATGGCCTTCTTCCTTGAAACTGCATTGTCAGAAGGGAATCTGAGAGGCAGTTCAGAACTTTTTCACTGGGCTCACTCTCAACAGGAATACCTGATAGGAAACAAACTAGGAGACTTATTTTCCTGTTCTCAATTTTCACAAGAATGTTTGGACTATAGTGCCTGTGACTGACTCAAGAAATTGAAGAAGCAAGAATTAAGAGGAACAGTGAATATTTGGTGCTACATGGAAGGAGAATATTGAAGTGGGAACACTTAACAGCTTTTTAGGAAGAAAGTTAAAATCTTAGCTGTATCTCTTGCTTTACATTTCTAGGCAAGTTCTTTAATTTTTCTAGATGTAAGTATCCTTATGTATAATCTGTCTACTCCATAAGGTTATTGTAAGAAATACATAAAATAAAGTAACTGAAAACAGTGCACAATAAATGAAGCTATTATGATGAAGGCAAAATATCACCAAGATTATAATATTCCCTTTCATTTGGAATTGAGAGGTAGATAGCTATGTTTTTAACAGTCAGATAAAGAGTTAAACTTTGGACGCAAATGACAGTAATCAAGAAGGTAAAATAAGACCTAAGAACTCCTTAGAAAATCTTCAATTCCCATAGGTCTCATTATCAGGTAAGAATGCTATATGCTTCTCACAAAAGCCTGGAAAAATGTTTGAAGCTCACTTGTCAGCATGGAGAGACATCCAGAATAATTACTGAAAACAAACGATGGTTTTGCAAGTCCAAGATGTTTCGAGATGTTTTGACAGTGGAGGAAATGCCTAGAAGCAGGTTTGACTCTTTGTAATACTCATTCATCTACATGGTTTTTCTCTCTCTTTCTCCTCCTCCCCCTCCCCGCTCTCTGTGTGTGTACTACTTAATTTCCCCAGAATAAATATAAATATGTTATAGTTCTTATAAATTAAAATTATGTAAATTTGATCACGTGAATGCTGTTATCAACATATTAACATACTTTGTATCTATTTTCACTGTGATTTACCATGTATTAGTAATTGGCAAAAGGCCCTGTATCATTCCTGGAACAGTCCCATTGCAGTGAGAATTCTAGTTGAGCTCATGCTGTTTCTACCACCACGTGTAAGGAAAGCCCACAGCATAATTCACCATCAGGGTTTCCTCTTTCACTCAGAAGCCTATGGCATGCAAGCCTGTAATTCTGGTATGCGTGACTCCATGGATGAGGAATTGGAGTCTTGCTTGAAGGGTTGGGCTCAAAGTTACTGTACGGCACATGGCCACTGTGTTACTGAGCAACTGGGTTTGTTTTCTCATTGCTGGGATTCCCACTTTGCTCTCATAGATGCATGTAACATAATTTATCTGTGTGGTGTGTTCTAATTCTGTGTAAGGAGGGCTGCTGACAGCAACCCAAGCTTGGCAAGGGTGGGACTTTGGTTATATAACATTTGCCTCTTTCAGTTTTTGTCATAATAAATTTTCCATTATAAAGATGAGCTATATTGATGCTATTGTCACACTTTTGCTTGCCACCACCTGTTCGAAAATCTTCTACCACTGGTCCTTGTCCCACTCTTCTGCTGATGTACTAAGTTTTAATGTCGAGAAGTCTGTGTGAAAGTAGCTGAGAGAGGATAAGGGAATGACGTACTTGCCAGTAAGGATGGCGCTTACTGGAAATGTATTTCAGACTAGTCTGACAGGAGGTGCTTACTGGTTCCACGTGGATGTGACAACATTCTTTAGGACATTGGTCATTTCAGCCAAAAATATACAAATCCACACCTACTTTCATACACTATCCCGGGGGGAACTGGAGCTATTTCTACATGCTGTGATAGAGGTAATTGTGGCTGGAGACAAAAATGATTAGAACTGCATACCACCCAAGAAAAGTAGCATCACATCAATGGAAAATTACCACAATTGTCTCTTCCTGCTGCATTGAATGTACTACTATAAATGTTTCGTTCTCCCCTCAGATTTCTATGCTTGTACAGCAACGTTAGTAAGAGGTACCTCTAAACCTCTTTTACTTTATCAACTTCTACTCTTCCTCAACCTTCTTTTTAGTGGTTTGAAAAATCTTTATGAATACATTTTGGTATGGTGAGATTAATAAAATCTTGCTTTGCTCATGCATTATGTATTAGAAATATAATAAATTTAAAGTTAGTTAGGACCACTAGATTCCAGCTAAAGGAAATAATCTAAAGCAGAATTTCTCCATGTCTTATGTAAATGCTGAGTCTGCTAAACTGTGGTGTGCTGGAAAATATTTCACAGTTGTCACTGGAGGGTAGGTCGTCTTGATTTGTAGTGATTGCTGATTTCCGTAGTGTAAATAGTCCCACTATGGCTGATCTTAAGCTACCAACCTGATGTCACTGAACACAAAGTTGGGAGGAATTGTGCATAGGCAGATCTCACAAGCTGTACAAGCTGGCTCCAACACCATGGCTGCTAGATGGTAATAGGAATTTTGTGAAGAAAGCATTCATTCTTTAAAAAGAAGTTGGGAAACACTGGTGAAGTTAAATGTGAAATTTCTAACAACATTTAAAATACAAATTTGCATTTTGAAGTT
Organism: Homo sapiens; assembly: GCF_000001405.40. Lineage (NCBI taxonomy): Eukaryota > Metazoa > Chordata > Mammalia > Primates > Hominidae > Homo > Homo sapiens. The sequence goes on from NC_000004.12 coordinate 148,576,067, forward strand.
CTATGATGTTCTTTATGTTGGATTGGTGCAAAAATTATTGCTGGTTTTGCTGTCACTTTTTTAAAATTATACTTTAAGTTTTAGGGTACATGTGCACAACGTGCAGGTTAGTTACATATGTGTACATGTGCCATGTTGCCGTCACTTTTAATGGCAAAAACCGCAATTCCTTTTGCACCAACTGAATACCTTTATTTGACTACTAAACATTTTAATTGGAACACCCATGAACATTTGTGGAATACTAGTGTTCTGGGAGACACAATTTTTAAAATGCTTAAGTGAAAGTCTTAGTTTTTGTGTTCTTCATCTTTTAAACTTTATAATTATTTTAAGTTACGAGAGCAATATGTAACTCAAATTAATGCCAGCAATACAAAAGAATTTTAAAAAGTTAAATTCTCTACCAAAGAATTTGAAGAAGTTAAATTCTTCCTTTTAATACCACATTCCTGAGTTAATCAATGCTAGAGATGAATGCCATTTTACACTTTCATTATATAAATATACAAAATGTATACATTATTATATATGTATAATGTATATATATGTATATAGTACATATAATATGTAACACATGTATTATACATATATAACAGAAGTTCCTCGTCGCCTTTCTGAAATACACATTACTCTGCACCTTTAAAAATGTGTTTTAACATTTTTTTTTCAAGAGATGAGGTCTTGGTGTGTGACTCAGGCTGGAGTGCAGTGGCACAATCATAACTCATTGCAACCTTTAACTCCTGGGCTCAAGTGATCCTCCTGCCTCAGCCTCCTGAGTAGCTGGGACTACAGGCATTATCTGGAAGGATTCTCAAAAAAGCTTGTTGGGCCCATCCTGAGAGTTTCTGATTCAGTAACACTAGACCTGGGCTGGGATCTAAAAATTTGTATTTCTAACACGTTGTTGGATGATGATGATGCTGCATAACTGGGACCACACTTGGAAAATCCCTAGCTTAATGAATTATTTATAAGAGGAACAGGTTTATAAAGGCAATGCAGGTGAAGAAATAGGACTTTGCTGCCACTCTAGAAGACCTTTCCTGTGGCCCATTCCAATAAGAGTTCTCTTTCCCTTCCTAAGTAACCACTATCTTGACTTTTATAACAATCACTTCCTTGCATTATTTTGTGTTATCACTCAAGTGCGAATCCTTAGACACTGCAGACTAACTTGTATGTTTTTCTCCTTCCATTTTTAAAGTGTCTGTTGAAAAGTCTTTGCCATTTAATCTGCAGACTTTCCATAACCTGGATCTTGTTGATTTCATATTCCTGGAGAAGTTTACAGTAATTTGTTCTCCATCTTTCCTTCAAATTGGCAGCTGGATCCAGAGCCTTTACCAGACTCATATCCAATAACTTTGGCAAGAGTGTAGGTGATTTTCAGCTTCTTTAGCAGGAGGTACATAATGTCTGGATTTTGCTCTGTTTTTAAATCAGTTTTCTTGAAGTATGATTCATATATGATAAAATTTACTAATTTTAAATGTGATATTTGATGAGTTTTGATAAATACATATAGTGAAGAAACTGTCACAATAATGATATAGAACATTTCCATTACCCCCAAAAGTTCTCATATGTTTCTTTGTAGTCAATCTCCTCTTGAGCTCATCTACTATCTCCTGAAAACCACTGATTTCATTTTTATCACTATAGTTTTGCATTTTCTAAAATTTCAGGTAAATGGATTCATATGATATATGGTCTTTTGTGTCTGGCTTGTTTCACGTTGCATACTGCTTTTGAGATTCACCTCTGTTTCTATGTGGATTGGTAGTTTCTTCCTTTTTTTATTCCTGAGTGGTATTTCATCATGTAGACTTAGAACAATTTGTTAATCCATTCACCAGTTGATGCACATTTGGGTTGTTTCCAGTATTTTGCTATTATGAATAAAGCTGAATGTGTCTGGCTTTTGGATAAATTCACTGAAACAGGAACCCAATACATATTACTCCTTTCCTCCTACCATGGATTTCCCACCAGAATCTATCAGCCTCTGTTCACTCAGCAGTGCTTTAAAGTAGCTACTTTTTGTATTATATTCAGAATTTATAGTTGTTTCCTAGTCTATGAGGAACTTAGTTTCCCATTGCCTGAAGCACTTGTTCCCCATATAGTGATGTTATTTTATTTTATTTTATTATTTTATTTATTTCACTTTATATTATTTCATAAGGAGACAACTCCCACATCTACTGTTCAATTACCCATAGGTACAGTTCATATAGGAAAGGCAGGATAAATGCTTCATTCTTTTCTTCTTACTTAGTTTTCAAGAAAATGATTTGGTGTCTAGTCATTTTTAGAAGGTGACCAATTAATGTTCTTAAAAAATGTAATTCTGATCAATAATTAACTACTTTCCAAAGCAGAGAGCAAAAAACTCAACTGGGTTCACTGGTGAGTTAGTTCTACCTAACATTAAGAAAGCATTTATATCAATTCTTTATAATCTCTTCCAGAAGATGGAAACAGAGGGAATATTTCCTAACTAATTCCATGAGCCAGCATCACCATGATAATAAAACCATACAAAGACATTTCAAGAAAACTACAGACCAATATCTCTTATGAACATAGATGCTAAAATTCCACAAAAAACATTAGTAAGTAAAATTCAGCAACATATAAAAAGAATTATATACTACAACCTAGTGGGATTTATCCCAGGTATATAAGGCTGGTTCAGCATTCAAAAAAGAATATAATCCATCACATTAACAGGCTAAAGAAGAAAAAAGCACATGATTATATCATATCGATAGATGCAGAGACAGCATTTGACAAAATCCAACACCTATTTGTGATAGAAACTCTCAGGAAATTAGGAAGAGAGTGGAATTCCCTCAATTTGGTAATGAACATCTACAGAAAAACCCTACAGTGAATATTATACTTAGTGGTGAGAAACTAGACAGTTTCCTCTAAGGTCAGGAATAAGGCAAAGGTGTTCCCTTCTAGTGCTCCTTTTCAACATCATACTGGAAGCCCTAGCTAATGCAGTAAGAAAGCAAGAATATAATTGTAAAATCATGGATTCAATCATGCTGTATTTGTTGAGTTTTAACATGCTGTAATTATTGTTCTTATTGAGGTTCAAAATTTTCATTTTTGGATTGCGAATTCTCTTGAAGCTTGCTTCTGAGTCTTGTTTTGTTTTTGTTTTTTAAAACATTGCCCTAAGAGTTTTTAATAGGTTCCATGACATCAGGTATGTCAAGGTATTTCATACTCATTTTGTTCATTTCCTCTTTCTCAGACAAGAATCAGTCATTGTCTCCAGGAAACACCCCTTCCATCTTCATTGGGAAATAGTATTTCAAGTCCACAATCAGGTCTCTATGGATCTTCATTGCTATTGGATTTATCATTCTTTCTAGGCATTTTCTGTGTATAGAATTAGGATATAAACACACTTTATAAAGTACCTCATGTGTTCTTACTGATATATCCAGTTGAAGTTTAGAACTACTGGATTTTTACTTAACCTAGTCTTTATTACACTGCTGTGTCCTTTTTACATTCTAAGAATTCTTCAAAGGTATAGGAAATGTTACAATTAAAATATTTCAGGCCAGGCACAGTGGCTCATGCCTGTGAGAGGCTGAGGTGGGTGGATCACTTAAGGTCAGTTGTTCGAGACCAGCCTGGCCAACGTGGTGAAACCCCGTATCTACTAAAAATACAAAAATTAGCCAGGCAAGGTGGCATGTGCCTGTAATCCCAGGCACTCAGGAGACTGAGGCAGAAGAATTGCTTGAACCTGGGAGGCAAAGGTTGCTGTGAGCAGAGATGGGGCCACTACACCCCAGCCTGGGCGACAGAGCGAGACTCCATCTCAAAGAAAAAATTCGTACTCATTAGTTTTATTCCACATTATAACAGTACCATAACAATACTATCACTAATTATAATTACAGAAAACAGCCAAAACATTTTAATATGCTACCCTAATCTATCCCTTTTAATGGTTTTAATATATCTACCTGTGAGATTGTATAATCTCTTTGTTTTTTATTTTTATTTTATTATTTCTTATTATACTTTAAGTTCTGGGATACATGTGCAGAATGTGCAGGTTTGTTACATAGGTATACAAGGTATACAAGGTGACTGGTATAAGACAAATCTCATTGTGGTTTTGATTTGCATTTCCTAATGACCACTGTTGATGAGCTTTTCTTCAAATGTTTGTTGGCCCCATAAATTTCTTCTTTTGAGAAGTGTCTGTTCATATCCTTTGCCCACTTTATGATGGGGTTGTTTTTTTCTTGTAAATTTGTTTAAGTTCTTTGTAGGTTCTGGATATTAGCCATTTGTGAGATGGATAGACTAAAACATTTTTCTCCCATTCTGTAGGTTGCCTGTTCACTCTGATAATAGTTTCATTTGCTCTGCAGAAGCACTTTAGTTTCATTAGATCCCATTTGTCAATATTGGCTTTTGTTGCCATTGCTTTTGGTGTTTTAGTCATGAAGTCTTTGCCTATGCCTATGTCCTGAATGGTATTGCCTAGGTTTTCTTCTAGGGTTTTAATGGTTTTAGATTTTACTTTTAAGTCTTTAATCCATGTTGAGTTAATTTTTGTGTAAGGTGTAAGGAAGGGGTCCAGTTTCAGTTTTCTGCATATGGCTAGCCACTTTTTCCAATACAATTTATTAAATAGGGAATCCTTTCCCCATTGCTTGTTTTTGTCAGGTTTGTCAAAGGTCAGATGGCTGTAGATGTGTGGTGTAATTTCTGAGGACTCTGTTCTGTTCCATTGGTCTATATATCTGTTTTGGTACCAGTACCATGCTGTTTTGGTTACTGTAGCCTTGTAACATAGTTTGAAGTCAGGTAGCATGATGCCTCCAGCTTTGTTCATTTTGCTTAGGATTGTCTTGGCTATGCGGGATCTTTTTTGGTTCCATATGAAATTTAAAGTGGTTTTTTCTAATACTGTGAAGAAAGTCAATGGTAGCTTGATGGGGATAGCATAGAATCTGTAAATTACTTTGGGCAGTATGACCATTTTCATGATATTGATTCTTCCTATCCATGAGCATAGAATGTTTTTCCATTTGTTTGTGTCCTCTCTCATTTTCTTGAGCAGTGGTTTGTAGTTCTCCTTGGGGAGGTCCCTCACATCCCTTCTGAGTTGTGTTCCTAGGTATTTTATTGTCTTTGTAGCAATTGTGAATGGGAATTCACTCATGATTTGGCTCTCTGTTTGTCTGTTATTGGTGCATAGGAATGCTTGTGATTTTTGCACATTGCTTCTGTATCCTGAGACTTTGCTGAAGTTGCTTAACAGCTTAAGAAGTTTTGGGGCTGAGACGATGGGGTTTTCTAGATATACAATCATGTCATCTGCAATCAGAGACAATTTGACTTCCTCTCTTCCTATTTGAATACACTTTATTTTTTGCTCTTGCATCATTGCCCTGGCCAGAACTTCCAATACTATGTTGAATAGGAGTGGTGAGAGAGGGCATCCTTGTATTGTGCAAGTTTTCAAAGGGAATGATTCCAGCTTTTGCCCATTCAGTATGATATTGGCTATGGGTTTGTCATAAATAGCTCTTATTATTTTGAGATACGTTCCATCAATACCTAGTTTATTGAGAGTTTTTAACATGAAGGGGTGTTGAATTTTATTGAAGGCCTTTTCTGCATCTATTGAGATAATCATGTGGCTTTTGTCATTGGTTCTGTTTATGTGATGGATTATGTTTATTGATTTGCGTATGCTGAACCAGCCTGGAATCCCAGGGATGAAGCTAACTTGATCTTGGTGGATAAGTTATTTGATATGCCACTGGATTTGGTTTGCCAGTATTTTATTCATGATTTTTGCATCAGTGTTCATCAGGGATATTGGCCTGAAATTTTCTTTTTTTGTTGTGTCTCTGCCAGGTTTTGGTATCAGGATGATGCTAGCCTTATAAAATGAGTTAGGGAGGATTCCCTCTTTTTCTATTGTTTGGAATAGTTTCAGAAGGAATGGTACCAGCTCCTCTTTGTACTTACGGCAGAATTCGTCTGTGAATCCATCTGGTCCTGGGCTTTTTTTTGGTTAGTAGGTTATGAATTACAGCCTCAATTTCAGAACTTGTTATTGGTCTATTCAGGAATTCGACTTCTTCCTGATTTAGACTTGGGAGGGTGTATGTGTGTAGGAATTTACCCATTTCTTCTATATTTTCTAGTTTATTTGCATAGAGGTGTTTATAGTATTCTCCGATGGTAGTTTGTATTTGTGTGGGATCAGTGGTGATCTCTCCTTTATCATCTTTTATTGTGTCTATTTGATTCTTCTCTCTTTTCTTCTTTATTAGTCTGTCTAACAGTCTATCTATTTTGTTGATGTTTTCTAAAAACAAGCTCCTGGATTCATTGATTTTTTGAAGGGTTTTTCATGTCTGTATCTCCTTTAGTTCTGCTCTGATCTTACTTATTTCTTGTCTTCTGCTAGCTTTTGAATTTGTTTACTCTTGCTTCTCCAGTTCTTTTAATTGTGATGTTAGGGTGTCAATTTTAGATCTTTCCTGCTTTCTCTTGTGGGCATTTGGAACTATAAATTTCCCTTTAAACATTGCTTTAGCTGTGTCCCAGAGATTCTGGTACATTGTGTCTTTGTTCTCATTGGTTTCAAAGAACTTATTTATTTCTGCCTTCATTTCGTTATTTACCCAGTAGTCATTCAGGAGCAGGTTGTTCAGTTTCCATGTAGTTGTGCGGTTTTGAGCAAGTTTCCTAATCCTGAGTTCTAATTTGATTGCACTGTGGTCTGAGAGACTGTTTGTTATGATTTCCATTCTTTTGCATTTGCTAAGGGGTGTTTTACTTCCAATTATGTGGTCAGTTTTAGAATAAGTGCGATGTGGTGCCGAGAAGAATGTATATTCCGTTGATTTGGGGTGGAGAGTTCTGTGGATGTCTATTAGGTCCGCTTGGTCCAGAGCTGAGTTCAAGTCCTGAATATCCTTGCTAATTTTCTGTCTCATCGATCTGTCTAATATCCACAGTGGAGTGTTAAAGTCTTCTGCTATTATTGTGTGGGCATCTAAGTCTCTTTGTAGGTCTCTAAGAACTTGCTTTATGAATCTGGGTGGTCCTGTATTTGGTGCATATATATTTAGGATAGTTCTTCTTGTTGCATTGATCCCTTTAGAAGTATGTAATGCCCTTCTTTGTCTCTTTTGATCTTTGTTGGTTTAAAGTCTGTTTTATCAGAGACTAGGATCACAACCCCTGATTTTTTTTGCTTTCCATTTGCTTGGTAAATCTTCCTTCATCCCTTTATTGTGAGTCTATGTGTGTCTTGGCACGTGAGATGGGTCTCCTGAATACAGCACACCAATGGGTCTTGACTCTATCCAGTTTGCCAGTGTGTGCCTTTTAATTGGGGCATTTAGCCCATTTACATTTAAGGTTAATATTGTTACGTGTGAATCTGGTCCTGTCATTATGATGCTAGGTGGTTATTTTGCCTATTTGTTGATGCAGTTTCTTCATAGCACCAATGATCTTTACAATTTGGTATGTTTTGGCAGTGGCTGGTACTGGTTGTTCCTTTCCATGTTCAGGTTTTTTCTTTTTTTTGTAAATTATTTTTTTTCTTCCTTGATGATTTAGAAGGACTATCTTCAAACCAGTACAAACATTTTATGCATAATTCCTGGCCATATACTAACCAATTGAGTAATTTGTTGCACCGTAAAGGCAGGCCTGGTGATGACAAAATCTCTCAGCATTTGCTTGTCTGTAAAGGATTTTATTTCTACTTCACTTATGAAGCTTAGTTTGGCTGGATATGAAATTGTGTGTTGAAAATTCTTTCTTTAAGAATGTTGAATATTGGCCCCCACTCTCTTCTGGCTTGTAGGGTTTCTGCTGAGGGATCCTCTGTTAGTATGATGGGCTTCCCTTTGTGGGTAACCTGACCTTTCTCTCTGGCTTTCCTTAACATTTTTTCCTTCATTTCAACCTTGGTGAATCCGACGATTATGTCTTGGGGTTCCTCTTCTTGAGGAGTATCTTTGTGGTGTTCTCTGTATCTCCTGAATTTGAATGTTGGCCTGTTTTTCTAGGTTGGGGAAGTTCTCCAGGGCAATATCCTGAAGAGTGCTTTCCAGCTTGGTTCCATTCTCCCCATCACTTTCAGGTACACCAATCAAACACAGATTTGGTCTTTTCACGTAGTCCCATATTTCTTGGACGATTTGTTCATTCCTTTTCATTCTTTTTTCTCTAATCTTGTCATCAAGCTTTATTTCATTAGGTTGGTTTTCAATCTCTGATATCCTTTCTTCCACTTGATCAATTTGGCTATTGATACTTGCGTATGCTTCACGAAGTTTTCACATTGTATTTTTCAGCTCTGTCAGGTCATTTATGTTCTTCTCTAAACTGGTTATCCTAGTTAGCAATTCTTCTACCTTTTTTCAAGGTTCTTAGCTTCCTTGCATTGGGTTAGATCATGCTCCTTTAGCTCAGAGGAGTTTGTTATTACCCACCTTCTGAAGCCTACTTCTGTCAGTTCGTCAAATTCATTCTCCGTCCAGTTTTATTCCCTTGCTGATGAGTTGTGATCCTTTGGAGGAGAAGAGGCGTTCTATTTTTTGGAATTTTCAGCCTTTTTGCGCTGGTTTTTCCTCATTTTCATGCATTTATGTACCTTTGGTCTTTGATGTTGGTGACCTTCGGATGGGGTTTCTGAGTGGATGTCCTTTTTGTTGATGTTGATGCTATTTCTTTCTGTTTGTTAGTTTTCCTTCTGAGAATCAGGCCCGTCTGCTGCAGCTCTGCTGGAATTTGCTGGAGGTCCACTCCATTCCCTATTTGCCTGGGTATCACCAGCAGAGGCTGCAGAACAGCAAAGATTGCTGCCTGTTTCTTCCTCTGGAAGCTTCATACCAGCGGGACACCCACCAGATGCCAGCCGGAGCTCTCCTGTATGAGTGTCTCCCTGCTGAGAGGTGTCTCCCAGTCAGAAGGCACAGGGGTCAGGGACCCACTTGAGGAGTCAATCTGTCCTTTGGCAGAGCTCGAACGCTGTGCTGGGAGGTTCACTGCTCTCTTCATAGCCAGAAGGAAAGGACATTTAAGTCTGCTGAAGCTGTGCCTACAGCTGCCCCTTCCCCCAAGTGCTCTGTCCCAGGGAGATGAGAGTTTTATCTGTAAGCCCCTGACTGAGGCTACTGCCTTGTTTTCAGAGATGCCCTGCCCAGAGACGAGGAATCTAGAGAGGCAGTCTGGCTCCAGCGGCTTTGCTAAGCTGTGGTGGGCTCCGTCTAGTTCAAACTTCACTGTGGCTTTGTTTACACTGTGAGGGGAAAACGGCCTACTCAAGCCTCAGTAATGGTGGACCCCCCCTCCCTCCACCAATCTCAAGCATCCCAGGTCAACTTCAGACTGCTGTGCTGGCAGCGAGAATTTCAAGCCAGTGGATCTTAGCTTGCTGGGCTCTGTGGGGGTGGGTTCCGCTGAGCTAGACCACTGGACTCCCTGGCTTCAGCCCCCTTTCCAGGAGAGTGAATGGTTCTGTCTCGCTGGTGTTCCAGGCGCCACTGGGGTATGAAAAATAACTCCTGCAGCTAGTTTGGTGTCTATCCAAATGGCCACCAAGGTTTGTGCTTAAAACCCAGGGCCCTGGTGGCATGGGCACCCAAGGGAATATCCTGGTCTGTGGGTTGTGAAGATCATGGGAAAAGTGTAGTATCTGGGCTGGAGTGGACCATTCCTCATGGCACAGTCTCTCACGGCTTCCCTTGGCTATGGGACAGAGTTCCCCGATCCCTTGGGCTTCGCAGGTGAGGCGATGCCCCACCCTGCTTCAGCTTACCCTCCATGGGCTGCACCCAGTGTCTAACCAGTCCCGATGAGATGAGCCTGGTACCTCAGTTGGAAATGCAGAAATCACTTACCTTCTGCATTGATCTTACTGGGAGCTGCAGACCGGAGCTGTTCGTATTCAGCCATCTTGCCAGCCACCCAATCTCTTTGTTTTAATTCTCATCTAGAATTAGTTTTATGTGAATTCATATATTTATTTCTTACCGACTGATACTTATTCAAATGTCTCTTTGGTCATTTGGGTTGCTTTAAGCTACCTTTTTCAGTAGATTTTTCAAGAAGGACTCATGGCAATGCCATTCCCTAAATTATAATAGTTCATGCTTTTTATTCTTTAAGACCTGTTTAGCTGGTTAGAAAATAGTTGTTTCACGTTTTCTTTCCTTGCATACATTCAATATATTTATGTTCCTCTGGCATAAAGATATTATATCAAAAAGTCTGATGATAATATACTTTTATACCCTTTCTAAGTTATGTGTTATTTTATTTTAAGTACTTAAGAGTTTTTATTTTCCTTTATAGTCTAGCAATTTCACTAAAATAACTTGGTCATTCTGAGTCAATTTTGTTAAGTACGCATTATGATCTTTCAATATTAGTTGTAAAAATTGTTTCTTATTATTTAGGAAAGTTTTAATAAATGTCTAGTTTTGTTACATGGTGATTTCCCTTCTTTGATTATCTATTTATTGGATTTTCTCTTACTATCTTTAATTATGTTACCCTCAAATCCTTTTATTTTTCATTTCTTTTTAAGAGGTTTGTTTTACTAGTTTTTATCACTTAATTTTTAAGACAATATATATTTTAAAATTTTTACTTTTTTTATTTCAATAGGTTTTTGGGGAACAGGTGGTATTTAGTTACATGAATAAGCTCTTTAGTGGTGATTTCTGAGATTTTGTTGCACCCGTCACCAGAGCAGTGTACCCTGTACCCAATGTGTAGTCTTTTATCTCTAACCCCTCCCACCCTTTCTCCCAAGTTCCCATAGCCCATTGTATTATTCCTATGCCTTCGCATCCTCATAGCTTAGCTCCCACTTGCAAGTGAAAATATGCAATGCTTGGTTTTCCATTCCTGAATTACTTAACTTAGAATAATAGTCTCCAATTCCATCTAGGTTGCTGCAAATTCCAATATATTATTCCTTTTTATGGCTGAGTAGTACTCCATGGTATATATTTACAACATTTTCTTTATCAACTCATTGATCGATGGGCATTTGGGCTGGTTCCATGTTTTTGCAATTGTGAATTGTGCTGCTATAAACATGCACCTGCAAGAATCTTTTTGGCATAATGACTTATACTTTCCTCTGTGTAGATACCCAGGAGTGGGATTGCTGGATCAAATGATAGATCTACTTTCAGTTCTTTAAGGAATCTCCATACTGTTTTCCATAGTGGTTGTACTAGTTTACATTTTCACCAACAGTGTAAAAGTGTTCCCTTTTCACACATCCATGCCAACATCTATTATTTTTTGATTTTTTTATTATGGCCATTATTGCAGGAGTTAGGTGGTATCACATTGTGGTTTCGATTTGCATTTCCCTGATCATTACTGATGTTGAGCATTTTTTCATATGTTTGTTAGGCATTTGTATATGTTCTTTTGATAATTGTCTATTTATGTCCTTAGCCCACTTTTTGATGAGGTTGTTTTTTTTTCTTACTGATTTGTTTGAGTTCCTTGTAGATTCTGGATATTGGTACTTAGTCAGATGTATAGATTGTGAAGATTTTCTCCCACTCTGTAGGTTGTCTGTTTACTCTGCTGATTACTTCTTTTACTGTGCAGAAGCTTTTTAGTTTAATTAAGTCCCATCTATTTATCTTTGCTTTTGTTGCATTTGCTTTTGGGTTCTTGGTCATGAAGTCTTTGCCTAAGTAAATGTCTAGAAGGGTTTTTCTGATGTTATCTTCTAGAATTTTTATGTTTTAATGTCTTAGGTTTAAGTCTTTGATCCATTTTGAGTTGATTTTTTATAAGGTGAGAAATGGGGATACAGTTTTATTCTTCTACATGTGGCTTGCCAATTATCCCAGCACCATTTGTTTTATAGGTTGTCCTTTCCCCACTTTATGTTTGTGTTTGCTTTTTTGAAGATCAGTTGGCTGTAAGTATTTGGCTTTATTTCTGGGTTCTCCATACTGTTCCATTGTTCTGCATGCCTGTTTTTATACCAGCACCATGCTGTTTTGGTGACTATGGCCTTGTAGTATAGCTTGAAGTCAGGTAATGTGATGCCTCCAGATTTGTTATTTTTGCTTAATCTTGCTTTGGCTTTTTGGGCTCTTTTTTTGGTTCCATATGAATTTTAGGATTGTTTTTTCTACTTCTTTGAAGAATGATGGTGGTATTTTGATGGGAATTGCATTGAATTTGTAGATTGCTTTTAGCAGTATGGTCATTTTCACAATATTGATTCTATCCTTCTGGTATGGTTTGGCTGTGTCCCCTCCCAAATCACCTTGAATTATAGCTCCAATAATTCCTTTGTGTTGTGAGACAGACCCAGTGGTAGATAATTGAATCATGGGGGTAGTTTCCCCCATACTGTTCTCATGGTAGTGAATACGTCTCATGAGATCTGATGGTTTTATAAGGGGGAACTTCTTTTGCTTGTTTTTCATTCTCTCTTGCCACAGCCATGTAAGAAGTGCCTTTTACCTTCCACCATAATTGTGAGGCCTCTCCAGCCACATGAAACTGTGAGTCCATTAAACCTATTTTTTTTCTCCAGTCTTGGGTATGTCTTTGTCAGTAGTGTGAAAATGGAATAATACAGTAAATTGGTACCAGTAGAGTGGGACACTGCTGAAAAGATACCCAAAAATGTGGAAGCCGCTTTGGAACTGGGTAACAGGCAGAGGTTGAAACAGTTTGGAAGGCTCAGAAGAAGAGAGGAAAATGTGGAAAGGTATGGAACTCCCTAGAGACTTGTTGAATGGCTTTGACCAAAATGCTGATAATGACATGGACAATGAAATCCAGGCTGAGATGGTCTTAGATGGAGATGAGAGACTTGTTAATAACTGGAGCAAAGGTGACTCTTGTTATGTTTTAGCAAAGAGACTGGCAGCATTTTACCCCTGCCCTAGAGATTTGTGGAACTTTGAACTTGAGAGTGATGATTTAGGATATCTGGCAGAAGAAATTTCTAAGCAGCAAAGCATTCAAAATGTGACTTGGGTCCTATTAAAGGCCTTCCATTTTAAAAGGGAAACAGAGCATAAAAGTTCAGAAAATTTGCAGCTTAACAATGCAATAGAAAAGAAAACCCCATTTTCTGAGGAAGAATTCAAGCTGGCTGCAGACATTTGCATAAGTAACAAGGAGCCAAACGTTAATCACCAAGACAATGGGAAAAATGTTTCCAGGGCATGTCAGAAACCTTTGCGGCAGCCCCCTACCCCATCACAGACCCGGAGGCCTAGGAGGAAAAAATGGTTTCATGGGCCTGGCCCAATGTCCCTCTGCTGTGTGCAGTCTAGGGACTTGGTGCTCTGCATCCCATCCACTCTAGCCATGACTAAAAGAGGCCAAGGTACAGCTCAGGCCATGGGCTTCAAGTGGTGCAAGCCCCACGCATTGGCATCTTCCACATGGTATTGAGCCTGCAGGTGCACAGAAGTCAAGAACTGAGGCTTCGGAACCTCTGCCTAGATTTCACAGGATATACGGAAATGCTTTGATTTCCAGGCAGAAGTTTGCTGCAGGGGCAGTGCTTTCATGGAGAACCTTTGCTAGGACAGTGCAGAAGGGAAATGTGGGGTGGGCACCCCCACACAGAGTCACCACTGGGGCACTTCCTAGTGGAGCTCTGAGAAGAGGGCCACCGTCCTCTATACCCCAGACTGGTAGATCCACTGACATCTTTCACTGTATGCCTGGAAAAGCCACAGACACTCAATGCCAGCCCATGAAAACAGCCAGGAGCGAGGCTGTAGCCTGTAAAGCCACAGGGGTGGAGCTGCCCAAGACCATGGGAACACCTGGGACCATGGGACCTGGATTTGAGACATGGATTCAAAGGAGATCATTTTGCACCTTTAAAATTTGACTGCCCTGCTGGATTTCAAGCTTTCATGGGACTGTAGCTCATTTGTTTTGGCCAATTTCTCCCATTTGGAATGGCTGTATTTACTCAATGCCTGTACCCCCATTGTATCTAGGAAGTAACTAACTTGCTTTTGATTTTACAGGCTTATAGGCAGAAGGGACTTGCCTTGTCTCAGATGAGACTTTGGACTGTGGACTTTTGAGTTAATGCTGGAATGAGTTAAGACTTTGGGGGCCTGTTGGGAAGACATGATTGGTTTTGAAATGTGAGGATGGGAGATTTGGGAGGGGCCAGGGGCAGAATGATATGGTTTGGCTGTGTCCCCACCCAAATGTCATCTTGAATTGTAGTTCCCATAATTCTCTCATGTTGTGGGAGGGATCCAGTGAGAGATAAATGAATCATGGGGGTGGTTTCCCCCATACTGTTCCTGTGGCAGTGAATAAGTCTTACTGGAGCTGATTGTTTTATAAAGGGAAACCCCTTTTGTTTGGTTTTCATTTTCTGTGGCTCCCGCCATGTAAGAAATGCCTTTCGCCTTCCGCTATGATTGTGAGGCCTCCCCAGCTGTGCATCACTGTGAGTCCATTAAAGCTACTTGTTTTCCCAGTCTTGGGTATGTCTCTATTAGCAGTGTGAAAATGGACTAATACACCATCCATGAGCATGGGACATGTTTCCATTTGTTTATGTTGTCTATGATTTCTTTCAGCATTGTTTTGTAGTTTTCCTTGTATAGATCTTTCACTTCCTTGGTTCAGTATATTCCTAATTTTATTTTATTTTATTTTTTGCAGCTATTTTAAAAGGGGTTGAGTTCTTGATTTGATTCTCAGCCTGGTCACTTATGGTGTATAGCAGGGCTACTAATTTGTGTACATTAATTTTGTATCCTGAAACTTTGCTGAATTCATTTACCAGTTCTAGGAGCTTTTTTGATAAGTTTTTAGGGTTTTCTAGGTATATGATCATGTCATCAGCAAACTGACTGTTTGACTTCCTGTTTACCAATTTGGATGCCCTTGATTTCTTTCTCTTGTCTGATTGCTCTGACTAGGACTTCCAGTACTATGTTGAATAGAAGTGGTGAAAGTGTGCATCCTTGTCTTGTTCCAGTTCTCTTGGGGAATGCTTTCAACTTTTCCCTGTTCAGTATAATGTTGGCTGTGGGTTTGTCATAGATGGCTTTAATTACCTTAAGATATGTCCCTTCTGTGCTGATTTTGCTGAGGGTTTTAATCAAAAAGGGAAGTTGGATTTTGTCAAATTCTTTTTCTGCATCTATTGAAATTATCATGTGATTTTTGTTTTTAATTTTGTTTATGTAGTGTATTACATTTATTGACTCGTGGGTGTTAAGCCATCCCTGCATCCTTGGTGTGAAATCCACTTGATCATGGTGGATTATCTTTTTGATATGCTAATGGATTCAGTTAGCTCATATTTTGTTGAGGATTTTTGCATCTATATTCATCAGGGATATTGGTCTGTAGTTTTCTTTTTTTGTTATGTCCTTTCCTGGTTTTGGTACTAGGTTGATACTGGCTTCATAGAGTGATTTAGTGAGGATCCCTTTTTCTCTATCTTTTGGAATATTGTCAATAGGATTGGTACCAATTTTTCTTTGAATGTCTGCTCAAATTCAGTTGTGAATCCGTCTGGTCCTGGGGTTTTTTTTTCTTAGTAACTTTTTAATTACTATTTCAACCTTGCTGCTTGTTATTGGTCTGTTCAGAGTTTCTATTTCTTCCTGGTTTAATCTACTAGGGTTGTTTACTTCCAGGAATTTATCCGTCTCCTCTAGGTTTTCTAGTTTATGCATGTGAAGGTGTTTGTAGTAGCCTTGAATGATCTTTTGTATTTCTGTAGTATTGGTTGTAATATATTGTTTCATTTCTAATTGAGCTTATTTGAATCATCTCTCTTCTTTTCTTGGTTAATCTCACTAATGATCTATCAATTTTATTTACCTTTTCAAAGAACCAGCTTTTGGTTTCATTTATATTTTGTATTTTTTTGTTTGTTTGTTCAATTTCATTTAGTTCTGCTCTTATCTTGGTCATTTCTTTTCTTCTGCTGGGTTTGGGTTTGGTTTGTTCTTACTTCTCTAGCTCCTTGATGTGTGACCATAGATTGTCTATTTGTGCTCTTTCAGACTTTTTGATGTAGGCATTTAATGCTATGAGCTTTCCTCTTAGCACTGACTTTGCTGTATCTCAGAGTTTTTGATAGGTTGTGTCGCAATTATCATTCAGCTCAAAGAATGCTTAAATTTCCATACTGATTACATTTTTGACCCAATAATCATTCAGGAACAGCTTATTTATCATGTATTTGCATGATTTTGAGGGTTCCTTTTGGAGTTGATTTCCAATTTTATTACACTGTGGTCCGAGAGAGTACTTGCTATAATTTTGATTTTCTTAAATTTGTTGAGACTTGTTTTGAGGTCTATCATATGGTCTGTCTTGAAGAAAGTTCCATGTGCTGATGAATAGAATTTACATCTACAATTGTTGGGTAGAATGTTCTGTAAATCTGTGTTAAGATGTTCCAGGGTATAGTTTAAGTCCATTGTTTCTTTGTTGACTTTCTCTCTTGTTGACCTGTCTAGGGCTGTCAGTGGAGTATTGAAGTCCACCACTATTATTGTGTTGCTGTCTATCTCATTTCTTAGGTCTAGTAATAATTGTTTTATAAATTTGAGAGCTCCAGTGTTAGGTGCACATAAATTTAGGATTGTGATAATTTCCTTTTGGACTAGTCCATTTATCATTATATAATGTCCCTCTTTGTCTTTTCAAACTGTTGTTGCTTTAAAGTTTGTTTTGTCTGATATAAGAATAGCTACTCCTACTCACTTTGGATGTCCATTTGCATGGAATATCTTTTTCTACCTCTTTAGCTTAAGCTTATGTGAGTCCCTATGTCACAGATGAGTCTCTTGAAGACAGCAGATACATGGTTGGTGAATTTTTTTTTATTATTATTATACTTTCAGTTCTAGGGTACATGTGCACACCATGCAGGTTTGTTACATATTTATACATGTGTCATTTTGGTTTGCTGCACTCATTAACTCATCACTTACATTAGGTATTTCTCCTAATGCTATCCCTCCTCCATCCCCCCATGCCACAACAGGCCCCGGTGTGTGATGTTTCTCGCCCTGTATCCAAGTGTTCTCATTGTTCAATTCCTACCTATGAGTGAGAACATGCAGTGTTTGGTTTTGGGTCCTTGCAATACTTTGCTCAGAATGATGGTTTCCAGCTTCATCCATGTCCCTACAAAGGATATAAACTCATCCTTTTTTATGGCTGCATAGTATTCCACAGTGTATATGTGCCACATTTTCTTAATCCAGTCTATCATTGATGGACATTTGGGTTGGTTCCAAGTCTTTGCTATTGTGAATAGTGCCACAATAAACATATGTGTGCATGTGTCTTTATAGCAGCATGATTTATAATCCTTTGGGTATATACCCAGTAATGGGATGGCTGGGTCAAATGGTATTTCTAGTTCTAGACCCTTAAGGAATCACCACACTGACTTCTGCAATGGTTGAACTAGTTTACAGTTGCACTAACAGTGTAAAAGTGTTCCTATTTCTCCACATCCTCTCCAGCACCTGTTGTTTCCTGACTTTTTAATGATCACCATTCTAACTGGTGTGAGATGGTGTCTCACTGTGGTTTTGATTTGCATTTCTCTGATGGCCAGTGATGATGAGCATTTTTTCATATGTCTATTGGCTGCATAAATGTCTTCTTTTGAGTAGTGTCTGTTCATAGCTTTGCCCACTTTTTGATGGGATTGTTTGATTTTTTCTTGTAAATTTGTTTAAGTTCTTTATATAGTCTGGATATTAGCCCTTTGTCAGATGGGTAGGTTGCAAAAATTTTCTCCCATTCTGTAGGTTGCCTGTTCACTCTGATGTAGTTTCTTTTGCTGTGTAGAAGCTCCTTAGTTTAATTAGATCCCATTTGTCTATTTTGGCTTTTGTTGCCATTGCTTTTGGTGTTTTAGACATGAAGTCCTTGCCCATGCCTATGTCCTGAATGGTAATGCCTAGGTTTTCTTCTAGGGTTTTTATGGTTTTAGGTCTAACATTTAAGTCTTTAATCCATCTTGAATTAATTTTTGTATAAGATATAAGGAAGGGATCCAGTTTCAGCTTTGTACATATGGCTAGCCAGTTTTCCCAGCACCATTTATTAAATAGGGAATCCATTCCCCATTTCTTGTTTTTGTCAGGTTTGTCAAAGATCAGATGGTTGTAGATGTGTGGTGTTATTTCTGAGGCCTCTGTTCTGTTCCATTGGTCTATATATCTGTTTTGGTACCAGTACCATGCTGCTTTGATTACTGTAGCCTTGTAGTATAGTTTGAAGTCAGGTAGCATGATGCCTCCAGCTTTGTTCTTTTCGCTTAGGATTGTCTTGGCAATGCGGGCTCTTTTTTGGTTCCATATGAACTTTAAAGTAGTTTTTTCCAATTCTGTGAAGAAAGTCATTGGTAGCTTGATGGGGATGGCATTGAATCTATAAATTACCTTGGGCAGTATGGCCATTTTCACGATATTGATTCTTCCTACCCATGAGCATGGAATGTTCTTCCATTTGTTTGTGTCCTCTTTTATCTTGTTGAGCAGTGGTTTGTAATTCTCCTTGAAGAGGTCCTTCACATCCCTTGTAAGTTAGATTCCTAGGTATTTTATTGTCTTTGTAGCAATTGTGAATGGGAATTCACTCATGATTTGGCACTCTGTTTGTCTGTTATTCGTGTATAGGAATGCTTGTGATTTTTGCACATTGATTTTGTATCCTGAGACTTTGCTGAAGTTGCTTATCAGCTTAAGGAGATTTGGGGCTGAGACGATGGGGTTTTCTAAATATACAATCATGTCATCTGCAAGCAGGGACAATTTGACTTCCTCCTTTTCTAATTGAATACCCTTTATTTTTTTCTCTTGCCTGATTGCCCTGTCCAGAACTTCCAACACTGTGTTGAATAGGAGTGGTGAGATAGGGCATCCATGTCTTATGCCTTTTTCAAAGGGAATGCTTCCAGTTTTTGCCCATTCAGTATGATATTGGCTGTGGGTTTTTCATAAATATCTCTTATTATTTTGAGATACATTCCATCAGTACCTAGTTTATTGAGAGCTTTTAGCATGAAGCGCTGTTGAATTTTGTCGAAGGCCTTTTCTGCATCTATTGAGATAATTGTGTGGTTTTTGTCTTTGGTTCTGTTTATGTGATGGATTACGTTTATTGGCTTGCATATGTTGAACAAGCCTTGCATCTCAGGGATGAAGCCAGCTTGATCATGGTGGATAAGCTTTTTGATATGCTGCTGGATTTGGTTTGCCAGTAATTTATTGAGGATTTTTCCGTCGATGTTCATCAGGGATATTGGTCTAAAATTCTATTTTTTGTGTGTCTCTGCCAGGCTTTGGTATCAGGATGATGTTGAGCTCATAAAATGAGTTAGGGAGGATTCCCTCTTTTTCTTTTGATTGGAGTAATTTCAGAAGGAATGGTACCAGCTCCTCTTTGTACCTCTGGTAGAATCTGGCTGTGAATCCATCTGCTCTTGGACTTTTTTTGGTTGGTAGTCTGTTAATTATTGCCTCAATTTCAGAGTCTGTTATTGGTCTATTCTGGGATTCAACTTCTTCCTGGTTTAGTTTTGGTAGGGTGTATGTGTCCAGGAATTTATCCATTTCTTCTAGATTTTCTAGTTTATTTGCATAGAGGTGTTTATAGTATTCTCTGATGGTAGTTTGTATTTCTCTGGGATTGATGGTGATATCCCCTTTATCATTTTTTATTGCATCTATTTGATTATTCTCTCTTTTCTTCTTTATTAGTCTTGCTAGTGGTCTATCAATTTTGTTCATCTTTTCAAAAAACCAGCTCCTGGATTCATTGATTTTTTGAAGGGTTTTTTTGGTCTCTATCTCCTTCAGTTCTGCTCTGATCTTAGTTATTTCTTGCCTTCTGCTAGCTTTTGAATGTGTTTGCTCTTGCTTCTCTAGTTCTTTTAATTGTTTGTTAGGGTGTTGATTTTAGATCTTTCCTGCTTTCTCTTGTTGGTATTTAGTGCTATAAATTTCCCTCCACACACTACTTTAAATGTGTCCCAGAGATTCTGGTACATTGTGTCTTTGTTCTCATTGGTTTCAAAGAACATCTTTATTTCTGCCTTCATTTCGTTATGTACCCAGTAGTCTGTGAGGAGCAGGTTGTTCAGTTTCCATGTAGTTGTGCGGGTTTTGAGTGAGGTTTTTTTTTTTTTTTTTTCCTTGAGATGGAGTCTCACTTTGTTGCCCCGGCTGGAGTGCAGTGGCACAATCTCAGCTCACTGCAAGCTCCGCCTCCTGGGTTCACATCATTCTCCTGCCTCAGCCTCCCGAGTAGCTGGGACTACAGGCGCCTGCCACTACACCCGGCTCATTTTTTGTATTTTTAGTAGAGACGGGGTTTCACTGCTTTAGCCAGGATGGTCTCTATCTCTTGACCTCGTGATCCACCTGCCTCAGCCTCCCAAAGTGCTGGGATTACAGGCGTGAGCCACCGCGTCTTCAGTGAGTTTCTTAATCCTGACTTCTGATTTGATAGCAGTGTCGTCTGAGAGAGAGTTTGTTGTGATTTCTGTTCTTTTACATTTGCTGAGGAGTGCTTTACTTCCAACTATGTGGTCAATTTTGGAATAAGTGTGATGTGGTGCTGAGAAGAATGTATATTCTGTTGATTTGGGGTGGAGAGTTTGGTAGATGTCTATTAGGTCTGCTTGGTGCAGAGCTGAGTTCAAGTCCTGAATATCCTTGTTAACCTTCTGTCTTGTTAATCTGTCTAATATTGACAGTGGGGTGTTAAAGCCTCCCATTATTATTGTGTGGGAGTCTAAGTCTCTTGTAGGTCTCTAAGGACTTGCTTTATGAATCTGGGTGCTCCTGTATTGGGTGCATATATATTTAGGATAGTTAGCTCTTCTTGTTGAATTGATCCCTTTACTATTATTTAATGGCCTTCTTTGTCTCTTTTGATCTTTGTTGGTTTAAAGTCTGTTTTATCAGAGACTAGGATTGCAACCCCTGATTTTTTTTGCTTTCCATTTGCTTGGTAGATCTTCCTCCATCCCTTTATTCTGAGCCTGTTTGTCTCTGAATGTGAGATGGGTCTCCTGAATACAACACACTGATGGGTCTTGACTCTATCCAATTTACTAGTCTGTGTCTTTTAATTGGGGCATTTAGCCCATTTACATTTAAGGTTAGTGTTGTTATGTGTGAATTTGACCCTGTCATTATGATGTTAGTTGGTTATTTTGTCTGTTAGTTGATGGAATTTCTTCCTAGCATCAGTGATCTTTACAATTTGGCATGTTTTTGCAGTGGCTGGTACCGGTTGTTCCTTTCCATGTTTAGTGCTTCCTTCAGGAGGTCTTGTAAGTCAGGTTTGGTGGTGACAAAATCTCTCAGCATTTGCTTGTCTGTTAAGGATTTTATTTCTCCTTCACCTATGAAGCTTAGTTTGGCTGGTTATGAAATTCTGGGTTGAAAATTCCTTTCTTTAAGAATGTTGAATAGTAGCCCCCACAATCTTCTGGCTTGTAGAGTTTCTGCCAAGAAATCCGCTATTAGTGTGATGGGCTTCCCATTGTGGGTAACCCAACCTTTCTCTCTGGCTACCCTTAACATTTTTTCCTTCATTTCAACCTTGGTGAATCTGACAATTATGTGTCTTGGGGTTGCTCTTCTTGAGGAGTATCTTTGTGGTGTTCTCTGTATTTCCTGAATTTGAATGTTGACCTGCCTTGCTAGGTTGGGGAATTTATCCTGGATAATATCCTGCAGAGTGTTTTCCAGCTTGGTTCCATTCTCCCCTTCACTTTTAGGTACACCAGTCAAACGTAGATTTGGTCTTTTCACATAGTCCCATATTTCTTGGTGGCTTTTTTCGTTTCTTTGTGTTCTTTTTTTCTCTAAACGTCTCTTCTTGCTTCATTTCATTCATTTGATCTTCAGTCACTGATAACCTTTCTTCCACTTGATGGAATCGGCTACTGAAGCTAGTGCATGCATCACGTAGTTCTCGTGCCATGGTTTTCAGCTCCATCAAGTCATTTAAGGTCTTCTCTACACTGTTTGTTCTAGTTAGCCATTCGTCTAATCTTTTTGCAAGGTTTTTAGCTTCCTTGCAATGGGTTTGAACATCCTCCTTTAGCTCAGAGAATTTTGTTATTACCGACCTTCTGAAGCCTACTTCTGTCAACTTGTCAAAGTCATTCTCCATCCAGCTTTGCTCCATTGCTGGCGAGGAGCTGCGATCCTTTGGAGGAGGAGAGGCACTCTGGTTTTTAGAATTTTCTGCTTTTCTCCTCTGGTTTCTTCCCATCTTTTTGGTTTTAACTACCTTTGGTCTTTGATGACGGTGACCTACAGATGGGGTTTTGGTGTGGATGTCCTTTTTGTTGATGTTGATGCTATTCCTTTCTGTTTGTTAGTTTTCCTTCTAACAGTCTGGTCCTTCAGCTGCAGGTCTGTTGAAGTTTGCTGGATTTCCACTCCAGACCCTGTTTGCCTGGCTGTCGCCAGCAGAGGCTGCAGAACAGCAAATATTGCAGAACAGCAAATACTGCTGCCTGATCCTTCCTCTGGAAGCTTCGTCTGAGAGGGGCACCTGGCTGTATGAGGTTTCAGTCAGCCTCTACTGGGAAGTGTCTCCCAGTTAGGCTACACAGGGGTCAGGGACCCACTTGAGGAGGCAGTCTGTCCGTTCTCAGAGCTCAAATGCCGTGCTGGGAGAACCACTGCTCTCTTCAGAGCTGTCAGACAGGGACGTTTCAGAGTGTAGAAGTTTCTGCTGCCTTTTGTTCAGCTATGCCCTGCCCCAGAGGTGGAGTCTATAGAGGCAGACAGGCCTCACTGAGCTGCAGTGGGCTCCACCCAGTTTGAACTTCCTGGCCACTTTGTTTACCTACTCAAGCCTCAGCAATGGCGGATGCGCCTCCCCCAGACAGGCTGCCGCCTTGCAGTTCTATCTCAGACTGCTGCGCTAGCAGTCAGCAAGGCTCTGTGGACTTGGGACCCGCTGAGCCAGGCATGGGACATAATCTCCTGGTGTGCTGTTTGCTAAGACCGTTGGAAAAGCGCAGTATTTGGGTAGCAGTGTCCCGATTTTCCCAGTACAGTCTGTCACAGCTTTCCTTGGCTAGGACAGGGAAATCCCCCGACCCTTTGCGCTTCCTGGGTGAGGCGATGCCCCACTCTGCTTCAGCTCACCCTCTGTGGGCTGCATCCACTGTCCAACCAGTCCCAATGAGATGAACTGGGTACCTCTGTTGGAAATGCAGAAATCACCTGTCTTCTGCGTCGATCACACTGGGAGTTGCAGACCAGAGCTGTTCCTAGTTGGCCATCTCGGAATGGACCGGTGAATTCTTATCTATTCTGCTATTCTGTATCTTTTATATGGAGCATTTACGCCATTTATATTCAATGTTAGTATTAAGATGTGAGGTACTATTCTATTCATTGTGCTATTTGTTGCCTGAATACCTTAGTTTTATTTCATTGTGTTGTTGTCTCATAGGTCCTGTGAGATTTATGCTTTAAGGAGATTTTAATTTGATATGTTTCAGGGATTTGTTTAAAGATTTAGAGCTCCTTTTGGCAGTTCTTGTAGTTCTGGCTTGTTAGTGGCGAATTCTCTCAGCGTTTGTTTGTCTGAAAAAACTTTATCTTTCCTTCATTTATGAAGCTTAGTATTGCTTGAAACAAATTTCTTGGCTGATAATTGTTTTGTTTGAGCCTGCTAAAGCTAGGACCCCAATCCCTTCTAGCTTGCAGGGTTTCTGCTAAGAAATCTACTGTTAATCTGATAGGTTTTCCTTTATAGGTTATGTCATGCTTTTACCTCATAGCTCTTAAGAGTTTCTTTTGTCTTGACTTTAGATAGCGTGATGACTGTGTTCCTAGGTGATTATATTTTTGTGATTAATTTCCCAGGTGTTCTTTGAGCTTCTGGTATTTCGATGTCTAGATCTCTAGCAAGGCTGGGGAAGTTTTCTTTGATTGTTCCCTCAAATATGTTTTCCAAAATTTTAGATGGCTCTTCTTCCTCAGGAACACCAATTATTCTTAGGTTTGGTCGTTTGACATAATCCCCAACTTCTTGGAGGCTTTGTTCATTTTTAAAAATTCCTTTTTCTTTGTCTTTGTCTGATTGGGTTAATTTGAAAGCCTTGTCTTTGAGCTCTGAAGTTCTTTCTTCTACTTGTTTGATTCTATTGTTGAAACTTTTCAGTGTATTTTGCAATTCTCTAATTGTGTCTTTCATTTCCAGAAGCTGTGATTGTTTTTTATTTATGCTACCTATTTTATTGGAGATTTTTTCATTAATAATCTGTATCAGTTTTTTTTCATTTCTTTAAGTTGGATTTCACCTTCCTCTAGTGCCTCCTTGATTGGCTTAATAGTTGACTTCCTGAATTCTTTTTCTGGCAATTCAGAGATTTCATCTTGGTTTGGATCCATTGCTGGCGAGCTAGTGTGATCTTTTGGGGCTGTTACAGAGCCTTATTTTGTCATATTACCAGAATTGTTTTTCTGGTACCTTCTCATTTGGGTAGACTATATCAGAGGGACAATCGGGGACTCACGGGCTGCTGTTCAGATTCCTTTGTCTCACACAGTGCTCCCTTGATGTGGTGCTCTCCCCTTTCCCCTAGGGATGGGGCTTCCTGAGAGCCAAACTGCAGTGATTGTTATTTCTTTTTTTAGTCTAGCCACCCACTGGAGCTCCAGGCTGGTACTGGGGAATGTCTGCAAAGAGTCCTGTGATGTGATTCATCTTCAGGTCTCTCAGCGGTGGATACCAGCACCTGCTCCAGCAGAGGCAGTAGGGGAGCAAAGTGAACTTTGAGGGTCCTTGGTTGCATTATTGTTAAGTGCGCTGGTTCTGTGTTTGTTGGCCTCCAGCCAGGATGTGGTGCTTTCAAGAGTGCATCAGCTGTGGTAGTGTAGGGAGGATCAGGCCGTGGGCGGGGCCATAGAGCTTCCAAGAGATTATGCTCTTTGTCTTTGGTGTTCCTCAGCCGTCCCATGGAGCCTGCAGTGGCAATTCACCTCCGTCAGAGGGTCTGTGGATTATCTTGGCTTTCCTGGTATCTTCCTGCAGTAGTTCTTGGAGCAGAAGTTCACAATGTGGGTCTCCACACACTGCTTTGTCCTGCTGAGTAGGAGCTGCAAGTTAGTCCTGCCTCCTATCCACCATTTTCTTGTAAAGTCCCTAAGACAATATTTGTTGTGCTTATTCACTCCTGTGTTTCTTCTAGCTAAGTCTTGATTTCTAAAATGATTTTCTCCCTTATTTCTAATTCTTGAGTTCCATTACCTCAGTTTTGAATTTTTGTAATTTTAAGTTACACTGTTTTTTCATATTTTGTACATTTTCTTAATGCCTTTTAGCTTGTTTGGAAATAGTACTTTACACCTGTTATCTGTCTTTTGAATGTATCTTTCTGGTGTGTTTTATTGTATACAGATGTCATCCAGGTTCTTATTCTTTTTCCTGCAGTAATTTTATATAGAATTTGATCTCAATACCTTTATGTTGCTCATTTAATATGATTTCTGTTTTAAATTTTCAGAATGATCTAGGTTTAGATAGCTTTCTGTCTTCACAAATTTTCTTTTTCTTTTTGTTTTTGTGTAGTGTTAAATATATGGCATACTGCTTTCTATGATTTGCTGGCTTTATTCACTTTGCCTAATTTTATTTGGCTTTTCTCTTTTCTTTGTTTCTTGTATACCAATCCTTCTCAGTTTTCATTTTTCTCCCAGAAGTTTCTTCTTGGTGTGTGACCCTGTCCTACAAGGGAGTTTCAAGAGTTCAGAGGGACTAGACTGCTCCAAACTCTTTAGCCTTACCGTGGCTCTTTGCCCTTAAAAACTATTGGAGGGTGCAAAACCCTTCCTAGATGCAGCTGCTGTTTTCAGATTGGTCTGCCAAAGTTTAAGATGACTATTTTGTGCTATCCTGTTCTTAGGTCAGTCAGGTATATGCTTGCTTCCCTCTGTTTTCTCTCATACAGATTTCAATAACATTTAGATCTTGTGGTTATTGGTACTTTGTCTCTGTTTGTATTTTAGGGTTCATGGTGGTACCCTGTTTTCAATTTTTGTTGTAAATATTTTGAATTTTCTCTCTAGTTACTTTGACTGTTTTTACATGAGGTTTCCAGAAGATCCAAAAGCTGTACTGCTGTCATTATGTTCCCAGAATATAGATTAACAAAATAATATTGGTCAATGACCAAAAAATGGTCATTTTTATGTCAATGCATATAGATCTAACTCATTCTTTTTAATAGCTGAGTAACATTTAGGTTTAAAACACAATTTATTCAGTCATTTTCTTTGATTTTAACCTTTGTTAAATATATTGCAAATCTTTTCTCCCAGTCTATCTTTAAAATTTTAAATGAAATTTTAATTTTTATGTAGTCAAATCTTTTGATAATTACGGCTTCTGAATTCCAAAATATTCTTCTTAAATCATCCACCAATCCCAAAGTTACACAAATATTCTTTTAAGTATTCTACTGATAAACTTAATTTTTGAATAGTTTTTAAATTATTGTGTGATTTATTTTTTGTGTGATATCAAATAGGGTATAAGTCTTTTTTTCTGAATGGGTAGCCAATTATGCTTAATGGATAGCTGAAAAATAATGTTATTTATTTCAGGATAGTTATTAAATATAGTTCATTTTATCAAACATACTGTAAAACCATCTTTATTGTATGTAAAATTTCTATGTACTTGAATTGGTTTCTAGACTCTATATTTTCCTATTTGCATATTCCTCTACCAACACATTGTATTAAAGTTTATAGTAACTTGATGGTAATGCATTGTGTGTAGTAGGACAAGCATCTCTTTACTACTTTAGTTTCAATTTTTCGTGATAGTTGATTTTTAAAAAGTGTCTGTGCATAAACATAGTATAATTTTTACATTACAAAAACACTTTATTGTAATTTATTTGGAAGTGCATTAAGTTTATATATTAATTTGGAGAGATTGGCATTTATATGCTATTGTCTTTGTATCATGGAATATGCTACTGCTCCAAAGTTATTGAGGTCTCAATTTGATGATTGTGTGTGTATATAAAAAAGCATAGACTATACATTTTTTCTGTTAGTTCAGGGAATATTTTTAAAAGTTGTTCATGTTCTTGGTCACAATTAAAATTTTACCTTTCAAGAAGTACAGGTTCTGCAGAATATATTCTCCAAATATAGTCAAATAAAAATGGCAAACAACAATAAAAATAATCCAGGATAATTTTTAATACACCACTATTGATTATAAATTGTTTTAACAACCATAACTACTGTTTGACAGATTAAAACTGAGCACTGAACATACGTATACTCAATAACCCAACAATATCACAACTAGGTATAAACACCGTTTGTAGATGTGTAACAAATGCAATGTAAGGGTGTTTATAACAGTACTATTGATAATAACCCCAAACTGAAAACAATCAAATATAATTCACTAGTAAACAGAATAAATAAATTTTAGTATATTCAAACAAGAGAATATTATAGAGCAATAAGAATGAACAAACTATTATTACATGGAAAAACTAAATGACATCCATAGAGACAATATTAAATAAAAGAAACCAGGTAAGAAAGAGTATATGCTGCATAATATTGTTTATATAAAGTTTAAACATAGGCAAAACTAACCTATGGAAGTGGGATAATGGTACCTTTGAGGGAAATAGTGACTGGGAGGAAGTATGAAGACAACCGCTGTACTGATGATATTCTTTTTCTTGATAACTTTGTAAAAATTTATTAAGCTGTACACTTATGAATTATGCCCCTTTTGTATGTATGTCACGTTCTATTATGGCTTGAATGTCTCCCACAACATTCATGTGTTGGTAACTTAATTCCCAGTGCGACAGTGTTGAGAGGTGAGAGCTTTAACAGGTGATTCGGCCAGGTGCAGTGGCTCACGCCTGTAATCCCACACTTTGGGAGGCCCTGAGGTGGGCAGATTACCTGAGGTAGGGAGTTTGAGACCATCCTGACCAACATAGAGAAACCCCATCTCTACTAAAAATACAAAATTAGCCAGGCATGGTGGTGCATGCCTGTAGTCCCAGCTACTTGGGAGGCCGAGGCAGGAGAATCGCTTGAACCCAGGAGGTGGAGGTTGCAGTGAGCTGAGATTGCACATTGCATTCCAGCCAGGGCAACAAGAGTGAAATTCTGCCTGGAAAAAAAAAAAAAAAAAAATGGTGATTCAATCCTGAGGGCTCTTCCCTCATGAATGGTCTAATGTCATTATCATGGGAGTTGGATAATTATCATGAGAATGGGGATGGTGGGATTATTATAAAAAACAAGTTTGGCGCCCTCTTGCTTTCTTGCCCTTCCTCCTTCTGTCATGGGATGATGCAGCAAGAAGGCTCTCACCAGACTTGAGGCCCCCAACCGTGGACTTCCTAGCCTTCAGAAGTATCAGAAGTAAATTTCTTTTTAAAAATGAAGTACTCAGTCTGTGGAATTCTGTTATAGCAACATTAAATGGACTAAGACAGATAATTGGTACTGAGAAGCAAGGCTGTGGCTGTAACAAATAACTGAAAATGTAGAAGCAGATTTGGAGTTGGGTAATAGGTAGAGGCTAGAAGAATTTTGAGGAGCAGGCTAGAAAAAGCCTAGATTGCCATAAATGGAGTGTTAAGAGTGATTCTGATGAGGGCTCAGAAGAAGGGGAGAGCTGTAGGGAAAGTGTGAAACTTTGTAAAGATTGCATAAGTGGTTATAATCAGAATGTTGTTAAAAATATGAACAATAAAGACCATTCTAATGAAATCTCAGATGGCAAAGAGGGATATCTTATTGGAAACTGGAGTAAAAGTGATCCTTGTTATGAAGTGGCAAAGAATGTTGGTGAATTGTGTCCATGTCTTAGGGCTTTATGGAAAGAGGAATTCAGGAGCAATGAACTAGAATGTCTGGCTGAAGAAATTTCTAAGCAAAATATTGAAGGAGTTACATGGCTTCTTTTAGCTGCATACAGTATGATGCAAGAGGAAAGAAAAGACTTAAAGATGGAATTTACAATTAAAAGAGACAAAGAATGGAAAGATTTTGAAAATTTTCAGGCTGGCCATGTGAAGAACAAAAAAACGTGTTCAGGAAAGCAAACCACAGGTGTATCCAAGCAATCCTATGCTAAAATTAGTGCAGACAGAAGGGACCATCAAGACTTTGGGTGAATGACCCTGAAGGCACTTTGAAGATATCTAAGGCCTGACCCCAATCACATGCCTGAGCTCTAGGAGGGCAGAATGGTTTTGAGGGATGGGCCTGAAATGCCCTCCATGGGCTTGCTGCCCACAAACCTTGGGTTTCTGCTCTCTGTATTCTGGCACAGTGCTCCTTGGCTACCCCAGCAATGGCTCAAGGAGGCATGTGTGCATGTTGACCCACTGATCTGGAAGGTACAGGCCATAAATTTTGGCAGCAACCATGTGGTCCTAATTCTGCAGGTGCATGGTATACAAGAGTTGTGGGGCTTCCTCCATCTAGATTTCACATGGTGTTGCAGACAGCCTAGGGGCCCAGGAAGAGGCTTGTTTTAGAGATGAAGCCACCACAGAGAACCCTTTCTAGGGCAATGCTGAGTGGAAATGTGGAGTTGAAGCCACCACAGGGAGGCTCCACTAAGACAATGCCTAGTGGAACATTGGGAGTGAAATTATTCCCAAGACCCCAGAAGTGTAGTTACCAGCTTGTAGCATCCGCCTGGGAGAGTGGCAGGCACAAGACTCCAATCCATGAGAGCTGCTGAGTGGACTGAGTCCAGCAAAACCATGCCCCCACAGCAGTGTGCCCAGATTGTGGAACATAAAATCAAAGATTATTCTGAAACTTTAAGATTTAATGTTGTTTTCCCTTTGGGATTTTAGACTTATTTGGGACCAGTTACCCCTTTCTTCTTTTGAAATGGAAATGTCTGTCCTATGCCTGTCCTGCCATTGTATTTTGGAAGCACATAACTTGTTAATTTCACAGGATCACAACAGGAGAAGAATTTGCCTCAGGATGAATTGTGCCTTGAGTCTCACCCGTATCTGATTTAGATGAGACTCTGGACTTTGAACTTCTGAGTTGATGCTGGAACAAGTTGACTTTGGGGACAGTTGGGCTGGAATACGTGTATTTTGCATTGTGATAAGTATATGAATTTTGGGAGCCCAGGGGTGGGATGCTATGGTTTGCATGTACCCCCAAAGTTCATGTGTTGGGAACTTAATCCACAATGCAACAGTGTAGAGAGTGGTACCTTTAAGAAGTAATCAAAATGGATTAACGTCATTATTATGGGTGTGGGTTATTTATCACAAGAGTGAACTTGTTATAAAAGTGAGTTCAACCACCTCTTGCTCTCTGTCTCTCTGTCTCTGTCTCCGTCTCTCTCTCTCTCTCTTTCTCTTGCCCTTCCACCTTCCACCATGGGATGATGCAGCAAGAAGTTCCTCACCAAATGTGGGTTCCTCCACCTTGGACATTCCAGCCTCCAGAACTTGAAGAAATAAATTTCTTTTCTTAATAAATTACACAGTCTGTGGCATTCTGTTATAGTAACACACAACAGAGTAAGACACACTCTAATAACAAATTCACTTAATGTGTCCAGGATATATTGTTAAATGTACTTATTTCCTAAACAAACAAAAAGATACTCCCAAATCCATACAACCAAAGAAACACATATATCAATTCCAGCACACAAATAAACATTTCTCCCCAGATGCAACAGAAGGTTTTTGTTGTTATTCATCACTCTTTTTTACCTCATTTTTTTATAATCAAAAGAAGTTTTGACAAATGGCTCTGGAAGAATTACAATGTTGAGAAAAGATGAATATTAATGCAGAGGAAGGCACTGTCTGGTCCTGCCCATTTCTTTTAAAGTTATCGGGTTGATCCAGTGCCATGTAAACAGTGTCTATCAAGCAGAACTTCCAATCGCGTCACATTAAAGTTTTAAATCTGAATGCTTGGTCGAATCTATCTTTTTTTACCTTGTTTCCCGATTTCCCACAAATCAAAGTAGCCTCTGACCCCATGATTCTTCTACATTCAGGACTCTTCATGCCTCTTGTACATCTTACTTCTTTTCTTGACCATTATTCATATTCTCCTACTTATTCTGCTTAGGGTCACCCAGAGTAAACAGACGCCTGCCTCTCAGACTCCCACATCTTGGTGCACCTCCCCTCATCTGCCTCTAGATTGCTCCTGATTCTGAAAGAAGTTTCTGAACCAAGGATGCAGCATTTTGTTTTGCTTTTAATCTTTAAATTTCATTGTAACATTTAGACCTACAGAAAACCTACAAAAATAGTAGAAAAAATTCTTGTATAATTCTCTTCTAGATTTTCTAAATTAATATTACCACATTTGCTTTATCATTCCTCTCACTCTCTTTCTCTCTCTCTTTCTGTATTCTTGTTATTTGTCTTAGTTTTGTTCTTTAAAGCCACTGCAAACACTGAATTAGCAAATACCGAGTCATTGTTCCTAAGGGAAATACAGGGTTAGGTTCCCATGAGTCTCTGGTCACAACATTTTCCACAACTGGATTCCACAAATACAAAACTTTGTTTTATGTGTATTTCTGTTTAAAGACAACTTATTTAAAATATATTGTTGATTAACAGTGAACTCATGACCGACAGCACCATAACTCATGCCTGAACAGAGACTTTCTAACACATATATTCTCTCCAGAAGGCACAGCCTTCCTCCTGTTGGGAACACTAGACAGCACTTCAGCACTATGTCTGAGGGACATTTTAAACAGCAAAATCACCAATACAAAGCATAAGCATGTGAAAAATGTTACTCTAAATAGATTGTGAAAAGGACATTTGTTTACAGTGTGAGAGGTGAAACAAGAAGGCAGGGGATAGCTTGTTTGACCTCAGCTGGATTTGTGCTTATTTGGCAACTCATGTTTTCACCACTCTGTGCATGTCCACAAATGACTCCAAAAGTGTCACATGTATTGATTTTGTGATTACAAATCAATTTTAGTGAGGTATTGAATTTGGAAATATGGAACCCGTGAATAATGATTGACTACATGTATGTATATATGTATATAGGTATATGTGTTTAAATATACACTCATACACATGCATACACATATAGCTATATGCACACAAACATATTTCTGAATCATTTGAGAGTAAGTTGCAAACATGATACTCCTTTAGTTCTAAATAATTTAATATGTGTTTACCAAAAATAGGGATATTGTTTTCCATAACCGCATTACAATGATCACAATCAAGAAATTAACCTTAATAAAATGCTATTATCACAGTTAAAGATTTTATTTACCAAATATTTTTGGTAATGATTTTAGTTTACCAAATATTTCACTAAGGGCTGTTATATTTCAGAATGTAATCAAGAATCATGTTTCATTTTGTTGTCATATCCCTTCAGTCTCCTTTAATCTGTAAGAATTCCTTAGCCTTTATTTATTTTTCATTAGTATTGCTTTTTTGGTTGTGTCCGAGATGAAGATGTATTATAAGGAGAAAATTATAAAAATCATATATTTTTTATATTTATATAAATATAATTTATATCCCAGCACTTTGGGAGGCTGAGGCGGGTGGATCACAAGGTCAGGAGATCGAGACCATCCTGGCTAACATGGTGAAACCCCGTCTTTACTAAAAATAAAAAAAATTAGCCAGGTGTGGTGGCACACGCCTGTAGTCCCAGCTACTCAACATGATTATATGTCATTAGATCTTTAGACTTGTTCATTCTACACATCTGCTAGTTTGAATCCTCTAACCTATATCTCCCCATTTCCACCCCACATCTTCCCTGCCCCTAGTAACCATTGTTTTGTTCTTTGTTTCTGTATATTTAAATTTTTTTTTAAGATTCCACATATGAGATCGTGCAATATTTTTCTTTCTGCGTCTGGCTTATTTCATTTAGTAACTTCCCCCAGGCTCATCCATGTTGTGGCAAATGGCACGACCACATTGTTTTTTAGGAATGAATAATATTCCTTATTCATGTGTCGCTTGATGAACACATAGGTTGTTTCCACATCTTGGCTAGAATAATGTTGCAATGAATATGGGAGTGGTAGTTTCAATTTTAATTTCTTTAGAAACCTCCATAATCTTTCCCATAATGGCTGTATCAATCTACATTTCTGCCAACAGCACACAAGAGTTTCCCTTTCTTCATACCCTCAACCAGCATTTATCTTTTTTAATTTTCATTTTTTACAGGAGCCATCCTAATGATGTGATGTAGTTCTCATCATGGTTTTGATTTGCACTTCCCTGATGGCTAATGATGTAGAACACTTTTTCATATACCTGTTGGCCGTTTTTATGTTTTCTCTGGAGAAAGATCTGTTTGGGTCCTTTGCCCATTTTTTAATAGGATTATTTGTTTTTCTAGTATTAAGCTGTCTCAGTTCTTTATAAATTTCGAATACTAACGCCTTATTTGATAATATGGTTTGCAAGTTTTTTTTTGATCTGTAGGATGTTGTTTCATTTTGTTGATTGTATGCAGAAGCTTTTTAGTTTGATGTAATCCGATTTATTTATTTTTGTTTTGGGGGCCTGAGCTTTTGATGTGATACTCAAAAAAATTATTGCCAAAGCCATTGTTCAGGAATTTTTCCCCTATATTTTTTTCTAAGAGTTTTATCGTTTCTGGTCTTACGTTTAGGTATTTTACCGATTTTGAGCTGAATTTTGTGTATGGCATAAAATGTAAGTCAAATTTCATTCTTTTGCACGTAGAAATCCAGTTTCCCCAGCATCATTTGTTAAAGTGACTTTCCTTTCCCCAGTGTGTCCTCTTGGTGCCCGTGTTAAAAATTAGTTGATTGTATGTGGTTGGATTTATTTCTATGCTCTCTATTCTCTCGTGCCTTTGTGTCTGTTTTTACACCAGTACCATACTGTTTTGATTACTATCACCTTGTAAAAGAGTTTTAAATCAGAAAGTATAATACTGCCAACTTTTGTTTCACAGAATTGTTTTGGCTATCCAGGGTCTTTTGTGGTTCCATATAAATTTTAGGATTATTTTTTCTATTTCTGTAAAGAATATCCTTGGGTTTTGATAGGGATTGCATTAAATTTGTAAATTGCTTTGAGTAGTATGGACGTTTTAACAATATTAATTCTTCTAACCCATTGTCATGGAATATCTTTCCATTAATTTGTGTCCTCTGTAATTTATTTTGTCAATGTTTTATTGTTTTCAGTGTGCAGGTCTTTTACCTCCTTGGTTTAATTTATTACAAAGTATTCTAATTTTTTGATGCTATCACAGTCTAGTTTTCTTGATTTTTTTTTTTTTTCAGTTAGGCTGTTATTTAGGCATGAAAAAATGCTACTGGACTGGGTGCGGTGGCTCAAGGCCTGTAATCCCATTACTCTGGGAGGCCCAGGTGGGCAGATCACTTAAGGCCAGGAGTTTGAGACCAGCCTGGCTAACATGACAAAACCCTGTATCTACTAAAAATACAAAAAATTATCTGGGCATGGTAGCAGGTGCCTGTGATCCCAGCTATTCAGGAAGCTGAGGCAGGAGAATCGTTTGAACCTGGGAAGTAGACGTTGCAGTGACCGGAGATCATGCCACTGCACTCCAGCCTGGGTGACAGAGTCAGGCTCCATCTCAAAAAAAAAATAAAAAAAAAAAGCTACTGGTTTTCTAATGCTGATTTTGCTTCCTGCAACTTTACTGAAATGATTTATTAGTTTTAATAGCTTTTTTTGTGGAATCTTTTTTTTTTTAACATAGAGAATCATGTTATCTGCAAGTAGATATAATTTTACTTCTTTAAATATACATCCTAGTATTATTAAGATGGCATCCAGTGAAACATCAAGTAATCTTGTAAACTACATAACTGCTATGCTGTCTTTACTTTTTTCACTCCCTAGCTTCAAATACAAAAACATAGAAACAATACAAGAAAAACAGAATATGCTTTATCAAAACAAAAACATAAAAACAATACAAGAAAATCAGAATATGCTTTAGCAAAACAAATCCAAAGAGAACGATGAAAACTTTTCATCAGAAGGAGGGCTAGAGGTAATTTCATTATCATTTTACCATTAGCATTTCCCATGGGTTTGCATTTACTTTTATTGTTAATCTTGACTTTTAAGATTTGTGAAAAGCACTATTTACAAAGCTGTTAGCGGGATCTCCCTTAAGGTAGGAGATAAATGGACTTGATTAGTCTGTGTTCTCAGGCATGTTGGAAAGGGAGATATCCTGGGAGTTAAGTTTGAATTTAGGGACTGTAATTCCAACACAGAAAAGTCTATCTTCTTAACTAGAATACTTGTTCTTGTCCCGGCGGTGTAGTGAATATGCTGCATGGTCAAATTGGTTTGTATAAGTGGAAACTGATAATATGTGAGAACGCCATGCTGCAGAAGTGAAGTTTGGTGGCATTTGAGCTTCTAAATAAGAGCTAAGCAAGTTTCCCTGATTCTTCTGCCTTCATTTGGAAACATATCATCAGAAACATCAAACTGGAGGAAATGTAAGAAATCATCTTGCCTTTCTAAATTTTGAGGTGTTTTTTTTTTCTATTAAAATAGATGTATATTTTTAAAAAGCTAACATTCACAGAGTCTTAATGATGTGCTAGATGTATTTCATTACTTAATTTTCACAACAATTGTCTCAGGTATGTGTTACTATTTACAACTTACAGATGGTAAAAGTGAAGTGCAATAATTTGCCCTAGATCACACAGCTAATAAGTGATCAATTGAAGTCT
Source organism: Homo sapiens (assembly GCF_000001405.40). Taxonomy (NCBI): domain Eukaryota; kingdom Metazoa; phylum Chordata; class Mammalia; order Primates; family Hominidae; genus Homo; species Homo sapiens. Next base: position 148,611,914 of record NC_000004.12, read on the forward strand.
GAAGTCAGAACTAACGAAAAAGTTTCTGATGATCTCATTACATCACTCTTATTTCCTGGGTCGAATATTTCCATCTTCTCTGATGGATTTGTTACTATGCTAATAGTTATTAATACGTATTAGTGGTCTTAAGAAAAATTATCAATTAGGTAAAATCTGCTCTTGGTACCTTCCTAGCCATCATCTTAAACAAGACATTTACGTATCTAGCTCGTATGTCTTGGTCCAGTGTCTTTAAAGATTTATTTCCATTATCTATCACTCGAATTTTCTCTGATCTGAGGGTGTCACCTAGGTGGACCAATTAGTATTTGTAAATGTGAAAATGGGAAATAACTAGATGAGTACCTTTGGGAGACCATATGCACATTTTTTTCTAATACAGTGTTAGTATTGGTGTCTGATTCTTTGAGGTGAGATTTTTCAGCCAATCCATAGAAAGTAGTTTGGTGTCAGGTCTACTAATGAGGTAGAGAGGAGCACATCTGTAAAAAATAGATTATTAATGCTCAAAATTTCTCTGTTACCTGTTTTACAACCCTTGACAGGTTAACAAAATCCACGCAGGAAATTAAAATGGTATATTAGGAGATTTAAAGGAGGTCTGACTTCTGTAGGACCAAGCAGGTTTTTATTATTAAATAATGCATAGAGAAGTTTAAGAATGTTTGTGAAAAGGTTTTCATTATTTTTCACCATGAAAAAAAATGTAAAATATAGTAGCAGAAATATCAAAGTTTGAATGAAACAGTTATGATAATTTCAATTGTAAGTTGAAATCATCCAGCAATCTCTAAACCTACAGCATTTCATGTATTTCATTGTGCAGGAGAGCTTCAAATGGCTGGAGAGTTTTACAATACCCTTAGCCAATACCCTTACCTTATGAGATGGAAACATAGAGAAGTTTTTGTTGCATTCAAAATGTCTGAAGATTATTGCATGTCAAAGGAAAATTCACTTCTGAGCTCTATGTGTTTAATGTTGCTGAATGAGAAAAAAATGAAAGATTTGACCAGTTTATTACAAAGCTTGAGATACAATTAGTCTACTGGTGAATAAAAACATGAAAACTTAGGAAATGAAGTGGAAAATCATCATTATCAAATACATGTTACTTTTTGCAATTTCAAAGCAAAAAAACCATACACATATACATATAAATATACATGTGCACAGAGTTTACTATCATCTAGTGCCAAATTAAGTTACATAAGAGAGGGGAGGAGAGTCAAATAGCTGTAAGGCAGGACAGTGAAGGTAAATTGCTTTTTTGCTAAGAAAAAGTACTATTTCTGATTCTCCATACTCAGGGAACTGATAAGAAAATTTTGTTAAATAAATAAATGCTTATTAAATTCCAGAATCTGCATTGATCTGCTTCAGTAAAATGATTATATTTCACACAGTTACTGTGATTGGAGCTACCTCCTTGTTATGTTTATAGTACCCTCATCTGCCGTTGTTCATGGGATATTTGTGAAGGCCTAGATGAATTGATAGAGAAATGATGCATCACCACTACATCCTTAAATTCTTTGATGGTAGTAGACATCCCTGCAATTCTTTGTGAGATATGGTATTTCTTCTGATTTACTTACTTTGGATTATTTACCTTGGCCAGGAGACACAAATTTCAGGGACTTTCTACTGTATCTCCCATTCCAGCCAATGTGACCTGCTATATATATATATATATCTGCATCAATTACACATTTATAACCTGAGGAAAGAACCAGAGTGAGTTCAAGGACCTATGGATGTACTATCAGATTATCCTGGGCTATAACTGCATTGATTACTTGGCTTCTATAAGCCCTCTTTAAAATTAGAGGACTAAGATTGTATTTTGCATTGCCTTGGAAAATCTAGGTATTACTTGTTTCTAAGTGGCCTTTACCCTGGCAAAATAGCTTAGGGTTTCTTTGGAGCAAGCAAGAAAGATAATTATCATATATTCCTCGGGTTTCATTGCAGGGTCATTCTTCAAAGAGATCTTATCACCCATTCAAACAATATTGACAAATGTAGATCTAGAAGCTGGATGAATATGGTGATTTTCCATTATGGTACCTGACATCAGCTTTCTGCTCACTGGGTCTTAATTTCTTTTTTTATTGCACCAATCAAACAATTTAGAACTTAGCTGTTCTTATATCTCAACTGTATGGACATCACGATTTATTCACCATCACTGGAAATCCCTGTGTGTCAAGCACGCTAAGTACCTCTCTGGTCTTGATGCCATGATATTAATTACATCTACCTTGCCTCTGATGGTTAGGTGTTTCCAACAACCTTCTGCCAATCCGGAGGTCATTTCTATGGCAAAGGACAGTAACCAGTGAGCTTCTCAAAAATTCCAGTTCCCCATAACAACAAAACATTGATCCCTGGGCTTGATTCAGAGATAGACAAATAGATGAGAGAGGCCAGAAATAGACTCATATTGGAGAATTTGGTGTAAAACAGTAGTGACCTTACTGGCCAGTGGGGAATCAGTGAGGCAAAGATGTAATAAACAGGGCTTATAAAATAAATAACCAAAAAAAATTTGGCTTGCATTAAGGAAAAAATAATTATATTTCTGGTTATATCCATATCTCACACCATACAAAAATAAATTCCAGATGGAAATATCTTAAATATGGAGAACAATACTAAAAATGTTTTACAAGAACACATAGGATAATTTCAGGGCAGAAAAAGACTTTTTAAATAAGAATACAAGAACTAAAGGCACCACCTCTAACAGAAATGTTGATAAATTTGACAATTCTAACATTAAAACTATAATCTGAAGGGAAGTCACAGATTTGGAAGAAAATATTTACAATCTTTCAGCACAAGATTCATTCCCAGACTATTCGAAGGCCACCTACCAGTAAGTAAAGATAAAATCTAGTGTGAAATCGGCCAGGTGTGGTGGCTCATGCCTGTAATCCCAGCACTTTGGGAGGCCAAGGTGGGCAGATCACGCGGTCAAGAGATCAAGACCATCTTGGCTAACATGATGAAACCCCGTTTCAACTAAAAGTAAAAAAAATAGCTGGGCCTGGTGGCAGGCACCTGTAGTCTCAGCTACGTGGGAGGCTGAGGCAGGAGAATCACTTGAACCCGGGAGGTGGAGGTTGCAGTGAGCTGAGATTGCGCCTCTGCACTCCAGCCTGGGGACAGAGAAAGGCTCTCTCTCAAAAAAAAAAAAAAAAATCTAGCGTCAAACAAGTAATATGAACAGTAAATTCACAGAAGAAGTTATCCAAATGGCAAATAATAAATAATAAAAATTAAAGTCACAATAATTTAATATTTTACACATATCAGACTTCTATAACTTTAAATATCTTATACCTTCAAGCGTTGCAGAGGGTGAGGAGTAACAACAGTTTTATGCACTGCTATTGGTAAAATTCCTAGTAATATCTAAGAAAGCTGAATGTGTTCACATCCTATGCTACAGCAATTCCATTTCTAGGATGATTATAATGGGATTCACAAAGAAAATGTCTTCCTCCCTAGCTTGTCATATTTAAAAGTCCTACAAACAGATACATGCCTTTAGATTAAGTTAGTGTTTATAAAAGGTTGTGATTGAAATGCAAACAACTTTCATTGAAAGAATAAATTATTAACCAACAACATGGATTATTTTATGAATGTAGCTTTTATCTCCTAGAAAACAGTACTAAGGGAGTGACACGTGGGGGAAGGCCCAAAATAAACATCTTAAAAGTTAAAATTAATATTGCCTGATGGCAATAGAAACATTGACATCTTTCTTTGTTGTCCAATTTTTATTCAGCTATATCTTCTTAGTTAGGCCTTTACTGAGGTCTGTAGGCTCCCAGGTTCCGTGAAGTCTTCAGTTCTGTAGAAGCACCAGCAGAGACTACTAGTGAGGGGGTTTCCCCCATGAGTTCAAGAAACACTTGGAGATCTGCATGGGAGCATGGATGTAAGGATTATAAGGTGAACAATTCTAGAAAGTATCTTGATCTGTAAGCATTATGGATGAGGGTTGTAGGTAACATTGGCTGTCATGAATATTACTGGTCTTCCGGACTTCCAAAGGAAAAGAAGTAATTGAGTCATTCCAGCCCTAAGCTTGGGAGACTATGAGGAAAAGGGAGGCTTCCTCAAAGTCAATAATCCATCAGAGGACCAGAAGGGACACTGTTGAGCTCTTAGCCATTTTAGGGAATGCTGCCTCTTAAAGAAATCCAACAACCATGAGTCCCAGTGAGCAATCAAAAACAAAAACAAAAACAGAAAGCATCCAAAATCATCATCATCATCATCATCATCATCATCTTAGTGGGTCCAAAAGGCTGAGAAAAGTTATGTGATAAACAGACCACATGCGCAGTGAATTGCAACTAGTGAAATAGGCAGATGATAACATAAACAGAAAAACAATAATTGCACTTGAAGAAATTAAAATGGAATTAGAACTACCGAAATAGACAGATGACAACATAAACAGAAAAACAGTAATCATACCTGAAGAAATTAAAATAGAGCCACATAGCAAAATGTGACCTAAATGCAGTACATAAGCCAAAAACATAAATTCATAACTAGATAAATCAATGGATAGACTTTATGCTACCAGCAATAATGTAGTAATTGGGCCTAACTTACCCTCCCACAGTAAAAAAAAAAAAAAAAAAAAAAAAACAAACGGAAAATTGAACAACTATATGGAAAAACAGTTTTATGACAGTGGGCAACAGGCGGTGAAGGTTATAGTGGTCCCAGGAGAAGGCACACAAAAGAGGTGAGCCCTACACCTACAATCTATTAATGCAATTGATTTGTTGCCTGCAGGCATTTTCCAGATCATAATGCATGTATGGTCTTCCAAGCAGAATATAGTAATTTCAATGAATTGAGGAGACAAAAATAAGAATTTGGGGAGTTTAAGGCAGCTAAACATTTGGGCCTGAGTTCCAGAGGAGAAAGAACTATGCAGAAAAGAGATCCAGACATTTTCAGAGGAGTTCCTTTGAATCTGTTGCATTTTTGAGGTGAAACTCCATGACAATTCTTGAAAGCTTACGTAGATTGTAAAGATATTTGAGTTCTGACTAGTCAGACCAGAGTGTCCTTGTTAAAAACCCAGACAATTTAGTGGAAATACTAGGAGAATCTTGCCTTAGTATTAGTACAAATCTAGCTCCAGCATAAAGACTATTCTAAATCCATCATAAGAAAGTTTAAAAACAATCCTCTGAATGATCAAGTATGCATTTAATTTAAGTGAATTTCACAGCAAAGTTCACCACTGTTTAAAGGAAGAAAACATAATCCAGTATTTAACTGTATAAATTTCACAATATTCAGAATCCAATAAAATTACTAGATATGACAAGGCAGGAAAATATATTCATTATAAGGAGAAAAATCAGTCAATAGAAACAGACTTATAAATGCTAGACATAATGGGAATATCAGTCAAAGAAACAGCTATAGCATGTAAAGGGAGCTATTAATATAATGAGGAGAGAAATAGAATATATAAAAATGACAAATAGTATTTCTAGAAGTGAAAAATTGACTGCAAGGAATTAATAGATTAAATTCTGTAGAAAAAAATCTCAGTGATCTGGAAGATATGGCAATAGAAACATTTTAAACTATAGCAGAGAGAGAAAAGAGGTTGGAAAAAATGAACAGAACAGAAAATAAAAGAAATCAATAACTAGGTCTTTGAGAAGATAAGCAAAATTGATAAACACTAGCTAGACAGATGGTGTAGGAAAGAGAAAAGACACAAATAACCAATATCGGAAATGAAAGATAGGAAATTACCACAGACTCTACAGGCATTAAAAGGATAATAAGAGATATTGTAATAAACTCTAGGCCACCATTAGTCAACAAAATGGAAACCTGGATATTTTAATATCCTTATTTTATTCAGGAAATTGCATTAATTCGATAATTGAATTAACCCCCACCCCCAATCCAAGTAGATGTAGTTTCACTGGCTAATTTGATCAAACACTTCAGGAAGAAATAATACCAATGCTATATAAACTCTTTCATAAAATAGAAAAGGAAATACTTCCCAACTTATTTTAAGAGGCCAGCATTATCCTGATACCAAAAGTAGATCAGAAATTATAACAAAAGAAAACTACAGACCAGTATTTCTTATGAACATAGATGCAAAAGCCTTTAAAATACATTTGTAAATAAATGCAGCAAGCAAGAAAAAGGACACTATATTACTATTAAATGTGTTTATTCTCAGGAATGCAGATTGCTTTAATGGTCAAAGATGAATCCATGTATTTGCCAATATTAAAAGACTAAAAAGGAAAACCCACACAATCATATCAATAGATGAAAAAAATTAACAAAGTTTAGTACTCACTTATAATAATACATTCAGCAAACAGAAGGTAGCTTCCTCATCTAAATAAAGAGCATCTGCAAATGAATAAATAATATGTGGAAAAAGATGGCCACTGTTCATATGCCAATTAATGCTTGGAAGGTTAATTCGATAAAAGATTTAAAAGCACAGAGCAAAAACATGAAGATTTGGAAATCATGAGGGAAAGGACAGAAGACAATAGCTTCAGAACATCTAACATTAAAAAAATTGGCGTTTTGGAAGGTATGCGACAGAGCAAAACAAGCAACTATTTAACAAGATTTTTTTCCTAAGTGAAGAAAGATTGAATGCAGTATTCATGCAGTATTCATGCAGTATTGAAGACACTTATAAAAATAGTGAATTCTAAGTATAAAGATATGCTATAAATTTTCAAACAAAATAAGAATATTATTCAAAAAGAATGTTTTCTGCCCAAGAAAATGAATTGGAATATCATCAGCCACTTACCTGCAACACTAGAATGCAGAAGACTGGAATAATATCTATGAATTACAGAAAGAAAAAGAGTTATAATTCAGGAGTCTTCTATTCAAACTAGATGTCATGCACCTGTTAAGGAGAAAGAAAAGTATTTGAAGATGTCCAAGAAATTATAAAACTTTTAACATATTATTATAATGTGGATATTTCCCCCTAAACCTCATGTTGAAATTTGATCCCCAATGGTGTAGATAAGGCTTGATGGAAGGTGTTTGAGTCATGGGGGTGAATCCCTCATGAATGGCCTGGTGCCATCCTTGTGGTAATGAGTGAGTTCTTGCTCTAGTAGTTCCCATGATAGCTGGTTGTTAAAAAGAACCTAGCACCTCCCTCTCCTCTCTCTTTTGCTTCCTCTCTCACCATGTGATCTCTGCACATACCAGCTCCCCTTCACCTTCTGCCATGAGTGGAAGTAGCTTGTGGCCCCCATCAGAAGCAGATGCTGATACCATACTTCTTGTACAGCCTGCAGAATCATGAGCCAGATAAACCTCTTTTCTTTATAAAGCACCCAGCATCATTAACCAATTTGACCTAATTGATATAAGGAATAATATACACTTTCCACATGGCCATGGGACATTGAACAAAAAGAGTATATTCTGAGTCATGAAGAAGTCTTAAGAAATGTCAAATGATTGAAAGCATACAATATATGTTCTCCTACTAGATTGGAAGTAAGCCAGAAATAAATAGCAGAAACATAGAAAAAAAAATCAAAATATCTGGAATTCTCAAATTTCAAATTTTTAATCAGTACTTTTCAAGATAACTCATTGCATCAAATAGGAAAGACCATTTGAAATTATGAAGTATTTTGAACAGACCGGTCATGAAAATAGGACACATCAAAACTTGTAAGACATAGGTAAAACAGTACTTAGAGTATACCATTAGCTTCAAATGTATATATTAGAAAAAAAAGGTTGAGAATCTACCATCAAAGCTTATATCTCATGAGAATAGAAAAGAACTACAAATTAAATAGAAAAGAACTACAAATTAAATACAAAGAAGGCCAAAAGAAGTATATGTAAATATAAAAGCAAAAATAAAGTAGAAAACAAACCTGCAGGTAAGAATATTTACAAAGCCAAAAATTGTTAATTTTCTGTGTCAACTTCACTGGGCCATGAGGTACCCAGATATTTGGTTAACCATTTTTCTGAGTGTGTCTGTTAGGGTGTTTCTTTATGAGGTTAACATTTGAATTGGTAGACTGATTAAAGCAGATTGCCCTCCCTAATGTAGGTTGGCCTTATCCAATTTATTGACAGCCCAAATAGAATAAAAATGCTGTGTAAGGGAGCTTCATTCTCTCTCTGACTGCCTTTGAGCTGAGACGCCAGTCTTTTGCCTTCAGACTTGGACTTGGAGTCAGACTGGAATTTATATCATTAGATCTTCTGCTTCTCAAGCCTTCAGACTTAGATGGGAACTATACCAGCAGCTCTTCTGGGTCTTTAGCTTGCTGACTGAAGATCTTGGGATTACTCAGCCTATATAATTTTATAAGCAATTTCTTATAATAAATATCTTTTTATGTAGATCCTCTATTGGTTCTGTTTCTTTTGAAAACCCTGACTAATATGATTACATCCTTGAACATTTCAATAAAATTTTATTAATAACTAGAAAGACTTATCAAAAATAAAAGAAAGAAGCCAATAGTTACTATTAGGGAAGAAAAGGTTTTATCACCATACTCCCTAAAGAAATTAGAAGTATAATGAATCATATTTTGTACAACTCTATGACAATAAACTTAACACCTAAGATGAACTTTTTAAAATCTTGAAAAATACACTTACCAAAACTGACACAAGAAATAATTGAAAAATCTAAATAATTTATATATATTAAAGAAATTAAATCCTCAAGTAAAAACTTTCCCATAAAGACTTCAGGAAGAGATGGCCTCACTGATGAATTCTCCAAAACTTTTAAAGAAGAAAATATATCAGTCTTAAAACAACTTTTTCAGAGACCAGATAAAGAGGTAATACTTCTTGTTTTATGAGACCAACATAATCCTAACATCAAAGCCTGAAAAGAATATCAAAAGAAGGGAAAGTTATAGGCTTATGTATTTTATGAAAACAGATGCAAATTCTTAAACATAAGATTAACAAATTGAATCTATTAATATGTGGAAACTATAATACCTCATGACTAAGTGAGGTCCATCCAAAAAATACAAGGTTGTCTTAACATTCAAAAATCAATGAATTAAAAATATTAACCTAATTTATCACATTAACAGAATAAGGGAAAGAAAAATCCACATGATCATCTCAATAGATGCTGAAAAACCATTTGATAAAATTTAACCCATATTTATGATAACAACTGAGAGTACAAAAAGCATCTTTAACCTGAGAAAGAACACATATATGTATTTTTAAAAAAACAGCTAATGTAGTCAGGAGAACAATGCATGGGCAAAGTTAGAATTTCACCAAAGAGATATGAAATATAAAGAAGTGCTAAACAGAAATTTTGGAGCTGAAGGATGTAATAGCTGAATAACAAAATTTAGTGGAGCAGTTCAACAGCCAACTAGATTAAGCAGAAGAAAGAATTAACGAACTTGAAGACAGGACATTGAAAATTATCCACTCAGAGGAGAATTTAAAAAGAGTGAAGAAAATTTAAGGCACTTATAGAAAAACATTAAGCAGTTAAGCAGACCAATCAAGTCCAGAGAGAGAGAGAGAGAGAGGAGAGCAGAAAACTTATTCAAAAGCAATGTCTGAAAATGTCCCAAATCTGGGGAAGGAAGGGGGCATGCAGATTTGGAAAGCCCAGTGAATCCTGAATAAGAAGAATCCAAAGTAATCAACATGGAGACACATTATAAGCAAATTGTCAAATGTCAAAGACAAGGAGTAAATTTTAAGAACAGCAAGGGGAAAGGGACTTCTCATGTACAAGAAAATCTCAATAGTATTAATGGATTTTGCAGCAAAGATCTCACAGTCCAGAAGTGAGTGGGATCAATGTGCTGAAATTAAGAAAAAAAAAAAAAAGAAAAAAAGAAAAAAGGTCAATCAATAATAACATTTCCAGCAAAACTGTTCTTCAAAAATAAAGGAGAGATAAAGACTTTTCAAGAAAAACAAAAGCTGAGGGAGTTCACTGCCACTACATATTCCTTACAAGAAATGCTCAAGGGAGTTTTTCAGGTTGAAATGAAAGTATACTGAACAGCCGTACAAAAGCCTATGAAAGTATAAAACTTACTGGTAAAGGTAAATATATGGAAATACAGAGAACGATAATACTCTAATAGTGATGGATAGGCCATTTTAAATTCTAGTTTAAAAGTTAAAAGACAAATGTATTTTAAAAACTGTCACTATAAAAATATCTTAATATATATTATAAAAAGATGTAAATTGTAAAATCAATAACATGAAGTAAGAATGTGTGAGAAGAAAAAATATAAAATCTCTGTATGCTATTGAAGTGAAGTTGTTATTGGCTTAAAGTAGACTGTTATAACTATAAGATGATTTATGTAAACCCTATGGTAACCTTAACAATATACCTATAGGAAATAGATAAAAGAAAAAAAGAAAGGAATTAAAGTATATCAATTTTAAAAATCAAGGAAACCCAAAGGAATAAAGCAAGAGAGGAAATGAGATAAAAGAACTACACAACAGAAAAAAATTAACAAAATGGCAACAGTAAATCTTTCCCTATCAATAATTACTTTAAATGTAAATGGATTAAATTTCTCAATCAAAATACAAAGTAGCTTGGGAGGCCAAGGCGGGTGGATCAGAGGATCAGGAGTTTGAGACCAACCTGACCAACATGGTGAAACCCCATCTCTACTAAAAATACAAAAATTATCTGGGCATGGTGGCAGGCACCTGTAATCCCAGCTACTTGGGAGGCTGAGGCAGGGGAATCATTTGAACCTGGGAGACAGAGGTTGCAGTGAGCCGAGATCGCATCCGAAAAAAAAAAAAAGAAAAAGCAAAAAAAGAAAAAGAAGGAAACACACACAAAAAAACAAAAAGACAAAATACAAAGTAGCTGAATGGGTTAAAAAAAAAAAGATCCAAGAACAAGCTGTCTACAAGAAATTCACTGTAAAGTTAAAGATACTCATAGGCTAAAAGTGAAGAGATGGTGTGGTAAGATATTTCATGCAAATGGCAACCAAAAGAGAGCCAGGTATGAGTAGCTATACATATCAAACAAAATAGTGTTTAAGTAAAAAATGTCACAAGAGATAATGAAAGACATTATGTAATCATAAAAGGATTATTTACCAAGAAAGATATAACAATTATAGATCAATATACGCCTAACATCAGAGCATATATATATATATATAGATATTCAGATATATATCTATAGATGTATAAATAATAGTAGGAGATTTCAATACCAAGTATCTATTTATAATCTACTTTTATTGAATTACTATTTCTTCCCTCTGTTTAATCAATGTTTGCTTATGTATATAAGCATATATAAATATATAGCAAACACTGATTAAACGGAAGGGAGAAATAGCAATACAGTAATAGGAGATTTCTATACCCATTTTCAATAATGTCTAGAATATCTAGAGAGAAAAATCAATGAGGAAACAGTGGACAATAATATAGGCCAAATGGACCTAACAAATATATAAAAAACATCCCACTCAACAGCAGCAGGATATATATTATTCTCAAGTGCACATAAAACATTCTTCATGGTAGATCACGTTAGGTCACAAGATAAGTCTTAACAAACTTAAGAGGACTGAAATCATACCATGTATCTCCTCTGACTACAATGAAATTAAACTAGAAGTCAATGGCTAAGAAAAACTGGAAAATTCACAAATATGTGGAAATTAAACAGTACATTCCTGAACAACCAATGGGTTAAAAAATCAAAAGTTAAACCAGAAAATATCTTGAGATAAATGAAAATGAAAATAAAACATATTATAATCTATGGAATATAGCAAAAGCAGTCCTAAGAAGGAAGTTTATTGTAGTAAGGGACTTCATTAAAAATGAAGGAAGAACTCAAATTAACAATTTTACACCTCAATAAACCAGAAATAGAAGAACAAACTAAGTAATAGTTAGCAGAAGGAAGGAAAATAAAGATTAGAGCAGACATAAATGAAACAAATAATGGAAAAACAATTTAAAAATCAATGATATTAAAAGTTGGTTTTTCAAAGGATACACAAAATTGACAAAACTTTAGTTAGATGGAGATAAAGAGAGAAGACTCAAATAAATAAAATCAGAAATGAAAGAGGAGACATTACAACTAATGCTTCAGAAATGTGAAAAAAGATCATAATAGACTACTATGTACAATTATATGCCAACAAACTGTATGGCTCAGAAGAAATGGATAAATTCCTAGAAACATATACGACATGATCAAATCAGGAATAGGAAATATGAACTGATTGATAACTAGTAAGGAGATTGAGTCAGTAATCTAAGCCCTCCAAACAACAATAAAGAATTCCAGAGCCTGATGGTTTCACTAATAAATTCTACAGAACATTTAAGGAAAAAAGTGATACCAATATTTCTAAAACCCTTTTAAGAAGTTGAAGAGTAGGAAATACTTCCAAACTCATTCTAAGATGCCAGAAATACTCTGATGCCGAAGCCAAACAAAGACACTACAAGAGAATAAAATGACAGGCCAATATGCCTGATGAACATAGATGTAAAATCCCTATAGAAACAAGCAAACAGAACTCAACAGCACATTAAAAGGATTATACACCATGACCACATGGGATTTATTCCTGGAATGCCAGGATGGCTCAATGTGTAAAAATAAATTAATGTGACACACCACACTAACAGAATGAAGAATAAAAATCACATGATCATCTCAATAGGTGCAGAAAAAGTATTTGACAAAATTAAATGCATTTTTATTATAAAAACTGTTATTCAACTAGGAATAGAAGGAAATTACCTCAACATAATAAAGGCCATATGTAAGAACTCCACAGCTAACATCATACTCAGTGGTAACAAACTGAAAGCTTTTCCTCTAATATTAGGAACAGACAAGAGTCCACTCTCACCACGTCTATTCAACATAGTACTTATCTTAGTCCATTTTCTGATGCTGTAACAGAATACCTGAGACTGTGTAATTTATTATAAAAAAATTTATTTGGTTCATGGTTCAGGTAACTGGGAAGTTCAAGATCAGGCAGCTGCATCTGGTGAGGTAACTTATACTTCTTCCACTCGTGGAAAGTGGAAGAAGTGTGCTCATGCAAAGAGACCAAACATAAGAGGCATCCTTGCTTTATAACAACCCTATCTCATGGTAACAAATCCTTTCCTGTGAGAGTGAGAACTCATTCTGGCAAGAAAGGCATTAATTTTTCTTAATAATCTAATCATCTCTTAAAATTACCACCTCCTAACACCACCACATTGGGAAGCAAGCCTCAACATGACTTTCAGTGGGGACAAATCATATTGAAACCATACCAGTACTGGAAGTCCTAGCTGGAGCAATTAGGCAAGAAAAAGAAATAGGTATCCAAATTGGATGAAGAAGAAGTAAAATTATCCCAATTTGCGGATGACATAATCTTATATGTAGAAAGCCCTAAAGACTTCACACACACGCAAAAACTACTAGAATGAATAAACCAATTCAGTAACATTGCAGGGTACAAAATCATCATACAAAAATCAGCTGTGTTTATATACATTAACAACAAACTACTCAAAAAAAAGGGAAAAAAATCTCATTTACAATAGCATTGAAAAGAACAAAATATTTAGGAATAAACTAAGTATGTGAAAGATTTGTACACTGAAAACTATAAAACACTGAGGAAAGAAAGAAGATACAAATAAATGGAAAGACATATTGTGTTCATGGATTGGAAGACTTAATATTGTTAAAATGTTCATACTGCTGAGAGTGATCTACAGATTCACTGCATTTCCTATCAAAATCCCAATGTCATTTTTTTTTTCACAAAAATAGAAAAACAATTCTAAAACTTCCATGGAACCACAAAGGACCCCAAAGAACTAAACATTCTTGAGAGAAAGAAAAAAAACTTAGAGCATCACACTCCTTTGTTTCAAAATACAGTACAAAACTAGAGTAGTTAATTGTAGTTGCTGGTGTAAGGTGTTGCTGGTGTAAAAACAAACATATTGACAGTGGAACAAAATAGAAAGCCTAGAAATAATCCTTTGAGTTACAATCAACTGATCTTTGACAAATTTACTGAGAATACACAATGGGTAAAGGAGAGTCTCTTTAACAAATGGTCTTAGGTAAACTGGTTATTCACATGCAGATAAATGAAATTGGACGCTTATCCTACATCATTCACAAAAATCACCTACAAGTGTATTAAAGACATAAATAAAAGACTTCAAACTGTAAAGCCCGTAGAAGAAAAAAATAGGGGAAAAACTTTATGACATTATTCTTGGAAATGATTTATTGCATATGACACCAAAAGCATTGGCAACAGAAACAAAAATAGACAAATATGAATATATCAAACTAAAATGCTTCTGCACAGCAAAGAAAACTATCAACAGAGTGAAAAGGCAACCCACAGAATGGGAGAAAATAATGGCAAAGCATATATCTGATAAGGGATTACTATTTAAAATATATAAAGAATTCCTATAAGGAAATAGCAAGAAAACAAATAACCCAATTACAAAATGAGCAAAATAATTGAATAGGCGTTTCTTCAGAGGAGACATACAAATGGCAAATAGGTGTATGAAAAGATGCTCAACATCATTAGTTATCAAGGAAATGCAAATCATAACCAAAACAAAATATCACTGCACATCTTTTAGAATTGCTGTTATAAAACAAAACAAAACAGGTGTTGGTGAGGATGTGGAGAAATTAGAACTCTTGTACATTGTTGGTAGGAGTGTAAAGTGTTGCCACTGCTATGGAAAACAGTATGGAGGCTCCTCAAAAAATTAAAAATAGAACTATCATATGTTTCAGCAATCCCATTTCTGGTTATTTATCAAAGGAATTGAAAACAGGATCTTGAAGATATATTTATTCTCCTATGTTCATTGCAGTATTATTTACAATAGCCAAGATGTACATACAACCTAAGTGTCCATTGATAAAGAAAATGTGATATATACATACAATAGAATATTATTCAAACATACAAAAAGGAAGTCCTGTCATTTGTGACAACATGAAGGGACCTGGAGGACATTATGCTAAATGAAATAAGCCAGGAACACAAAGACAAATACTGCATAATCTCACTTTCGATGTGGAATCTAAAAAATTTGAACACATAGAAGCAGGAGTAGAATGGTGGTTGTCAGAGAATGGGGATGGGGAGAAATGGGGAGTAGCTATTCAGCATCCTTAAAGTTTCAGCCATGGAGAATGAATAAGTTTGCTGTACAAAATTGTGCCTATAGTTAACAAGACTATAGTATACACTTAAAAATTGTCAAGAGGGTAGATGTTATGATCTTAACACAATGAAAAGTTCAGTCACTTAAGTGGAATAAATTTGGCTTTTAGAGAAACTTACAATATTGTGTGTTTGTATTTCTGGTTTACTTGTTTAACTTTCTGTAAATTGTAAAACTTAACTATGGACCAGTATTTGCTAACCCTGCCTAATGCTATGTTCTTCCTTTTCCAAAAGATAGAAAAACTAGCAGCTTTGTCGAAAACTGAAACAGGAGATGACTGCAGGTTCCAGAAGAAGAAATGTTAACTTATCATCTGAAATACAATTTACAGCCTTGCTATATTGTTAAGATATTCTGGTACAGCAGCAGCCAAAAGACCCACTTGGCAATGAGTAAATTCATGTAGCTCTTTTAGAGCAAAGACATTGGTAACCCATTGAGCAAAGACAGAGTCATAAGAAATGACTTGTTCTAAAATGGTTTCTAGAACTACAAAAATAAAACAGTCCTCCCATGCATCTGCCCATGTGGAAAAACTGTTTATCTCTCTCAGATTTTTAACCTTACCCACATACATGGCAAACAACTCCATTAGTAGTGTTATCTGTGAATGCAAACTACAACAATACATTATATATGTTCACTAACATATTTGTTGAATTTTAAAGTATTCAGCAATGCAAAAGCTGGAGTGAGGCTGTTGTTTATAACATATATCATGAAATGAAGAACAGATGATCTAAGAATGAACATTTGTTGGAATGATCTCTCTGGGCTTAAATATTTATTTTACTTCCTCCACCCCCTTCCCTTTTTGACAAAGTACTATGTTTTCCAAAATCTACAGTATGAAACCATGGAAAGTTTAAGACAAAACCACCTCAAATTGCTACCATAAATTATTACCTCCTACATAGTCTTTTTTTCTGCAATGTGCAATTAATCAAGGAAACAACTTATTCTTTCTAATTAAGGAGCCAGTTCTAAGAGTTTTATTTTAGGTGTGAGAAGGGATGTTCATTTCTGGGGAAAAGAATACATGGTTGCCCTATAAAATGTAATATATTTTCATTTCTGTACCCACGGTTTAGTATATGATGTTAGGAAGGGAAGCCTTTTGTCTTATTCATCAGGAAAAATGGGAACTCATAGCTATTAAAGTTCAAGAGTTTGAAGATAGTCTTGAAGGAAACAACATCTCAATGGATAGTTCACACAGCATATTTTTGGGAGAGACACTTAAAAGAGTTGTCAAGAACCAAGATGCAGACCTCATTAAAGGGGATAAAGAAGACTTTTTTTCTCTGTTAGCTTCTGCAGGGCATGGTGAGGGTTCCATGGCCTATTTTATAGGTTTCCTAGGTTTTTGTTTGCTCAGATAAATTATTTCACCCAGAGCTCACTTATCCTAGGGGTGCAATGATTCATCTGTTTATTCATCCTTCTATCCATTCATACATCCACTCACCCATCCATCCAACCACCTTCTGGTTAAAGAATAAGCATTTATTGAGCACCTACTGAATGTATGCAGTGTGAGGTCCTGAAAATTCACATAGCAATGAGATGATCTCTGCCACTGAAAAGCTCACGTCTCAGTTTAGATGCGCAAAATAACATTTCTTCACTCCTTAAATCATCTTTCTAAAACTGGATCATGTCAAGACACTTCAAAAACTCTGCATTGCTATCAGAATGAAATTAGTCAGTGGGCAATTTGGGATCTCTGATTTTGTTTCCAATTACTCTTGTAGCATCGCTGCATACCAAATTCTTTCTCAAGGCCCACACTTTGGCCTAGTCATCTACTTTCCACTCATTACACATTTTGTCCTCTCATTTTTCTGCCTCCTTAACCTTATCCATGCTGTTCTGATAGTCCTAAATAGCCTTTCTCCAATTCCAGGGCCCAGCTCCAATTCTACCTCTTTCAGGGAATTGTACTATTTTTTTATAATCTGACAGTATGCTGTACTTCTACCAAGGGGCTCCAACCTCAGTCTTCTACAACAAATTTTCAGAATTATCTTTCTAAAGCACAAACTTGATCCTATCACTCTTGTGTTTAAAAGCAATTAATGACTCTTCTGTAGCCCTTTAGATAAAGCTCCAGTTCTTCGGCATGGCATTCAAGATTCTTTATGACTAGTTCTAGTGGTGTCTTGCTGCTATTCTGCCCCAGCTGTGCTGAATCGTGTGAAGTTTCATGAGCACATGTCCTCCTGCATGTGTAGTCCTTTTCCTGAAATATACTCCTTACCTTTTTACCTTTTTCTACCTGATAGCTTCCTGATCTTCTTGCAGGTCACAATTTTGATGTTACTTCCTCCAGGAAACCTTCTTGATCCCCCGAGACTGGATCAGGTGTCTCTGAGGTGTTCACATAGTGTCTTCTATTTCCTCTAGCAAGGCAAGGCAGGTACCTTCCTATGTTCACATGCAATGTATACTAGCAATAGGTATCTAATAAACATTTGTTTGGTGAGGAATATTGAGATGAGCCACTGTGATTTCCCTCAGGAAATGCAAAGCTTGCTGTTCAAGATTATGGTTTACCATGTGGTCAAACTGCATGTGGTACCTGGAGAGAAGCAGATGAGGACTGAAGCTAAATATTCCCGACTCAATATGCATAGCCCAAGTTTTCTTATGCAACTTGATTTGTAGCATAGTTTTCCTGGGGTAAGAATAACAATTCTCTGTCTAAAAATACAGTGGATATAGATTCAGTAAGCCAAATAAGAGCTACAAAACCAATTAATGCTTGGGGCCCAAGCAGTTCTTTTTTTATTTAGTTATTTGGGGCGAGGGGTGTTTCTCTTTATATCTCAAGAAACTGCTAAACTCTAGGTTCATCAACAGAACACTTCCTTAGTAGCTGTGCAAACAGCGAGCATGACTCTGGGGACAGGGCCATTTCTGTATGATATTCAGGTTTCAGTAGTTACTGTTGAAGTAAGTCATGGGAGCCATGATCAGCAGGCCAGCTTCTTTGGAAGGCAAAGTTATGGAGATCTACACAGGATGTCTGACTCACAAGCCAGAATTTAAAAACCTGGAATCTTGCATAATTTGTACACATGTATGGGGAAGGGGACACTATTATTAATCTAGAAATGTGGAGATTTGGGTCATTATACATTGAATTTTAACAGCAATGCAACTAAATTTTGTAATCACAATTTGAGAAGGACTGGGGGCTTCTGGGTTGTGTATCATTAATTAAGCCATACCAAATTTTCCCTTGTTTTTAAACTAATTCACAGATTGCCCATTTAAAAAGTGAGTTAATGTAAAACTATAAAGCATAGGACCTTAAGAAATTACAGGTTGATTTCTCTGTGTCCAAGCATGTCCCCATTGAAGGAATTGTTTCCTGGATTTCTAAAAATCTTCAGAGAGGACGATTCCATAACTTCTTTTGGTAACTAGTTCTTTTGTCTTCCTGAAGTCATTTAGTTTACTTCTATAATAGTCCCTCCTGCAGCAATTTAAAATCTTACTTTGTTTTTGTGGTCTTGAATGAAAACAATAGCATTTGCTTAGTGTGCTGTGATAAATGAAATGAACTTTCAATTGTTAGTGTTAATGGGCTGGGCAAGTGCAGAAGGGCATAAATAAATGAAATCTAACATATTCTCCAAACCTCATTTTAGCCATTAATTTTGGCTTTTTCTCCCACAAACCTTTTGAAGAGTCTACTAAAAAGCAGCAAGCTGATTTGAATTTCATGCTTTTCTTTTTCACTTGCTTATTCTCTGGTTGAGGTGATAATGATCATTGAGATGCCCAAAGGAGAAGGAGATGGTGGGAGATGGAGAAGCCAGGGATACGGATAAATTGGAGGCTACATTCATGCATTTATAAAAGCTTTAGGTTTTTGGCTTACCAATCTGCTTATTGCTCTATGACTTCATTTAGCAATGTGAATTGTAAAGTCATTGTGCATGCTTGTCATTTTGGATGCGCAAAATGTATATTCTTTTAAACAGTATTCTGCATCGAGCAATGGAAATGTAGTTAGTTTGAGCTCAAAATCGATGAGTGACTTGGCAATTAAGTGCTACAAATGAAACTTAACTTGCTATTGTGTAAAAATGGGACAATAAAATAATAGTTACTCCCTAGTGATTAAAAATGCAGCCAATTAAAAGCAAGCAAATTTACATAAATGGAAGAACCTTAAATTTTGCATTTCCTGACTGATAGGATTAAACTTCCAAAGAAAGTGTGAATTAATGCAAATGTTAACATGGCATCTCCTAAATCCTTTTCTACTTTTACCACCAAGAACAGAATATAGAAAAGTAAAAATACATAATGATAGGCCAGTCTCTGCTTGTTTTGTCATTTACCCAAAGAATACCAAGCATGCTTAGATATCTTGAAAAACTTAGCAAGATTTCAGGTAGCAAACATAAATAAGGCCACAAGGCAGTCTGTAACCCTTAACCAAATTGTTCTTTGTAGAGAATATGATTAGAGGAACAGTTGTTGATAAGTCTATGACTTGCAGGCTTATTTCTGAAAGAGCTCTTGTATGAAGCTGGGTTCCAAGGTGCTATGGTTTGAATGTCCCCTCTAAAACTTACATTGAAATTTAACTGCCATTGTAACAGTGTTGGGAGGTGGAACTTTTCAGAGGTGATTAGGTCACAAGGGCTCTGCTCTCATGAATGGATTAATGCCATTATTTCAAGAATGAGTTCCTGATCCAAAGGATGAGTTCTACCCCTTTTCTCTCTCTGTCTGCATTGCTCTCATCCTCTCTCTCCATGTGGAGACCTTCATGCTCACAAGATGAGGCCCCTTGATTTTGGACTTCAGTCTCCAGAACTGTGAGCCAAATAAACTTCTCTGTTCTTTATAAATTACCCAGTCTGTGCTATTATGTTATAGCAGCAAAAAACCAAGAAACAAACATTTCCATGTCTGTGTTTCTGTATGCATGTATGTTTGTGTAAATATGTATGTGCTTATGTATGTAAGTATATATGAGTGTGTGTCTACACACATATATACATATATTAACATAAATATACATATATAGGAAGATGTAGATATACATGTATGCATCCACATATATATCTGTATATACAGTTGTGTGTCCCTTAATAAAAGGGATACATTCTGAAAAATGCATCATTGTGCGAACATCACAGAGTATACTCACACAAACCTAGGTGGTATAGCCTACCACACACCTAAGCTGTATGGTATAGCCTGTTGCTTCTAGGCTACAACCTATACAGCATGTTACTGTACTGAATACTGTAGGCAAATGTAATACAATGGTAAGTATTTATGTATCTAAACATAGAAAACGTACTGTAAAAATACAATAAAAAAGATAAAAATGGTACACCTATATAGGGCACTTACCATGAATGGAGCTTGCAGGAGTGGAGGTTGCTCTGGGTGAGTCAGTGGGTGAGTGGTGAGTGACTGTGACATTGCTGTACAGTATTGCAGACGTTACAAACACTGTACAAACACTGTACACTTAGACTATACATTTATATAAAAATTTTCTTTCTTCAAAAATAAGCTAACTTTATCTTACTTTAACTTTTTTACTTTATAAACTTTAAAACTTTTTAAAAACATTGACTCATTTGTAATAATACTTAGCTTAAAACGCAAACACATTGTATGGCTGTATAAAATATTTTCTTTCTTTATATCCTTATTCTATAAGCTTTTTTTTTCTGTTAAATTTCTTTAAACTTTTTTGTTAAAAACAAACACACAAACACATACACTAGGCCTACACAGGGTCAGAGTCATCAATATCACTGTCTTCCACCTCCACATCTTGTCCCACTGAAAGGTCTTCAGGGACAATGACAGCATGGAACTGCCATCTTCTATGATAACAATGCCTTCTTCTGGAACATGTCCTGAAGGACCTACTGGGGCTGTTTTACAGCTAACTTCTTCTTTATAAATAGGAATACACTCTAAAATAACGATTAAAAGTATAATATAGTAGAATACATAAACTAATAGCATAGTCCTTTATCATGATCAAATGGTATGTACTGTACATAACTGTATGTGCTAGGCTTCTATACAACTGGCAGGATAGTAAGTTTGTTCACACCAGCGTCACTACAAACAGATGAATACTGTGTTTTGCTGCAACAGACATTATGACAGCTAATAGGTGATAGGAATTTTTCAGCTCCATTATAATCTTATGGGATCACTATCATGTATCTAACCCACATTGACCATATCATTGTTATGCAGTGCGTGACTGTATATAGCAGGGACCTAATTCCATGAGACAGAACCATGAATTTCTGACTCTCTGATAGGAAATTTCTGACTGGCTTTCTCATTTCAGAGGCTCTTGTACTTGGTGGTCTCAGTCTGTCAGTGAGACCTTCCTCTCTGCTGTCTTACAGAGCCTTTCTAGTATGGCTGCCTGTTTCCCTCTGTCCCCAGCAGAAGGTTTCTTTGTTTCTTTCTTTGTTCTTCTGTTCCTTTTCTAGTGGGATCTAGGTCCTATGATGGAAATCCATCTTCTTCAGGCATCTCTTCTTTCTAACTGGGCTCTCAGTCTCATTGCCTTGGCCTGGGGAAGCACAGATCTCAACAGGCTGCCTTTGAGTGTCTCTGAAACTCTAAGGTGAAGCACGTGCAAAAAAATCATCCAGATTGGACCTTGAGCTCCACAATGCTAGGTTTATGGTGTAATCATGATTGTGCTGACTGTAGATTGCCTAGGACATTTGAACATTTGGATTATGGATTGATGTTTATTTACTGGATTTTCTTTGGAGCTGGGTATAAGGAACAGCTCTTTTCTACTTTTCCCTGCTTTGCTTGTTTAACACTGCTTAATAAACATTCGTGCGTATTTCTTCTCAATTTTACCTGCTCATGTATTGAATATCTCACTGACATTAAATATTTCCTAACTGACAAATGCAAAAGCTTATGCTTATTTTTATGAATATTCATTTAAGTTACAATTTGCAGAAGTGGTTTTGCATTGTAAAAACTGGAATCACCTGTCAGGAATAAATGCTACATGTGAAACCAAAAATAGAGAAAAACACAAGGTTTGAAAAATGAATTTCCATAAGTACACAAGTTATAATGACCCATAAAATACAGTTCTTTGCATACCAGCATGTGCAAACTCTTCATTCAGTTTCAAATAACTTTTTAATAGTTTCTATGGCCCGCCCTCTCCCACCAATAAATATATTCAAGTTTTTATTTCTCATAGATGAAAATCTCTTGCAAAATTCAAGGTTTTATGGTTCATCAATGTTGGGACAACTCAATGCTAAAAATAGCCATGGTTCATGTTCAATGGGTTCATGGTTGAGGGGTGTGTTCCCAGGTTGTGATCCTAGTTGGCTTGAGTTACCGCCAGGGTGTCTGAGCCCACAACCAGTCAAAGCAGAACCTTCCAGTTGTATCCTCTTAGGAAGATATGTATCTGTGGTCAGAGATGACTCAGTCTAGTGGCTGACGGGTGTGGAACAGCCTGGGAGCCTCAGGGTGCTGGAATCACAGCTCTTTAGGACAGGTCAATCCCTGTCCTTTTTCATTGACACGATAATGCACTTTTTTGGGTTTTGTTTTTAAATATCCCAATGTAACTTCAGAGGAAGGTTTTTTTGTTTGTTTGTTTGTTTTTGCCAGCATTCAGCAGGTTTTTTGAGTTGTGAAAACCATATAGCTTTCTTTAATTTGAATAAGCCATCGTCAATGTCTCAGGGGCATTTCTAACCTGCTGCTATAGCTCAGTTCTCCATGCTTTGACATGGAGCCCACACCCACTGATTTTCCCTCAGCACCTTTCTTCAGCAGTTCTGTGGGCCCCATAAACCTCTTCTAGTTCTTTTCCATGTGGAGTGTTAGGGTTCCCCAAATTTTTCTTCTCAGAAGCTTCCCATCCAAAGGAGTCTGGTCTCAGGTTGGATCCTCCAGCAGCAGATGGTGATTCAGAGATTGGGAAGAAGAATGTACATTATGGGTCAAAATCTGCAGAGAGAAGCAGGATTGGGCAAGGGGAGAAGTTGAATTGCAATGCTGGGCAGTCCTCCTATGGAAGCTCTGCAGTGTATTTATCCCATCAGAGTTGTCCCATGGTGGGCTGAAATGGCCAGGCCTTTATGTCCTTGCTGCAATCAGTCATTGGTTGTGGTCCACACCCAGAAGGGCTTGGCCTTGGCTGAGGATGGTGTCTGCAGCTGAAGCAAATCTTGAAGCACCTGGCAACTAGAGGCTGTTTGATGATAGTATTTGCAACAGCTGGGATAGCAGTTCATTCCTTGAAGGTAGATCTTTGCATCAGATCTCTATGTCCACACCAAGTTTATCTGGATCACAGGGTGTGCTGTAAGTATCCTATGCTTTCTCTAGATAGATATATGACCTTGAATAATGATCCAATGATTCTTTTGGAATGAGGCTTAGTGAGAAGGAGGAGACTGTCCTGTGCCTTGTAGGATGTTTAACAGCATCCCCGGCCTCTACTCACTAGACACCAGTAGCAGTTGTCCCTCCCACAGGTTGTGACAACCAAAAATGTCTCCAGATATTGCCAAATGTTCCCTGGAGGACAAAATTGTCCCTGGTGGAGAACCACTGTGTTACGTGGACAAAAGGCAAAAGTCAAATTTTGCTTTCATAATTTAAATTAGCTCATCTAATTTAGCAAAAAAAGGAGAAAAAATTTATAATATAAAGAAACATTCACAACTATAGTGCCAGAGGAATGATCACTAAAGTAGTTAGGTAAAAAAAGGAATTCTGTGCTTAGGGGTGGAGGTTACAAGGCATTAAACAACTTTGCATGTAAATAGAATGCTACATTTTTTTTTCTCCCCAAGTGTTTTGCAAATTCTCTAAGGTCTTCTTTTTCTTCTCTTTATTTCTCTTTTTCTTATGGATGTGAGGTTATGGCTTTCATCTTTTCCTTTGATTCTGTGACCTGGCTTTGGTACATCATGTGACCCAAGAAGTCATATTCTAGGTGAAGATATTGGGTGGTGGTGATTTCTAACTAACTAGTCTAGTTAACTGTAACTGAATGGAAAGAAAAAAATAAGCTCAAAAAATTAAAATAAGATACTTTTATTTCTAGCTTTTTGCTCATCTCTAGATGTGGATGACTTTAACTTATATCTAGGTGTATTAGTCCATTTTCATGCTGCCGATAAAGACATACCCAAGACTGGGAAGAATATAGGTTTAATTGAACTTACAGTTCCACATGGCTGGGGAGGCCTCAGAATCATGGCAGGAGATGAAAGGCACTTCTTACATGGCAGTGGCAAGAGAAAAATAAGGAAGAAGCAAAAGCGAAAACCCCTGATAAACCCATCAGATCTTGTGAGACTTATTCACTATCACAAGAATAGCACAGGAAAGACCAGTCCCCATGATTCAATTACCTCCCACTGGGTCCCTCCCACAACAGGTAGGAATTCTGGGAGATACAGTTCAAGTTGAGATTTGGGTGGGAACGCAGAGCCAGACCATAACATTCTGCCCCTGACCCTTCCAAATCTCATGTACTCACATTTCAAAACCAATCACATCTTCCCAACAGTCCCTCAAAGTCTTAACTCATTTCAGCATTAACCCAAAAGTCCATAGTCCAAAGTCTCATCTGAGACAAGGCAAGTCCCTTCCACCTGTAAGCCTGTAAAATAAAAAGAAAGCTAGTTACTTCCTAGATACAATGGGGGTACAGGTATTGGGTAAATATAGCCATTCCAAATGGGAGAAATTGGCCAAAGCAAAGGGGTTACAGGGCCCATGCAAATCTAAAATCCAGCGGGGCAGTCAAATTTTACAGCTGCAAAATGATCTCCTTTGACTCTAGGCCTGATATTCAGGTCACACTGATGCAAGAGGTGGGCCCAACATCAGCTCTGCCCCTGTGGCTTTGCAGGATACCACCTCCCACCCAGCTGCTTTAACAGACTGGCATTGGGTGTCTGCAGCTTTTCCAGATGTATGGTGAAAGATGTCAGTGGATCTACTATTCTGGGTTCTGGAGGACAGCATCCCTTTTCTCACAGCTCCACTAGGCAGTGCCCCAGTTAGGGACTCTATGTGGGGTCTCTGACCCCACATTTCCCTTCTGCACTGCCCTAGCAGAGATTCTCCATGAGGGCCCTGCCCTTGCAGCAAACTTTTGCCTGTGAATCCAGGCATTTCCATATATCTTCTGAAATCTAGGTGAAGGTTCCCAAACCTCAATTCTTGACTTCTGTATACCTGCAGGCTTAACACCATTCCACCCTCTGAAGCCACAGCCTGAGCTGTACATTAGCGCCTTTCAGCCATGGCTAGAGTGGCTGGGACACAGGGCACAAAGTCCCTAGGCTGCATACAGCACAGGGACCCTGGGCCTGGCCCACGAAAACATTTTTTCCTCCTGGGCCTCTGGGCCTGTGATGGGAGGGGCTTCCGTGAAGGTCTCTGACATGGCCTGGAGACATTTTCCCCATGGTCTTGGGGATTAACATTAGCCTCCTTGCTACTTATGCAAACTCCTACAGCCAGCTTAAATTTCTCCTCAGAAAATGGGTTTTTATTTTCTACTGCATCATCAGGCTGCAAATTTTCTGAAGTTTTATGCCCTGTTTCGCTTTTAAAACAATGCTTTTTAACAGCATCCGGGTCACCTCTTGAATGCTTTGCTGCTTAGAAATTTTTTCTACCAAATACCCTACATCATCTCCCTTAAGTTCAAAGTTCCACAAATCTCTAGGGTAGGGGCAAAATGCTGCCAGTCTCTTTGTTAAAACATAACAAGAATCACCTTTGCTACAGTTCCCAACAAATTAATCTCCATCTGAGACCACCTCAGCCTGGACCTTATTGTTCATATCACTATCAGCAGTTTTTTCAAAGCCATTAAACAAGTCTTTAGGAGGTTTCAAACTTTCCCACATTTTCCTATCTTCTTCTGAGCCCTCCAAACTGTTCCAACCTCTGCCTGTTACCCAGTTCCAAAGTCACTTCCATATTTTGGGGTATCTTTTCAGCAACACCCGACTCCTGGTACCAGTTTACTGTATGAGTCCATTTTCGTGCTGCTGATAAAGACATACCCAAGACTGAAAAGAAAAAGAGGTTTAATTGGACTTACAGTTCTGCTTGGCTGGGGAGGCCTCAGAATCATGGCAGGAGGTGAAAGGCACTTCTTACATGGTGGTGGCAAAAGAAAAATGAGGAAGAAGCAAAAGTTGAAATCCTTGATAAACCCATCAGATCTTGTGAGACTTATTCACTATCATGAGAATAGCATGGGAAAGATTGATCCCCATGATTCAATTACCTTCCCTTGGGTCCTTCCCACAACATGTCGCAATTCTGGGAGACACAATTCAAGTTGAGATTTGGGTGGGGACACAGCCAAACCATATTACTAGGCATTATTTTAACAGTTGATCTAAAACTAATGTTGATATCTTATATATTTTTCCAAGGTTACTCTGGGAAAGCAGTTGACATTTTTTCTCCTTGTGGGATGTAGAAGAATAAAGTATGAGAAAATAGTGATTTAGGCATGTCTAAGCGCCAGACATTATGTTTCTGTGAGTGTTTCCTTCATGACTGTTGAGAAACTAATGATTAACAATACAGCATGTTTTAGGTATTTTTCAAATAATGGCATGAACTAGAAGCCAACACATTCTCCCAAAAGGGAAAAGACAAGATTTTCTCTGAATGGAAAATTCATATTTGAAATGTCTGCATGAAATATATAAGCTACAATATTTTCATTTTGGAGCAGGAGAATACCTGACAGATGAAGGAAAAGAAAAATGAGTTAAGTAAAATGAATACAAACAACTTTTAGTTGGCAGAAAAAAATAGATTTTAATTATGGAAAACATACAAACAGACTAATGGCAAATTTGGAAACCTTATGTTTTTACAGATATTTAAAATTGCCTTTCAATCTTTGTCCCTTTACTTCTCTACTTTAGTGATATGAGATTCTTTCTTGGTATTATCAAAACCCATTAAATCAACAGGTATTATGATGTAATTCAATGCTATGAATGTAAGACTAATACAAAACACCTGATCAAATTATTGATCTTTTCTTTTCCCCCAAGTGTACTACTGTCAGAGTAGCAATTGTTCATGAGATCTGATTGTAACAAATCTCTTTTAAGACTTCTCTGAGAATACACAATATAATCAGGCTGATAGAAACATCAAAACATTTTTTCCATTGCCTCAATGTAATTTGGTTTGTTATGGCTGACACACAGTAGAAGTCACACACAGTCTTATTCATGGATAAAACAGGCAATTGCCCACAGTCTGACTGCATCAGCCCAGGGAATACACAACCTATTCACATGCCAGTGAGAGAGCCTATTCCAGTGCTTTGCACCAGTTGCTTTTTTTAGGGAGATTAATTTGTGTCCCAGCCTACTGTGGACATTGTTACTGCAAACACAGTTGCTAAACAAAAAATTACGGTTACTGTTATGTGATAATTTGATAAGTTTTTTTTTTAGATTATAAAGGATCCTCCTATTGATAAAAGATTGGTACTCCACAGAGATTTATGTAAAATTAGGACATTATTAATTTAGAATAATAAATGTAATTTTGGTTCTCTCTTTATGGATGGCTTGCTAAGTATGAGACTCTGAACCAGGGGAATTGGATGGATAATCCAATCAACCAGTGGCCTCTGGCTCAAATGATCCAATTGAGCAATGCTTGCCCTCTTCACAGGACAATGCTAGAGACATTCTCTAACTCCTTTTCTTTAGACATCCCACAAAATCAAGACATTGAAAGCCAGCTTGAGGCTGGTGAAAACCTTTTAAAAACTATACTTCCCAGCAAGGATGGACTGGGAAAAATATTTGCAAGGAATAGTGTCATCAGATGTCATTCTGCTTTTTCTTAAAATGTCTAGGTAATGTTGATTATGTTTTGAATTATTCTGACCTTCTTCGATCTCTTGCATTGTATTATTCCTAAGGCCATTATATTCTATTTTAACATTCTCTTGCTGTATTATACATACAATAAAAGGCACAATTAAGTGTATAGCTCACTTACTATAATGAATTTTCATGAAGTGAACATACCCTTGGAACCAGCAGTGGTCAACAATAGAAAACTACCAATACCCCGAAGCCCACCATGCTCACTTCCAATCACTAACCACCTACCTAAAGGTAAACACTATTTTGACTTCTGACAACACACACTAGTTTTATTGAGGGCTTAATAATTTGGATCGTCAGAATTTTGTTTCTGGACAGGCATGTTGATTTTCACCTTGCTTTTCCCCATGTCCTACCCTTAGGTAGGACACTGCCCAAGGAAGCTCCACTTAAATGGAACTTCTCTAAGAGTGCAAGTGTGCTATGGGCCACCAAGATGCAGGTAGAAGCATGGAGCATGGGTGGCAGTGGGGATGTGGAACTCACAGGGCAAGGCTGAAAGAAGGACCTAGAAACAGTGAGGTTCTTGGTAGGGCCCAAAGAAAAACTTCCCTGTCTTCACGCTTTTGCTTAGGGAAAGCCCTGGGAGCAGAGTTCTCATTTCTTTTTGCAACTTTCCTCTTGAGACCTCTGTGGTTCTTATTGTTAACTTTACCATTAGTGCTTGTTGGAAAAGATTGAGTGTTGCTTTTATTACAAAATATCTTGGTGAGTATTAAAGACATACATACTGAGATTTATAAGATCATTGTGCTCATATGAGTATTTTATTTTAGTGCATTTCCAGGGAATGTCTTTTTCAGGGCTGGACAGGGCCTATATTTTCAATTCACCAACAGATCATTAGTCACTAAAAGAGGTATAAAGATCAGTCAAAGCAGAGTATTGCATCCTTAATGAGAGAGTGAAGGGTGAGTAGAAATTGATGTCTTCAGGTGTAGATTCTTGTCAACTAGTAAAAAATGCTGAGAAAAGACATCAAGTAACTTACAGGATCACCCACCAGCTCTGACTTGCTAAGGGCTAAAGTAATCCTGGTGATTATTTTTTTCTTCTATCTTGAAGGAATATCAGTCTAGAAGACTCCTTAGTAAACATAAGAATCATCAGAAGTACTGACTTACTCAGCTTAAGCAAAGACTGACAGCAGCACCATTGCTCTTCATCCCCAGCATGGTTCTTGGAAGATCCAATTTATAGAAGATACATACTCAAGGAAATTCCTCAGTAGCCCCAAATGCTTTCTTTCCTTTTTATTTGAGACTGGGACCACTCATCCAAACGTAATAATGGTCTCAGGGTCAGAACATATGGCTTGTTAAGGTATCTTAAGGGAGCTATTATGTCTTCTGTCTGTTCTACTTTTATATGGTCCCTGATCTTTCCAGCAGAGCTAGGTCTTGGATTGGAGCAATGGGATGGAGAACTGTGCAAGGCTGGAGACTCACCACTCTGTTCCTGCATGCATGGGAAAAAATGGCCACCTCTGCCAGCTGGAAGTGGCTTTAGATGTCCTGTGAAGTTTTGGTAGTCTCTAGGCTGGAAATAAAAGAACTTTAAGATATTAGGTCTCAGAGTTTTCTTTTAGATCCATTCTGAACTCTTGGAATCACACTGGAATTCCCATAAAAAGAATGTTATGAGTGAAGTACGTCCACATTTACAGCTTATTTTACATCATACTTTCTTTTCTTGAACCTCAGTTCTCTTTGCTTTTTCAATTTTGATTCCTCTATGTATTTTTTTTTCTATTTTGGCTCCTACTCAAATTTTTCTAACTCTTATGCCCAATAGTTTTCTTTTGATTTCTGGTCTGATTATGTTCATCTGGTATTTAATTTAGCTCCCACTTTGTGAAGTTTGATCTACCAAGGCTACAC
Organism: Homo sapiens; assembly: GCF_000001405.40. Taxonomy (NCBI): domain Eukaryota; kingdom Metazoa; phylum Chordata; class Mammalia; order Primates; family Hominidae; genus Homo; species Homo sapiens. The sequence continues at coordinate 148,642,083 of NC_000004.12, forward strand.
TTTACTTGGCAAATCCTGGTTTCTATACCCAATTTACTCCTAAGAGGGATAGCTGAAGCCATGGTTTATCTCTGGGCTCTTTCTCTTCCTCCTCCACCCCTCCTTGCATCTTTCTTTTTCCATCTGTGCCAATTTATTAAATTATAATGAGAAATACAAATGTCAAGTTTACTGCAGGGTTTATTTTGTTAGACTTTTTTTTTCCTCCAGAGAAAAGAAAATTTGCTTAGTGAACACAGACTCAGACACAGAGTAGTCAATTATTATTGGATTGTTTCATGGCAGGAAACTAAATAATCCATGCATCTTTGAAGCAGGAAAGTGCTTTCCACCCAGATAATATGCTGGTACGTGGGAATCTCTCTGCCATCTTGGATGGTACTGGTGTTACATGTGTTCTGTGCAGCTTGGGGTACCTCCTTTTCCAGACACAAGGCAGTTTGTATGGCTAAAACTTTGGCTTTTCTCAAAGTTTTGCTTTTTGTCAAACTTTGGTTTTTCTCAAAATCTTTTTTTCTCTGCTTTCCTTTTCTGTTTCTTAAATGATGCATCTTTGTACTTCTCTCTTTTTCCCTCATCTTCCTGTCTCTTGCTGTTCCCCTGGACTCTCTCTTACTGCACTCCAGATGTCTTGCTGTGTACTCCTGATGTTGTACCTTCACCTCTGTCCTCTGCTGCTATTTTCCTCTAGTGGAGGGACTCTTCATTTGACACCAGAAACCAAATCATTGGTGAATATCGACAGATATACTGCAGGATCTATGTTTCTTTAGCATGTCCTGCAAATAGGACCAAGGTACATCAAAGTCTTTTGGATAGCCTCAGCTAATTGCCAGCCACGGTAGTGACCCATAAAAAATACCACATTGAAGCTCTTAATGCATTATTATTTACAGTTTGGGCTATATAATAACATTTAGCTTTAAAAAACTTAACTGTATATCTCACCAGGTGTGGGGTGGAATGAGGGAGGAAGGGACATCTTATGATCTCTATTTAATTTATCTCTCTCAAATTTGCTCTCATCAGCATTTTCCTGTTTTTCTTAGTAAATGAATAAGTAAGTAAGTGGGGAGATCTCAAACATGATAGGAAAATGACTCAAGAAGAATTAAAGATGGATAATCGTATCACTCTCTTTTGATTTCAGATGTCCAAATTCCATGTTTGTTAATTAAAATGAAGGTTATATAAATGAAGAGAAACTAGAATGAAAAATTGGCACAGTAGAGTATTTTTTAAAGAAAACCTTTGTTTGCATTTTTAACAATGTGAATTAACTCCAATTAGCTGTTTACACCATCTTGCCAAGTAGAACTCCTACCACAACTGTTTCAATGAACAACATAGAGTCGTTCGTAAGTAGTCATTTTTCCCCAAAGGGTATTGTGAAAGTGTGCGTTTGTTGGTTGATCATTTCTTTTGCAAGTGACCTTGCTGATTTACTTGAATTCTTGATACTCAAAGCATGTTTTAGACCAGTAGCAGAAGTATCTCAATTAAAGTTGGCAGAAATGCTGAATCTTGGGGCCCACTGCAGAGCTACTGAGTCAGAATCTGAATTTTAATGAGATCTTCTGGTGATTCCTGTGAACATTGAAGTTTGGGAAACATTGACCTAGAAGATCATTTCCCCCAAATTACAACAAAGGTAAACTTTAGTGTATGCCTCATGAATCTTTCTGAAATTCTGAATTAGTGGAGTCAAAATTAATCAAATTGTATTAAATTTTTTTCCCATTTACATATTACATTTCACTAAGTTTATTTCACTCAAATTTTTATCTACTATCTTTTTTTCATAGACTCGAGTTATCCCTTTTAGAGGAAAACATCTATTAAAAGTTGAAATCATACCCAAATCCTCTGTCATTCTATTTAGCAAAGCTGAGCTGTATCCATAAGATTCTACTTGAGAGAGATTTTGACATCTTGGCACTTCCTTTTCTCCAGAGTATTGTATTCTTTCTTTTAATTGGGTAATTTCCTCTAGCCCTCAGTAGACACTTATGTGTCATGTTTTTATTTCCTGAATTAAGAACTTCCAACAGACTTACAGAAGTATCCAGATATATGTTCAGTTGACAATATTTGGAACCTCTGTGATGAGGTAGAAATTTCTTATATATTATGTAAAACACATTCAAAGACGAGTTTCAGCTTTTCAGTCAAATAGGTGTGAATTAATAGAACAGCAGGACAAAATCCTGTTGCTTTTCATGGTATATAGCTTACATTTCTTGTATTCACTTTGTCTTTTATCTTTGTGCTCTAAATAATAGCTTTAAGTAGTTTAAACACATACAAGCCCAAAAATGTAAGGCAAAATAAAAACAGCACAAGTCAAATTTATCTGATATATCTTTAAGAGGACAATTTATTCATCAGTCTGTGAATCCATATTATTTATTTATGTATTTATGTATTTATTTATTTATTTATTTATTTATTTATTTATTTATTTATTTTTGAGACAGGGCCTCTGTGGCCCAGGCTGGAGTGCAGTAGTGTGAACATGGCTTACTACAGCCTCAGCCTTCTGGGCTCAAGCAATCTTTCTGCCTCAGCCTCCCATGTAGCTAGGACTACAGGCATGCACCAACATGCCTGGCTATGTTTTTGATTATTTGTTGAGATGGGGTCTCACTTTGTTGCCCAGGATGTTCTCTAACTCCTGGCCTCAAGTGATCCTCCTGCCTCGGCCTCTCAAAGTGCTGGGATTACAGGCATGAGCCACTGTGCCTGGCCTATGTCATATATTCTCTTTAAATTTACATAATATTGAAGCTATCTGGATGGCATCCTAAATCTTACATATTTATAAATACTGAAGTTCAGGATTGACACCTTATAAAAAGCCTTTTTGGAAATTAATTTTTTTGCAGATGAATCTTCATTTATCATAAAACTAGCATGTAAGCTCTCTGATAGCAGACACTTTTTTTTTTTTTTTGAGATGGAGTCTCGCTCTGTCGCCCACCCTGGAGTGCAGTGGTGCGATCTTGGCTCACTGCAACCTCCATCTCCCAGGTTCAAGTGATCCTCCCACCTCAGCCTCCCGGGTAGCTGGGATTACAGGTGTGTGCCACCATCCCTGGCTAAGTTTTGTATTTTTAGTAGAGATGGGGTTTCACCATGTTGGCCAGGCTGGTCTCGAACTCCTGACTTCAGGTGATCCACCCTCCTCGGCCTCCCATAGTGCTGGGATTATAGGCATGAGCCACCATGCCCGGCTGGCAGACACTTTTTATCTGTTTTGCTCACTGTTGTATCTTCCAGCACCCAGGTCAGTACCCTGCACATGGTATGGATCAATACTTGCTGACTGAATGAATAGATGAATGAGCTTAAAAATGTAAAATCTCTTCAGAATTAAACAGTTGGGATTTATTCTTTATCAGTAGGATTTTGCTAAAAGTGTCTTTGAGTAATAGATTCTCCCTGGAAACAAGGTCTATTTATAATCTTATCTAAACAACTAAATAATAGAAGGCAAGAATAATTGAAATTCTTGAATAGAAATGACCTCAACAATATGCCTAGTTTACCTGTGGCTCATTTATTACGTGGCTTTGACCTGTGATGGTATCACAGTGAAGTGTTTTTTTCTTAAAGAGATCTCCTCTTCTCACTCTTTGATAGGGACCCACCACATTGACTTCTGGTAACAAAGCTGTCACTCAGAGGAATTTTCTTTCTGCCCCCCATCTGTCCTGGCCCTGAAAAGAAGCCTATTTCCCCTCTTAATCTTAACTCTGGTGCCCTTCTCTCTACATTGTTGGCTGGTGCCATGCCTGTCACTAAATTTATCTGATAGGCTCATGATCCTGAACTTCTTCCCTCCCTTTTTCCTATGAGAGCACATAGTCTGTGTTGATTGTGGGTTGTGTAGACAGGCAGATAGGAAACAACAGAACGCTATTTTCCCTTTGGGTGAAGCTTGAGGTCAGGCTCATTCCTGTTTTCTACTATTTCCTCTGTGTGTTTCCCCCAAAACTTGGCCTTCCCATACCTCTGCTGAGTTCTATAGCCTTTAAAAATTAATACAGATTATTTTAGAAATCTATGTTATAATCTTAAAAGCAAAATGTAACTCTGTTTTTTTTCTCTACTGTACTACTAAGTCACAGTTTTCTGGGCATATGATGAGCAACTGCACATTTTTTTTGTGGACTGACCTAAGAACGTTACCACCATGTCTAACTTAATTCCCACAGACAAATACATTATATTCAATTAGCATGATTTGCTAATGAACTTCCATAAGTTCATAAGGTAAGAACTGTAATATATAGAAAAGCATGCTTATAATCCCAAATCATGGAAGTTATGGAGTGGATTTGAGTGAAATATAATCATTCCTTAAGCTATTTTAAAAGTAATCACTCATCTGACCATTAGTAAAGACAAACTATATGGAGCCTTTAATGTAAGTGCTACATTCACAAAGTGGATATGTGGAACAAAAATAGTAGGGTGGCAAGCAGTTGTGGACTTTGTAGTCGGAAGTCCAATTCAGCTGCTTATAAGTTATTACACTCCATCATCAACACAGACTATATTGTCCCATAGGAAAAAGGGAGGGAAGAAGTTGGGAATCATGAGCCTATCAGATAAATTTAGTGACAGGCATGGCGCCAGCCAACGATGTAGAGAGAAGGGCACCAGAGTTAAGATTAAGAGGGGAAATAGGCTTCTTCTCAGGGCTAGGAAGGTGACAGATGGGAGACAGAAAGATATGAACAGGTTATTCTGCCTCTTGGTGTCTCAGTTTTCTCATCTGCAATAAGAGACATAATAATATAATCTACTTTATAGAATTGTTGTAAGAATTAATTAAAATAGTTTATGTAAAATGTAAGCATAGATTACATGATATTCAGGGCTTAATGCATGCTTACATTGATGCTTACATGCATTAAGCCCTGAATATCAGTTTGGATAGTCTCATACATATCAACACTTTGTAAGTTTATCTATTTAAAAATTCAACTGCCTTGGGATTAATCTAAAAATCAACATCATATTAAGGCATGTTGAGACAGCATTTTATATTATGTGTCTGTGAAACTGGGGTATGAGAGTGAGTTGTTTAGCTAGAGAGGGAGCTTATCCTCCCCTAGCATCCATCTCATTGCAATTTGTCCTTTTACCTTTGATGCCTGGTACAACTGAGAGCCCTGGAAAGGAAGCCAGGTGCTTTTGTAGGTGATAGTATTTCCAAAGATGCCGTGGAAACATTCCTTATAAGTGCTAAAGATCTCCTGGTTATATTCATTACTCCTAAAAGAATAGGCTACTAGTATCATTCTTATTTTGTAAGTAAATAAAATTCATGTTAAATAGTCCATAACTTGTGGCTATACTACATCAGTGGTGGATCAAACATCATGATTCAATTATTTCTGGCTGTGGTTACAGAGAGAGATTCCATTGAGGACTGCTAAGAGATTCAAGGTATAGAAGTAGTTGTGGGGCCAGGTGCGGTGGCTCATGCCTGTAATCCCAGCACTTTGGGAGGCCAAGGCGGGCAGATCATGAGATCAAGAGATTGAGACCATCCTGGCCAACATGGTGAAGCCCCATCTCTACTAAAAATACAAAAATTAGCTGGATGTGGGCGGTGTGTGCCTGTAATCCCAGCTACTCAGCTACTCAGGAGGCTGAGGGAGAAGAATCACTTGAACCTGGGAGGTGGAGGTTGCAGTGAGCCGAGATCGTGCCATTGCACTCCAGCCTGGTGACAGAGCGAGACTCCATCTCAAAAAAACAAAAGTAGTTGCGACATAATTTGGGCCAACATTGCTGTTAGAGCCAGGCCTAGAATAATAGGGTGCAATCAAAGGAAGGAACTCCACCAGTTATTTTAACAGTGAGAATTTAGCATAAAGAATTTTTAGTTAATCAGTGAAGAATTGAAAAGGAAAAAGAGAACACAAAAAAATATCCAAGTTAACAACTGTAGAAGGTGACTATCACTCCCAGGGCTGGGAGGGGCTGAGGGCACAAAGTGGTTTGAGTCTTTAAAACTTAAAAGCTTGGAGGGGGCCTCCAAGAGGGCTGGATTTCAGACCTCTGAGAAAGAGTAGGTTGCTGCTTTGCTGCTGTGGTGTTTGATGGTCAGAGGAGGGGCCCTGTGGGCCTAAGATCCATATTTCTAAAGAGGGGACACTGGCTACTGCTGGTGTCTCTGAGACAACACGATGTAGTTGAAAAACCTGCAACCTGGATTCAACAGCTAGTACTGGAATTAACTGACATGACCAGGGTGAAGAACAGGCATTGCTGGTCAGTGCTGCCAGGAACAGGAAGCCCACAGGAGTGAACAGAAAGAAGCAATCTCCCTCTAACAGCCCTATTAAAAGAGTCTAACAGAGCCAGCCAGCAAAGCTGAAATGTGATTTGCAGTGTCCCAGTTTCAGCATCACAGAGCAGAGTATAGAATGGGTTTGAAGTTGAGAGACCATAGGATAAGACCTGGCACACATAGGGTCTATATGGTGGTGTTTGAGGGTGGACGGATGATGCAGGATCAGTAATATCATGAGATCTGTGTGTCCTTCCTATGCAAATGAGGCACTACCAGGTAATATAGCCAGGGTGACCACCTCTTGGGGGAAACGTGAACCATAAGTGGTGCTGGGATTCAGAGGCAGTCTTGGAGTCACGTCCCTGGAACTTAATGTTCTGGCTGGCAGCTTTATGGGATGCCAGATCCTGTTAAGTGTTGTGCTGAAGCTGTTGTAAATTTTGCTGTCTCTGTCAAAATGACTCAGAAGCTGAGGAGGGTCTGAGTTGTGGGGCTCACCAGCGACGGCTATGAGCCAAGGTACAAATGGAGTCTGAGAACCCATGTTGGTGCTTACAGTGTTCCACCATTATAATATTAGCTTTTCATGTAAACCAAGAGGTAGACAGAGGATATTTGTTTTAGTTTCAAGGAGCTGAAGGGGGAGGGAGGGAAGGAAGGGGAGAGAGAGAGAGAGAGAGAGAGAGAGAGAGAGAGAAATTTTTAGTTCTGTGTATCTTGCATGGAGATGGTAGTAGCTCTCAGGACACTGCATAATTTCATTATGGAAAATTAACACTCATTCAAGTCTCCTAAGACCCTTGTTCAACCAGCAAATCCATGGTGAGGGATGTGGCCCCAGAGCAAGTTAGTGCCTGAGTTTCCTTGGGCTGGCATCTGCGGAACTCTGCAATGTGACCCTTACTCATTCCTCCAGTGCTGCCTGCCATCATCACTGCAACATTCTAATTACCTATGGAATATTGGAGACAGTACTGGTGCTGGACCCTCCCTAGGCCAATTAAATGAGATTATCTTGAGATGGGACAGGGGCGTTAGTATTTTTTAAAAGCTTCCCATGATATTTTAATGTTAGCTACAGCTGTGAACCATGAGAATATAAGAATCCTATGCCCCAACTAATCTGGTCTATTTTTCAATTCAGATCAATTCCATTCAAAATTTTAGACACTTACTGAGTACCTTGTATTATGCTAGTTTCTGCATATATAATAAATGAAACAAGATAAGTATCTCATGATTCAGTGTGAGAGACTAAGACATACACATATATGATTTAATCTGGTAAGTATTATATTTTGGATAATTAGTTATTGAGAAAGAGGGTGAATAATTTCACTTGGATGTGTCTGAAGAGAGAAGTTGGGAAAACCTTCACAGAGCAAATGAGAACATGTGTTGAGTAAAGATTAGTCTAGATTGAGTTGACTCTTAGAGGATGAATAGGATTTAACAAAGAGGCTAAAGCATAATAGCCTCATAGGTTCAGTCATGATGAATAATTTATCTAACTAGAAAATTTGTTGAATTGGGTGAAAGGCTAGAGATAAGACAGAAAAAGAAAGTGGGAACCACATTAGAAAGGATTTTGAATTCAATGTTAATTGAACATCCATGAGAATCTAAGCATAAGCTATGTTCTGAAGGTATAGAAATGAATAAAACTCAAGATGCTTTCAGTTATGTGGATGAGTCAGATATGAGGTGGTGTAGGGAGGATTGCAGAAAGAGAGAATTGCATAAGCAAAAACACAGAGGCTTGAAAATGCCTGGTGATTTCAAGAAACAGTGATAAACCAGCACTGTTGGATCTGTGATAGGGCTGGATAGAGATTAAGGTGTAAAAGGCAGGCTGAGATTAGATTGGAAGAGCATTGTGTACCCTATTTAGAAGTTTCGCTTTTATACTATGATTTTAAAAATGGCTATGCAGATTTTAAAGTGAAGATTAATATTATTCATATCTGATTTATAATTGATAACTTTAATGGTATTACATGAATTGTGATTCAGTGGAAAAGTGTGAAGAGATTGGAAACCAAAAGATCAGATAAGGACTATTAAAGAGGTCCAGATAATAGGTTTTCTAATCTAAGGCAGCTAAGTTGGTTTTGCCATTAGTGGAGTTCTGTGTTTCATGGGGACTGGGAAGACAGGGAAGGATAATTTTCTCCTTTGCTTGTTTTTTGGTGAGAAGAGGGAGGACCCTTGAGTTTGAAGTATCTGGGTTATCCAGGTAGAGCAGTGAAGTGGACAGTTAAAAGTATGCATCTAGACCACAGAAGGCTAATTGAAATTAGAAAAGTTTATCTGGTGTCAGCAACTTGTGCAGAGTAGATCAAGCCGAGTAAATGGCTAGATGTGAACTGACTCAGAAAAATCAACATTTGGAGATGAACAAAAGAAAGGAGCTGAAGGAAATGAGGAAAAACAGGAGGAAGCCAGGAGGGATTAGTATTTGACATTGGTCAGCAGTGTCAAACCCTGCAAAGAAGTCACAAAAGGTAAAAAAAAAAAACCTGAGAAGAAAAACTTCTGGACTAAGTTCCATGAGGGGAGGAGGCATATATGTGTTTGACACATATTAGCTGCTCAATAAATATTTATGGAATGAATGGATTTACCTTGATTTTGGATTTGTCTTGAGGTACGTATATACTGCTTCTGTTCTCTAGTTTACTCTTGGTTGTATATAGGTTTACTTACTATTCAAAATGTAACCCATATCAGATATGGATTTTTTTTCTGGTTTCAAACAATAGAGACAAAATTAATCTAAAATGAGTACGATCGTGTTTTTCTAGTTAGAAAATGAACATCATTCTGCATAAAAAGATTTTTTCCCTGATTGTTTTCAAATAAATGATATACATTAAACAATAGAAAATGAAATAGCACATACTTAATTTCCTATGTCATCCAAAATATGTTCCTTTTGACCTTTGTAAGTTAAATTCAAAAAGTTAATTCAATTTTCTCACTAAAGGCTATTAAGGTTCTGAGGCAAGGATTTAGGTTGGATTCAGAAATACTTTAATGAGTTGGAAGTGGGTCAAAAAACATTTACTACTCATTTTAAAAAATGCTCCTGATTTATCATGACTTTCTCCCTAATATTTTCATAGTTTGTCTTCTCTCAAAATTAAATCCTATTAGCTAAACAACTGCTATCTTAATTTGAAAGTAGACAAATCTCTCTGAAAGGGCATAAAGAAATAATTTATAGATCATTTTTTAAAAAGTTATTTGAAAGGCATTTGACTTAAGTTTTTTCATCAAAACATCTTCAAAACTGCTACAAAGCTAAATGTGATTTTTAAATCTCCACTAATTTGTGTTCTTCCAATTTTCAATTTGATAGTCATATGCAATAGGGTGATATTTAGCTTTATATTCCCTTTGATGGAGAGGTTTAGGAAGGTAATTAGTAAACTATGTGGAATTGAAGTTGATTAGTATAAACTAATTCAGAGAAACTTCTGTTTTGGAACAGTATAGATACACATACAGTACTAATTATAGATTAGTAGGGAATGCAGATGGTGTTGTTTTATCAGTTGTTTTCAGCTACTGTCTTAGGTTAGTTTCTCCAAAAGCAGGCTCAGAGAGGATTTGTGGCCATGTGATTTATTAAGGAGGAAAAGCTGGCAAGGGAGATGGGGCAGGCCTAGCAAAGGTGGAATTTCAGATGACATCTTTCTGGGCCTTAGCCTGATCCCAAAGGGGAGGGCTGGGATATTAGTCACATCTCTGTATGTCTTGGCCCTAGGCAAAGAAACTGAGATGCCCACAGTCCAGCAACAGCTAGTCTTTTGCTAAGGGCTATAGTGAGGGTAGGGGGAGGAGGAGAGGGCAAGGAGAATATATTCCCAGGAACTTCCTTTTACCATATTTGGGCAAAGCCCTGCTTCCAGTTGCCTGGGGGCAGGTTTCTGAGGGCAGAGTAGTGGGGGCGGTATTGGCCATTAGAAGCCAAAAGGATGAATGTGAGGGGCGAGGGGTGGAAGTGGGTTGGCACAGAAATGGTACAAGGGATCCAAAGTGATCTGAGTGGATCACCAACAATATGCTACAGGTCCCTTGCAGCATTCTACTTCTTCTTTGAAAATACTGCAATTTCCAAATTTCTCTAATGTCAGTTCCAGTTCTGACCCAAAAGTCCACACAAACAATGTTCTATCCAGCTACTTATAGTACATTTGTTGCTTAGTTGGAAAGTTAAAAATGTCTTATCTCTATAGACAAAACCAGGTAGAAATGCATTTAGTGACATACTAGATGGCTAGAAGGAAATGTTCTTTATTGCTCCATTTTTATTTAGAGAGGCTCCCTTCCTGTTGTAGCACAAACTATTCCATGTGACGTGTTTCTCTAGTAGAAATAGGTATGTGATTCACCAAAATAACTTCCATATCACATTTGACAAGTGACTATTTTTCTCATTCAAAAGAAGTTTTCCAGATGCACACAAAGTTTTGTTTTTGTTATGGGTGGCCACTTTTCTTATCTTTGCCTTGCTAAGGTATGTGTTGGTACAAAAATAAAGAAGCTATATAAATGCATATGATAATGTTTTAGCTCAGAAATACTCACAGAAATCTCTAGATCATTAGTTTCTCTTTATCAAGAAAATGAGAAGTCAGTTGGTACCAAAGCTCCTTTATCTATTTGAGTAACTGCTGGGAAGATTAAGAGAAGTAGTTTAAACATGTTGGCTTTGCTTTTGTGGCAAGGTTTATATTCTGAGCTCCAGTATCCTCTGAAAAAATTCAAATTTTGGTGGAAGAAAATATCATGCCAGAGATCTTAAGGTAATAGCTAGTATTTGTTACTACCACTGAAGGCACTTGTAGCTTCAAACATTTCACTATTGCATTGCCAAGCCATGGTCAACTGACAACCTGAATTAGAGCATGACAGTCATTTCCATCCTAGAGAGGCATGGTCATCTTCTCCTGCCTTTAGTTGCACAAAAAAAAAAACCCCTAAAATCAGCACTGATTTACCTTTCAAAGCAGTTTGACAATTGCCTTGGGGTCTGGTGTTCTTCCCTTCCCCCATCTTCACTCCTTCCTACCTTGCTCACTGCAGGTGGAAGGGCAGAGAAGGAGATAAAATAGACTTACTTCTCCTGGAAACCTGACCTTGTCTTAGCTACCAAGAGATTTTTTTCTAGTTTGTTTTATGAGAGTAGTTTACTAACTTGAAGTGAGGTGACCATCACTTTCTCCCCTCTTTTGTCTTACTTTTCATTTCTTTCAACCCAAGCATCTCATTTCTCACCTTCTTAAGTGATTTTTATGGGAGATATTGAGATATTGTGGATACCACAATACCTACTTCTGCGGCCAAACTGCAGTTTGACATCAGGCAAGTCATTGTCTCTCTTGAGTCTGTTTCCGCTACTGTAAAGCAAGGAGGTTAGCCCTTGCCATCTTGCTGACTCATAAGAATTTAAGGAGGATAAAGTGTGCACAGAATGTTCTAGACATCTAGGTCAAAGGTGCTGCATACCAACGGTTATCTACCTATCTCATGGGGATGTTAGGAACTGAGATAATATGTGAAATATTTCGAGTTCCAGAAACACAAACAGCAAATGCATTTGTGCTATAATGATTTATGTTCTAGGTAGCTAGAGCAGGATTTTACTTCTTAATATATTTATTCACTTCATTAATTTCTGTAGCAGACTGCATATGGGACATAATTCGGCAGTGGAAAAAAGAGAAAGTGTTTAAACAATTTTTTCTTCAGAAAATATACAATCATCCAGTAAATATTGCACCCTTGTCTACATACAACCAGTACGCTACTGTGATTTATATTTTCTTTCCCATGAGGAAAGAAGTGGGAGAGGTGGTAGTGAAGGAAGAGAGCAAAGAAAGAAGTCAGAGAGGTTCACATTCAGGTAATTCCAGATCTCCTAACACTCAGCAATGCTGAATGTGCCTCCAGGCATTAGGATATTGAAATGTCCCTTTTGGAGTGACTGATCCAATGGATTTGAAATTCTCTGTTTGCTACAAAATAAAAAGCCGTAAAAATTATACTTTCATGAAAATCTGTTTTAAGAAACATGGGCCATCCAGATCAACCCCCAACACAGCCCAGTCACATTCCAAAGCACCATGAAAAAATGACTGTTTATTGAATGTTTCAAGTTTATTGTAATTAGCATATTACATTTAGACAGGCTAACAACAACAAAGACTAATTTAATCAACAAAAACATTTTGGGGAGAGGCTGGGCAACCCACACAATCCAAGAAAGAGCTGAACTAGCAGACTTTGAGAAAGACAGGAACATCTGCTTCACCCATCTGATGAGCAGGAGTTCGGGGCTTTCTCTTTTGGTTGGGTCCATCACCCATATCAGTTTCTGTGTTCTGCTCAAGAGTCAATTCCTTGGGAGAGAGCATAATTAAATTAGCTTGGATTAGGTACTTATCTTGGTGGTTGTGGTGGTGGCTATGCAGGGGTTCCTGGGACCAGCAGTCCCCCAGAAACATATGAAGCTAGGGAAGACGAAGTCCCAAAGGAAAGGAGGTTGGGCAGAGAAAACCCAAGACATCCACTGCCCCAAATCTATGCTGTTGTTAAGTTGATTTAAAATTTTCGGCATACGAGACTCCTTGACAACTTTTAAGCTATAGTTATATCCCCATTGCTTAAAGCTTATGTAAAGGAGGCAGTGGGGTAAAGTGGTCTGTATATTTGGCTTTTGTCTTGGTATGGCCACTAATTGGCTAAATGACCTGGGCAGGGAGCTTAATCTCTCAGGGTCTGTTTCCAGAGTTGAAAAATGAGAGGATTTATAGGTCTATATTCTATATCATTTTTGTTTATTGTTTTGGTAATTGATCTGAGTTACAGAATTGGTTTAACTATGCACCTCCCTGTGTAGTACTTCATAATATGCTTCCAAACAAGATCCTTTTGTTGTTTAATTTCATTTTCTATTTTATTCCTAATCTCCATTCCCATCCTTTTAATCCCATAGATTACCAATATAATACTTGGATACATGTTTTTGTATATGTAAAATATATTGTATGATTTTATGTGTATGTGTACATATACATATATACATATACATACATACATATATAAATGTGTGTATATACATATATACACACTCAACTGTTTGCAACTGGTATTATGCTACTGATTTCATTCTGTTTTATTAAAAATTGTTTTCATGAAACATTATGTTTTGTACATGTGGGATCCCATAATACGCACCCGTTATCATTGTATTTATTGATTCCTCTTGTGACAAATACATAAAGCAGCAATAGTGAATAGTCTGGTTGTACATGTTTCTTATAGGAGTTTTAAGAGTTGCTCTGGAAATCATTTTTATAGTGAGATTCATATATAAAAATTCACAATTTCATTAAGTATAATAGGATTGCTTTCCAGAAAAACCTTATGACTCTCACTCATATTAGTTTTGCATAAAAGCTCTTATTTCTCTATATTCTCTTCAAAACTTGGTATTATTCAACTTTCTCTCTCTATACATATACACATATATAGTTATATCTGGATATATCCCTATATATGTGTATATATGGATATACACATATATAGAAAAACATATATATATACACGTTTTCTATATATACATGTATATATTTTGCCCTATGATCACCGAGATATTCCTCTACGTTTTCTTCTGTTTTCTTTGTTTCAACTTTCATACTCAAGTCTTTAACCCATTTGAAATACACCTTTGTTTTTCACTTTATTTTTCCATGTAAACTAATTTCTTTAAGACTATCTACTAAATAAGCCATCTTTCATCTTCTTTCAGTTTTCTTTGGTGTCAACCTTATAATGTAGCAAGTCACATATCACAAGAATATTGGACTATTTTGAACTCTCTGTTCTGTTTCATTGATCTGTCTTTTTATCAATACTGCATTGTTTTAAATTCCTGTAGCTTTGTGGCATGCCTTAATATCTGAGTTTAAGTCCTCAGCTGTTTTTCTTTTTTGTAAAATTGACCTAATAGTGAACTGGCTATTCATATGGAAAAAAAGAAAAATATGTTGAATAAAGACTTAGAAATAATAAAAATCTTTGCTAAAAATCTATGAGAAAACGTACACAGTAGTTGAATTTCTGAGATCTTCCTAGCAACACAGGAAATCCAAAATCTGTAATATGAGATAAAAATATTTGACTATATAAAAATTAAAAATTTTATATGGAAAGACATCACATAAAGATCAATAGGCACTAATGGAACAAGAAAAGTACATTTTCAACTCAGATAACAAAGCATTAATTTCTACATTATCCCATGATGAACAACCCAATTAAAATGAATATAGATGTGAATCCAGAAAACAGCCAATAAATGTGAAAAGATGCACAAATTCAAAAAAAGACAGAAAAATTAACATTATAATAACAATGAGCTCATTGCACAAGTACGCAGAGGAAAGGGTAGTATGATACATATTACTGGTGAGAATGTCGAGATTTATAGTATTTTGGGAAGGAAATCTGGCAATATCTATAGAAATTAAAAATACATATTCTCTTCTACTCAACACTTCTATTCCTGGAAATCTCTCTTATAGAAATAAAAGTAGAGATCTTGTCCATAAAATTAAAGAAAAAATGTGTATGAATTTATAACATACAAGGATTTTTATTGCACCATTGTTTATAGTCACCAAAAACTGAAAGTAAAGAATATGCCTAATGAAGTGAATATAACAGACTTATGGTTCAAATGCTATGTAGTATTTTATAGCCATGAGAATGATTCAGAACAGTACACATATATGTATGTGTAGGACATACAATTATAGAGAAATAGAATGTTAACATGGCTACATGGAATTGGGGAAGACAGTGGAGAAAAGGTGTCCATAATAAAGAGAGAATGTATGGTATGATCATACCTATGTAAAATTATGTATGGGCCTGTAGGCCCAAGTCCTAGGATTGCTCTGAGCCCAATCAGGCCCAAGGCTGCAGTGTGCTATGCAGCCTGGACAACATAGTGAGGTCCCTTTTCTTAAGAAAAAAAAAAAAAGAATAGATTATCACTATGTGTCAAAGGTGGGTATTATAGAGAAGTGTGAAATTCTGACTTCTTTATGTCTTTGTATATTGTTCTAATTTCTTACAAAGACCATGTTTTTCTTTTACATAATCAGGAGAAAGTAATGAAGAGATTTTTATTGTAGAAATAAATACAAAAAATCAATTGTAAAAGGAAAAAACAAAACCTGACAACTATTTATAAATCTTTATTCTTCCATCAAAATACTAGAAAAGGTTTGCCAAATTTACAAAAAAAAAATCTTACTGGAATCTTGATTAGCATTGTGTTAAATGCAAAAAACATTTTGTGCAGTTTTGGTATCTTTACAATATTACATCGTACTATATATTTATTTAGTCCTTCTCACTTTACGTCCTTAAAAGAGCTTAAGCTTTTCCTCCTTAAAGGTCTTTTTTCATCCTTTATTAGGTACTTTATTGTTTTTGTTGTGTTTATACTAGATACTTTATTGTTTTTATTGCTATTACAAATGGTTATCTTATTTTCTAGTTTGTTTTGGAGTATAGAAGAACCTTTTTCATTTTTATAAGTTAATCTTTATTTTGTAATTGTGATGAATTATTTATTAGCTCATGTGGTATTTTTATTATCTTAAGTGTTTACTTTTAAATTTTTAAAATAAAATATTTTTATTGTGGTAAAATACATATAACAAAATTTGTCATCTTAACCATTTTTAAGTATATAGTTCAGGGGTATTAAAAATATTCATATTGCTGTGTAATCATCACCACCCTCCATCTCCAGAACTCCTTTCATCTTGCAAAACTGAAACTGTACCCATGACACAATAATACCCCATCCCCCTTTCCCTGCATTTCTGGCAACCACCATTCTGCTTTCTGCCTTTAAGAATTTTACTCCTCTAGGTACTTATATAAGTGGAATCATATAGTATTTGTCTTTTTGTTACTGGCTTATTTAGCTTAGCATAATGTCCTCAAGCTTCATCCATGTTGTAGCATGTGTCAGAATTTCTTTTTTTTAAGGCTGAATAATATTCTGTTCTATGTTTATACTAGTCTTTTTGTCTATTCATTTGTTGGTAGATACATGATTTGTTTCCATATTTTGATTATTATGAATGATGCTACTATACACATCGGTGTACAAATATCAGTTCAAGACCCTGCTTTCAATTCTTTTCGATGTATACCCAGAAATGGAATTGCTTGATGATAAGGTAATTCTATTTTAATCTTCTGAGCAACTGCCATGCTGTTTTCCACAGTGGTTGCATCATATTACATTATCTACAGTACACAAGGGTTCTAATATCTCTGCATCCTTGCCAATACTCGTTTTCTGTTTATTTGACAGTAGCCATCCTAGTGGGTGTGAGTGGTATCTCATTGTAGTTTTGATTTGCATTTCTCTAATGATTAGTGATGTTGAACATCTCTTCATGTGATTATTGGCAATTCGTATATTTTCTTTGGATAAATGTCTATTCAAGTCCTTTTCCTATTTTTGAATCAGGTTGTTTTTGTGTTGTTGGATTTTAGGAGTTCTTTGTATATTCTGGAGGTTAATATTTTGTCAGATGTATAATATGCATGTATTTTCTCCCATTCTGTGGGTTGCCTTTTTCTCTGTTGATAGTGTCTTTTGATGCAAAAATAGTTTAATTTTTTCTTTTCTGAGATGGGATCTTGCTCTGTCACACAGGCTGGAGTGCAGTGGCATGATCTTGGCTCACTGCAACTTTTGCCTCCTGGGTTCAAGCAATTCTCCTGCCTCAGCCTCTCTAGTAGCTGGGATTATAGGTGCCTGCCTATAGCCTGGCTAATTTTTGTATTTTTAGTAGAGACAGGGTTTCACCATGTTGGCCAGGCTGGTCTCAAACTTCTGACCTCAAATAATCCACCTGCCTCTGCCTCCCAAACTGTTGGGATTGCAGGTGTTAGCCACCATGCCCAGCGGAGTTTAAATTTTTATGAAGTCTAATTTGTATATTTTTCTTCAGTTGCCTGTGCCTTGTGTGTCTATACTTTACTCAGATTTCCTCAATGTTCTCCTCATATCCTTTTTTCAATCAAGGAATTCATCCAAGTTTAGTTACCATGTCTCCTTAGGTTCCTCTTAGTTGTGACAGTTTCTTAGACCTTACTTGTTTTCAAATACCTTGATTTTTTTGACGACTACTAGTCATGCATTTTGTAGAATGTCTCTTAGTTAGGATTTACCTGAGGTTTTCTTATGATTAGACTGAGTAATGTGTTTCTGAGAAGACCACGAAGGTAAGAGGCCATTCTTATTACATCAGATCAAGGGTACCTACCATCAATATGACTTATCAATGTTGTTCGTCTTGATCATTTGGCATATAGTAGTGTTTGTCAAGTTTCTCCACTGCAAAATTTCTCTTTCTTTTTCTCCCTTTCTATCCTGTACTCTTTAGAAGAAAGTCATTAAATGCAGCCCACACTGAAGGAGTGGAGAGTTATGTTGTATTTACTTAAGGCAGGAATAAGAACATACATTATTTGAAATTCTTCTGCATGGAAATTCTGTTTATTATCTCCTATTTGTTTATTAAATTATTTACTCATATCATAATGGACTGAGGGATATTTATACTTTGGGTTATAATCCAATATGCCTTTATTTATTTTGTTGCTAAAATTGTTTTAACTTTGGCCATTGGGAACCTTTTTAGTTGGCTCCTGTATCCCTTTGACATATTCCATCACTGTAGGGTTTTTTTTTTTTTTTGTACTTTCTTACTTTCTAGAGCTATAAGATGCTCCAGGCTTATCTTGTATATTTCCTGCCTCATTCCTTAACCATTTCTCCAAGGATCTCTGGTTCCTTTGATGGGAGAATGGTATTAGGAACCAAGATTGGGTGCTAGGTGTTCTCAGTGATGGCTATCATTGCTTCTAGGCCATCTCAGCTGACAGAGCAAGGAAACTGTGTACTACTAACCCATGCATATACATATATCTAAAATATTTCTATGTAACTAACCATCTGTATCTATATGCTAAACATGAGTTCAGAGCGATGTCTCCCACTCTAACACAGTCCTTCCTGAATCATCCTAGAATCTTCCCCTTGCTTATCTGTAACCTCTAACAGTGAGAAACCTGGCTCCCACCATTGGCCATCTTTTGCCTTGCCTTGTAAACTTCAAAATCAGTCTGTCTATCAGGTAAGAAAGGGCTTACCGAGATTTTATAGGATTGCATTATATCCATATAATTTATATATATATAATTTATAATTTGGATTGCATTAAATCTAATTTTATTTGCATAAATTATATTATGTAATTCATTTAAATCTTTGACTTTTTAAATTAGTTTTTTACAATTTTTCATATATAGATTGTTTACATATTTTGTTAGATTCATACCTAAGTATTTCCATTTGTTAGGTACTGCTGTAAATAGAATATATTTAAATTTCAGGTTCCAATTGTTCATTGCTAGATTATAGGAAAGCAATTGACTTTTGTATTAACAATTTTCTATTAACCTTGCATCCTGTGACTTTGTTTTATTCTCTTAGGAGGTTGTTTTTGTCTGTTTTTGAGATTTTCTGTATAAACAATCATGTCATCTGTGAATAGAAAGTTTTATTCTTCTTTTCCAACTGATACTCTTTTTGTTTTCTTTCTTGCCTTGTTGCACTAGTTAGAAACTTCCAGTAAAATGTTGAATAGAAGTGAGAGAAGACACCTTTGTCTTGTTTCTGATCTTAGGGGAAACACATGCATTTTCTCACCATTAGGTGGAATGTTAGCTGTAGGTTTTTATATATGTTCTTTATCAAATTGAGGAAATTTTCCTCTATTTTTGCTTTGCTAAGAACTGTTAATGATAAATAGGTGTGGAATTTTGTCAAATTATTTTCTCCAACAATTGATACGATCACATTAATTTTCGTCTTTAATCTGTTGATGTAGTGATTTATGCTGATTGATTTTTAAGTGTTTAACCAGCCTTGCATACTTGGAATAAATCCCACATGGTTGCAGTGTATAATGTTTGATATACATTGTTGAATTCAATTTGTTATGTCTGTGTTTATGAGATATATTGGTCTGTTGTTTTCCTTTCTTATAAATGACTGTGTCTAATTTTAGTAGTAAGGTAATGCTGACCTCATAGAATGAGCTAAGAAGTAGTCTTCCTGCTTCTATTTTCTGGAGGAAATTATGAAGAATTGATATCATTTCCTCCTTAAAAGTTTGGTAAAATTCATCAGTGAAACCATCTGGGCCAGGTATTTTCTTTTTTAGAAAGTGATCAGTTGTTAATTATTGATTGAATGTATTTAATATATAGAGAGCTATTTAGGCTATCTATTTCCCCTTTTGTGTGTTTTGGTCATTTGTGTCTTTCCAGAAATTGGTCTATTTCATTTAAGTCATCATATTTCTGAGTATAGAACTGTTAATAGCATTCCTATATTCTTTTAATGCCCAAGGGGTCAGTAGTGATGACCTCTCTTTCATTTTTTTTCTTTTTTTTTGAGACAGAGTTTCACTCTTCTTGCCCAGGCTGGAGGGCAGTGGCACGATCTTGGCTCACTGCAACCTCCACCTCCCAGGTTCAAGCGATTCTCCTGCCTCAGTCTCCCAAGTAACTGGGATTACAGGCATGTGCCACCACGCCCAGCTAATTTTTTGTATTTTCAGTAGAGACTGGGTTTCATCATGTTGGCCAGGCTGGTCTCGAACTCCTGACCTCAGGTAATCCACCTGCCTTGGCCTCCCAGAGTGCTGTGATTACAGGTGTGAGCCACTGCGCCCGGCCTCATTTTTGATATTGGTAATTTGTGTATTCGCTTCAATTTTTTTCTTGGTTAGCTTGGCTAGGGTTTATTCATTTCATTGATCCTTTCAAAGAACCAGCTTTTGGTTTCATTAATTTTCTCCATTGTTTTCTTGTTTTCAGTTTCATAGACTTCTTCCTTTTTTGAGATGGGGTTGATCTCTGTCACTCAGTCTGGAGTACAGTGGTGTGATCTTAGCTCACTGCAACCTCCACCTCCTGGGTTCAAGTGCCTCCTGGGTTCTCCTGCCTCAGCCTCCTGAGTAGCTGGGATTACAGGTGTGCACCACCATGCCCAGCTAATTTGTATATTTTTAGTAGAGATGGGGTTTTGCCATGTTGGTCAGGCTGGTCTTGAACTCCTGACCTTAAGTGATCTGCCTGCCTCTGCCTCTCAAAGTGCTGGGATTATAGACTTGTGCAACTGTGCCAGGCCTTTCAATTTTGTAGACTTCATTTTTTTTCTGTATTGTATCAGATGCAGATAACAATTTTATTGGCTTTGGATTCAATTTTAATAATTTCTTTCCTTCTGCTTGCTTTTAGGCTTAAATATTCTTCAATTTCTGGTGGTAGAAACTTAGGTTACTGATTTTAAATCTTTCTTCATTTTAAAAATGTACGCATTTAATGCTATACACTTCTCTTTGAGCACCTTTTTTTTTTTTTTTTTTTTTTTTGCTGTATCCCACAAACTTTGGTAAGTTGTATTTTCATGTTCATTTAGTTAAAAATATTTTAAAATTTCTCTTGAGATGTCTTTTAACTATGTGCTATTTTAAAGTGTGTTGTTTAATTTCCAGATATTTGGGGTTTCTCCAGTTATCTTTTATCAATTGATTTTTAGTTCATTTCCATTGTGGTCTGAGAACACACTTTGTATCATTCTTATTCTTTTAAGATTGGTTAGATGTGCTTTATGGCCCAGAATGTGGTTTATCTTGGTGTGTGCTCCATGTGAGCATGAGAAGAATGTGTATTCTGCTGTTGAGGGATGGAGTGATCTGTAAATGTCAGTAAGATCAAGTTGACTGATAGTGCCATTTTGGGTCAACTATATCTTTTTTTTTTTTCTGCTTACCTGAACTATCAATTAATGATGGGAGGGATGTTGAATTCTTCAAATATAATTGTACATTCGTCTACTCTTTTCAGTTCTATCAGTTTTTGTCTCATGTGTTTTGACATTTTGTTTTTAGGTATATGCACATTTAGCATTGTTATGTCTTTTTGGATAATTAATCTCTTTTCTATTATGTAGTGCTGCTTTTTATCTCTAATCTTCCTTATTTTGAAGTCTGCATTGTCTGAAATTAATATAGATACTCCAGTTTCTTTTGACTCATTTTATTTTCCCACCCTTTTCTTTTCATCTGCTGGTGTCTTTATATTTAAAGTGGGCTTATTGTAGACAATGTATAGTTGCCCTCTGCTTCCCCTTGGATGAGTCAATATAGTTTTTTTAATCCGTGATGACAGTCTTTGTCTTTTAATTGCTGTATTTAGACCATTGACATTTAAAGCAATTTATGGTATATTTGGATTTATATAAAACATGTTTCTGTTTTACAGTTGTTGACAGAGACTTCTTTTTTCCTCTGGTTTTAATTGAACATTTTATATGATTCCATTTAATTTCTCTCATAGTATAAAAAGTATAGTTCTTAATTTTTTTTTTTTACTGGTTACCTTAAGTTTTATAATATACATTTTTAAGTAATCTAAATCTACCTGTAAATAACACTGTTTTACTTCAAATACAATGCAGAAATTTAATAACAGAGTATTTCTAGTCCTGCTTGCTTTCCTTCCGTGACATTGCTATCATTCGCTTCATTTGTATATATGCTGCAACACGTTGTTACCATTATTAAACAGTTATTCTCAGATCAATTACGACAAATAAAAATATTTTATTGCCAGGCACAGTGGCTCACGCCTGTAATCCCAGCACTTTGGGAGGCCGAGGCGGGCGGATCACGAGGTCAGGAGATTGAGACCATCCTGGCTAACACGGTGAAACCCTGTCTCTACTAAAAAAAAAAAATACAAAAAATCAGGTGAGCATGGTGGCGGGCGCCTGTAGTCCCAGCTACTCAGGAGGCTGAGGCAGGAGAATGGCCTGAACCCGGGAGGCCGAGCTTGCAGTGAGCCGAGATCGCGCCACTGCACTCCAGCCTGGGCAACAGAGCGAGACTCCGTCTCAAAAAAAAAAAAAAAAATTTTACCTTTATTTTTTCTCTGATGCTCTTCATTTATTTATATGGGAATATGTTTATATTTATTTATATTTGAATTTCCTTCTGCTTGAAAACATTTTAACATTTATAGGTGTTTTTGATATTTATTCTACTTTGTGTTCTCCGAGGATCCCATTATTACTTCAAATGTTTTTGCTGCTCTGCTTTCTCTTTGTTCTCTTTCTGTAACCCAAGTCTGTGGTATTTTCTTCTGATTTGTTCTTGAGGCCTCTTTCTGGAAAATGGCTATAAACTTTAGCGCTGTCCTGATGGTACTATAGGGGATTTGGTTGTGGATGTCCACAATGTGCCTTTCATGCTATGCGTCGGTATCCTGGCTTATTGCCTAATGCCTGAATGTCTGACCTATGACCAGGTGTCCCTCTCACACTCTCACAGGAAACTTGTTTTTAATGACAATCTCCTTGTGGCTCTTGTCTGACCTGTGTCCAGTTTATTCCTACTAAGACAGCCACTCTCTAGAAGAGACCTGATCGGGAAAGAAGTTAGGCTCTGGTGCGTTGGTCAAGTAAGACACAGAAGAAGCAACTCACTAAGACACATGCAATAACAGAAGCAGCTTATTACCTACATATCCCAGAGAAAAGAGGGTGCCACATCTCTCAAGTCTGATGGGAGAAATACGGAGCCAAGCATGACAAGCATGCTTGGTGGGAGCAAGAGAGAAGAACCTGTGCATTGAAGCCTTTACTGAGGTCCAAGGCATTATCCAACCTCATTTCCTGAGGGAAGTTCTAATTGATGGGTTTAAAAGAAGAAGACGTAAGTTCTAGGAGGTCACACTGTGACTGAGAGGTGGCCATTGTGTTATATCTGCATAGTCCACATGGGATGTAGGGGTCAGTGGTGTGAGTCAACTAAGTACTATCCAGGTGTCCCATGGGCATGTGGTCACCAGGAGGTGGTTGTATAGGCCAGATGTCTGGAACGACCACACTGAGGAACTGATAGGAGGTAGAGAACTGGAAGCTGTGTTCACAGTGACTAAGCCCTGCTTTGGTATGAGAAAATTCAATTTATATTCAAAATGGATGCCAAGGCAATATAAAATTATGGGAATTCACTACAAATTCCTTTAGAAATTGCTCCAATATTCTTGGGTGTTCCATCTTTTTCATTCATCTTTCTCTTTGCGATTTAGTTTGTAAAGTTTCTATTGACATACATTTAAGCTCACTGATTGTTTCCTTAGCTGTGCCCAGTCTACTGATGGGTCCATCAAAGGCATTCTTCATTTCTCTTCCAGTGTTTTTGATTTACAGCATTTATTTTTAATTTTTTTCTGAGAGCTTCCATCTGTCTGCTTATACTACCCATCTGTTCTTTTATGCTGCCTACTTTTTCCATTAGAGCCCTCAACATATTAATCATAGATATTTTAAATTCCTTTTCTGCTAATTCTAAAATACATGTCATATCTCAGTCTGATTCTAATGAGTGCTTTGTCTCTTCAGGCTGTGTTTTTTCTTGCCTTTTAGTGTGCCTTGCAATTTTTTGTTGAAAGTTGGGCATGTTGTAATTGGTTATAGAAATTTAAGTAACTAGGCCTCTAGTTTAAGGATTTATGTTCATCTGGGTAGGAGTTAGTCTTTGTTTAATGTTTACTGTAGCTATAGATGCCAGAGACTTCCGCTTCCTCTCATGTCCTAATTTTTATCTCCCTTTTGACTTCTAGCTTCTCTAAGTATTCCTCATCAGAAAGAGTTTATTTCTTGCATTTCTTTTATCTGTAATCCATTATCATGCTCCCGGAACCCTGTAGGTCTGGAGGTAAGGCGTGAGAACATTCTATAATATTCCAGTTCAATTGTAATCTTTTAGTAGTCTGGGTCTTTGGCTGGTGACCTTCACAAACATTTATTCTTTTTTTTTTTTTGAGACAAAGTCTCACCATGTTGCCCAGCCTGGAGTGCAATGGTGCGACCTTAGCTCACTGCAACCTCCGCCTCCTGGTTCAAATGATTCTCCTGCCTCAGCCTCATGAGTAGCTGGGATTTCAGGCGCACACTATAGTCACCCACTTAGGTGAGTTAAGAAGGTTAAAGGGGGCTGAAGTGAGAGGAATCTCCTCCCTCACATCCGTTGGACAAGGTCCTGATAAAGTATTTCTTCATAAGAGTAGGACTTTTATTAATGGAGAGGGCTCTGGGTATATTGCTTAAAGATTAGTGTTTCTCTTCTGCTGTTAGACCCGCCAAATATTTGGGGATTTTCCAGTTATCTTTCATCAGTTGATTTCTAGTTCATTTCCACTGTGGTCTGAGAACACACTTTGTATAACTCTTATTATTTTAAGTTTGGTTAGATGTACATTATGGCCCAGAATGTGGTTTATCTTCACCTTGAGGTAAAGTCCATGGGGCCCAGGCCATTCTTTCTTCCAAGCTAGTACACACTCAGCCTCCAGCAATTCACTGACATTGCCATTTAAGTATTCCTACCAGTTTATGGCACTAGTGGATTTTACCCCAGGTAGGTAGATCTTGGCTGTGAGTCTCTGGATTTGTCTCTCTAGATTTTCGAAAGGCAGTTTGCCTTGCAAACTCAGTTCTTTGATGAGTTCAAGAAAAGTTATTGATTTTCTCTTTGCTTGGCTTTTTCTTGTGGGGATGGGACTGATGACATCCAGGCTCTTTTAAAGTTGGGGCTGAAACTTAAGGTTCATCTTTCATCTTACGTTTTTGATACATATTCCTCTGTTCTACTGTTTTTAGCTTTCCTATATCTGACTGCCCTTAGTGTACCTTCTATACTCAATGTACTGCTAAATCTTGTCCTTTTTAGTCCAACCTAAAAGTCTTTCTCTTGGCTTGTACATTTACATCATTTACATTGATCATAGTTTCTGTGAAAATGTTTTAGGTTCTTTCACGTTATCTTGTATGCTGTGTTTGCTTTATTGCTTCTTTTCCTGCTTTCTACTCTATTGGTTGCATTTTCTTCTGACTTTAAAGTTATACTTTCATTTTTTTTTCTTCTGGAGGTTACACCAGGCCAATTAGGGCTCATAACTAAATTTATTTTTCTTTATTAATTTTTAAGTTTCTATAGCCTATCTTCCTTCTGAATTAAAGAAGTATTTTTGCACACCTTTAACCCTCAGCCACCTCTGGCTTACCATGACCACCTTCTACCCACCATCCCCTCGGTATTATGTGTTGGTATTCTCCAGGATTAAGTTCAGACTCGAGAGCCTCAAACCCTCCTGGTTGCCATTTTATCAGGTACTACAAATCTTTGCTGTAACATTGTGTGGGTCAAAACTCCAATTTCTATTCCATGTGTCAGTTGATAGGGGAAACAATGATGCCTTTTGTATATTTGGAGTTCAAATCATATCATTTTGTGCAGGAAGTGGCCTTAGAGCTGATTTTGAATAGTAGTCCCTATTTATTATAGTAGATAAAGAATCATCCTCTCTGGTGCTCTAAGCGGGTTATTCCCATTATGCCCATGGTATGGAAAGGGAATACAGTTCATTAGAAAGCTTAGCTGCTCTACATAGTGTACCTTGAATGACTCCCATCTCCAAATGAGCCTCCAGAAAATTTCAGCTAAAAGGCAAATGTCATTTTAAGTGTAATAAGTGGCCGTCGATTTAATCAATTCCATACTTTTCACAGAAATAAAATTAGAATCAGCATAACATAGGTCCAGGTAATGTAGAGTGTTAGAAGCAGAGCATGTAGAGTGTTAGAAACAGAGTACATCCTGAGCTCTCTGATTGTGCTTGCAGTGCCCAGTCCCTGGAACCATAATAAACTGAGTTAGATTCTATTTTGTGTGGGAGCATATGAGGAAATAGCTACATTTGAGTATGTGAGAATTCCATATTACAATACAATGCTGTGTTAGACAGAGAAAGTAATTTTCATTATAAGCCTTTCCTTTCAGCCATTCAAAGCCTTCCAAAATAATCTGCTTTAGATTTAAATTATCCATGCTTGAAAAATGCATGGTTGAAGCCCAGAGGTAATTTTATTTTGAAAAATTTGGGCAGACTCTTTTCAGATACATCAGATTAGTGAAAAGTTAAAGAAGAAAAGAATGTGGAAAACTCATAGACTTTTTAAGCTTTCATTTAACCCTCAACCTGCTGAACTGGTGACTTAATTTAGTTCAAATTAAACTCCTTATTTTGTTGGGAAAACATATAAAATAGTTGAATAATCTAAATCAGGAGTTTCCAATCTTTTGACTTCCCTAGGCTACATTGGAAGAAGAAGAAATGTCTTGGGCCACACATAAAATACACTAAGACTAATGGTAGCTGCTGAGCTAAAAAAAAAATAGCAAAAATCTCATAATGTTTTAAGAAAGTTTATGAATTTGTGTTGGGCTGCATTTAAAGTTATCCTGGGCCACATATGGCCTGCGGGCAGTGAGTTGGACAAGCTTGATCTAAACATTTTTGGCCAGTGAATTTTAATTTTTTTAATGGAAATCACCAATAAGCATCATGGCCCCGATTTTTATTGTTTCAGGTAGCATCATTTTTTCTTTTAAAATCGCACAAATACATACAAAAACATAACCACACTCAGATAATTTAATTTCAATGGAAAGTTCAAACTTATCTTTAAATAGATCATTTGAACACTGTAAAGTCAGGAGTTTCCAAATTTAAGGCTCTTTTGTAAAATTGAACACAATTTAAATATTTCTTGCTATTTCTTTCTTCTTGCTAAATATTAGGCATTTTTGTTTTGGTTGAAAGGAATAGAGAACCACTCTAACAAAGCAGGCAATAGGGGCTTATTGGAAAGATAGAGGTTTTCTGGAACTAGAAGAGGAAACTCATTGAGCAGGAAAAGTTCTGAACTGCTTTTTCTTAATCTCACTCGTGGAATCTTAGCTTTTCTCTGGGTGTCTGTTTTGGCTTTCTTCCTTCTAGAAGATTTCTTCCGTTTCTTTAAAGCTTCTACTCCCTCCTGACTTCAATGTCATTGCAGTGTCTCCCTACATGTCAAGACTTCATCTTCAGAGTATCTTTATGCAACAGAAACCACCCACCCATAGGTTGCGGTGATGTCTACCTTGATGCACCTGGTCTCACATAGGTGCCTGTGAGGTCACGTAGTACAAGCCATGGCTCCCTTGGCTTAAGGAGCTGATGGAGGCTATACAGAGCTCCTTATGTCTCTAGTACAAATATGCACTTTAGATACTTAGATATTTAACTAGGGATAAGAAGTGGATATATATACACATTACCACTTTCTAAAGGTATTTACTGTAAATCCCTTAGCTGGATCTTATTATTATAATATATTTATGCAATCCAGTCACAGAATATGGATCTCAATGTATACAGTTGCTTCACATCACCACACCTAAGGAGGTTTCATTTACAGTTTTAATGAGGGGTGTGAAGAATCCGTGGTTAAAAAAGAGAGAGAGAGAATCAAGGAACTCCACTTATCAAATGCTTGTTGTAGTTGATCAAGGCATGTATAGAAATGTAGAAATATTTGGTGAGTCTTATTTTCCTTGGGATTTCCTCCACCTAGCTAATTATTTTCAGTTGCCTAGATTGGAATCCCTAGCAAAAGACAACCTAAACACTGAGCTTGACCCTGGTGCTGTTGTGGACTTTCACTGGAACTCATGGACCCTCTTGTTCCAAACAGGCTGTAGAAAATTAATGAAAAGGGAAAAGAAGATCTTGTCCTTGACATTCTGTACCTTCAAGGGAACAGGGATGCAGGGAAGCAGGGCAAGAGGGAAGATACTGCTAGAGGCCCAGCTACTTTTGGAGTAGGGTTCTAATGATGGAACAGTGAAGGTCAGGGACCCAAACCATCAAGTCTTCGTCTTCCTGCTTTGAAGTTCCCACAGTCTGCCTAATTCACCTAGTGGTTCATGTGAAAACTGTAATACTATGGTTTGAAAAGCTCCATTAAAACGCTAATTTTATATTGACGTGAATGCATCTGGTATTTGTACATCTTCTGCAATAGCAGAGGCTTTGGGCTGAGCACATTTCTAGACAGCAGAAAGATTGACTGTAGCATATGGGGAAAACCCTGGAACAGGCATCAAAGCATCGGAACCTGGATTGGTCCTGATGAGTTGTTTGATGGTCCCTTAAGAGACTGGGTTCTTTGAGAAATTTAGATGCCTCTTTTTTTTTTTTTTAAACAGTAGAACACTCTCCTTACGTTTTTTTTTTTTTTCCCAAATGAAATCATAAGTAGAAACCTAATATATATAAGATTTAATGCTGAGTTGGGACAGCCATTAAGCTCTCTTCTCCAGCAGTCCCTAAGCCACTTCTGCAGAGCCCCAGGACACAGAAAGTAGCTTGGGAATGATTAGATAATCTCAGTGGTTCTTGGACTGTGCCCCCAGAGACTGATTCAGCAGCACTGGGCAATGCCCAGGAATCTGAATTTTAAACTTCCCCTCACCCACTGAGTGATTCTGGTGTAGGCCTTGATGATTTAGTCATTTCTCAGAGTCTCTTAGTCTAAGTTGCTTTAGCTTTCTGAAATTTCATTGTACTCATCTGCAGACATGATTAAAATATCCTACTTCAAAGGTTTTTAAATAAGATCAGATGAGATAATGTATACAAAATTGTGACTTTTAAAATGACATCTGTTGAAAGATGATCTAAATACCTGACAGACTATAGAATACTGCACTGTTCTAAAAATAGCTTCCTGTTAAAATGCAGTCCAGAGAGTGTAAAAATGTCTTTAGCTACCAAACTTCTATGTTAAGATCTTCTAGAAAGAAGAACTCTTAATTTGGGTATTTTTCTTCTAACAAGAGGAAAGCAGTACACATGCAATCTGATTAAAGTAATATAGCTTTTAAAAGAATAGTACTTATTTTTACAAGAGTTCTTTTAGGAGTGTTATATATGACAGGGATAAAAAGGAGAATTTCTCTATTAGATATATACTCATCCAGCAACAGATCTCCAATTTGACAAGAGATTGAGGATCTGCTGCTAATTTTCATGGGATATAAAGAACATTGTCTCTTTTGGGTAAAAGACAGACTTGTACATATTTGAAGTTCAGTTCTAGAGTATGTTATGTTCACTTTGATGCTCAAAGCACTTGTTCATTTCAACATTCTCTGAACTTTATTTCCTCATGTATGAAATAAGCAGTCAGATGATTTCTATGTCTCTCTATAAGCATAAGATTTTGCAGTTTGTAAACAGCGCTCAACAGGGGATATGTTACCTCCAAACACCCATGCAGTCAGGAAGAAGGTGAAGCTATTGCTTGATTAAGTCATGTTAAATTTCATTTTGGCATCACCAGTATTTTCTGATGATTCTGTAGGATTTCCTGATTTAATATATTTACTATTAATTAGCCTACAATTGGAAGATACTCTAAGTCATTAGTCCCAAACCAGGCTTATCCCTGACCTACTGAAGAACAGAACTCTCTTGATTAGCCAGGTTTGAAAACCATTGCACAAGAGAACCATTTTTTGAAAAATTAACTTTTCCTGATGTGATATAATTAATCCTAATCAGTTGATTACTCTCATCTCTATGGACAGTGAGTTTGTTTTAATAGATGTGCTGTATCCACTGTGTGTGTGTCTGGTTTTTCAAAGGCATATGCACTGTTTGTAATAGTTTTAATAACTGTTCACAGGTGGGCAAAATACAATATATCTTGTATATCTTGTAAAGCAAAATACAATGTATCTTGCTGCAACATATACAACATGTCACTTGCTGCTCTAGCAGTCTGAACTTTCATCACATAATCATGCCAACTTTATCTTTCCAATAATAATTTCCTTTTGACTTTTTTAAAATAAATGCTTTTTTATGATGTTATAGTTATGGGGAATTGAATGTTAAATTGAAGTATACAAATGAGTAAGGTCATATTCTACCCCAAGATAGAATCAGATGAAAATCCTGGCCTAACGGGCTTACACAGATGCAAACATGTGTTTCTATACATCTCCCTATGGAAGCCACATGATAGGCACTGAGGGGCTCAGTTATTCCCCTCAATTCTAGAATTTCTTTTGTGGATGAAGGGGAAAAATTTTAACGGAAGTGAAATAGAAAAATGTGGAGGATAATAAGCTGCTATTGAAATAATTTATTATATTATAAATAACAGCCCCTTTTAAGCCCCGGCACTTGAAAAAAGACTGACATAGGGCTTTTCAGTGAATAATTTTTAAAAATTGCCTTTGGATAGCTTCAACATTTCCTCCTACAGCCTGGACATCTTCCTTGCACCTGTGCTTTTGAATGTTTCTCACAACTGGCTTAGAAAACGTTTGTATTGGTTGTGAGACCGCCGGTAGCCTTAATTTTTACTTCATTATGTTCTTCTGAACTTTGTTTTGATGGCAACCAATGT
This sequence comes from Homo sapiens, assembly GCF_000001405.40. NCBI lineage: Eukaryota > Metazoa > Chordata > Mammalia > Primates > Hominidae > Homo > Homo sapiens. The sequence continues at coordinate 148,672,877 of NC_000004.12, forward strand.
CCAAGCTCTGTTATTCTGAATCCCGTGCAAGCATATACAATATGCACTCTGATGATTTGGGTCCAAGCAATGCTAAGCTATAATAAGACTTCCTATCTGTTATCACAGGTAAAGGAAAAGCTTCAATCTGAAAATTTGAAATAGCTCTTTTCATAGCTAATTATCTTAGGGATGATGTTAGCATAAACAGAAACCCACTAAAACTAGCTTGAATAGATGGCGTGCATCTCATGATCTTTCTCTGGGAGCTAGAAAGTCTGATTTTTCCTTGTTTCCCCTCTCCTTGTCATTATAGGCAGAATGTCTTCAGTTAGTCTCCTTGGCTGCCATTCCCTAGGAGAGAGACTCTGATTGGCTCAGGTGTCATGTAATCAAGTCACCCTTCCTAGGGCTGGGGGTTGGTGGGGAGAAGAGTATAAGAAATGACGTGGAGGCTGGGGAGAAGTGACTGGTAGTTTGAGTAAATGACTCTTACTACTTTGCGAATTTGGGCCTTAATATCTATTCTGTGCTTGTCTTCTTTTTCCTAATGTACTGCCAAAGTTAAAGCATTTTAAAAATCAGATTAGCTAGCCTCGAGAGGCCTTATTCTTATATTTATTATTTGTGTGTGTGATGGCATGCTAGTCTTGGGACAGATGGCCCCAATCCTTTCCCTTGCCTTATCCTACTCTGGTCTGCATCGCAGGGGCAGTCGATGCTGGATGCCCATTGTCCAGCCTCCGATGATAGCATGGTTCACTAATAAACAGCACCTATGAGAGACTAAAATGTGGATGGAGTGGAGAAACATGGTGCTTCTTTCATCTTGCGCTTCCTCAGATGTTACCTAGTTTGGTGTCAGTGCCTTGTCTGTGGCTATAGTTCCAGCTTTCTCTATGGCCCAAGTGCCTGGCTTTTATAACATGTCTTCCTCTCTTTGTCTTTTCAGCTTAGGGAAGTAGCAGCTTCCTCCTATCCTAGTTGGCCTGTCTGTATCTATTTGATTTCTCATCTTCCCCCTTACCTATGTAGACAATTCTTGATATTAAATTTTCTCTGGTTTAAATACTTGCAGTGGTTTATATTTTCCTGTTCAGACCAAGATTGAGACAGATTGACAGATTATTATCAGTTTCAGACAGTGTTTGGACAGTGTGATGTAATAGTATATAATTGATTCTATTTGTCTCTTGTATTTTTTTTAATTAATGAAGTTCATTTTTTTTAGAGCAGTTTTAGGTTTAGAGAAAAATTGAGCAGCAAGTACAGAGAGTTTCCATATACCCAACTCCTCCACACACGTATCGTTTCCTCTGCTATTAACCTTTTGCATTATTAACAGTAGTGTGGTACATTTGATAAAATTGAAGAGACAATATTATACTTTTTATTATTATTATTATTGTTAGAGACAGGGTCTTGCTCGGTCACTCAGGCTGGAGTGCAGTGGTGCCATCTCAGCTCACTACAGCCTTGACCTCCCCTGCTCAAGCGATCCTCCCACCTTAGCCCCACAAGTAGGTGGGACTACAGGAATATGCCACTGTACCTGGCTAATTTTTGTAGAGATGGAATTTTGCCGTGTTGCCCAGGCTGGTCTTGAACTTCTGAGCTCAAGTGATCCACAAGCCTCGGCCTCCCATAGTATTGGGATAACAGGCGTGAGTCACCACACCTTACCTGATACACTATCATTAACTAAAATCCATGGTTTACATTAGGGTTTATTCTTTGTACTTTACATTCTCTGTGTTCTGATAAATGTATGATGAAGTGTACGTACCATTACAGTGTCATAGAACAGTTTCACAGCCCTAAAAATTCCCTGTCCTCCACCAATTCATCCCTCCCTCTTTCCTTCTGAACTCCTGTTCTGTCTCCATAGTTTTGCCTTTTTAGAAAGTCATATAGTTGGAATCATACAGTATGCATCATTTTCAAATTGGCATCTTTCACTTAGCAATATGCATTTAAGTTTCTTCCACATCTTTTTGTGGTTTGATGGCTCATTTATTTTTATTGCTGAATAATATTCCATCGTATGTCTGTATCACAGTTTGTTTATCCATTTACCTTGTGAAGGACATTCTTCGTTACTTCCAAGTTTTGGCAATTATGAATAAAGCTGCTATAAACATTTATGTGCAGGCTTTTTTGTGGACATAAGTTTTGGCTCATTTGGGTAAATACCAAGGAATGCATTTACTGGATCATATGCTAAGAGTATGTTTAGTTTAGTAAGAAACTGCCAAACTGTCTTCTGAAGTTGTTTTATCATTTTGCATTCTCACCAGCAATCAATGAGAGTTCCTGTTGCTCCACATTCTTGCCAGCATTTCTCGTCAGTGTATTTGGATTTTAGCCATTCTAGCATCATTTTTCCACTACTGATGATAACCCAACCTTTTTCTTTTCTGGTGGTGAAAAGATTAGATCAGTGGCTCCATCATGACTATTTGTAAATATGTTTTATTAATCATTACTATTTCTTAGGTCCTTGTCTGTTTTGAAAGAACCTGGTACCTGATTGCTTCTTTTGGTTCCCATTGCTCTTTGGAGTCATTGTTATTCTTTTATTTTGTTTTTTAATTGTAGTAAAACCAGGAATCAAGGATGCTGTGTGTGTGCTTTCATGCATGCTTGTGTATGCAATGCGCACCTAAGTGTGCATACATGAGGCAGGTGTAGAAAAATATTTCTTATATTTTCTACAAGTCGTTTTTTACTATGGCGGCCGATAACTCACAAAAGAGGAAACGGGATTATGTTTTTCACTATTATTTTAGACAGTGTTTCAGGACTTAGCCTATTTTTGCAGTGTCTTTCATGTCTACTCCCAATGCTGCAACCTTAGCTCAAGCCTTGATCTCTCACTTGGTTCATTCCAATATCCTCCTGTCTGGTCCTCTTGCCTGCATGCTCTCATTCATTCACTGCATGAACAAAACATCACAATCTATTGTGTGTCAACATTGTGCTTAGAAGCAAGGATACACAGGCCAGTGAGGTACTGGTCTGCCATCAAGGAACTTACAGTCTAATAGAAGGAAGAATTAGGTAAATACATGATTACAACAGAGTTTGGTAGGTTAAGCAAGAAAGATATCACACAACAAACCATCTACTTATTTGTGTATACCCCCATGTAATTGGTTTTGGATGGGAGACTGCTTACTATACCAATAATTCCCACAAACAATGGTGAGGACCTTAACTAATTCATAGGCAAAGATTTTAAAATCACTTGGTAGACTAAGCTTCGTAAAGCACAGTGCAGATCATGGCTGTTAAAATCCTTCAGTGGGTTTGCATTTACCATTAAACTACAGCCAAATGCCTTAGCTTGAAAATTAAGGTCATTCATGTCTTGACCTTTACCTCCCCCTCCAGCCTTGTCTTATTGTACTCCTGCAAATATATTGTACATCCTTGTTAGACCAGAATATTCACTGTTCCCCCACGCAGGCTTCATGTCCCTTCTCTGCTCATGCAACTCTGACTATAAAATTTTCTCCTGCTGTCAAAAATCTTACCCATCTTTCCAGTTCAAATAGCAGTATATCTGTTATTGAGATATTGAGAGATCTCTGGATACATACAATCTCCTGCTTGCTTCAGCCCTGCTAGCTATATACTTCTCCTTTTATGTTTTACCAGAAGTTGATTATTTCCATAATGCACATACTTGGATAGTCTTTTTAATAGAAGTTTCTTGAAAATTTTTCCTTAGGGCTGTGGACATAACATGACATATTTATTCAGTGAGTGAAAGGATGAGTTCTCCCTCTCTGTGAATGCCAGCTAGGTCTTAAGATTTGTAGTTGAGAAGATATAATTCCCAGGGAAGCATAAATCTCACTGTCCTTCCAACCAAAAGACCCAGATTTAACTACGGAATAATAAAAAAACTCTCTGTTGTACAAAAAGGATCAAGTCACTGTTTCGAATATTGCTTGTTCTTCCCACAGGTTTCCATTAAGGTTGTATATTACACTCTATAAATATCCTGACCTACAATTGAGTGATAGTTGTTTTCCCCCTCTTAGGGTTCTATCTTGTGTCTAGAGATTCTTGGGATTATGAGGAGACAAGTCAGAAGTCTTCTTTTTTAAGGGGAAAGAAAAGAGGGCTCCCTCTCTGGGAGCTTCTGTGGGAAGGAAGCAGGGAAAATGTGGAGTCACCACTTGGAAATGGCAAAAACAGACACCCACCCACCATACCTGTGTGATCATACAACTGACAAAACTGTTCCTATGGTCTCCCCAAATCAACCTGGGATTGATACGGGGCTGTTATTCACCACTGTTTTTGTGCCTGGCAAAGTACTAGACACTTTTACACGTATTATTGCTTTGGAAAAAACAAGCTACCAAATTTGTCAGCAAGGAGATGGCTTGATGAGAGTAGCTTTGGGGAGAGGTGGTTAATATATGGCTGAGTACACAGAAGGGACCCTGCAGTGAAGGCCATGTTTGAGATAGTAGGTAACAGGGAGACCCAGAAGAGGGAAAGAAAACAAATAAAAGCAATGCTTCAGGAAAATATTCATGGCAGTGTTTCCTTCCATGCAGGGAAGTTGACAGGAGAGGCCAACCTTAGCAAAGAGGACCTGTACTTGGGATGATCTCAAACATTCTTGGACCCCCCACCCCCAGCACATTGCTCTCTGGAGCATGTTATGGCTTTTGCTGTGTCTGGATTTTTGCATGCTTCACCTTTCCAGTTTGGAGCTCCAGTCAGCTCTGAAGGTAGAGATGAAAGCATCGGAAACACAGGTGTGGCAGGTGACCCACGGGAGGCAATATGGTTAAGACAGGAGATGCAAGGATCGAGGACTAGAACTTGGGAAGAGTTGTAAAGAGACAAGAGAGATAGGAGTCAAAGAATCAAAGGGATTTGTGAAAAGTTTGAGAGAGAAACACTGAATCAGTCTACTGTAGTTGCAGCAAAATCAAGTGAGTTTTAAGAAGAATGGTCTTTGGAGTCAAAGGCAGTGGAGCCTGTTAAGAATCTAGGAAGCCTAAACTGCAGCCCTGGTTAAAATGGATTACCCTCTCATCTCTGCTCACGTTGTACAGCTACCACTTTTGGAAGGATCAAATATATAATTGGCACCATAACCTCCCTTACACATATTATCTATTTAAGTCATTACAGCAGGTTTATGAAACAGATATTGTCATCACCAGTTATTTATTTATTGCAGATGAGGAAGCTCTACTCAGTATAAATAACTTGCCCAAGTTTGCATGGCTAGTAGAGCTGGGATTAAAACCCGGATATGTTTGTTTCCAAAGTCTGAGTTTTTAGTGCTGGTATTATTTTATGCTACTTGATTGCGTGTATGTGTCTTCCCCACATCCCCTCCAAAAAAGCTGACCCTTTTTCTATGGTTTCTTTGGTCTTTATTACTTTGTGCATATAGTAGGTGTGTGATGCAGATAAACTGAAAGAGTGAAAGGAGAAGTGGAATGAAAAAAAGAGAACATCCAGCGGATGATAGAGAACTAATTGCTACCTTCTCAAGTCCAATTGCAAAAAAAGCTACCTCTAACCTAAGCTTGGTTTACTATTCCCTCTCTCCCAGGTGGTCTGTAGGCAGCTCCAGATCTCCATGTCTACTTATCTGACTGTTCTAAGAACTATGCTGTAGCTACCCCATGACCATAATTATTAAGTGTAACATTCTAAATCTGTAGTAATTTTTGACTCACTGGCCCTTCCCATTTCCTGAACGTGCTAGCTGTGTAACAAAACTTCTATTTGCACAGTTTTCTATAGTTTTCCAAATGCACTGTGGGTTGATTTTGGTAAAAAGAACACTGAAGGAGTGTTGAGTGAAATGGGAGTATTTTGCTCACTCTAAATATAATATTTGATTTATCCCTCCCTGTCATCTGAAAAAGAGACTACCTACAGACTAAAAATACAGTAGAAAATAACTGCAGATCCTCAGATAAATATAATATGCAAAATGACTGAATAGTCAACTTTGTTTACAGACACTCCTGTGCACATCAGACAGATTTTCTCCTAGGTGAGTGAATGTTCAGGGACATGTGAAATACGGGTGGTGGATAGCGTTGTATTAAAATAAAAAGGACCGCATACAATAAAAGTTTAGAGTTTGAATGAGCCACAAGGATCACTGTATTCACATTGCCTCTCACAGATGAGGAAATGAAGATTAGCTAACTGGCCTTAAAGTCACAAAACTAAGAAGGAAGGGAGTCCATCTAGGCTCTTTCCATCCTATTCTCTGGTTACTGCAGCAAACTGCCACCCAAAACCTTTGCAATCCTCCCCCTCTAACTCTCCTGAAACCAAATACTGAGCTTTTCAAATGTTTCTAATCGTGGGTCTAGGAAATTTATTTTGAGATATTCATGCCAGTATCCATTTCTTGAGGCATATATAATAGAATAACTGGAAGGATAAAGAAAATGATTTCGGAGCTGAGTTGATTCATGGACTGAAGACATGTCTTGAGTGTGCCAGGCACTGTGCTGCGTGGGCAAGACCTAGGGGCTACCATGATGAGCCAGATATGGGCCCGGAACTTTAGGGCTTTAAGAATAGTGAAACTGGCTTCTTGTTCTGCCACTCAAGAACTAGACCTTGGGTTAGTTACCTAACTATTTTAGAGCCTCAATTTCTCCATCTATAATATGGGGATAATAATAACTCACAGAATTATTGCAAAAAGGTATACACAAAAATCCTAGTACACAGGAGCTCAGTGTATGGTAGCTGGTATTAGTCACTTCATTTTATAGGCTAGGAAAATGTGAAACTGGGATCCAGAACAGCCGAGCCATGTGCTGAGGTCCACTCAGGGGTCGGCAATGTGACTTGCCTACTGGTCCTTATTTAGCTGGCTGGGACTCTCTTCCCATGCTCAAGGATGTACCCTTCACTTAAATTTTGTTGAATAATGTCTTGTGTAGTAGCTGCTCTTTGTATTAATTTTTACATTGCAGTCTCTTGGAATGTGGAAGCAGATGAGTGAATGATCTAGCAGGTGTCAAGGGGAAAAAACCCCTGGAATTCTCAAATTGAATTCTTCATCTCTTACAATTGAAGGAACTTCAGAGGCCATTTAATGTATCCTCCACATTTGGTTATAAAAATAAAGTCTTTGCACTGGCTTTCCTAAAAGCTATCTGTTAATTTTAAAGGATGCTTATTATCATGGAATCATTTTATTAAAGCACACTCATGGTTATAGAGCTTGCCATTTTATAAGTTATGCATTTTAGAAACTATTCAATACTGGGTCCCTTTCGGACTGGCATGGTGGGTTTACTATTGTGCAAAGGAAAGGAAGGTGAAGAGGCAAATTGGTGCCCATTCAGTATATTCACATTATTTCAGAGAGATTTAAATTTAAGGGCAAATGAAATTTTAATAAGTACTCATATTTTTTGTTATCTATACAAAGCTTCATTTTAAGAAAAAAATAAAGTCTGTTACCTCTTTCAGGGCAGAGTTTTAGTGTGCTCGCTCTCGACCAAGGCTAGGAAGAGTTTTCCTCTTCATTGAAGTTCCACCTCTTGTCTGTTTTTTCATCCTCATTAGCCATATTTTCCCTGGGGTTTCTCCTCCCTCAGGATCACTGCGGAGATTGTGGCAAATGTAGAGCCCTAGGCTCATCCAGATCAACTGAATCTGATCTTCTGGGGCTAGGGTGGGGTGGTTTTGGGAGAATCCACAATTTAAACAAGTTCTCCAGGTGACTTTTCCCTATAATAAAGTTTGGGAACAACTACAGGTGTGTCTGTTTATTGTCTCCCTCTGGTCTTTGCTTTAAACTAGCAGTTCTCAAAGCTGGTTGCATGTACAAACCACCTGGGGAGGCTTGAAAAAATACTGATGCCTAGTGATCCTGAAACAATTGGTCTGGGATGGAGCACAGCCATCAGCATTTCCTCTAAGTGATTTTCATTTGAAGCCAGAGTTGAAGACCAAGACAATCCTTCAAGGATCCCTGCCTGATGTTCTCAATGCATCCTCCCTCTGTCCCTGTATTCTGCCCCTGTTCTATCACTTTCTAATTTGCTACTTCCTTTACTTGCATTGTACATCTTTAATTCCTGACAGATGGGATTCATAGACCATTTGGCATATTAAAAGGGATAGTGTAAAGCACAAAAACAGGAAGTAAGTCAGAATTTAACGTCCGTATTCCTTGCTTGTAACATCCAGGAAGGTGTGTTCTAGTCACCATCCTATAATTCAAATGATGCCCTTTGCACCTGGCTCTGTGATTCTGATTATAGAAGTGACACACCTTAAAGATAAAACAAGAGAAAATGAGTGATCCTATTGCTGCTGATGTTTCAGTTTACTATTATAACATTGGAAAGGGTCCTGGGACACATATTACCATACCATTTCTTATATCTCTTGTTACTTTGGGGGATTCAGGTTGAAGATTGGAGTTGACCCATTTCCTTCATTTTGTGACAAGTGGAGACTTTTCTCCTCTTTTGGATTTTAGTGATTGTTGTTTCATTCATTATCTTCACTTAATAAATAATTATTGGGCACTTCTGCAAGGAAAATGCATGACCACATGCAACAATATGAATGAATCTTGCTGACCTAATGTTGAACAAAATAATTCAGACACAAAAGCAAATTGTACTATATGATTTTTGTAAAGTAAAAGGAAATACAATTAATGTATGCTGTTATAAATCAGGATTGTGATTATCCATGGTGGTGTATTGCCTGGAAGGGACACATGAGGGGATTTCTGGGGTATAAGCAATGTTCTGTTTCCTAATATGGGTCCTAGATACAGAGTGTATTCAATTTGTAAGAATGGATTGACTTATTTTCTTATGATTTGGGCATGTTTTGTAGCTATTCTATATTCCAATACAAGTTTAAAAACTAAATAAAGAGAAATATTTACTGGGCACTGCAAGCCACTGGGGATTCAGTGGTACATGAGTCAGACACATACCCTCCCTTTATAATATATACAGTCAGTTTGGGAATACAGGCAAGTTAGAGCAAATACAGTATTACAAGGGTTTCTGGAGAAAATGACAGCTAAGATGAGCTTTGATGTGTGAATAGGAATTGACTAGTATAAGGGCTGGGGAAAGGAAGGGTGTTAGTGGCAGCAGCAACAGCATGGACATAGTTCTGAAGGATGAAAGGGCAGGTGGAACAGACAAACTGTGGTGTGACTGGGACATAGTGAGTAAGGGAGCAAGGGATGGAAGAGGAAAACAGATAGATAAACTAGGGCTCCTTTATAAGCCATTTCACAAAGTGGGCATTATGCTGAGGTCAAACTTTCATTGAGGGAGACATAGAAAAGTAAGTACAGTCTTTATCTGATGTCGCTTTAGAAGAATTACTGTCACAACAGACTACAAAGTAGATTGGAGAGGGCGAGTCTGAAGGCTGGGATGCCTGTAATCCAGGCAAGAGATCATGGGTCTCTAGCGATGACGATGGCAGTGGGGTGGGGAGAAGTATTGGGAGACATTTAGAGAGTAGACTTGCCAGGAGTTGGTGCTAGATTAGAAGTGAGAGAGAAGGAGAGGTCGAAGTTGAGCAGCTAGATAGATTGTGAACTCTGGCAGGAAGTTGATGAGTTCGGTTCCGGACACAGAGAGAATGAGACTGTCCCAACTCCAGCTGAGAACTCGTCTTACAAAAGTGAGTTTTCCTGCTCTGCCTCCAATCTTTCCTAGGAGCAAGAGCTATTTCCAAACAACCACATTAATGGTTAAATGAAAAGGTGCTGCTTGGTTCATTCATTGGGCAACACAAGACGAGTCTCTTAACCACTAGGTTTCTCAGCTTCTTTCCCTGTAAGATGGTGGCAAGCAGCATGCCCCTCCTATCCACCGGGAAGTGAGATGACAAAATGGAATTCCAATTCTAATCATGTTACCTAAATGCAAGAAGTTGTTATACTTGTTATTATTGCATCACACTTAGTCTTGGAGAACATTTCCCAGTGTTTTCTTTTAAAACTGATGTTAGATAATGTAAAATGTCTACATCCTCTCTAACTTCATGTTGATATGAAAAGCATTTCTGATATTGGTGGAAAAAGGGCTGGAGTCAGCCCCTCCTTTATTTTTACCTTTGAATTGGGATCTTTCTGTTCCCATCTCTGTCATTTTGTCATTTTGGGTCATCGTGTGTTTCCAACAAGTTGCTCTTGAAGTTTATGTTCTTCCTGAAGCTGCATGAGGATGCTTTAGTTCTGTAACTGATACCACCATCCCACAGGTGTGTATGTAGCCCTGTTCTGCAACCAGGAAATCACTTGGGAACCTCGGCCCCTATCTAAAGTCCAAATGACTACAACAGGTCCCTTTCCTTCTCTCTGATTCCAATTTTTTTTTTTTTTTTTTTTTGAGATGCAGTCTCACTCTGTCGCCCAGGCTGGAGTGCAGTGGCACAGTCTCGGCTCACTGCCACCTCCGCCTCCCGGATTCATGCCATTCTCCTGCCTCAGCCTCCTGAGTAGCTGGAACTACAAGCGCCCACAACCACACCCAGCTATTTTTTTGTATTTTTAGTAGAGACGGGGTTTCACCGTGTTAGCCAAGATGGTCTCGATCTCCTGACCTCATGATCCACCAGCCTCAGCCTCCTAAAGTTCTGGGATTACAGGTGTGAGCCACTGCGCCTGGCCCCCAAATTTTCTTAGTTGTATGTCTAAGGAAATGAATGAAAATCTTTCTTTTATCATGTGTGCTTTAAAGTTTTTCCAGCATGAAAGGTCAAATTTAATTATGATTTCTTCACAATTTACGCTAGAAATCACAAAGTGTAAGATTACTTATATGGTTGCCTAAAGTTTCTAAGTTATGTTCACTGTGTGATTTTGAGGCGGCCTGACTTAACCATATATCCTCCTGAAGTTCTGAAATGATTTTGTAATCATCATATATCATTATGAAGGTTTATTATTTTTAATATTAGGCAAAATATAAATAACTCTTTCATGGAAATATTAGATGTTAGGATCAATTTATATAGTTCTGTTCCAGATACAATAAATAACCTGGTGGTTGTTGAATATGTAATATTACATGGTGTTAGAAAAGAATCAATCTGACTAGATAATTTATTACATATTTAATTTACTTTCAGCATGTCTGTGTATCCTACTGCCTTTCTGAGTATTGAAGTTGTGCAATGATCTTTATGCTTAGAGATTCCAGATATATTTCTGGTCATTTTCTTTCTTATATCTGTTCTACAGTTCCTTAATTCTTTTTTTACCTGTGCCCAAACCATTCTTTAATTTGTCCACTAAGATTTTTTATTTTACTGATTATAGTTTTTATTTCTAGTATTTCTGTTTAGTTGCTTTTTAAAATCTGCTTGTCTTATTTTTGCTTTACAAATTATATAATTTCATTGATTTAACTCAGCATTGAAAACACTCATAGGTTGATTTTTCCTGTAACTCTTAGGTTGTGAATTATGCTGTTTGCTGTATCAGCTGATTCATTTCTGTGCTGGTTTGTTTTCTTCTGCTGTAATGTCTGACTGTGACCTTACCTATTGTGAAAACTACCACATGCTTTGCCTAAGGGCCGCAACATTCAGGGGGACCCAGTTTCCCCAAGACAGACCTTGTCTTGTACCTTCCTATTTTCAGACCTGCCTTCCTCTCTACTTCCAGAAGTGCCTGGTGCTACTGATTTCTGAAGCACTATCCCATGAAACTATACTCTTCTATTTTCATTTCGTCCATATAGTTGTGGATAAGAAACAGCCATATTTGAAAGCTTAAATTAAGAATATTTTAAAACATGAATGTAAAGGACTTTAACTATGACCAAGGGGTGATGGCTTTACTGTTCATACATTAATTAAGCACACATGTATGATCATATAATGGCCATTGGAGACACAAAGCTGAGCAGAGTTTATCTCATTGAGGAGACTGACAAAGGAACAGTTCTTTCACAATCTGATAAACACTATTGCAGAACAAAGTGTTCTGGGAGAACAGGAGAGATAATAATTATAGCAGCAGTTTATGAATATTTATTTTGTGCCAGGCACTGTGCTAAAGATCAAATTTTAATGAGAGCTCTGAGAGTCAGCTAACAGTGAAAGACACATGTTAGTATCCTCATTTGATAATTGAGAAAACAGAGTTCATCTGTCGAACAAGGGTTATACCCCTAGTAAGTGACAGAACTGGCTTTTCAAGCATACCTCTCTTGCTCTAAACCACTCTTTATGAGGAGAAATGGGGGAGGACTTCAGACGGGAGATGACAACTGAGCTGGGTCTAGGATGAGAAGGCATAGGCCAGGCACAGATGTTCTTGAAAAAAAGTCCTAAAGGCATATGGGGGTCTGAAAATGGGGAGCAGCTTGCAGTGATGGGGACATAGGAAATGTGGGAGGCAGGGTGAGTGAGGAACGAAGATGGGTCTGGAAAGGTAAAATGAGGGACTGGGTCCTCAAGACCTTACAGCCTATCACCATCCTGGCCAGCAATAGCACTTCACCAGGATTCAAGAGGAGTAAAGGGGTAAGGGATAAAATGGAAGTTAGGGGTAAGTATACCATTGATGTACATTTAAATAAGAAAAAGGTAAAGTTAAGATATTGGCCTTCTGAATGAATTCTCTGTTACCGTTTGCTTCGTGGGAATTTTTCATGTATGATAGAGCTACCGTCAAATATGTAGGCTGCACCTACCATTCGGATGTGGTGTTTGCCCTGCAAACACTGATGGCCTCACTGCACTGTCCTTCCCTTGCTGCAAAGCATCTGTTTCAGTTTATTACTGAACTCCACCTCCGGATTTTCAAGCAGCAACTTCTTTTAAAAATGATTTGCTGTGGGTGAACTTTGCAAGAGAACAAAAACCCCAAAATAGCTGTGTTCTGAAGAGTATATGCCCTATGCCCTATTTAATGACTTTAGGCAACCAAGCTAAAGACATAGTAATAATTAACAATAATAAAACTTGTGGCAACGTTTAGAGTAGTGCCAGTGATCTGTGGGGTTTTATCATTTTATTGGCATATGAATGTTTGGTTATCAAATAGGCAGAAACATCTCTCCATAATGTATCATCACTCAGGTATTGTGCTGTAGATTAGGGTTTTTTTCAATGTCACAGTGACAGTTTTTCAAATTTGTGTAGGAAAATCATGTTTTTTGAAGCATTCTTCCATATTCACAGAGAGATTCCTCTATTTCACTAGTGTATATTTTAGAAAAAGTGAAGACATATAAAGAGTTGCTATTTATTGCGGCACTTTGTTGATACAGATACTTCGTTTTCAGGGATGTGTGCAGATTTATTAAACAGAGGCTATCTGAGCACACTATTTCATTTGAAATCCCAATGAAAGTGTCTTGTCACTTGCACAAGTTTGGTTGAACTTGTATGCTTGGATTGTGCTTACTGTCAGCTGTTCCTTTCATTTCAGTGTGGGGCAATCACTAACTTCTTGTATTTATTTCCATTTTGCCAATTAACTTATTAGTGCAAATTTGTATGTCCTGGTTCTTCTAAGTCTTTGCCAGTTACTTTGGAACACTGAACACTTAACTGTGCTTGCTCTGGGGTACTAGCAATGAAACAGTAATTAACTGAGACAGTTGTATCTTTTCCTTAAAAGCTAGAGAATGGGATTACTCTCCAATAAACAGGCTGAAAGCAAAGTAATGATAACTCTTTTGATAACTCATAGTTAACATAATTTTTTACATTAGTTAAACACTACAGAAATTAAAACTAATGAAATTATGGTTTGTCAGATGTAATAAAATGCCAACACATCAAATCTGGCTTGGCTCAGCAATGCTCTAGAATTTATATGACGTTTTAAATGAATCATAAAATGTTAATTAAGCAGAAATCTTGACCAAATCCGAGTAATCTGATTCAGTCCGGCTGTAGCTATGAAGCAAATAGAATTTTCTTTTCTAATTACATTTTTGTTATCTTTAAAAATCCATTTATGGTTATTGAAGAACAGACTTAGAAGTAACTCTTAAAAGTGCTTTAAAATTAATCTCTTTTTTCACTTCCAACATTTTGGTCATTTTCCTGTGGTGAATAGTGAAATGGGGGATGAATTATCCCAAATGCCATCTCAATAGTTAGATTGAACTTCAGAGGCTCTTTGTAGCAATCAATAGATTAGCAACATATGCCAAGTCTCTACTGATGCATCTAGATAAGGATGCTAAGGAACTGAGTAGATACTAAACACACACCTAAGTGTGTGTGTGTGTGTGTGTGTGTATACTGTGTCTATGTGTGTGTGTGTATATATATAGTGTATATAAATATACATAGTTTGTGCATATATATGTATATATGCATATATACTGGTATTTGTATATGTATTGTGTATATGTATACATATAGTACAGGTATTTGCGTGAATGTTTATGTGTATATACATTTTTTCCAACCCATTATGATTTTAAAAGCTGTTTAATATGAATCTGGTAATTTAAAAGTGTGAAATCCAGGGATGATATGAGAGGATTTTTTTGTGTAGTGTGACCTTCAGGTACTTGGTTTGGGGCACAGATGAAGATAGAGATGAGGAGAATCTGAGTTGGGACATTCTGAAAGTGATATAGAGGGAGAGATATTCTAGGTATACAAAGTTCTAGTGTATTCAATGGGAGCAGCAACCCCTTACTCATTCACTTCTTAAAAGTCTTCAACTCAGTTTACTGGGAGATCTTCTTTGAAAAAATGCCAATATATTATCCATTTAATTATGTAAATTTAAAATACTTATTTTTTTAAAGCTTACACAGCTATTTTTGTAGATATTATCTGGTTTCACAAAATCAGAGATTTTTAGGTAGTACTTTAATCAGCAACTTTCTTTTCCTGAGTTTGATTCAATTAGTTCTTCAGCAAGAGGTCATGGTCATTGCTGACATTTTCTCGGTTGTAGCATTCTTTCTTTTAGAATCTGAGTCTCTGGACAATAAGAATCTGTGCAACCAGGGAGGGAAAATTAGCTTGTGTTAGATTTCCATATTCCCAGGGAAGTTCATGTCTTCGCTTTGTAAAAGCTCTCCCTGTGGTTTATAGTTTGTGCCTTTCTCCTTTAGGGCTCAAGTGTCTGTTTCCTTCAAAATTTACTGCATTTCTGAAAAGAAAAGCTAGTACAACTATTTTTATGTGGATGTGTCCATACTAGACAAAAATATTTTAACTTCATTCGTATCAAAACCTAAGATATTTGCAGATCTTTTTCATTAGAAGGCTAATGGCTCATTTGAACATCTGTTTCTTTGTTTTCCTTTAGGGATTTCCAACTATTCCCTAACCTCTGAGTGAGTGTGACAAAAATTACTCTACTGCTCTGTGTTAATGTGATATAACATGAAATGTATAATCAGATGCTCCTTTCTAATAGACATCTCAATCTCAGCATATCCAAAGCTGAACTGCTGATATCCAAACCCCAGGCCACATGCCCTACCACCCCCCTCCCCTCTGGCAGCAACCTGCTATTTTCTCCGCCTTTTCAATACCAGTTGATGACAGCACCATCTTTCCAGCAATCCCCATATCACCTTGGCCCACACCATCCTGGTCTACCTTCTCTATCTTACCCTACTTGACTTTTTCTTTTCCCCATAGCACTTATCATCTCGTAACACACTATATGATTTACTCATTCATAATGTGTATTGTCTATTGTCTGTCTTTCTGAATTAGAATTTAAGATTTCTCAAAGGCACAAGGGCAAGGATCTTTGACCCAAATGTCTAAAATAGTGCCTCCTTGGAGGGCAAACAATAAATATTTGTAAATAAAGGATGAAATAAGCAATGAAAATATTCCATAAGAGATTCTTGAGTTGGCTATTTTTATTGTTTGGAAGTAGCTAGAAGTAATCAATATCAAATAATCCCTTGCTGACTATCCAAGTTAGAATTATCCCAGATTTGCTATGATTTGGCTGTAAAAATAAGAGTGAGCTGAGTTCGGATGGTTTCTAAGGACATCCAGCAAGTAAAACAAAGTGTAAGGACTAGAAGAATGCTTTCTAATTTACCAATAGTTAATTTTTGATAGATCTCTGATATGCAACACTTCGAGAACTGGTGCACGTAGAAAAAGACGTTCGCTATGGTCTTGAAAAAAATCCAGTTGATATTTTGCTGCCATTCTTCTAATTCAGTATGGTCACCTTATTCAAAGAGCTCTGCTCTGATCCTGACAATACTCAATACATTTGGATGATTAAATTTTTTTCTGCTTAAACTCTCTCATCTCAGCTGTAGAAATTAGAATTAGGTAGTTTTGCTTTGTTTCTGGCCCTAAGCAAGAAAATAAATTTGTTTTCATTAAAATTTTTCTTAGAACATGGGGGAAAAAGTAATGAGAAGAAAGAATTCATATTTCATTTTCTTTTCAGACAAGACAGAAGCCTATTATTGTTTATAAGATAAATTGTATAGAGAATTTGTGGGATGCCAAAGTTGAATTTTATAGTGAAAAGAATTATCATTTTGGTTTTTCCAGAAAGACTGGCTTTTACTTAATGTGTTTGATTAAAGAGTTTGAATGTCAGATACATTGTTTTGAGTGACATTAATTCATTTTCTATACTTTAGTTTGTAGGACCAGTGTTTCAATTTATATGATGATCTGCTTCAAATTGACATAATAGAAATTGTTAGAGTTTTAGAACCAATGGGACAGGAATAAAATGATTAAACAACTTATAATCTGTGGTTCTATATTCTGATGGAAACCATCTGAAGATTTATACAACTTCAGAATTGGAAGGAACTTGAAGATCTATTTCAAAAAACTAATTTTATATTGGTCGGAGCTATGACTAAGAGACATTCCATGACTTGCCCAAAGGTTTCCCATCACACAGCTAGTTAGTGGCAGGACCAGAGCTAGACCCAAGCATGATGACCAATGGGGCAGAACTTTTTCATGGTGTAGTTTGCTTTATATGATTTTTTCCTTCTTAATATCAGTTTAATTTTATTATTGATATTATCATTGGAATATGAATTCTGTCATGTTTAAAATTTCACTTGTTACTTTTGATGTTTTTAAAAAACATGTTTAAAATAAGTTTTGTGAATATTTGTGCTTTCTTTTTCTGGTTCCTTTTGAAAAAAAAGAGCCCTTGTCTGAATATATATGGTTGCTGTTCATATATTCAAAACCAAGCCTTTCAAGAATTCGAGATATATCATAGTTTATTGTGTTATTTTCCATTCGTGGGATGTTTGCCTCCTGGTTAAATTTCTCTTTTCTTCTGTGGTAGTTATGCTCGACTTACCTTTTCAGTCTCTGCGTTCTGGATGGTGACTGAGCAATCGAAGGACAGTAGAGGTTTAAACCAGATTTAGGTGCTGTGCTAATGGTTGTGTCCATTTTAACTTTCCAGAAGCTGAATTTTGAGCTGAAGGATCTGCGACCTTGGAACCTGACTTTCTGCTTTAGCTTGGCTGTTGAGAACGTTCTTGATTGTGGAGAAGTAATTCCTACTAGGAAGCAATTTGTATCCAAGAGCTATCATGTTTCAAACAGCATTAGTAGAAGCATTTAGCAGTGCTGATCAACTTGGATAAATTTGGAAGAGAAAACAGAGATTTGTAAATTATTATGGGAAACAGAATCTGCAGATTGGTGGGAGGAGGGAAAAAAGACTAGAGGAGGAAGGAAGCCATATCCTAAAAAGACAAGAGCTTGGTTATATACTGGCGGTGTTGTAGGGAGAGAGAAAATTGCACTAAGCTGCTCTAGTGTCCGGCTCCCTCTGGAAAGCACTGTGATTTGGGGTAAAATAGCCTCGGATGGCGAGCAAGCAGAATTAAAGCCCATCAACCCAGGAGCGCCTGGCTGACAAGTCCAGCAGTAATGGTGAGGAGAGACAGCAGTTGATCTGGAATCAACCGAAACCTGGTTCCAGAGCTTGGTAGGTGCTAACTGCAAGGACATACCTTGAGGAAGGAGTTTCTTGCACCAAGAATTGGATCTTCAGGAGGGAGCAAGCTATGATAAGGAGGATGATGAAACACGGGAAGCTGTTAGGCCTGAGCAGGGAAACAAACATACTTTACGATCTGATAGGTCAGCCCGGGAAGGACATAACCCCAGAAATTGTGGGCGATGTAAACTAGCTTGTATATGTTAGGTCTCCCTAGACTTTTCAGTGTGTAGACACAGTGTATCTTGTTAGTATTAGATATGTTCATTATGGCAGGTGTCTGTTAGTAATCTGTCTATTGTCAATCCTTCTCTCTCTGGTTCCCTTTCCCTCATTAGATTTTGCTGGATAGAAGAGTGACTGTACTGCCTATTGTTCCACACTGTTCCATACCCTGCCCACCCAACTTAACAATTGCACCCCCACCCCCATCTCCACCCTCTAGCAAGCTCCCTACCTGGCCCTATTTCTATCCCCTTGGCATTTATCATCATCTAATATTCTATATAATTTACCTACATATTATATTTATAATTTATTATCCATCTTCTCCTCCCGGAATGTCAGCCCCATGAGGGTGGAGGATGTTGTCTGTTCTCAGTTTTTGTTTCCCGAATGCCTAGAACAGTGCGTGAGGGCTTAGGAAGTTATTGAATGACTAAATTTTGACTAAATTGTTGGGCCCCTCAATAAATATCTTGATTAGTGGCATACATCTGATGGTTCTGTCATTCTCTGTTCCTTGCAAGTAGGGCTGCAAAGCCAGATTTTAAAATTAGCATAGTCTCTTGTTTCTCTCTGAGTTGGGGGCAAGTACAACAGGATTGGCCTGAAAGGAGAGAGATAACATAAATTAAGATGGGAGTGGCCTGGGACCCAGAAAGACTGAAGCACAATTTAAAGGTCTTTCTGCTCGAGTTGACTCTAATTCGAAAAGGCCCAGAATTTCCCTCAGTGTCCAGCTTACAGTTAGGAGACCTTGCGTATAGTTTTGTTTCTGTCACAAATGTACTACTTGATGTTGAACAGATTACTGTATTTGTTTCATTGTTTATGAGATGAGGGTAATAAAAGTTTACCTTTTTGTGTTGCATAAAGCTTTTTAAGATAACAACATGAGATACAGTAAAATACTTTAAAAAGTTGAAGATGCTAAACATTTGTAAACACATTATTATTATTAAAGCTTTTATCTTTAAATCTTTTCCCTAAGATACCATATCCCAATGTGTAGGCCAAGATTTTAAGGCTTGATATATAATTGTTTTAGCTAATATTGTTTGCTTAGTTTCTATATGAGACATTTCCTGGTTTAGAATATCAATGAGTTTTTGTATGATACTTATTTTGTATCTTCTTCATTCAGATATGAACATAAGTTACTCCACCGGCAATCAGAAAATGATGTTTGACTATTTATGATCACTGACTTGGGCTGAGAAAATCCTGGATTTGAAGTGAGGAGTGGGATGGAGGTTGCATAGAGCGCCTGTGGGGGAAGCCTTGGCAGGTACCGAGGAATGAGTTTGGCAGGAACTAGCCCATCAGGTGCATGGGCCATAAAATGAGGCCATGAGGGACGCAGTGTTCCTGATGACAGTGTTAAATCCGTTTCAAATAAAGTGAACTGTTTGCTTAAACTTTCCTGTGTTCCCTCAGACCTTTGGCGCTGAGAACCAACTCAATATAGAAATTAGCTCACCCAGAGACTGCGGGGCAGAAAGACTCAAAGTACAGACTGTTGTGTCAAAATTGTGTTTAGTAACACAAAACTCTCAGGAAATATTTGCCGTGTTGCTTTTTAGAACTTTCTAGTGTGAACAAAATTTCCTCTTCTTCTGTTACAGCTCTATTATATCTTATCAATCATATTCTTTTAGCATAACATTTGAAACAAAGTTTTTACCTGATGAAATACATATGTATTCAGCTTTCTGACAAACCTCTGCTCTTTTAATTTTAATTTTTTGTTAAAATTATGCAAAGAAAATTGCATCCCAAGGAAGCATTGATTATACCTATTCTCATGGTTATTTCGTGTTTTATTTTTATTTTTATGTGAATTCTTTTTCGACGACCTTTTCTTCAGTGAAGATTGTTTCAAGTAAAGCTGTCTGATATAGAGACATGGTTGCTAGGGAGACAGAGTCATAATGGCTGATGTTACCAGGGAAGGTAAAGCGGTGAGTCCCTGATTATAGAAGAGAACAATTTTTCATTCTCCTTGAAAGCGAGTCTTCTTTATACACAGATGACAAGTTCACTAACTCAGTAGAAATAAGACTTCAGAAAGAAATATTAAATTTTAATGTTTCCTCAGAGTGATGTAAACCTAAAGACATTTTTTTAGGATGAATGAATGAGTTTATGCTCACCGATCTCTCAATCTGTGGTGAATATTCTTTTGGAAAAACCAACATGGTGCAAATCTTTTGGTTTATAAAACTAGGTAAGCTCTCTAAGCCCTCGGTCTCATCATCTGGGTTGGATGAGGAATCTTTGTTTAATATTTCTCCCATATTCATATTTGGTTATGTGCAGATCAGTAAATACTTACTGTGATCCACTATGTGTGAGGCATATTACTGGGGACTTTTCATACATTTTCTAATTGAATTCCATAATCCTGATGCAAGGTATTGTCATTTTAATAAATACTAGAAAGTATTCTATGCAGTGGAACAGGAGGGATCTGAATCCTGTTCAGTGCCACTAAGTTCTTTCTGTTGAAACATCTCGTGTAATTCTATAGCTAATGAAGAATTGAATAAATACACAAATATTCCAATTTCATGTAAGCAACAACAGCACAGGTCCTTTTTCTGTTAGTTTTACCAATACTTTTGAAAATCCATAAATGATAAAGTTTAATGAAATAATTTTAGGAGATTATCCTGGGTTTTGAAAAACAAAATGTGCTAAACCTTACTTAAATTTACCATTCAAAAGCTTGATTGGTTCCTTATTGTTTGGGTCTCCTTTAGAATGGTTAAAAAAACCCTCACAATGTAACTCAACTGAAAAGAAAAACTTACTTAATATCTTGTATGTAATATTGTGCTAGAATGGGTAAAACTGCCATGAAGTTCTTTATTTATATAAAGAATTCAGTGGATATATTATCAGATTATAAAAGGAAAGCATTTTTGTAGAAATGCCCCTTCAATATTTTAAATTGGCAAACAGTCAATCCTATCACCCATATGTTGACCTTCAATTTCAGATGTCTTCATCTGCAGTACCCTAGAACTCTTTAGTGACGTTCCAAGGCCAGAGCCAAAGAGCATCTGCAGCTTAGTCTGAGATAAGGGAGTTTTCAGATTACGGCATCTGACCAAAGTACATGGGATCAACCACTGTCCTTTAAGAAAAGGTTGCCACTGTTTTGCTTCATATGTGAAGAAGGCATGAGTCAAGCTGAAGAATAAATTGGCACCCCATTAGATTGAGAAGCCACATCTTGTAGCCCAGAATATCTTTTAGAAAGCAAAACTGGATTAAAAAAGAGAAAGAAATGTTCTTGGAGAGCAAGAATTGCTCTTGGAGTGCAAGTTGTATGACCTGAGTGAGATTTATTGAGGCAATTGTGTCTGGGTTTTCAAAAGTACTGGATAATTTTATGATCACCACTAGCCACTTAGAGCCTGGTCAGTGGAGATATGAGAGAAAGGTTATTTAAGGCTTCTGAATATGAGCTTATTGCCCCTGGGAATTAGGATTGAGAGTCTTTTCCATGCAGTGCTTTTTCCTATGCTATGCTATGCTATACTATTTTTTAAGAAGCAAAAAAGAAAAAAGTTAGATCCCTTCCTCTGAAATACCTTTTGCTGATTGCTATAAGGGGCAGGACATTTGATTAGGTGGACTAGCTCAAGTATAGCAAATGCCACCCTACTTTAATAGATGTTACTTAGAAACATAGTGTTTTGGGATCACTACCTTAATGGTTATCTACAAATTTAACACTGCCAATCTCTTATCTCCCAGAGGGCGTGGGCAAATTTTTAAATGACTCCAATTTTAGTGTTTGTGACACTGTGCATTAGATGTAAGCCTTTGCAGCAGACCTGAATCTTGAACGCAGACCGAGATAAGAGATTTATTTAAAAGACAAGACTTGTTTCTCCAACTGCTGGATGCTCATAAAACGTGGCAATCAGATAGAGCTGTGTGGGTTTTAAACAAGGAAGAGAGAGGAGGTATTCTTCCACACACTTTGTGATTTTTATCTATAAACCAACTTTCAAGGAAAAGCCTTATAGTCACAGTAAGATGCCATATCTACGCAAGTTATTAAGGGAAATAGTGACATTAATCTGTAAGATTTTGTTAAATGAGCCAGTTTTACTGTTTTAAGGGATTCAATTGATTTAGAGTCAAAATAGTCAAATTATTTGTGTAAATTTCCCATATTGACATAGTATACGGATTATATGGGTATGTACACTTCACAAAGCATCCAGAAATTAAGCAGGAGGCCTTGTGTATGTTTAATATGGGCCTCATATAGAACAGAAAATTATACATTCAATTCAATCCCAAGATATCTATTGAGTCTTTATTTTATGTCAGGCATTGAAGCTGTGACTATGGATTGGCTACGGAGAAAAACAATTCTACCATTAAAAAAAAAGCATATTTACTGAGTACAACACTGCTAGTGAGACAGATTGTACAAAACAGATCAGGATTATTTGACCTTAGTTGCTATGTCAGCCTTCATTACCTATTCTAAAGCATGTAGATATTGGTCTGTTACAGCAAAGACCCAAGAGAACTGCATATTTTTAGGTTATTAATCACAAAATTAAAAAAAAATGATTTCATGAACATGTAAAATCTTCTTTGTTCTTTGGACACACAGAAATTATTATTGCTACATTTTTTCTTTTCTTTTTATTCTTTTTTAATAGGCAGTAGCTATAATTGATTCAGCACTACTTTACCAGAATAAGTAAAGGTGTATTTGCCTTGCATGATATTAAATTAAATCTGTTTCAGAGATAAACAACTTAAAATTTAATGCTTCACACTCAAGAGTGCGTCTGTGCCAATATTTAAATAACACAATACATCTATCTTTCAGACTTTGATTCAATGTTTTGGTCTTCTTTGGTTTTAGGCTTTTATTGAAAGCTTGAAATGTATCTAATCCTTCTCTTTTCTGGAAAGGTGAGAGTATTGCTCCAAACTTTGCTCAATTAAAGAAATTGTGCAAATCTTATATCAGATTCTCCTACTGAGTTATTTATTTGACCAGTTTAGAGCAAGACTTAGTTTGCCTCATGATTAACATAAGGCAAATAATATAATATGGCGTTACTTGTATTGTTCTTTCAGTATATTTGATAGGAGTATAGATTGACCACAGCATCTAATATGTTCTTATAAAGAAATTTGTTTCATGTCCTTCCTCACCTATGTGAATCACTCCCATTCCCCAAATAACTGAAGGTGAGGCATTCCTTCTAGGATTTTTAAATGAATATAGTTATTTCTTTTTCATTTTTCATATATCAGATGAGCCAATGGAGTGTGACTAGAATACATTTTCCTTTTCAAGAAATTTTTTCTTCTTTATATTGGCAAATATTCCTGCTGTACTACCTCCTTCTTTATGGAAAGTGTGTGTGTGTACATATAGTTTGTATTATATGTATAATACGTAGATACTTTATGGAGAGAGAGAGGAAAAGTATGTGTGTGTCTATACATATATACATATATATACACATATATGTATAGACACACACACACACACAGATTATCCTTGACATAATGAAGTTACATCCCAATAAACTCATTGTAAATTGAAAATATCATATGGCAAAAATGCATTAAATATGCCTAACCTACTGCACATCATAGCTTAGCATAACCTACCTTAAATATATAGTCAGAACACTTACATTAGCATACAGTTAGGCAAAATCATTTAACACGATAATTTATTATTTTATAATAATGTGTTGGATGGCTCACATAATTTATTGAATATTATACTGCATGTGAAAATCAGCAGGTTGTATGGTTACTCGAAGTATGATTTCTATGGAATGCCTATCACTTTCCCAGCCCTTTTAATGTTGAAAAATGGTTAAGTTGAACCACCATAAGTTTGGGAACCATCTGTACATATATGTGTGACACAAGCATTTTGCCTCATGAGACAAGGAAGTGTAAGAAAAAAAATTAGGAACCTACCATTATTTCTTCCATTTGGGTAAGTTTCTAAAGCCTAAAGATTTCTAAACTTGGGCAAGTTTCTAAACCTTTAAGAACTGCAGTTTCTTTATTTGCAAAACAGAGCTAATCGTATCTACCTATTTTGGGTTTCATGAAGTTTAAATTAATGTGCAAAGCAAATCGATTATGACAAATTGTAGAAAAGTGTCAGCCTTTTCCTCCTTAATGTTAGTTAGTGAGTATATTAACAGGACAAAGCAAATTATTCTTTACTGTTTTCCATGAAGATCCGTGAGAAATAGTATGACTATGTGTTACATTTTTAATATATAAGATTGTCAATCTGAAGAAATGGGATTTAGTACTAGGAGATAATGATGGTATTGTTTAACATGTTTTCTCAGATGTAATCAAAGTACACTCATTTGAAATTGTATTAACCATTGAAACTACTCTCTAGTTTGACAAATTATTTCAGTGAGTGGAGTTGGTTTTGAACATTGTATTTTTCCCCCTGAAAATATTGTGTACAACCAAAATGTATATTTTTTACCATGCAAATACCCAGTTCATAATTGTGCCAGGAAGACTTCTTGATGAGTTTAAATACAACACAACCCTCAGATGTAGCAGTTCAAATTGTAATCTATTAAACATTTATAAGTAGCAGGCATTTGTGGTGGATAGTCTCCAGTGACGGTCACCTCAATCCCTCTCTTCCCTGTACATGTCTGCTGCTCTTCCCACCAAGAGATGGAGTCTTATTTCCATCTCCTTGAATCTAGGCTTGCCTTGGTGACTAGTGTGACTAATAAAATGGGGCAGAAATGATGCTCTGGAGCCTCCAAGGCTAGGTTATAAGAAGTTTCATAGCTTCTTTGTTGATCTTTTGGGATGTTTCCTCTCAGAATCCATCTGCTGAGCTGTGAGAAATCCACACACATGAAGAAACCATGTGTAGGAGCCCCTGTTGGCAGCCCCAGCTGAGCCCCGGTTGGCCACCATTATCTACTGCCAGCCTTGGATGACCAGCTCAGTCAAGGCTGCCTGTGGCTATTGGACTGAAACCACATAAGAAACGCCAATCATAGAGATAATAATAAATTGTTGTTTTAAGCCACCAAGTTCTGGGATAGCTTATTACATACAATAGAACAGCCTTATAAGCAAATTACATGGTGACTTATACAAACATGTTCACATAAAGATGCAGTATGTGTTATAGGAAACCTCAAAATATTAAACAGTTTATGCCCTTAATAGGCCCAAATTCTGTTTTTTATTTCAATGGGATCAAGTTTCAAAAACATAGTGAATGTATGGTGTTAGATTTGAGGGAGAGAATTGAAATACAGCATTTTGGAACTCTAACCTTCGTATACATCCATCCATTCATTTGAATATTGATTATGTACATATGCAAAGCAATATACCAGGTGCTATGGGGGATAAAGGAATGAATCAGAAAGCTATACTAATATTAGCATTTTGGAAGCCCCTCCTTTTCCTCCCTGAAGACAATAAAACAGCATTCAGATTTCCAGCTGAGTTTTCATTTGTTCATTTCCATACTTTTGACCATTTTTTCATGTTATTAGTTTCTTTGAGTGTTTGGAAATGTAAAAAGGAAATTGAAGAATGTGGCTAAATACACAATGACATAGTAACCTTAAAACAAACAAACTAGTAAGCAGTCTAGAATTTCGATGAAGATTTGTATGTTGTATTTTTTCCTCAAAAACATATTTTTTTCACCCCATAATCTTGCTGTTCTTTCAGCGAGATTTATATTCATGATCTGGTATAAATGACAGGATGGATCATAGATTATTTTGTAGCTCAGATGCTTTAGATGTTATAAACCAACTGCTTATTGCTTTCAAGTATTGTCACTTTGCTAAGAGCCTGAAATTTGAAGGGAGAGAAGTTGGACTCTACTTCTGACTCTGACAATTATTATCTTTTCACCTAGGGTAATCTGGAAAACTCACTAAGCCTAAGTTTCATTATCTATAAGTAAAATGTAAAGATGATATTGGTATCCAAATACTATTGGGAATATTTGTTGTAATCATTCATGTAAAGTACTTGCAGGGGTTCTAGCACATACTGAGAGACACAATATTTTTTCTGAGATCATGGTCATGCGTGATTACATTACATTTTTTAGAACAGAAAAAGAAATGGTTGTTAAGAGTTCTGTGCAATTTTATTTAGGTTCCACAGTGAATCACTGGGGGCAATTTAAGAATTATTTAGACCTATTTACTTCTTACAAATGGTTTTAAAATTTAAAATAATCTTTTCAAAAGCAGCACAGGCATTCTTAAAATGCAATTCCATGCAGATAGACCACTTGTCTGGTTGAGGTGGGGATGGGGAACAGTCTTACTTTGCACAGTGGTTCTCTCATGACAAAACTCTAATGGCTTAGTGAAGTCTAGTTTAAAAACTACTACATGGGCCAGGCGTGGTGGTTCATGCTTGTAATCCCAGTGCTTTGGGAGGCTGAGGTGAGTGGATCACTTGAGCTTAGAAGTTTGAGAGCAGCCTGGGCCATATGGTGAAACCCTTTCTCTACAACAAATACAAAAATTAGCCCGGTGTGGTGGGGTGCATCTGTAGTCCCAGCTACTTGGGAGGCTAAGGTGGGAGGATCACTTGAGCTGAAGAGGTCGAGGCTACAGTGAGCAGAGATGACACCACTGCACTCCAGCCTGGGCAACAGAGTGAGACTCTGTCTCAAAAAAAATAGTAATGTATTAATATTGGCTCTTCAATTTTATCAAATGTACCATACTACTGTTAATAATGCAAAATGTTAATAGTAGGGGAAACTGCAGAGGTTGCAGTGGGCTGAGATGGTGCCATTGCACTCCAGCCTGGATGACAGAGTGAGATCCCATCTCAAAAAATGAAAACAAAAACCAACAACCAACCAAACTACTACACTAGGCTATTATTTCTATGTTTGTAGCTCCATTTCTTTCTAGTCCTGCTTTTCCATGTGTTTTAAGCATTTTGAACCATGTATTAGTTTAAATGTCCTCTGCCATTCCTTGCCTTCCTATCAGTGTTTATGTTACTATCTCCACCTGCTTAATCCTAACCTGTGCTTTTGCTTTTCAGCTGTAAACGTCATCACACCAGCTTGGAACTGAAAGGATGTCAGGGGAACATGTTTTAAGAAAACAACCTTAAAATGCATTAGCTTCCTATTACAAACCTTTTATCCCAATTAAAAAATGGAATCAAACATGTTTCACCTTAATTGCTCAAGCAGCCTGAGCTACATGTTCATCACATAGTTTTAAGTTGTATAATTTGGGGTCTCTCCAAATACATTCTAGGGAAGTTGGTAAAGGCACTATCAGCTGGTGAACACAGATGCTATTTCATTAACATATTTAGCCAAATCTTGATGAATCCTAATTTATATTTGCTTAAACCGGAAGTCTAATCTTTTTAAGTTCATTTTCCCAGACTTTCAGAAATCCCCAGTGATGTTTACACATTCATGAAATTTGCCTAGTTATAGGTCTTACTTCAGTAAGTCCAGTCCAAACCCCACAGACCTTAGAGTTGTTCCCTAATTCTTGTGCTCTACCCTCAGGCTTGACCACTGGTGTCACTACTGAGGCTAGACATCCTTTATATTTGACATGGGTAGCTTGAACCCTGCTTCTGCACCTGTAAAGTATAAATGAGAATGTCCCATGTGTACCTGGTTAGAGAGAGGAGCTGAAAGTTCGCTTTAACAAGGAAGTGCTATAATAGTGGTAAAAGCTCTTTTAATTAAAAAAATCAAGTTATAAGAATAAAGTAGGCACCACATTACCTGACTTCAAATTATACTACAAGGCCATAGTAACTGAAACAGCATGGTACTGATATAAAAAGAGACACAGAGACCAATGAAACAGAATGGAAAATCCAGAAACAAAGCTACATGTTTACAGCTAACTGATCTTCAACAAAGCTAACAAGAACTTACACTGGGGACAGTCTCTTCAATAATTGGTTCTAGGAAAGCTGGACATTCATATGCAGAAGAATGAAACTAGACTCTTACCTACCTCTCACTCCATATAAAAATAAATTCAAAATGAATCCAAAACCTAGATAAGACCTGAAACTATAAAACGACTAGAAGAAAACATAGGGGAAATGATTTAGTATGTTGGTCTAGGAAAATATTTTCTGAATAAGACCTCAAAAATTGTTGCTCACAGGAAACAAATGCAAAAATAAACAAATGAGATTATATTAAATGAAAAATCTTCTGCACAGCAAAGGAAACAATCAACAAAGTGGAAAGACAACCTAAAGAATGGGAGAAAATATTAGTAAAGTATTAATCTGAGAAGGGAATCATACAAGAAACTTAGACATCTCAACAGCAAGAAAAAAAATAAAAAACCAAACAATCCGATTAAGTAATGGGCAAATGATCTGAAGAGACAGTTCTCAAAAGAAGACATACAAATGATGGTAAATATATGAAAAACATGCTGTTATTTTTAACTTTTCTGTTATGTTGCATCTCTTTTTTTTTATACTTTGAGTTCTAGGGTACATGTGTACACTGTGCAGGTTTGTTACATATGTATACATGTGCCATGTTGGTGTGCTGCACCCATTAACTCGTCATTTACACTAGGTATGTCTCCTAATGCTATCCCTCCCCCATTCCCCTCTCCCCCGGTGTGTGATGTTCCCCACCCTGTGTCCAAGTGTTCTCACTGTTCAGTTCCCACCTATGAGTGAGAACATGCGGTGTTTGGTTTTCTGTCCTTGAGATAGTTTGCTCAGAATGATGGTTTCCAGCTTCATCCATGTCCCTGCAAAGGACATGAAATCATCCTTTTAATGGCTGCATAGTATTCCATGGTGTATATGTGCCACATTTTCTTAATCCAGTCTATCATTGATGGACATTTGGTTTGGTTCCAAGTCTTTGCTATTGTGAATAGTGCCGCAATAAACATATGTGTGCATGTGTCTTTGTAGCAGCATGATTTATAATCCTTTGGGTATATACCCAGTAATGGGATGGCTGGGTCAAATGGTTATTTCTAGTTCTGGATCCTTGAGGAATCGCCACACTGACTTCCACAATGGTTGAACTAGTTTACAGTCCCACCAACAGTGTAAAAGTGTTCCTATTTCTCCACATCCTCTCCAGCACCTGTTGTTTCCTGACTTTTTAATGATTGCCATTCTAACTGGTGTGAGATGGTATCTCATTGTGGTTTTGATTTGCATTTCTCTGATGGCCAGTGATGGTGAGCATTTTTTCATGTGTCTGTTGGCTGCATAAATGTCTCAAAAAGTGGGCAAAGGAGGTATCTCTTATAACTAATAAATTGTTGGAATTTCAAAAATTTATCATAATTTTTTTGTTTTTTAAATAGAACTATTAGTCCATATAGATGATGAAATTACTAGTGTTTCAAATTGTTCTGTCTTTTTTCTCCTTTCTTGCCTTTTTAGGAGTATTTTTGATTATTCCATTATTCCCCTTTAGTACTTTGAAAGTTGGACGTTATGTTTCCTTTCTTTTAGTCACTTTCTTAGAAATTATAATGTGAATAATTAACACATCAGACGTTAATGTCAAAAGATACCTTTACCTCTTTCCCAAGCAATACAAGTCTTAAAATGTCTTAATTCCATTACTCTTCTCTTGATTTATGTTATTTTGCTACACATCTTATTTTTATCCCCAATAATGCATTATGATTATTATTGGCTTTATATAGTAAAAATTAATTTATGTTTACTCACATAATTCCTAATTTCTTTGCTGTTTTATTTTTTCTTGCTTTTCTGACATTCCACTGGGATCACTTTCATTTTTTCTGAAGAATATAATCTAAAATTTTATTAGTAAAGATCTGCTACTGGTAAACTTTCTTAATTTTTGTTTGCAAGAAAAATGCCATTTTTCCCCCTTTTGAAAAAATATAGTTTCTTTGGATATAGAATTCTAGATTGAAAGTCAATCTTTTCAGCCCATTAAAAGTATTATTCCATTATCTTTTGGTTTCACTAATGTTCTTGAGAAGTTAGCTATCAGTCTAACTATTGATCTTTTGAAAGTAATCTTTTGTTTTTCTCTGGCTTCTTTAATATCTTTTCTTTGTCTTTGGTGTTGTTCTTCTTTACTATAATGTGCCATTTCTCCTGGGTGGGGATATGTTAGACTTCTTTAATCTAAAGATTGATGTCTCTTATCACTTCTAGAATATTTTTCGTCATTATCTTCCCAAATATTGCCTCTGCCTCATTCTCTCTTACTTCTCCTTCTGGGGCTCTGATAAAAAATTTATTATACGTGCTAACTCTAATTCTATCCTTAATTTCTCTTAACTTTCCTTTGTCTATCCCCCAACCCCCATTTACTTGTTTCTTTATGTTGCATAAGGAAGTTTTTTTTGACACATTTTATTCAGATAGCAATCTGATCACACATAGTCCAAGAACACTCAAATAATAAATCAAATATAATTAAATGTTAAAGTTTGGTCTTTAAACATTATAGCCAATGATGACACACTTGCCTCTGATCTCTCCAATATAAAAGCACATCCATACCTCAGTGGCCACCAAACCATTCAGCACAGCTTCCTTAACTGTGAGCTGTTTGAAACTAACAATTTGAGCACTACTATTTTTTAAGGCGCTGAATAGTTCTAGGTATATTAGCAGGGGGTGGAGGAACCAGCTCAACCTTGGTGTCATACCAAAATGTGGCCAATCAAACCTTCAAGTAAGTCATAGCAGCATTCACCAGTGTTGAGGCCTTCACTACAAAGTTAGGGACAAATTGGGCCATCGTTCTAAGATGAAACGTTTGTCACCCCAAATGACCAGCTGAATCAGTTTCTTCTAATTTATTTTACGCTGCTTAATTTTCTGCTCAGCTGTGTTTAATCTGCTCATGAACACATCAACTGAGTTTTAAAATGTAAATAAAAATATTTTTTAAAATTCTAGAATATCTGCTTTATCCTTTCTCAGATTTGCTGGGTTACTTTTTATAACTCCTCATAGATATATTAATTCTCCTCTTTAATAAGCATTTTATAATATATACCTAATGATTCTAATATCTTAAGTCTCAATCTGTTTTGGCTTCTTTTCTTCTCATGGTGCCTTGTTTCAGTGGGTACATAGTTTTAATTCCGAGTTGCTCATTTTTCTTGGGAAATTATTTGTAGGAATACTTTGAGTCCTTGGGATAAAAATGAAAATAAAGATAAAGTCCAGAGATGACTTTTGTTTGTTTCTCTCAAATATCCGAGGGAGCTGTGCCTAGGATCATTGTAAACTAAGTTTACAGTTTAAGGTCTTTTGGACCACACAGGTGATATGAATTAGAGCTATAAATCTATACCAAGGTTGGCTTATGATTATAACCTTTCAGGGAAGATTTATCCCTTTTGCTCTCTTTGGTATCACTGGTATCAAGACATGTTTCCTTGGAGCCCCCTATAGGTAGGGAAAATAGAAGGTGGGAAGAGCTTACTTCTGATTCACTTTCACTGAGTGTGTAGCCACTTGGGGTCTCAAATTATTGGTTGGGAATTGTCTCTTATAGGCTTCCTCACCTGGGTTAACTCTGCTTTGTTTTTAATCCACCTGAGTCCATGAGGCTGTGAAAATGGAAATCAAGTTTATTGGTTTAGAAACTGTGTCTATGACAAAAGCAGCTTTAGTCCTTTGTTCACTATTTAGATTCTCTCTTCCACTTAGTTTTTGATTGATAATACGTTACTATTTTTTCATATCATACATATTTTTAACATGACATTTTATATTTAACCCAGTATTTTAGTTGTTTTCAAAAGGTTAATTCATCCCTCCAAATTCCCAGCCACCATAGTATCTGAAATATAAATCTCCATTTCTTTCTATACTAGTAGTGAATCACTTAATCATATGCAGACTTGTCACATCTCTTGCTTTGTTATTAATAGTTATTGGATTGTATGACATTTTATGTGTATATGCCATCATTCCAATTGCATTGTAAAATGCCCAAAACAAGTTTGTTATGACCTGCATGGCACCTAAACAGTGCTGTTAACATCACCGTTGCCCAGCATATGTTGGCTGATTGAAAAAAATGGGTTACTATTTCTTCAAGGAGTATTCTGCTTTTTGTTTATCAGAATAGCACCAGTGACCCACTCGCAGTAAGTCATGCTCTTTAAGTTGTTTTCTATATCAGTGCTGATCTATCTCTACTCCTAGATGCCATTTGTCACTAGGGGATTACATTCATGAAAGGGAGGAGATTAGGAAATGTGAGTGTTACTTGTGAGTGTTTGTGAGATGGTAGTGGCAGAGATGGCTAGTTTTCTTCCAAAATCTGTTCTATTTTTCTTCCATTACGATAGGGTTTTTAGCTAGAAATCCAGCTTCCTAGAAAAATAAAAATATACTGGCCAGCTTCCTTTGTAGTGAAGTATTAAATGTGGCTGTATTCTGGTCAATGGAATATAAGTGGAATTATCCTGTGACAGCTTCCAGGATCCTTCAATGTGAGTCAGTTTGTAGGTACCCATGAATGCTTGTTTCCCTTTTCCTCTAACTGGCACAGCATATATGTAAGGCTGCAATTCCATCTCAGACCATGAGTGAGGACAGAATCCATAGGATGCCAGAACAGAAAGTTGGAAGGAGCCTGGGTCCCTAAGGGCTTTGTGAAACAGGGCTGCTCTACTGTCTTCCTGGATTGTTTACCTCTAAAATTGTGCCTGAAAGACAAACTTCTAGCTTGTTTAAGCCACTGTTATTTTGGGTTTCTGATAGTCACATCTGAACATTATTCTAACAAATCTAGGGAGTAAACAGTAAATCGCAGAAATTATGTAGCCAGGAAGTTTGTTTATAAATGTCTAGGGTCCATGATATAACATTTAGCCACACTTAATTTAGAGATTTTATCAATCCTTAGACAGGTAGGATTGCATAGTAAATAGTGTAAGCTAATTGTATAATATGTTTTATACATTTAAATGAAATGTATAGTAATGTTACAGTTTTCAGTATATACTTTGAGTACCATTATTCTGTAATTTTAAAATTATCTTTTCAATATCTCCACATTAAATGCCTTTTCTGTAATATTATTGATAATTCTGTGGAGTAGATTAAACCACAGAGCAAGTATTCTCAGTCTTGGTTGAATTTCATGTCATAATGCAGTGAATGGCTCAGGAACCATGAGACATTTTTTAAAACATAACATGACTAGGTATTTGTGATTTATATTCATGCATATGAATTTTCCCACTAAAACAAAATAAACTGACCAGAGGCATTTCTACAATGTTGATTTTTTTGTTACACCATTGAAATATTAATATGATTATCATTTCAGCAACTTTGATTAATTTTATAAAAATAAGGGAAATATAAAGATTTTACCAAATCTTTCAGAAACAGATAATTGCCATGTAATATAGCTATTCTGAGACTTAGAACTG
Organism: Homo sapiens; assembly: GCF_000001405.40. Lineage (NCBI taxonomy): Eukaryota > Metazoa > Chordata > Mammalia > Primates > Hominidae > Homo > Homo sapiens. Next base: position 148,706,492 of record NC_000004.12, read on the forward strand.
ATTCACTCTTCAACTCATTCTATAGGATGGCAAAATGTTGCTGTTGCTTTCAAAAGAAGATAGCCTGCAAATGATAACTAAAGGCAATTTTCACTTATAGACAGGTATCAAAGTCTTAAATAAAATAATAGCAAATTGAAATGGCAGTATATAAGTCATCATACATCATGACCAAGTGAGTTTTCTTTTAGGTTTGCAAGTGTGGTTCAATATTAAGTGATAATGGTTTGGCTCTGTGTCCCCACCCAAATCTCATGTTGAATTATGAACTTCAGTGTTGAAGGAGGGGCCTGGTGGGAGGCAATTGGGTCATAGGAGCAGATTTCCACCTTCCCCCTTGCTGTTCTCCTGATAGTGGGTGAGTTCTCACCAGATTTGATTGTTTAAAAGTCTGTGGCACTTCCCCCTTATCTCTCTCTCCTGCTCTGCCGTGGTAAGATGTGCTTGCTTTCCCTTTGCCTTCCACCATGATTGTAAGTTTCCCGAAGCCTCTCAGCCATGTTTCCTATACAACCTGAGAACTGTGAGGCAATTAAACCTCCTGTCTTCATGAATTACTCAGGTAGCTCTTCATAGCAGTGTGAGAACAGACTGATACATTAGGAAAGCCACAAAGCTGGGTACAGCGGCTCACATCTGTAATCCTAGTACTTTGGGAAGCTGAAGTAGGAGGATTACTTGAGCCCAGGAGTTTGAAAAGCTACCAGGGTAATGCATTTTACTAATTTTTTTTTTGGTGGGGGGGGGGGGACGTTTTGCTCTGTCTTCCAGGCTGGAGTGCAGTGGCACAATCATGGCTCACTGCAGCCTTGACATCCTAGGATCAAGCAGTCCTCCCACATCAGCCTCCCAAGTAACTAGGATTAGAAGCAGTGCCACCACACCTAGCTATTTTTTAAATTTTTTTTGTAGAGATGGAGTCTCACTATGTTGCTTAGGCTGGTTTTAACTCCTGGTCTCAACAAGCAATCCTCCCACCTCAACCTCCCAAAGTGCTGGGATTACAGATGTGAGCCATGTAATTCCAGCACTTTGGAATTCCAAAGCACTTTGGAGTTCCAGAGTGCTGGAATTACCCAGCCCATTTTACTAATAAATTTAAAGGGTGAGGGGATGATAACTCAATAGATACTGAAAAATCTCTAATCCTAATACAATTTCCTAGAAAGATAGAAATAAAGAAAAAATCCTTTAACTATAGTGTATTTATGAAAGATCTTAAGCATGGATTATACTTAATGTTAAAAAATTAGAAATATTTATATTATAGCTAAGCACAAGACAAGAATATTCACTATAACTGGTAATAGTCTACGTTGGAGAGAAGTCTTGCTCAATTCAATGAATTAAAAAATATAAATTATATAAAGTATATATTTTATAATATTGTTTATATTATACAATGTGTAATAATTTACATGTTTCTATTTTTTTTTTTTTTTGGAGACAGAGTCTCGCTCTGTTGCCCAAGCTGGAATGCAGTGGCACCATCTTGGCTCACTGCAACCTCCGCCTACTGAGTTCAAGCAATTCTCCTGCCTCGGCCCCCTGAGTAGTTGAGTAGCTGGGACTACAGGCGCATGCCACCATGCCCGGCTAATTTTTTTTGTATTTTTGGTAGAGGCAGGGTTTCACCATGTTGACCAAGCTAGTTTCAAACTCTTGACCTCAGGTGATCTGCCCGCGTTGGCCTCCCAAAGTGCTGGGATTCCAGGCAAAGTGCTGGGATTACAGGCATGAGCCACTGCACCCAGCTACATGTTTCTATTACTTATATAAGAAATAGAAATATTATGTAAATATATATATTAAATAGCAATATATATTACAGAGTTATATGTTATATATGTAATGTGAATATACATATATAATATCATTGATGCAAAAAGAATAGAGCAATGAGACTCTAATGGAATCTAGAAATATATTCATGATTATATGAAACTTTAAAATGTAATACAGGTGGCATTCCAGTTTACTTGAGGAATGACTTCCTCAACAAAGCAGAACTCCTGCAATCTAAGAAGGAAAAAACCTGAGGGATTTGACTCTAAAAAACTCAATGAGACAAACAAACAAAAAAACTGGTTATGATAAAAGGTAAATTTAAAAGACAAGCAGTAAAGTAGAATGAATATGTGTATGTGTGTATAAAAAAGAATTATCCTATTATCCAAAACCATCTCTATGTTAATAATAAAATTAAACTAATAAAGAGAAGGGCAAAGAATATGAAACACTGATGCATGCACTTCTGAAATGATTTTAACTCCGTTATGAATACTGGGGAAATAAAATTAATAAAAATGTTTTCTCCCATAATTTAAAAAAAGTGAAAAAAATTAATAGTGTACAGGTTTGGTGAAACTGGGGAAATGGTAACTCTGAATATACTGTTTGTAGAAATACACATTAGTAAAGACTCTGGTTAATCTATCAGATTTTTAAAATGAGTTTAATTCTTGAACCAAATTTCAACTTCTGTGCACATGAGTATTGACTTACGTACTGGTGTAACCAAGTGCCCAATTTTTAAAGTTTTATCCTTTTTCCTTTTTTTTCTTTGTGTTCACTTAACCACTAGGCACCTCCTCACATTGGTAGCATATCTGATTATACGTTTGCTTAAAAGTTCCAGAGGTTAAATCTTGAAACAATGCAAGCACCTGTGGAAATCTCCCGCACCAGGAGATTGCTTCAAGGCTACAGTTAATTTACAACCCCACTGAGCCTAGGGTGATGCCAGCCCATTCACCAGATGGGGCAATAACGCAAGACAAGTCATCGAACCAAGTCACAGCATAGACCAGCACTGCCTTGTCCCCTGCATATCCTCCCTTTCCCAAACTTCCCCTTTTCAAAATTCTGGCACTGAGCTTGGAAATTTAAAGTGGTTCCATGAAGGCAAGAGCCTGGACCATTTTCGCCATTGCTAGGTTTCGTTCATAATAAAGTTATTCTCCTTCTATGAATTGCTAATTGCTAATTGGTTGTCAAGCGGTGAGCAGGTGAACCTGCATTTGGCAACGCTAGGATATTCAGTGCAACAGAACTTATAATCAGGAGTAATTGAGACTGCCTAAATGTAAATCAATAATAAAATGATTAAATGGAAGTTTTATTTATTTTAGAGACAAGGTCTCGCTCTGTTTACCAGGCTAGAGTACAGTGGCACAGTCATAGCTCACTATGGCTTCAATCTCCTGGAATCTTCTTGCCTCAGCCTTCTGAGGTGCCAGGACTGCAGATGTGCCCCACTATATCCAGCTATTTTTTAAAAAATTTCACAGAGACAGGGTCTTACTATGTTGCCCAGGCTAGTGTCAAACTCCAAGCCTTAGGAACTCAGCTCTTTCCACCTCAGCCTCCCAAAGTGCTGGTATTACAGGTGTGAGCTATCCCATCCAGCAAATGGAAATTTTACATAATAGATATTCTGCTGCAGTTAAAAAGAATTAGGAAATATTTATACACCATATTACTAAGTGAGAATAAAATAATGCTTCAGAACAATGTGAATAGCATAATTTTATTTATAAAAAATCTATACATATTTCTGTATGTAAATACATACACTAAAGCACGAACAAAATTTCCATTAATTACTGTTTGGGGAGGTTCAATGAAAGAGGTGGAGTGAGAGGAGGGCAACACAGAAAGTGAAATGTGGTATTTACTTTGTAACCTATATAGTTCTGTATTATTTGCATTTTTAAAAATACCTATAGCCTGTACAATTTTTAAAACAATCACAAAGATTCAGTACTGACATTCTCTCTAGTTTAGGGGTATTCCTGCACAAAATATTCTATTTGTTCATGAATAATTCATATAGCATTCAATGTAGCCATTTTAAGGAAAGCTTGATTGATTATTAGGAATTAAATATACATATCAAATAGTTTTTCAGGAATAAAAGTAGCATAAAATGTTAGCTATTTTTATTATAATAAATATGTATGCATGATATACAGACAGTGGTTTCACTCATAGTAGATATACAGTTCTAACAAAGCTATTCACTTAAGTGTAAATACAATTCTTTCAGAAAGTGAAGACCTGGGGTAAGATGTTAGAGCATTTCTGTTTATTTGTTTTAAGAGAATCTTAAAGTTCTTGAAAATTAGAGGAGAAAAAAGAGGTTCAACAGTGTTGACAGAGGCTGGGCACAGTGGCTCACGCCTGTAATCCCAGCACTTTGGGAGGCCGAGGCAGGCGGATCATGAGGTCAGGAGATGGAGACCATCCTGGCTAACATGGTGAAACCCTGTCTCTACTAAAAATACAAAAAATTAGCCGGGCGTGGTGGTGGGTGCCTGTAGTCCCAGCTACTTGGGAGGCTGAGGCAGGAGAATGGCGTGAACCCCGGAGGCAGAGCTTGCAGTGAGCTGAGATCACGCCACTGCACTCCAGCCTGGGCGACAGAGCGAGACTACATCTCAAAAAAAAAAAAAAAGAAAAAAAAAGTGTTGACAGAAAGAAATAAAAGGCTGTGAAATATTTAGAGAGGTTTATTCTGCGCCAATACGAGTGACTGTGGCCTGTGGGACAGTCTCAGGAGGTCCTGAGAAAGTGTGCCCAAGGTGGTCAGGTTACAGTTTGGTTTTATACATTTTAGGGAGACAGAAATTACAGGGAAAGACTTAAATCAATACATGTAAGGTATACATTGGTTCAGCCCAGAAAGACGGGACATCTTCAAAGGGAGTGTTGTTTGGCGGGAGGGGGGGGTGTCTTACTGGTCACAGGTGAATTCAAAGATGTTTTTGATTGGCCCCTGGTTGAAAGAGTTGAGCTTTGTCTAAAGACCTAAAGTCAGTAGAAAGAAATGCTTGAATTAAGATAAGGGAGATTTTGGAAGCCACGGTTCTCGTTACGTAGATGAAGCCTCCAGATAGCAGACTTCAGAAAAAATGGATGGTAAAGGTCTTTTTTTCTGACCTTAAAAGATGCCAAAGTCTTAGTTAATCTTTCTTAGATCCAGGAAAGGATTACCTTCGTTAATGAAGATTCTCTACAGATGCACCATTTCCCCCACAAAAGATGGCTTTGCGTGGCCATTTCAAAATGTGTCAAAGAAATATATTTTGGAGTAAAATATTTTTATTTCCTTCAGCGTCTGCCATCTGTCATGTGATGCTATACCAGAGACAGGTTGAAATTTGGTATCTTATTGCCAAAGAGTCTTTTTTGTCAGTCTTAGACCCTCTATTTTAATGTTAATGGTGGTCAGTTGTGCTTAAATTCCAAAAGGGAGGGAGTATATCAGGGTGTATCTGACCACCCTTCCTGTCAAGGCTGGGAATTTAGTTTTTCAGGTTTCCTTTGGCCCACAGCAGGTCCATTCAGTTGGTTGTGGGGGACTTAGGATTTTATTTTTGGTTTACAGAAGATTAGTACAGGAGCTTTTCCTTGAATGTTTCATATTCTGCTAGCTCCAAAAATCCACCAGAAGGAACAAATTCCCTTCACTTACGGGCTGTTTTCATTAGGTTAGGAATAAGAAGCTCCAGTAAGTTCTGTTCAAGGAATTGTTGCTATTGGAATTCCCATTGTGTTTTTACTAATTGGTGGAAGCAGGTGTTTGTCATGTGAATAGGAATGGTGGCTCTTGTTTTTTGACACCATTAACTAATGTCCCAGAAAGTCAAGGTTTTCACTTGAAAGAAAATGCAACTTAAATTGGAGAATAGTAATACCCAGTGAAGCTGTTGAGACCTTTCCAAGTTACATGGAAAAAGAGGTAAAGGACTTTAAAAAAAGGTACTGTGATATACCCTGAGGGAAGCTGTGATAGGTCATTTGATGTTAGGTGAAGGCAAAACGTTTCTTTTTTTATGATTGGAGAGAACAAACAGATGAAATATGTGCATGAATTATATTTTCACTATTTACTGCTGAATTCAACTTCATGTTGATTCCACTTATGAAGCCTAAACCAATTTTCCCTTTTGTGACAAGAGCTCTGCCAGTGTGCAGAGGATCTAATAGCTCTTGGGGAGATAGATTAGTGTGTGGAATGCAAAATGAGACCATAATGTTGACTCAGGAAGACCTAAATTTTCAACATTTTGAAATTTCAGCATCTGTGAAAATTGAAGCCAGAGAGGCAGCACTGACTTTTTTTTTTTTTTTTTTTTTTGAGACAGGATCTCACTCTGTTGCCCAGGCTAGAGTGTACGATGCTCATTACAGACTCAACCTCCCGGGCTCAAGTGATCCTCCCACCTCAGCCTCCCCAGTAGCTGGGACCACAGGTGCAAGCCACCACAACCAACTAATTTTTCTATTTTTTTGTGGAGACAAGGTTTTGCCGTGTTGCCCAGGCTGGTTTCGAATTCCTCAGCTCAAGTGATCCACCTGCCTTGGCTTCCCAAAGTGCTGGGACTACAGAACATTGACTTACTGTAAAATGCTGTTAGAAGGAAGTCGATTAAGGAAAAGCCTCAACAAAATAGAAGAAAGTGAAAGCTTAGCAAGCAGAAACACACGTCTAGTAATTTTATTAAATGTGGGATTTCAGGTGAGGAGTGTGTGTATAGTACACTCTCAGAGACATATCATGGCTGTAAGATCAATGATAGCCATAAGGCCCACTAAGCATCTTGAAGAGCCTATACTACATGTCACTTAGCAATGTCATGCAATCTGACTTGGGGGTTTCTAACCCTGGCATGGGAATTTCCAGGAGACAAGGCCACCTCAGCACAGATGTAACTTTTATAAACCTTAAAACAATGCTTACCCTTACAAGAATGGTCTAAACTCCCTTTATGAAAGAAACACCTGGTAACTGACTTGCACTGAATACAGGTATAGGGGAGGGAAAAGGATCCCCCAAACCATGAGAACTGTCGCTGGAGGGAGACTCTCCAGGTCAGTCCATCATCTGACCCCATGATGGTACCTGGCTGTCCCTGGCTCATGCTACCGGCCAGCTCCTGCTATCCATCTTTTAAGTGTGCTACCAAGAATAAACCACTTGATGCTATGAGCCAAGATCGCGCCATTGCACTGCAGCCTGGGTGATGAGAGTGAGACTCCATCTCAAAAAAAAAGAATAAACCACCTGAGCATCAGATGTGCTCTAAGACTCATCTTTGGTTCAAATCAAACTGAAAGGAAGAGGTCACCCCTGGGGAAGTGTGTTTACTAGTATCACTCGGAACCTCCGAACATGACAGTGTGAAACAAAGAAACAGAATCAGATGAGGAAACTGAGAACAAGGGAGGTAAAAAAAAAAAAAAATTAGCTCTTCCTTCATTGCTGATACTTCAAGGGCAACTTTCTGGCTCTCAGCACAGAAACCTTTTTGCTACATCCAGTCCTTCTTTAGCATAAAGAGAGCACCTTCTCAAACGGGGCACTCAAGCAGGTCAACGAGGGAGTCTCTAAGAACGGAAACATGATGGGCAGTAAGGAGCATGGTAATACAATATGTTGATCAGCATGAGTGGTGAAAGTAAATTTAGGGATGGAGCATGGATAGAAGCTTCTTTTCTGGAACTGGGTGAAATATAATTTTGAAAGCCATATCAACTAATATCAAGATAAAATCAGAATATTAAATAAATTGAGATGCAAATACTCATGACAGATTCTACATCTTGCAAAAAAAATTCTTCTTATAGAGAACAGTGGCTATTTAAATAATTTTCTGTGTTCCTGTGTAAGTAGTTTGATTGTAAGGAAGCATTACAAATATCCCTGGCCTATGTTAAATGCACATTTGGGCTCAAAATGTATTTGCCATCCCTTTTTGACAATCTTTGCTTTTCATTAATGGGCACAGAGAGATGGCTATTAAGTAGCATGGAAAAAAAACCCCACACTTCTTCCACTTTAATTTTTATGGAAGGCGTTTGAACCTAATTATGTAGCTAATTCATTAATGAATTCAATATGCATTTGTTGAGTGCCTATTCTGTACCAGATACTGTGCTGGGGAAGGAGTGGTAAATAAGGCAATAATAGTCCCTTGTCATTATAGAGTTTTCAGTCTAGTGGAATTTAGTATAATAGTACAATGTCTCCTTATGAGAAGTTTTTATATAATTACTTGTACTGTATATAAAATGAATACATAGTGTTAATGGAAAATACAGGAAAAGATAAAAATATTCAAGGCATATGAAAATATTACATCTCTTAATACTATCTTTTGGAGATAACGATTGCAAAAGTTTTGACGTATTATTTTCAAATTATTTTTTTTGAGAACATGGAGATCTATATATTGAGACACATATACATTTATCTATCTTTCTATCTGTTCATCATCTAACCACCCATTTCTCAACACACATATGCAGACACACACAGGACACACACAGACACAACCATTTTGTTAAATGCATAAAATTAAAAGAATACAAAGAATATTCTTGGCTAGCTCGAAGGCTTTATGTACCTTCTCTATTATAATTATAGATTCCTTTTTGAAAAGTAGTGTTCCCTTTCAGGTCCCAAAAGTCCACTAATGTCTAAATCAAAACTTCAATTTCTCATTCAAACCAAAGCTTCTCCCATCCACTCTACCTATTTTGACCCATTATGGCTCAAAGATGTCTATGAAAGGAGTCAAACTCTAACATGTTTGAAGAGATTTATTCTGAGCCAGATGTGAGGACCATAACCCATGACACAGCCCCAGGAGATCCTGAGAACATGTGCCCAAGGTGGTTGGACTACAGCTTGGTTTTAGGGAGACATAAGACATCAGTCAATACATGTTACATGTCCATTGGTTGGTCCAGAAAAGTGGAACACTTTGAAGGGGAGTGGGGTTAGAGTGGTTCCAGGTCATAGGTGGATTCAAAGATTTTCTGATTGGCAATTGGTTGAAGAGTTAAGTTGTTATCTGAAGACTGGGAATCACTAGAAAGGTGTGTCTGGGTTAATATAAGGGACTGTGAGGACCATAGTTTTTATCATGCAGAGGAAGCTTCCAGGTAGCAGGCTTCAGAGAGAATAGATTGTAAATATTTCTCATCAGACTTAAAAAAAGTGCCAGACTCTTAGTTAATTCTCTCCTGAATCAGGAAAAAGACCTGCAAAGGGAAGAGGATTCTCTACAGAATGTAGATCTTTTCCCCACAAGAGACAGCTTTGCAGGGTCATTTCAAAATGTGTCAAAGAAATATATTTTGAGGTAAAATACTTTGATTTCTTTCAGGGCCTGCCGTCTGTCATATTGATATCTTATTACTATAAAGAGTCCGTTTTGTCAGTCTTAAGGTCTCTATTTGTGTTAATGTGGGTCAGCTGTGCCTGAATTCCAACGGGAAGAAGGTATAATGAGGCATGTCTGACTCCTCCTTCACATCATGGCCTGAACTAGCTTTTCAGGTTAACTTTGGAATGCCCTTGGCCTAGAGGAGGTGTCCATTCACTTGGCTGAGGGGTTTAGAATTTTATTTTTGGTTTACAAGGACCTGGAATGAGGAAGGGGAGCATGACTTCATCCATCTCCTCTTCTCATCCTGTGCATCTTAGGATTCAAGCAAAGGAAGGGAGATTAGAGGAAAAGAGACAAAATCTAAGATGTCTAGTATTATTTTAGTTCTGTCTTGACTAATACTGGTTGTTAGCCATATTCTCCATTTTGGAAGGTGTCCAAATATTGATACTGATTGGGATGGAATTCTGTTTCGTTAGAACCATTCTGCAACTGCATGTGTGTACCCACACACCTTTGCATGCACATATGCAGATAGACACACATTTTTAACTTCTGTTCTAATTGCTCCCTAATACAGACCTCTCTCTGGCTGACTTCTTAAAATGTCCTTCCTCTCTGCACCAAAAGCAGCTTATCAGAACCCCCAACTGCCTTGTACTGTCTCTCTTGGGTGGGGACAATCCACAGTACCAAGCAGCCCTCAGGAATCTCAGGCTTTCTTGCCTTGCTAAATAATTGAAGTACAAGCTATGCCCCATGACTATCCTTTGACCTTACTTTGCTAACTCAAGTGACTCCAAACCATTAACTGCTTTGTTTTCTGATTGGAAATCAGGCTCCAGTCACCTCAGATTCCAAGAGAAACACATCAAGCTCTGTCATGAACTTTCACTTTATTTCAGTCCTATGGCAACAATGGGGCCTACATTCCACAGGGTTGGGCCTCTGAGGGATGCCTGTCTCCCAGTCTTGTGGACATCCTGCCTCTCTATGTGTGTTTCTTTTTGGAGCATTTAAGGAAGGGCTTGAGGGGAGAGAAACTGCTATTGTACTCCCTTTAAAGTTGACTACTTTTCTCTCTTTAAGGTGCTCTTTAATCAACTTTTGAACTTTAGACTTCACTTAAGTAGGTTAGAGGTGGTGGGAGTTGATAACTGCTGGACCAGTTCTGCTCTCTTCTTAGAATCCTTCATGAATAGGTCTAACATCTCTCTTTAGAATACGGGTTATTTATAACCCATTGTTTTCAGTTTTGGGGTTTCAGCCAAAATTCTAAGACAACAGGAAGAGTTCTATTCAAATTCCTGTTTATATGTATATTTATGTATGTATATATATACACACATACAAAGTTGATTTCACATTGCTTATGATGTAATTTTTAACCCTTTTATACTCATAATTTTATCATGAGCACTTAATCATATCATTGTATCTTTTTGAAAATGTCATATTAAATCCTTACATATTATTTTATTACATAAAAGTGTCATAATTTATTTCCCCTTTTGCTTGTTTAAAATATTCATTTTAAAAATTCGATTGTAATGGTAATACACACTCATTATAGATATTTGGGAAAATACAGAAAAGTGCAAAGAAGATAATGACAATAATTTGTAATCCTGTGAAAAATAGCTACTTGAATTTTGGTATGTTTCCTTCTGGGTTTTCTCCTCCTCAATAAATATAGAGAAATGGATAGATGTAGATATCGAGATAGTTTAATATATATATGTAAGTATATATATATGCACATAAAGCACATTTAACCCCATTAATACTTCGTATTATCATATATCAGCATTTAAAAATAAATGAGATTCTTACTGTATATAGTTTTGTGTCCTGCTTTTACTTTCTGTTATATTTTTATCTTTTTTCTTTTGATCTTTCTTTGATTTTTGTTCATATTTGAGGAAATGTTTTAAGAAACTAACTTTTTATTATTATAAAATAATATGTATCAATTATAAAAAAGCCTCGGAGATATAGATTGGCAATAAAATATTAACTTTTTGGTATTTATCTAGTCTGAATCTATCAAACAGTGTTTGGATAGAAATGAGATTACAATAGTATCAACACCCAAATCTTATTAGCTAAAGAACACCAGACTTCTGCAAAGTTCTCTCTCCTATTCCTGCTCACTCTGATTATTTATAGGCATTCCTCGCATTGGAACATCGATAGATTTCACTTGCACTACTCGCTCATCTATTGGTAACAACTGTCTGGTGCACGCTTGCGATGAGAGGACCTAATAAGCCACGCTCCTCTAGAGACCCTGGCAGGTGGGGGTAATGTTGGCTGCCATTATCCTTTAGGACCCAGAACCGCTAATTTTATCCAGCTGGGAGCCTGATACAGTTTGTTTTACCAAGCTCCTTCTCTCTTTAGGGTTCTCTCAGGGATCCATACTCTTTCCCTGAAATCTGGACTTTGCATTATCACCCTTTCACCTCCTATAGTCTGAGAGTTATATCTGTACCTGCGTGCAACCCAATTGTAGACACAGTTCACAATATACCCCTTCCCAGAGGTGACTCCACCCTGTGGTAATTTACCAGAAGTTGTTAAGAGAGGGGTTGGCACAGACAGTACTTTGTCACACACACAAACACCCACACCTACTTATAATTATGGGATAATTTTTATAATATGTATAATGTTTATACCATGTATTTTTCTGGAAGAGTTTACTATACAAACTCTTGTATCTTTAAGTATTTTTATATGTATACATATGTGTATATGGTGGTTTTACAGATATATCCACAGATCCTTCTATACTCCTCCACCTGAGAGGTGAAGCTTAATTATCCTTCCCTTGAATACGGGCTGGACTTAGTGGCTTGCTTCTAGTAATAGGATGTCATTTCTAATATTAGATAATAAAAGGCTGTCCTTGTATCTTAAGCATGTCGTCTCTCTCTTTCTCTCTCTCTCTCCTCTCTGGGGAAAGGAAGATTGTAAACAGTCCTAGGCAAAGGTCCATATGGTGAAGAAATGAAGTCTTTTGTAATTTTCCTGGGTGTGGAAGAGGTTCCCTCATCTTCAATCACATCTCCAGGGACTGTAGCCCTGACCAACAACTTGACTATAATTTCATAAGAAACCGTGTACCAGAAACACCCAGCCAAGCTATTCCCAGATTCTTGACTTAAAGCAACTGGGAGAGAAGAAATATTTGTTGTTTTAAGCTGCTTAGCTTTAGAATAACTTGTTTTACAGTAACAGATAACTAATATAGGATAAATAAATGATAGATATGTAAGTTATAAAGAAGGTATCAATTACAAATCTGTGTCCTTCTACTCAACTTGTAACAAGCTTTGCCATTCAGTATATTATGAACACTTTTTTATTTCATTAAATTTATGCTGTAACATTCTTTTAAAATTAGTACTAGTATTCTATGGTATAAATATAATAAAGTTCACTGGACCCCAATACTATATGTTGGATGCTTGATCAACTTATAATTATTGTTCTTATTAACAGTACTGTGATGAACATTAATAACTGTATAGGCAGTATTTTTAGTTGTAAGCAACAGAAACATTTTCTAGCTGATTTAAACAGCAAAAGAATTTATTAAAGGTATTCGATAGAAAATTACCTCAAATTAAAAAGTGAAAACCCTGAAAAACAAGAGAAAATATATTAGAAAATGGAAAAAAAGTACTATATGGCTCTATGGGGTCTAAATAGCTGTGGAAAGCATCAAAATAATGTTGTAGAATCTGTCCAAAGAGGAAAACAAATCCACCTCCAACCCTTAAATGCTGATCCCACAGCACCAACAGTCAGTGGTCATAGCGGCACCACTGCTGCAATTGCCCCAGGAACTATTCTTGTTTAAGAGACCGTGATTGCCAGAGAGGATTCTCTTGGTCCTGTTTCTTTCTGATACTGCCTCCTGAGTTTGGGGTTGGTGAGTATGACTGGTGGAGCCTTCGTCACAGGCTCATGCCCTGCAAGGGAGAAGGGAAAAGCGAGAACTTGGCAGTTTTCATTTCTATAATGAGAGATAGGTTGTGTCTCTCACTGAGAAGGCTCTTTGGATACTGAGAAGTGAAGAAGAGTGCCAGATGTCTGCTGCAATCCATGTTGGCATGTGCAACATCAACTCAAACCATTTTTTCAATAATTAAAAAAAATTCTTCATGCAAAGTAATTCAACTAACCTGCATGTATCCAAAATGCATTTGCCTCTTCCCTCTAAGGGGAGCAACACAAAATCTTACTCATCACTACATCGACAAGCTCATTTTTCTTCTAGTTAATTTGTAATCCGTTTTAATCCTATGGGCCAAATTGAAAAGTTGTTCAGCACCAACATGTCCTACATAAAATAGTAAGAAAAAAGGATTGGAAAGAAGAGAGAAGTTAACTATATAAACACAAGAAAGAAAGAAAATGCAAGTTGTAGCAATCCTCTTTTCCGTAACTGGTCATAAAGCTGAAGTTGCTAAGTATAACTTTTCTACTCTATTATTCCTTTCATGTATCTATTTTTTCTATTCAGCTGACACCTCAACTCTTCAAGATTCTTTACCTGATGGAGTGTCCCAAACATTCATTCTTGACGAATCTTAACCTTTGGTTGTCTTTTCTACACAGATGCTGTGGTCTCCCAGTTAATTTTATCAATGAACACATTAGTACCCAGAAGCATCTCAGGGCATTCTTTGAGTTCCATCCATATTTCTTACTTTCCTAATTGCGTAGCAGTACTTCTAATTTCTTTTGACAGTCAGGATCAATCTCAAAAGTCAACACCAATATTCCCTTTATCCCCTATTCACTTAGATGTATAAAGAAGCTGAACTGGCCAGGTGGCATTGTCCACTTACAATTCCAGGTTCCATTGTTGTATTAAATATCTCTGATATAAGAATTCCTGCCTTGGCTACCAAGACAACCAAACCCATCGCACCCAGAGTTTCATAGATGGAAAGCTGGATTTTTTTAGTGCCTGTATTTTGGGTAGAACCTTCTGTAATCCAGGATTTGCCCCTTTTCAGTCAATTGATTGTAGGTAGCTCTTCATGATAACCTTAGGTAAAAATAGAGGAAGGGATGGTAATGAGCCTCCAAACTTAACTTGTGCCTTCAGAACCTAATCAGGTTCAGTTCTGTGTGCTCATTTCTATTTGAAAAGGGAACCCCTGGGGCACACCTGACTTTATAGACAAGTGGACTATATATCAAACTTATAATGTGGAGTTCCATTGTCCATGATCACATGTTTTCTTGTAAACAGGCACCTGGGAGAAGCCAGGATCTGTTATTCGAAATAAGCATGACACTTGAGAAAGTGGTAAAGATTTTGCTCACAAAGATTTATGGTTTCTGCTGTGATAATCCTATTGGAGCTGGCTGTCAACCATTGGAATATCACTGGGTTTTCTGGGCAGAAGGCAAAGTAGTGGAGCTGCTTCTAGTACAGCCTGATCAGCTGAAGCGCCTTCTCTTCCTCTGGGACCTTACTCAGTACTGGCACCTGTTAGCATATCTCATAAATGCTCAGATGGTATATGCAAAATAGTTATATTTTCTCTCCTGAAACTAAAATAGTCCAAGTGTTGTGCCCTTCTGTAGTGCGCACAAATTATTCCACCTTGTCATTCCCTTTGCATGAGAGAGACCAAGTCCCCCTAAAAATATATTTTAAAGAAGTTAATGTGAGGCTTCTATTTTTTTTGGTTTTATCTCCAATCTTCTGCTAGATATAAATTTTACCCAGGTATGTCTTACCTAAGGCTTCTACTATTTTCCATTCTGTACAGCTTATAGTTATATTATTAATAGAATGAACCAGAATAATGTCTGTAGGATGTTGAGAGAATCTACCTCTCTAGAGGTAATTCAGCTTACCTGTTATCAAAACTCCTAAGAAGTGAACTTTCCCAAATGTAGGAAATCTCAAGAGAGTGACTCATGTCTGTTATAATAATGAACAATTCTGCTTAGGTCTGAACTTACAATCAGGGAGAAGTAACAACTCAACGCACTTACTGGTTTGAAGGAAACTGAGCAATACGAGTACAGGCATATGTCAGGGATATTGCAGGCTCGGCCCCAAACCACCACAATGAAGTGAATATCACAATAAAGCGAGTCATGTAAATTTTTTGGTTTCTCAGTGCCTGTAAAAGTTATATTTACACCAAACTGTAGTCTATGAAGTATGTGATAGCATTATGTCTAAAAAGTGTACAAACCTTAAATAAAAATACTTTATTGCTTAAAAATACCAATGATTATCTAGCCTTCAGCAAGTTGTAATCTTTTTGCTGGTGGAGAGTTTTACCTTGAGGTTGATTGATGGCTGCTAGCTGATCAGGGTGGTAATTACTGATAATGGCGGTGATGGGGGTGGTTGTAGCAATTTCTTAAGATAAGGCAACAGTGAATTTTGATGCACTGATTGACTCTTCCTGTCCAGAAAGATTTCTCTGTAACATGTGATGCTGTTTGATAACATCTTACTCTCATAAAACTTTTTTTCAAAATTGGAGTCAATCCTCTCAAACCCTGCCACTGCTGCATCAACTAAGTTTATGTAATACTAAATCTTTTGTCATCATTTCAGCAGTGTTCACAGCATCTTCACCAGGAGTAGATTCTTTCTCAGGAAACTACTTCCTTTGCTCATCCGAAAAGAAAACTCTCAGCTGTTCAAGTTTTATCATGATATTGCAGCAATCCATTCACTTCTTCAGGACCCACTTCTAATTCTAGCTCTGTTGCTATTTCCACCCCATCTGCAGTGACTTCCTTCACTAAATTCTTGAACCCCTCAAAGTCATCCACAAGAGTTGGAATCAACTTCTTATAAACTCCCATTAATGTTGATATTTTGACTTCTTCCCATGCATCACGAATATTTTTATGGCATCTAGAATGATGAATCTTTTCCAGAGGGTTTTCAATTTACTTTGCCCTGATCCATCAGAGAATCACTTTCTATGGCAGCTCTAGCCTTACAAAATGTATTTCTTAAACAATAAAACTTGAAAGTCAAAATTACTCCTTGATCCATGGGATGCAGAATGAATGTTATGTTAGCAGGCATGAAAATAACATGAATCTGCTTTTATATCTCTGTCAGAGCTCTTGGGTAACTAAAGGCATTGTCAATGAACAGTAATATTTTGAAATGAATCTTTTTTTTCCTGAGCAGTAGGTCTCGATAGTGGGTTTAAAATATTCAGTAAACCATGCTTTAAACAGATGTGCTGTCGTATAGGCTTTGTTATTCCATTTCTAGAGCACAGTCAGAATAGATTCAGCATCATTCTTAAGGGCCTTAGGATTTTCAGGATGATAAATGAACATTGGCTATAACTTCAAGACATCAGCTGCATTAGCCTCTAACAAGAGAGTCAGCCTGTCCTTTGATGCTTTGAAGCTAGGCATTGACTTCTCTTCTCTAGCTAGGAAAAGTCCTAGATGGCATCTTTTTCCAATACAAGGCCGTTTTGTGTACACAGAAAATCTGTTGTTTAATGTAGCCACCTTCATCAGTTATCGTAGCTAGAGCTTCTAGATAACTTGCTTCACATTGCACCCTTATGTTACGGAGACTTCTTTGTTTAAACCTCATGAATTGACCTCTGCTAGCTTCAAACCTTTCTTCTGTAGCTTCCTCCCTCTCTCAGACTTTATAGAACCTTAAAGAGTTAGGACCTTACTTTGGATTAGGCTTTGGCTTAAGAGAGTGTTGTGGCTGGTTTGATCTTCTATACAGACCAAACTTTCTCCATATCAGCAGTAATGGTGTTTCACTTTCTTATCATTCATACATTCACTGGAGTAGCACTTTAACATCCTTCAAGAACTTTTCCTCTGCATACACATCTTGGCTAACTGGTGCAAGAGGCCTAGCTTTTGCCCTATATCAGCTTTCTATATGCCTTCTTCACTAAGCTTAATCATTTTTAGCTTTTGTTTTAAACTGAGAGATGTGGGACTTCTTTCACTTCAGCACTTAGAGGCCATTGTAGGGTTATTAAGTGGCCTTATTTCAATATTTTTGTGTCTCAAGGAATAGGGAGGCCCGAGGAGAGGAAGAGAGATGAGAGAATGGACAGTTGGTGGAGTGGTCAGAACACACACAACATTTATCAATTAAGTTTGCCATCTTATATGGATGTGAATTACAATAGTAATGTCAAAGATCACTGATCTCAGATCACTATACTAGATATAATAATAATGAAAAAATTGAAAATATTATGAGAATTACCAAAATGTAACACAAACACAAAGTAAGGACATGCTGTTGGAAAAATGGTGCCAAAAGACTTGCTTGACAAAGGGTTGCGATAAACCTTCAATTTGTAAAAAATACAATATCTGCAAAGTACAATAAAGCAAAGTGCAATAAAATGAGGTATGCCTGTATATTTGACAAGCAGGTTCATAAAAAAGAGGTCCGCTAATTAAGTGCACCAGTCAAATACAAAACCCAGCATACTTTTCCTCACCTTGAACCTACAGATAAGGCACCCTTCAAAGCTTATAGTATTGTTTTGTTATTGAAAACTGCAAATGTTCTCTTTGCACACAGATTCAAACTTTTTGAATAATACTAGGCTTCCATAGTCATTTGTCTTGGGGAAGATGTGGATACATGGATTTAAACCAGGATGGGCAAGAGACACCCACTACATTGAACCCATCATGTTTTTGATTCTTCATTAACGATGGAAAGGGGGCACAGTTCCAACATAGTTAATTTCTTCTTTGGGCAAAGGTGGGAAAAGGGTACCAGATTGGTCAGTTTGTCCATCCTTTTAAAAAACTCACTCTTTTTTTTTTTAAATTAAGTAAATCCACTATCCTTTTTAAAAATTTGCCAACACAGTCATTTGGTGTTTCATTGTCTTTCTTCATGCGGATTTCTCTGGCTGAAGGCATTCTGAGGGTAATTACACAGCAGGATTTTGAACACAACATGATTTGAATGTAAGGAGTTCAAGATCAGGGCTCTGGCAGGCTCAGTGTCTGGTGAGGGCACTCTTCCTATTTTGCAGGCAGCCGTCTTCTTATTGTATCCTCATGTTGTGCTTCTTACAGTGGCATTCGTGTCTCTTCTTGTCTTTTTTTTTTTTCTTCTGAGGCAGGGTCTTGCTCTGTCACCCAGGCTGGAGTGCAGTGGAGTGATCATAGCTCACTGCAGCCTCAATCTCCTGGGCTCAAGCAGTCCTCTCACCTCAGCCTCCCAAGTAGCTGCGATGACAGTTGCATACCAACACGCCCAGCTAATTTTTAAAAGTTTTTGTAGAGATGGGGTCTCCCTATGTTGCCCAGACGGGGTCTCC
This sequence comes from Homo sapiens, assembly GCF_000001405.40. NCBI lineage: Eukaryota > Metazoa > Chordata > Mammalia > Primates > Hominidae > Homo > Homo sapiens. The sequence goes on from NC_000004.12 coordinate 148,725,009, forward strand.
CTATGTTGCCCAGACTGGGTCTCAAATTCTTGGGCTTAAGTAATCCTCTTGCCTCAGCTTCCCAAAGTGTTGTGATTACAGGCATAAGCCATCATGCACCACCTCATGTCTCTTCTTTTAAGGGCACTAATCCCATTCATGAGGGCTCCACCCTCATGACCTACTTCCCACAGGTCCCACCTCCAAATACCATTACATTGGACATTAGACTTCAACATATGAATTTTAGGGGGAACACAAATATTTGGTGATAGCATTGATAAACAGTAAATATCGCTACAGGGCACTGGTATTTCAAGTTCTAAAGAGTATCTAATGGGTGAGTGTTAGATCGCTTTATATTATTTTTATAGATATGTACCTGTGCATTTCCATGATAATTTCAGGATAAATTGTTACACATGAAATTGCTGGGTCTAAGTAGGCACATATTCATAAGGAGCTGGAGCAAACTTGTTACCCAGAAAAAGATGAATTTATTTATAATTTTACCAACAATGTATAAAAAGCCAATTTCTTCACACCATTGCTAAACTTAGGTATTACAAATAAATACAATCTTTGCCAATTTGTTAGGTGAAAAATGTTGTTTCCTTATTTTCTAAATGTACACTTCATTAATAGTGAAATCATATGCTTTTATAGGTTTTTTATAATTTTGCCATTTTTAAATTGAAATTTTTGTCTTTTTGTCTTTGTATTGATTTCTAAGAATTTTTGAATATTAAACATTTACTTGGCATTTATGTTTAAAATGTTTTTTCAGTTTTTAATATAGCTTTAGTTACAAAAACTATGTTTTAAATATATGTATAATAAATATATCCGTATTTTCCTTATTTTTTTTTGCCTGTATGAGTTGATGGCATGCCTAGAAAACTTGTATGTATGCTAAATTTATGTAAATATTCCCCTATAATAATAAACATCTTGTTTTATTACTTTAATATAAATTCTTAGCCAATCTGCAATGTGATTGGGGATATGGTTTGAGGATAGCAATTCAATTTTTCACCCGAATAATAGATTGCTTTTCCCAATTCCATTTATTAAATGAATTGTTTTTTCTCCACTACTTTGAAGCATCATTTTTATCCCATACTGAATTCTTATGTGTGTTAGCATTTGGTCTGTTTGCAGACACAGACACCCTTTCCTGTTTGATTTAATTCTATGCCTCTACACTGTTTTGATCAGTGAAGATTTTAAAAACATTTTATACAATATATTCAGTTCTTAATTTGACTTTTTTATTTGGTTCGTGATAACATTGTTTTTGAGCAATGCAATTTTCTAAAATAGCTCTATTTGTCAAAACTACTTAACCTGAACACTTATTTTTGGGATATAGCTATAAATTGTTTTGAATTGGTATTATATTCCCATTTCAAACATTTATTTATGGCATATGTATTCATCTCCATAACTATATCAGGAATAGTTATTTAGTTTTAATTATGTTTAAGTAGTTTCAAGGCACTATCTTGCCACAATAGATATCATATTCTGCATTCTAGAGGTAAAAGACTCTAGATTTTGATCTTTTCTTAGCGGACTCACATTAGACTTAGAAGAATGTTTTATTTTGCAAAGGATCCATCAATAATTTTCTTAATTAGGTCCTGCACAGACATACACATAAACATAAATACACACTTGTATGTATATCTAAAGCTCTTGTCTATTGCTAGTATACAAATTCATATCTTAGCTGGGTATAGATTTTGGGGTGATATAAAACTTTTCCCTTAATATCTGTACATGTCACTTTTTAGTATAATTCTTAATTTTGGTTCATTACTCCAATGGCTCTAGTATACCATTTATCTTATCATGGAGGAGCATGTTTTTGTGTCTTATCTATTGCCTATCTTGGATTATTATTTTGTTACACCCCTGTAAAATGACTATTTTGATACATATACAATTATTAATTAGATCATTATTTTTGACATTTTCTGTCCCTGAATATACATCTGAGACTTTCCAAATTATTTTTGAGCATATTTTTTCTGTTTGTATACCTGTTGTTTTTGTAATGCAAAACCTACAAGAGAGTTTAGATAATTGGCATCTTTTCGTTAAAATTTCCTGCAGCACTTAGAGTGATTGCATTACCACACGTTTAGTGTGCTTGCACCTCAGTTTCAAACGATATTCTACAATTACATATATATTTTTTTCTTGTTTTAATTTTTTTCCTTGGCATTTTCATTTTTGATTCATTGCATTCGGAGTTATCTTTGCAGATTTGTGCACCTCATTGCTGATTTGATTTTTCTGTACTTTTCATTTCCTCCATACTGATTTTGATGTGGATTTTAATTCTTTTTTGGAACTGCTAATTTCCCCACATGATTCCCTTACTTCATGCAACTCAAGGCTTATCCCTGGATCTTCTCTCTCTGTACTTTTGAGATGTGCTCAGTTTTATTTCAGTTGATGTGGTATCATTTCACTTGTTTCTCTTATTTAATAGAGTGCATGCTTTCAGGAAATTTCTGATAACATGAAGCAATGCTTCCTTATACCTGTAAGTTTTCTGCCCTGTGAGTGTATTTTTTCTTCTTTCCTGTGTAGAATCCATTGAAGTTTTCTATTATTATTATTAATTCATATTTACCCATTCTTTTTTTTTTTTGAGTTGGAATCTTGCTCTGTCACCCACATTGGAGTGCAGCGGTGCAATCTCGGCTCATTGCACCCTCGGCCTCCTGGGTTCAAGTGATTATCCTGCCTCAGCCTCCTGAGTAGCTAGGACCATAGGTGCGCAACAATGCACTTGGCCGAGTTTTGTATTTTTAGTAGAGATGGGGTTTCACCGTGTTGGCCAGGCTGCTCTCAAATTCCTGACCTCAGGTGATTTGCCTGCCTTGGGCTTTCAGAGTCCTGGGATTACAGGCATGAGCCACTGCGCCCAGCCTTATATTTACCCATTCTTGAATGAAAGAGATTGATTCAAGCCCAATGTTTGTCATTAAACCATTTAGTTATTTGTGATTAAATGTCTCTTGTTAGATCTTAAGCTAGTATTTGGATGATGTGTAAAAGTATTAGCCTGATTTTGGATTGTGGTAATTCAGGTAGCATCAGCTCTGCTGAACTATAATCTCCTACTGTTTATACCGTGCTTAAGGAGGATAATTTTTTCCTGAATAACTTGAGGCATTTTATATTTCTTCCTGTGTTAGAAACAGTGCATATAGGCAATAATAGATACTGGGGACCACTAGAGGGAGGAGGAAGAGGAGTGGGAAAAGGGTTGAGAAACTAATTATTGGGTACTATGCATCATTACCTTGGTGACAGGATCAATGGTACCCCAAACCTTAACGTCATGAAATATACCCATGTAACAAGCCTGCACATGTACTCCTTAAATGTAAAATAAAAGTTGGAATTTTAAAAAGAAAAAAATATAAATAGTGCACCTCAATGCCCTGAACTGCTCTTAAAGTTCTTATCGTCTCTGTCCCTCTTAGTGCTGGCCTTATATTCCCCTGTACCACTTAAATCTGACAATTGTTATATGTTACTGAAATTGTTGTTATGAATAGAAGAAATGCAGGCAGGCCTGATGTGAAAGGGAGATGAATAGATTCTCTTGGGTGCTAGTGAGGACATTTGATGCGTACATGGATTAATATTCAAAATTATTATCCTGCCATGCTATTTGGTGTTACTGTTGCAATTTTGCACCTCTTTCTGTGGTGTCAGAGTGGGGACAGTGTTCTCAGAAGAGAGCACATGTGTATAGGCCAATGGGTGGGAGGGCCATTGTGGGCCCGGGGGCTGCTAGAAGATTGAATGTGCTGTGTATAGATGGGTATATATAGAAGGATGGGAGGAGTTGAGGCTGAGGAGAAGGTCAGGAGATTTGTCTCTATATATACCTGACTGTGGAGTTTAACTTTATCCTGATGGAGGTATTGAAATGTTTAAAGCAGGTTTGTGACGTGATGGGACAGAAAGATCTCTTTGACGAGAATGTTATTGGACTAGGGAGAGGCTCCAGGTGGGGAGACCACATAGGAAGTCATTGCAATCTTCTAGGCAAGAAAAAGATAACAGCCTGACCTAATAAAGCCACATCTGTAAAGTGGAGGTGCATACAGAGTCCAGAAATACTTAGGAGGAAAAATGAAAAAGACTTTGAGATTGGAATAGAGGGCAAGGGAAAGGGAAAAATTTAGGTTGATTCTTACACATTTGGTAAAAGTTACAGAGTCAAAGAGTGTGATAGACTGGTTTGTCCAGGCTGGGGTATGGAGCAAACATCATGAGTTCAATTTTGGGATTTCATTAGTAATTTTGTGTAGATGATTTTCAATGTAGGCAATGATAATTTTAACTTTAGTGGAACAAAAATGTTTCCAAGGACAAAATAAGCTACATTTTTAGTGAGCATGCACTGCCGATTTACACTATTTGGGTTATGATATGCTGTTGTTAAGCGCAATGAAAGGGGAAAATTAACTACCAAGATCAGTATTTAAATCAGGGTTGAGTTGGCAGCACACTGGAGTGAGAAGAGCTTAGCTTTGGAAGACAGGAAATTAATATCTTTGATCGGATTGTACTCATTAACAGCAAGATTGGGGCAAGGCACTTAGTCATTTGGTTCCTAGATTCCCTGTTCGTAAATGATAGATAATATCATCTCTCAATTATTTCACAGGGTCTTAAGATGTGAACTAGATAGCTGATATAAAATTGCTTCCATATGCTGCTTTTGTATCTGAAATGATGAGAAACAAAATATTAGATATTTGTTGGCAACTGCAAATTTGGGGCAAAAATTTTCTGATATACTACCCTATGATATAAATAAGACTAGCCTTTTGTGCATTTAATGTCACCTTTGAGTAAAAGTATGTTTAATTCAATTTTTTTCATATAATAATTTGGCTTCTAGAACATTGTAAATGTAAATTCTGACACATTACAAATAAAATAAAGCTAAATGGCAGTACTTAGTGCCAGAGAGGATATTTTTTGCAATCAATTTTTTAATTAGCATTTTCCTTTATTAAAAATACAAGAAGAGAGAAAAGAAAATAGTTTTGCATTCAATATTAATATAATTTTCAACTCCTGGCTATGATTTCATCATAAATATCACAGCCAAACTTCTTACAGAACTGAATACAGAGCATTTCATTTTCTTTCAAACAAGTTCACATAATTAAGAAAGTGTTTTTCAAATGAAATAGAATTATCTCGTTTACTCTGCTGTATTTACATATGTCTTTCATGAAGAGCTATTTGGCAGTAAATCTAGCCTGTTCTTTAAATAAGCATACCAAAATACTTCTTCAGAGTCTAAAGTTTTGCTAAGAGGAAAAAAAAAATCCACACCAATTTTGCCTCTGAAAAGATATTATCACTGCTCTTTTTGTTGGGCTAGAGACAAAATATTGGAGAAAATGGAATTTTACCAAGAAACAAGCTGTGAATTCTTTTCTACAGAATCTTATCCTAAAGCTTTTTGTCAACCAATAAAAATTAATGGATTAGGAAAAAAAAAACCCTACCTATTTGTCTCAAAGGATTTTGGAATAAAGAAACTGGTAATTATTTACCCAGTGGCAATCCTAGGTAATTCCCTTCAGGCAAAAATCCAAATAAAAGACTTAAACATTGTAAATTGTCCTTGTCACATGAAGCCCTACACATTCAAAACTCAAAACAAGTCGGCCCCAAATCTGATTGGTAGATATTATTAGCTAGTGTCCATTCAGTGCCTTAGTTTGGGTGGATTTCATTGTCAAGTTTAAATTTTGGGGTGTGTTAATATCTTACAGAGATTCTATTTTAACTTTGTTGGTGAAAAAAATGGAAGCTATTTTAACAGTTGAATGGTTTTGAGAATAACAACTTTTTAGCTTGTGTCTGGGTATCAAGTACATTCCTAAGGGTTCCGGGGGATTAGTCTAGTGGTTTAGAGCCTGTGTCTGGAGTCAGGCTGCCTGGGTTTCAATCCCGGCCCAGCCACTTAAGTAACCTGTGATCTGAAACGTATTACCTTCCTTCTGTGTGCCTCGATTTTTCTAATTAAAAGACAAGGGGAAATAATTATACTTATTTCATGGTTGTTGAGAGGATTATATGAGTAAATATATAAAGTGTTGAGAAACAGTTCCTGGCATATAGCAAGTACTCGGTACTTATAAGTTATTGTTATTATTATCAACTCAGACAGAATTGTTATTAAAGTATTAAGCTGATAAACAATGAAAAGAAATAGGTGCTGTTTGGCTGGTACCCTTGACATTGCAGGAATTTGGGGAAGGAATGCACGATGGATGGGGCTGTAAACAATGATCCCAAATGAACAGGAGCATCCCCTCCTGTTGCTTCGGGTTGATCTTGGAAAACCAAGAGGAGGAGGAGGAAGTGGAGGAGGAGAAGGGTGATACCACTATGTCCTCATATGTTGGTAACCTAAACAGAAACTTCAGTTTTTTTCTTATTGGTTTCTCAGTTCCAAGTGAAGTCCTCCTCCCCCATCCCTGCCCCTGAAAACTTGTAAAACCCACATGCCTCACTGGAGAAATACATGTGCCAAGTTGGAAATTTTAAAATTCAAACTCTAATTTTTTGCATACACATAAATTCTGGCAAATTTTGATGCTGGTAAAAAAACCCGCTTTTGCTGTTGGAATGTTATTATCACTCCAAACGATTGAACAGATTTCTTCAGCCTTTCTAAATATAATTATTTTTGAGAAGACAATAAGGATGAAGAATTTCTTCCTCAAGGTCATGCTGGGGGATGCTTAGAAAGTACTGAGTTTGTGCACATGAGGAAAAGAAAAAGTTTCCTCTCATCCATAATTTGCTATTTCATGTACTCCTTTCAAAACTTCCAATGAGACAACTTAGCCTTGACAAAATGAAGAATGAGTTTCCACAAGAACACATAGTCCTCACATAATCCTTTATGATAGGTAGTTTTATGTGTCAAATACAGCTGGGCAATAGTACTCAAACAATAATCTAGCTGTTGCTGCAAAGATGCTTTGTAGATGTGGCTAACATCTGCCATCCATTGACTTTAAGTAAAGGAGACTACCCTCAATCATATAGGTTCCACCCACTGAGTTGAAGGACCCTAAGAGCAAAACTGAGGGTTCCCTGAAGAATTCCAGCTGTGGCCTGCAGTATCAGCTCCCATCCAGGAGTTGCCAGCCTGCTGCCCTGCCCTACAAATGTCAAACGTTGCCTAGCCAGACCCCACAATCACATGAGACAATTCTTTGAAGTAAATCTCTTAAGATATATATCCCACTCGTTCTGTTTCTCTGGTGGAACCCTGACTGATACACCCATTATTCCAATTGTGTTATAAAATGCAAAGTGCATATTATGCTAGGCTAAGACTCTTTCCTTAAAATGCAGCAGTGCTGGCTGGGCATGGTGGCTCACGCTTGTAATCCAGCTCTTTAAGAGGCCGAGGCAGGTGGATCATGATGTCAGGAGTTCCAGACCAGCCTGGATGATATAGTGAAACCCTGTCACTACTAAAAATACAAAAATTAGCTGGGCATGGTGGCACATGCCTGCAGTCCCAGCTGCTCAGGAGGCTGAGGTAGGAGAATCGCTTGAACCCAGGAGGCGAAGATTGCAGTGAGCCCAGATCGCACCTGCACTCCAGCCTGGGTGACAGAGTGGGACTCCATCTCAAAAAAAAAAAAAAAAAAAAAAAAAGCAGCAGTATTATTTTCAGAAGAATTTGAACATCAGACATAGTTGTTTCTTAACTTTTTATTGAAGTATTACACACACACACAGGAGACACACATAGCAAATTGAACACACCTGTGTAACCAACACCCAGGTCAGGAAACAACATAATCTGCACATCAGAAGTTACCTTAGCATTCCTTCTCATCATCGACCCCGCCTCCACCAAGGGCAGCCCATGTCCTAACTTCTAATAGCACACATTAGTTTTCAGGTGTAGGATTTTAAGTATGGTTAAGTAAATGTGATTTTAAGGGTAGGTGTGATTATCTGAAGACCTTGGGAGAAGCCTTGACGCAAAGAGACAATCTCAGTACTCAGAGGTTGCTATTTGTTAGGGCCCATTAGAATTTGGACTAAATAATGAGTCTTTCTGACTATTTTACATCTTACCCACTAAACACTAAACAACTTTTTTTGTAGTATATATTATAGGTTTTACTCCAATTAATTGTTAAAGAAAGCTAAATCTATGGAGCAGAGGATTTAGTAGGCAGATATCTGCCCCACATTATTTAATACTTAATTCCAAAAAAATTAATTCCATAAAATGAAAGTTTATGCTCTATTCCAAACCTCAAGCCACTGGTATTGTCATGGCTTTATTGAATATCCTGGCTTGTCCATAGAGGCACATAGATCAGGTTTCTTTGAAGCAAAGGGACTTTCTATGATATGTCTTGTAAGAAAATTTCCCTATTGTTGACATTTGCAAGATCTATTATTGGGAGCACTTTATTGACTTGGTGACACTCCCGCAGCCTTCTCCAGCTGTTTCCCAGTATCACATATGCAACCAAGTCACAATTCTTCACTGGAGAATAAACTCACAGTAATTTCCAGCTTCATGCATGTTATGTAATTAAATAAGTATCAGAAGATTATTGGTGTAACTAATACCACTGCAGAACTTGTATTACAAACCCTCTAACTCAGTGGTGGGAAATGGACTCCCATACCCAGAATGGTTCATGGAAAGATGGACCCTAAGGAAATAGAGCCCTGAAAGGACTCCACAGTTTCTGTGTACACTCTCATGTCTACTCTCTCCTCTGGCCAGAAACCTCCCAGGCACCTGTTATAGTATCCACTCTCTTAGTCAATCTGAACACTCAATCCTATTTCTCTCTTGGAGGACATTACTGAGACGTAAATATATACCATTCCCTAAAGCCCTGAGGTTATAAAAAATGTTATGGCATTTGATTTATTGATGTGAAAAAAGAAGAAAGGGACCAGGAGAATGGAATGTTAAATACCTTGTTAAATACCTCGGCCATTCCAGCTCTCAGTGTGGTGATGAGAACAAAATCAGATTAACCTGACTGTTGACAACTTTTATCTTGAGAAAATATATGCATTTATATCATAGTTATATAGATACATGTCTTATCTTCTCTAATAAACCAAAGACTTCTTAAGGGAAATATATCTGACCGATAAATATTTGTGTTGTCTCCATAGTACCTACGGCAGGTGCTCAATTGGTATTTGTTACATGAATTAAAGCCGATAGTCATCATTTAGTTTTTAGCATAGAACCATTAAGAACAGAGCAAATCATCTATGTTTGAGGGTAAACACCGTTTCTCCTCCAAATGAAACTTGGAGTTCCTAATAATTCCCTGATCTTTTAAAGCAAGAATAAGTAGAACAAATCTAAATCAAACCTTGATATCTCAATACCTGGGATGCTGCACATTAGTCTGGTTATTTCATCTTGTGAAGCAGAAGATCAACAGAAATATTCAAGGGGACTGAATAGTTTCCTTATAGAAAAACAGAAGGGAGATCGTGAAAGAACTCTCACATGAATGTGAGTAAATTCTATAAAATTCTTGATCTCATTTCTTCCTTCAGTTATCAACCTTTGTCATAAAATCCCTGAAAAGCTTTCCCATTCTACTTGGATTTAATTTCTCTTCTCTGTTCTCTCTCAAAACCTCTTTAGTCTACCTTTTGCCTGCACCAGATCTGATCTACCACTGACCTCTGGGGTCACACATCTCAGCCTCGTGTGACTTGACTTACCGTTTGACAGAATTGATGACTCCCTCGTTCTTGAAGTTCTTGGCCTGGCTTCTTGGACACATTCTTCAGAATCCTCCTTTGGCTGCTCCTTCTCAGCAGTTTTTGCAATTCTTCCTCATAATCATTCCTCAGACACCTTAGCGTTGGAGTGCACAGTGGTCAGTCCTTGTCTCTTCTCTTCTCTGTCTTTATTGACCTTCTTGACCATCTTTTTCATCTCATGGCAATAGTTATGTTGATGACTCTCAAATGTATCATTGCAGGTTTAGCTCTTTCCAGACTCCTAGTTCCAGCTGCCTATTGAACATCTTTAAATGGATATCTAATAGGCATATAAAAAATGTGTCCAGCTGTGCATGGTGGCTCACACCTGTAACCCCAACACTTTGGGAGGCTGAGGTGGGAGAATTGCTTGAACGCATGAGTTGGAGACCAGCCTGGGCAACAAAGTGAGACCCTATCTCTACAAAAAAGTCAAAAAGTTAGCCAGGTGTGGTGGCATGCACCAGTAGTTCCAGCTACCCAGGAGGCTGAAGTGGGAGGAGGTTGAGGCTGCGGTGGGCAGCCTCATGACAGAGTGAGACCTTGTCTCAAAAAAAGAAAATGTGTCAAGAATGACCTCAATTTTTTTCCTAAACTTCCATTGAACTTTCACTCCAAATTTGTTCCTCATGCATTTTTCCTTATCTCACACTCCAGCCAAATCTCACCTTTAACTCCTATGTCTCACATCATACACCAAATCTATCAGCAAACCCTAGTGGCTCTACCTTAAAAATATTTCCAGAACTTAACCATGTCACATCAGTTCCCTGCTACTGTGATCTCTCTCTCAGATTGTTATGACTGTCTCCTAACAATAGGGCCCCTGATTCATCTTTGCTTTCCTATAGTCCTTGTCTCAATACAGCAGCCAGAGTGATCCTGCTAAAAAGTAAAACAGATAATGTTACTTCTCTGCTCGAAACCCTCCGTTGCCTTCCGAAAACATGGAGCAAAATCCAAACTCCCTATAGTGCCCTGCAAGAGGCAAGATGATCTGCCAGCCTCATTTCTCACCACTCTTCCTTCTCCCTGTTGCCATACTCATCAGCTTGCTGTGTGCTCCAGTTTCTGCATTTGCTGTCCTCTCTGCCCGGACATCCTCCCCCCAGGTATCATTCTTTCACTTCCATCAAATGAGCTCCTCAGAGATACTTTCCATATCAGTCATATCTGAAATCGTCACCACCTCCTCACTCCTTACCTCAACTTCCTGCTTCTCCAAAGCACTTATGAACACCTGACATACTATATCATGTGCTCATTTGAAACAAAGAGTGAAAGTTCCAAGAAGTCAGGAAAAATTTTTTTCTTTTTTTCTTTGGCTGTCTGAGAAATTTCTAGCACCTAGAATTTTAAGTACTGGAGCCAAATTATTTGTTGAATGAGTGTGTCTCTCCTCTCTTCTCCCTTTCTTTTCTCTCTCCTCCTCTCTCTCTTCTGTTCCCTTCCCTTCTCTTGTCTTCTCTATCTACATTTTCTCTTCTGATATTCTCTCCAGTTACATGACTTTAGTTACCACAGGAAGTATATTCCCAAACTTGTTTAATTCTTGGAATATAAAATATATTTGGAGCCATCTGTTCCTATTGAGAAAAGAAGCAAGGCAACATAGAAATAAAGTGTTGTTTTAAATAATTGGTAATTACCATATGGAACTCAATCCTACCACCAAAACTTAATTCTGTCTCTCACCTTTTTTTGCGTGAATTATCAGAATAGCCTCTTCGTTGTCATCTGTAACTTATGCGTGAATATCTCCAAACTTTTCTTTACATAGTTGCCAGTGTAATCATATCACACGCATTTGAATATATTTCATCAGTTTCTTATAAAGGAGGAGAATGATAAACATGATGATGATAAAAGTGTAGAATTAAGTATTTAAAAACTGAATAAAACTTATTCTTTCTCTCAAAGTAAAATGTATGTTTTCCGTATAATTTAACCACATCAAGGAGTCATTAGAAAGAATGTGTACATCATGTATGTGGATAAGATCTCAGCTGCTTGGCATATACTGCCTTATTGAATGAAAAGGTCTATATTGCTATTAGAACTTTTAAACATTTCATTCTTTTAAAGAAAGTAGAAATAAAACAAAAGCCTATCCTGAAGACCGTGATGTATTCCTATGAATGCCTGGACTGTTGTTTGTCACTGGGCTCCATATTGGTTTGGTTAGCATTTTCTTTGCTAATAAAGTCATCCATGAAACCCATTTTAGACTGACTCATTTCTCTGTGAAGCACATGTTATATTAGTTTTGCAGAATGTGGATGAGTTTATGTGCAGGAAACACAAAAGGAGAAGTGTTTTCCAAAACTTTCTATACTTGAGTGACATTCTTCACTGGCCCCAACTTCTTTGGCTAATTGATTCTCTAAACAAGACCTCAGCCAACCTTCAGAGCAGCTGTTTCTGGAATAACAGAGACTGGCAAGTGAGGGAATAACTGTGGCTTTAACAGGCATGTGCTTGCTCTCCACCACACTGGATTGCCCTCTCTGAAAGGGTTGCTTTTGATGACCAAATCCATCTTGTTTTCTCTTTGTTAAAAAAAGAAAAAGAAAAAGAAAATATGCTTCTATTTTTTAGACCATGATAACAAAAAGCAGTCACTAGAAAAATTGGCAAGAGGGAGGAGAGTTCCTAATAGGCTGGCCACTTAGACTTGGGATATTTTTCTGAGAAAGCCAGTCATGCCTGTTTCATCTTGGAATAGATTCCTTTCCCCCAGTAGCACTCCAGAAGCCGTGCTGTCTGTTTCAGTTATAAATCCCCAGTCTTCTCATTACAGACTCAGGGCTATAACCGACTTCTGGCAATTTATGATCAAACCTAAAGCACTTAGCTAGTGAATTGTACCATTTGTTGAACATGTAAAAATCTCTAACACTTGGGGCCAAAATTAAAATGTCATTGAGTAAATGAGTGTGTTAATAGCCAAGGATTCTCATAAGACAAATAACTAGTGTCTTACTTAAAATCTTAGAATTCTAGAGCTAGAAAGGAGCTCACTCATCATTTACTCTAATCCTTAATTTTACATATGAGGAAATTGGAAACAAAGGAGTTAACACCTGGCTCAAGGTCATACCTGGCTTAAATAGAGCATCAGTTGCCTAATTCCTGCCAAGCGCACATTTCGTGACCCACGATTCTCTTCTCACTCTAGTTGGCTTTGTGAAAGAGCAAAATTGGAAGCAGATCAAAGATCTTAGATGCTAATTTTCCTGCCTTGATAGTTATCTTTTCACAAGTGGATAGGGCAGGGTGGGCATGTGTTAGAGGATGATGTGAAAGTTGAGAAGCACCTAAGACAATATTACTTAATTATTGTATTTAGGGGTGTTTTTATTGCAGGTTGAGTGAGACACGATGGTGATGAAATGAGCTTCCCTGCATGTAATTACAAATAAATAAGTCTTTTGGGGTTTGTCTAATAGCAGGGGGCATGAGGTCATTTGGGATTGCTGTTTTTGGTCAGTGTGTTTGAACACATTGGGTCACTGTCAAGGGGTTCTAAGTGAGCCACGATATTCTGGGTTTTCAGCTATTTTGGGTTGGAAGACAACCATCAGGTAAAGCGTAAGTCTGAAAAACAAATTTAAAGACCCTTTGGAAAGACCATATAGACTGAATTTTTGGAATTAAACTATTTTTCATTTATGGCTGAGTCACTGGTGTTTGTAGACAAACTTGATAAGAAGTTTATATGATGTGGCTGTGTCCTCACCCAAATCTCATCTTGAATGGTAGCTCCGATAATTCTCATGTGCCATGGGAAGGAATCAGTGGGAGGCAATTGAATCATGGGGGCAGGTCTTTCCTATGCTGTTCTCCTAGTAGTGAATAAATCTCATGAGATTTGATAGTTTTATAAAGGGGAGTTCCCCTACACAAACTCGCTTGCCTGCTGCCATATAAGACATGACTTTGCCCTTCCTTCCAAATTGACAATCCTAATTGTTCCTTTCTCACTGGGTCACGGTGGCACGGCCCGGGGATGATGGGGGTGAAGATTGGCTGAGAACAGATTAATATAGAAGTGGAGAGAGGAATATTTGTGCGGTATTATTCCTTCAGAGTTGATAGATGCAGAATCAATCTATCAAATGGGCTCTGTGGAGAATGGATGGGCCCAGAACTGCTGCTGTATGCTATTCTATCTCCTGGGGACCCTAGAACTCTATTAGGATTCCTGTAGTTGGCAGTGAGGTTGGCTCTGCATTAGGACTATATGTATCTCTCTGATGAGCCATATTTTTCCCTAACTAATCCTGAACATTCAAATTGGATTGTGTTTCATTCATGTCTTAATTATCAGGAAATCAGAGTGACTGACACATGGTTGATACTTAGATATTTTTCAAAGGATTGAAAATGAATTATGAATTTGTATTTAATTCAGAGATGGACAGAGAACCAATGAAAGGTTTTGATATCAAGTGTAAGCAGGTTTGGGATTGGGCAACTACTCACATCGCAACACTCAGAATTCACAGGTGTTACTCCTTCCTACATTTCTTTCCATTAAGTTTGGGGAAAAAACCCAGATTATCTATCAAATACCAAACAATGACCAACAATCTTCTGCGGTAGCCTGAGATAATATTTTGATGCAAGCAAATTGGGAATATGAAAAATGTAAAATTGTTAGGGGTTGCGGAATCTTCAATGTCTAGTAATTTATCTACCAGGTTAATAAGTTCAGTTTTTCTTAACAAGCATTTATTGAGTGTTCTGCTTTTTGTGAATTATTTAGCTAGATTCTATGAGGGACCCCAGAAGTTCCATACAAGAAAGTCCAAATTAGAATCTTGATTAAATTTTATTTTAATCTGAAAATTTATTTTAAAAGAGACAAGATAACCTGACTTCTTGGTACGTTCACAAACTGTATATAAAATGATAAATTGATTCCTCTTTATTACTTTGAGTAGTTCTTTCCAATTGATTGATTATATTGATATGACTACTTGAAAATACCCTGAACCCAGTATGTTAGTATGGATGATTATGAAGGATTTAATATCCCATAAAAATGTGGTAGAGAATGTTGATAATTTACATTATATATGTACCTGAAGTCAGCATTTAAAAGTTGATTTGTTAGAACATTTGATCTCACTGGCAGGAAGTGCTGATAAATGTAGAGAGTTTTCAAAGCAGAGAGGTATCAAGTTCAGTAACAACTCATTAGGTGCAAATGCTTTGTCTGCAGGGAAGAGAAATTAATGATATCTCTACATCTTGCAACATTTGTCTTTGTAGTTCAGCCGTTCGAAAACCCTACTCTACTTTCAAATTCTCTGTAAAAATATTTTTTCGTGGCCATGATATTTGATCTTATTGTAGTGGGAGTCATTTTAAAAGTTCAAAATTGGAGTCGAGTCACAGGGAAACATTGCCAGTTCTATATGGAACAGCAAATTGTCCATAAAAAGGTACAGACTGGGCAAATAGAGTGAGCAAAGTCCCTTGGGCTGGGTAAGGAGGCAGGTGGGCTGGGAGTGGTCACTGGATATACAAAGAATCTCTTCCAAAAAGTGAAAACACTCTTTCTAGTAGATCTAATGATTTACATACTATGGGGGATAAGTAAATGTATTGAGATTTTCCAGTCCTTAGAAAACATTTAAAATAGCTATGGATGTCAAGAAAACACAGATGAGGGTATGTCGTTAAAACAATTAACTAGATTTTTAAAACTAAACAAGTATTATAATTAGCCAAGAAGGTGAACCAGTACAGGCTCTTGGATCCTTCCCTCAGATAAACCCAAACATGCCAGAGAAGATATAAGGAGATTTATTGGCCTTAGAACTGTCCTCAGACACAAAAAGAGAAACTTTAAGAAACCTGTGGGGAGGCAGAAAATAGTTGGGATCTGGTGTAGAGGTGGCAAATGTAGGGCTGGTGGAAGAGGCAGCCAGGGCCCTAGAAGGGTATTAGCTGAGAAAGAACTCCCAGGCTGTGCCCTTTCTTATGACTCGTGCTCCTCTGAGCAAGTCATTGCTTGTCTTGTTCCAAGGCCTCTCCTGTGGGACAGAAGAGTGGCTAGGCCAGCCAGGCACAGGGAGCACTATGGCCCTGGCAGTGCTGGGGCCTGGCTGGGTGAGGAGCAGCAGCACAGGCAGTGCAGGGCTGGGCTGCTGAGGAGCATTTCCTCCTTGCCCCACCAGCCTACCTACCCTGTGGCTGTGGCACCTACAAGAAAGTCTTCAACCATTATTCAGTTGTTTTTAAAAAATTGGTTAAAGAAAGGAATCATAAAAATTTACCTGTGTATCTCAAAGATATCATTAATTAAATACTCAAAGGTATATTTTGTTAAACCAATGTAGTGATACAAGATCAAGGCCTCTCCTTTGAGGAGGGGTGTCCAGCTTAAAGTTCCACCATTTTTCTTGAATAAATCATACTCTTATGCATATCTATTATTCTCATTTTTGGTTCTTTAAATTGGAGCTAAAATTGTAAGACATTTGAGAATCAATCTGAAAAAGATTCCTCCTAGATTTTTGTGATATTTTCCCATTATTAAAAACAGTAAACAGTGCTGGGGGCAGTGGTGCACACTTGTAATCCCAGCACCTTGGGAGGCTGAGGTGGGAGGATTGCTTGAGCCCAGGAGTTTGAAACCAGCCTGGGCAACATAACAAAACCCTGTCTCTACCCCGCAAAAAAAAAAAAAAAAAAAAAAAAAGCCAAGCATGGTGGTAAGCACCTGTAGTCCTAGCTACTCAGGAGGCTGAGGCAGGGGTATCACTTGAGCCTAGGAGGGCGAGGCTGCAGAATGCTGTGATTGTGTGATTGTACTCCATCTTGGGTGACAGAGCAAGACCCTGTCTCTAAAGAAACAGATCTTGTCGCTTTGGCTGAATTCTTTTTTAAAAACTCAAAATTGCCTTTTTTCCCCCAAAAACTTATTTTCATGGGAATACACTTTTTTCCTTTTCTCATTTGTGTGTCGTCAATTTAAAAAAGATTTAACCCAATTATGTTCAATAACAATACCAACAGACACAAATAGGTTTGGGCACAAAGCAAACTGATGTTGAAAGTTGTGCTCCATTGGTGGCACCAGAAGTTCATGGGCATGAGAATAGCTTATTCGTTTTAAACACACAGCATGCTGTGGACACCTGTAAAATTTTCAGAGGAAATAGAGTGAAATTTTCAGGTGCTTTGTTTAAATAGATGTTGCCTATTATATTAGCTTGGGTATCTGGTTTTCCTAAGGGAATAAAAGATAAATGCATAGGAAAAAATAATGAAGCTTTTGTGGAAAGCAAGCATTGTTTAAAAAAAAGGCAATACACAGAATAACCTATAACAGAAGAAATAAAAATAATAAGATATTGAAAATGAACTTAATAAATACCCTGAGAGAGATAGGGAAGTATAGTAGATGCGGGAAGAAGAGTTATGTGAAAGAAACAAGTGAGAAATTTTGAAACGAAATAGCTTAATTTTCAGTGTAACACAAAAGATGGCTTAAATAACAGAATGGATATCTACAAATAATTAAATCTATGTAGAAATTTAAAGCCTCAATAAAGAGATAAAAGAAATGAGATAAAGAATGAGAGAAAAGCTAACAGATATGGAAGATAAAATGTTAACATTTGTCAGAAGGAAAAAGAAAATAAAGGGAATACAATATTTAAACAATAATACTGTTATTTCCCTAGAAACAAAACAACTTATGAAACTTCTGCTAGAAAGGGTACAGAGAGTGCTAAGTAGAATAGATGAGGGACTCCTTCTAACACATACACATTATAGTAAACTTTTTATACCATAAAGCATAAAGTAAAATTCCAGAGAAAGCAGATCACCTACAAAGAAATAAGAATCTGGCATCAGACTTCTCAATAGGAATATGGTATTAGTTTATATAATATTTTATCTTGTTCATGGCTAAGATATATTTGTTTATAAGCTTTAGCAGACTTATCTGGGTGGATCATCATGAGTTTTATGTTTATGGTGCCTTCCAGAAGAGTAAGAATAGAATGTATAAATATTAAAATAGAAAAAAATGGATTTAGCTAATGTAAAGTAATAACAGAAAAAGAAGTGCAATAAAAGTATTATAAAATGAAACATAAAAAAGATGGCACCAATAAGGTCTAATTTAATAGTAATTAAACTAAGTGTATATAGGTTAAACTTACTATTCAAAGACAAAGATTCAGATTAATCTGTGAAAACAAACCAAGATCTAGAAATACATTTCCTAAAAATAAGAAAAGAGAGAAAACTTTAAAACAATAAGTTTGAATATGAAAAAAATATAAAGGCAAGTAAGAATAAAAAGAAAGTGAAGTAGCAATTTTAGAAATGACGCATACAATTTAAGAATTAAAATGTAAAAGAAAATAAGAGGGATGTTATAGACAAGCAAAATAAGATAAAATGATAATGAAGATATATGTACCTATTAATATTGCCCCAAAATATGGACATCAACAAAATTATAACTAAAGAAATGGTCACACCAATAATTGTAGCTGGAGATTTTAACTGAGATCCAGAAGGAAAAAAAAGTATAGAAGATTGAAATAATAGAATCACATTATATGTAAATTCACATATGCACATATAAATTTTTTACCAACTCTGAATATATTGTTTTTGAGCATATGTAACAAAGTCACAAAAATTGAGAAGATACTAATTTGAAAGTTAAGTTCAATACATGTTCCAGAGAATTGTTATCACACATATCATATACTTCGAGAAGAATAAATTTTGAAACTGATAACAAAAAGATAGCTAAAATGTTTTATGTATCAGAAACAATTAACATACCATAAAATAACTCAATTTTAAAATCATGTAGAAAATTATGAAGTATGTAGATATGAAAATAGCGCATATTAAAATTTGTGGATGTAGAGAATTCACTGCCAAAAGTAACATTTCTGATGTTAGATATATTTATCAAAAGGCAAACAAAAATATGAAAGCCAAAGAACTAAATATTCAACTTGAGCAGCTTGAAAATAGCGTCAAAATAAATCCAAAGAAAACAAAAAGAGAAGTAATAAAGATAAGGAAAGACATCAATAAATGAAAAACAGCAAAAGCAATCATAACAAGAAAGATTTTAAAAAATAGTTTTTTAAAAAGGCTAATAAAATTTTTGTCAAAAGCAATCAAGAGACATGGATGTAAGTTGCAAATTTAAAAAGTGGAAAATAACTTGTAGAAACAAACATAAAATTTTGGAAACAGTGTGCAGAACAATTATATGACAATAATTCAGAAAGTCTTGATAAAATGTTAATTTTTGATTTCCATGAACAACTTAAGTTTGTTCTTTTCTTTCTTTGTTTTTTTCTTTCACTCGTTCTTTTTTTTTTTTTTTTTCTTAGTGGAAAGGTTAAATTGGTTGGATCCCAAAGAAGTCTTTTGCTTTGACCTAAGCCATGGCAATTTGACAAGCCTGCTTTGGGGAGTGAAGGAGCTCAGGTTTAGAGTTAGTATCCCTAATCTCTCTGGGTTTACAAGAGAAGACAGATGGCTGTAGTATGTTAAAACAGCTCTCAGTAAAATACTGTATCCAGGGGATACTAATCAAGCCTGGTAAATGAGTGAGAATGAATTATGGAATTATGGAACAAAACACAAACAAAAGCCCCACTGTCCTTGAGGGCTGACGACTATCATCACAAAGGCAAAGTTAACTCAGAGAAACCCAATCACATTTGGTCATCTCATGCTTGGGGGTGCTCTCCAGTGTTTTATTGATTCCTAAATAGACTGAGCAGAAGTGGCTGGGTACTTTGAGCCTGAAAGGGGTTTTCTGATTTTGTGGGACTCTTTGAACCATATCCTCGGGATTCATCTTATCCTTGGGTCATACTGTTTTTTATTTATTTATTTATTTATTTATTTTTATTATACTTTTAAGTTTTAGGGTACATGTGCAAAATGTGCAGGTTAGTTACATATGAATACATGTGCCATGCTGGTGCGCTGCACCCACTAACTCGTCATCTAGCATTAGGTATATCTCCCAATGCTATCCCTCCCCCCTCCCTCCACCCCACAACAGTCCCCAGAGTGTGATGTTCCCCTTCCTGTGTCCATGTGTTCTCATTGTTCAATTCCCACCTATGAGTGAGAATATGCAGTTTGGTTTTTTGTTCTTGCAATAGTTTACTGAGAATGATGATTTCCAATTTCATCCATGTCCCTACAAAGGACATGAACTCATCCTTTTTTATGGCTGCATAGTATTCCATGGTGTATATGTGCCACATTTTCTTAATCCAGTCTATCATTGTTGGACATTTGGGTTGGCTCCAAGTCTTTGCTATTATGAATAATGCCTCAATAAACATACATGTGCGTGTGTCTTTATAGCAGCATGATTTATAGTCCTTTGGGTATATACCCAGTAATGGGATGGCTGGGTCAAATAGTATTTCTAGTTCTAGATCCCTGAGGAATCGCCACACTGACTTCCACAGTGGTTGAACTAGTTTACAGTCCCACCAACAGTGTAAAAGTGTTCCTATTTCTCCACATCCTCTCCAGCACCTGTTGTTTCCTGACTTTTTAATGATTGCCATTCTAATTGGTGTGAAATGGTATCTCATTGTGGTTTTGATTTGCATTTCTCTGATGGCCAGTGATGGTGAGCATTTTTTCATGTGTTTTTTGGCTGCATAAATGTCTTCTTTTGAGAAGTGTCTGTTCATGTCCTTTGCCCACTTTTTGATGGGGTTGTTTATTCATTGTTTCAAACTCCCTAGGTTTGGTAGTCAGAAAGAGTTTTGACTGACGTTCTGCTGTAATTAGTAACTTGAATAAACTACTAAGGGATTCAGTCTCTCTCTGTGAAGGTGGAAGAATTTATAATTTTTTGAGTGCATGCTTTTTTTATAAACTCCCAATTTCTGAAGGGCATATCTTACACCAGTGTAAAACAGTGTTTCTGAAAAAGGCTAGATTGTAAGCTTCTCAACATATTTGGGAACCATACAAAGAATTCTCAGGAGAGAAAAAGGTCTTTATTCTCTTCAAAAGCATATGTGGGAGTATCCATCCTTCATTTAATAAGGTGTTTGCCCAGATGGCACTATTATTTATCATTTAGATGATATGCCAGTCGAATTAACCTCTGACACACTTATAAATCTAACTATTCAATTAGAAGAAGAATAGGACTATTTAATCTGAATTGAGGTAGCTAGAGATGGTAAAACAAGCTCTAGCAATAACTGGCTTTATTAGCCAATTGGTTCTGGCTACAAAATAGCATACCCTTTCCAAGAAAGGGATTCTTTAATTCTTTTAATTCTTACCTGGTTGTTTTCTGGGCTGATTCCAGTCTGGGTGCAGCACTTCTAGAGAGCAGTTATAAATATTTCCCTTATTTGGCTTGCTTGGATCTATGACCATTAGAGGAAAACCAGATGACAAATTGGTTCAGGGGTGGGATAGTCAGTTATCTCTAACTCATAAACTGTACCTGATAAACCCTGATTTATTTACAAGGAATGAAGTGGAATAAATTTTCTTGCCACACCTTGAACTTAATCTTCCATAACATATGACTTGGAATTCAAAGCCTAAAGAATTTGTTCATTTTTCTTTAAAAATAGAGTGCCATTCTATTTTGTATAGAGAGCCATTCACTCATTTATTCAATACTTAGAGAACATCAACTATTTAAGAAAGACTGGGTTGTCTTTTAATCCTCCAAACAATTTGTGAATTGGGTGCTATCCACATTTGAGAGTGTATGTTTCTATGTGAGTTCTTGCATTGTTTTGTGATGGGGTTGATCTTATTGATATTTTGTTTATTCAGTCTTTATTAGGATTATGATGCCCATGAGGCCGAGAGTTTTAAGTGATGTTGTGCCTTCCGTGGATATCTTAACACTCTCCAAGTACCCAGTATGCATAAGGCATAGAAGTTGCATTGGATTTAGTAGACATGAAAGTTGACCAAAAAATTGTGCAGCAGACAATGAATATCATGTATACTAGTAATTGCATGAGAAAATAAGTAACAAGAAAATAAGTAACTAGAAAATATTTCTTTAATATATTTAAAGACTAGCCAGGTGCTGTAGTGTGTGCCTGTAGTCCCAGTTACTTGGGAGGCTGAGGTTGGAGAATTGCTTGAGCCCAAGAGTTCAAGGCCAGCCTGGGCAATGTAACAACAAATCATCTCTAACAAAAAAATAAACGCTAATAAGCTTACCTGTGTGCTCCATGTAAAATTAAATTTATATCATTCAATCAGGTATTTATTGAGTAGCTTCTGTGAGCACTATCCAAGGGATTTTAATATAAATTCCAGTTATAGAAAATATCATTTGATTAGCTAGTTAGATTTCTATCACAGCAAGAGCCCCACTGACTGGTCTATTTGATCATCTCTTCCTCTAAACTGAGCACCTTCAGAGCATTTTCCTCTCTCCATTTGAGTCTTCCCAGCATTAAGCACACCACTTGGCATAATAAATATTAAATATAAGTTTTTTTAAAATTGATGAATGGCCAAATTATAGATCCATCAATCTAAATGTGCATACTTTTCTGCCTGTGGGCAGTACTATTCAGAAGTCATTATCTAAAAGGCTGCCTTTTTTCATACATACACTGGAAAAATAAAACTATTCACCTAATTGAACTTTAGTGGAGAAAATGGGTTGGATGCTTTAATTCCTCGTATTTAATTCAGAGAAATCTCATTTCTCTGAAAAGAATTCCAAATTCTCAGTAAAGAATATTCCTAGAACTTAAAGTAAAATATAAAAAGAATATTCAATTACAAACAAAATAAGTTCATGGTAAGTGCATCATTTAATTACCAGGTTGGTACCGACCACCGCCTTTCTTATCTTACTTTTTGAAGTAACTTCACAATGACCAAATGTAGACAGCCTATCACATGTCATCTTAAAATAATTTGCTGAAGAAAAAACTTTTCTTGGTTTGATGAAGTGAAGTGAGTGCTGAGTGGTCGGATGGAGAAACACTTCTTAAGGGCCATCCTCTCTGTTGTTCCCCTTAAAAAAGTCCTCAAGATCGTAGATTCATAAGCACACCTCACATTGAGCGAACACAACTGAAATATCATTTTCACTTTCATAATGGTGAGACAAGAAAATGCCTGAAATGATGTTGCTATTTGTATTCTTGCTTTTCCTACTTGGTTAGACCAGCATAATAGCAAGAACAAGAAATGATACTATTGCTAAACACAATGCATTTCTACAAAAATGTCTCAAATCTGATATTAATCACAAACTATTTACTGATGCCTGGGTTAAAGGGGAAGACTTGTAATACAAAGGGTAGGTCAATTGTGAATCTTGTCAGCATTGTGCTAGTGACAGACTTTGTTACGTGTGAAAAGAAAAAAGCTTCAGAACATTTCAAATGTGTTGGCTGAACAGATATAAACAAAAAGAGATTGGCATTCTTGTGGATATCTTATGTATTCAAAAGCCCCTTTCCACTCATGGAAGAAAAAAACAGAGTTCATTATGTATTTGTGAAAAACAAAATTACCTATTCATAAAAATCAAAAGCAATATGTTTTGCTTATATCAATGGGTAAAATTAATACAACTTTTCCCATAATAGTTCATTTGCTCTGACATAATTTTGAATATCAGAACAAAATGTCAGGGAGAGTTATATATTGGAATAAGAGATAACATCTTCAGATAAATTGCTTTTTTTCTATAGAATCATAAGAATCAATTATTCATTATTCAGAAAATGTTAGCACTTCTAATTTATACAGGGGCTTTCAAATTTACTCATTGATTCACCTGCAGGGCATGCCTCTACTGTATACATCAAGGTACATTATTATTATTTTTGGCACTGCCTATTAATAACTGGATATTGGTGCTGTGCTTTCAGTGACATATTTAATCTGCTTTTGATTAAACCAAGCCTTCAATTATTCTTGGATAATATTTTCTTGAATCATACTTTTGAATATTAAGAGCAACGATCTTAACTCTTCTTTCTCTCATTCACTTTTACATTTGTCCTAGTCTTGTAAAAATGACTGGAGGTGTATTAAAGCTTCACAGTGGCCAGTCTTCCAGACATCAGAGCTCCCTTCCCACAACAGGTAGGGATGGGAAAGGCAACTTCCCACTGAGATTGCACTTGGTAGGATTATTCAATTTCTGAACTTGCTGCTGCTACCAAGGCTGTTAATTAGTATGAAGTATGACAGCTTGTAGCATGATTGGACTCTTGTACAACACAAATAATCATTAGTTGCTAATGACTTTAAATCACTGTGAACAAGGCAGAGATTGACCCTGTGACCTCAATGTTCCAAGGGATTCTTAGAAGCTATGTCGTCTCCTATAATGAATGAAGCTGGGTGTCTGGATTGAGAGCTGGAAATTTTTTTTTCAGTCACAGAAATAATTTCTTTGAACAAATATATGATATTGAGGTCTTAATTTACTTGATCTAAAAAATAAATATTTTATCAGATTTAGTGTGTGTATCAAATTAGTGCCATATAAAAAAGCCACGTAGGACCAGACATGGTGGCTCACATCTGTAATCCCAACAATCTGGGAGGCTGAGGTAGGTGGATCACTTGAGCCCAATAGTTCAAGAGCAGCCTGGGCAATGTGGTGAAACCTCAACTCTACAAGAAAAAAAAAAAAAAAAAACTAGCTGGGCAAGCTGGGCATGGTGGCATGCACCTGTAGTCACAGCTACTCCGGAGGCTTAGGTGGTTGGATCATCTGAGCCCGGGGAGGATGAGGCTGCAGTGAGCCATGATCACACCACTGCATTCCAGCTGAGTGACAGAGTGAGACTCTGTCTCAAAACAAACAAACAGACAAAAACACATAGGAAATGCGTAAAGTACTTTCTACAGATTTTGTTTGTATCTTTGTAAGCTTTAGGAAATGTCACTTACTTTTCTTTCATAGTGATAGGGATGATTAGTTCTCACCTGTAATCTCAAGATAATGGGTTACTTAAGATTGAATTGGCTGAAAGCAGAATGGATGTAAAATCAAAAATGACACCTTGAAAACATTTCCAAGGTAAAAAATGATTTTGTGATGTAGTTTATAATGTCTTTACATATATTTAACATTTTGTATAACAATTACTGAATTTCCACATATAATTATATGTAGACATAGACCTATAAAGACTGATTTTAAAACATACACCAGAATTAAATACAACAGATATTTAACAAGTTGAAAGTTTTAAAATATAGCATAAGGATTATAAGGAATAAGAATATAAGAAAATAGAAATATAGGCTGGGCGCGGTGGCTCACGCCTGTAATCCCAGCACTTTGGGAGTCCGAGGTGGGCGGATCACAATGTCAAGAGATCGAGACCATCCTAGCTAGCATGGTGAAACCCTGTCTCTACTAAAAAAAAATACAGCAAAAATTAGCCGGGCGTGGTGGTGTGCGCTTGTAGTCCCAGCTACTGGGGAGGCTGAGGCAGGAGAATGGCGTGAACCCGGGAGGCGGAGCTTGTAGTGAGCCGAGATTGCACCATTGCACTCCAGCCTGGGCGACAGAGCGAGACTCCATTTCAAAAAAGAAAAAAAGAAAATAAAAATATAATAAATCAAATATTAGAGACCTCTCAGTGCATTGCTGAAAAACTTTATTATAGCATCAGTAGATGCTTTACTCTTAAATAAACTGGTAGAACATATGAATTAACATGTGTTCAATGTTTCCTGTCACAGGCTGGGGAGTTAGAGTCCTGGGTTCCATTTTTAAAAATTTGACAAATTCACCTATTGCATAACAGCACCCAAAGAGATACTCACACAGAAGCCCTCAGAAGCGGGTAATTATTCCTGCTCTACTAATGGTGAAATTGGAAACACATGGTTTTCACTAGCCCTGTCAGTGGCCACTGATGGTGTATATAAATGCCAAACATTACACTCACATTTTCTAAAATGGAACTTTACTTTTAAAGCATAATTGCTAGTATACTAAGATTTCCTTATAGATAAAATGTGCATGATTAAGAGATTATATATTAGGTTGGTTTAACAATTATTGTTCACAACCAGATTCACAACCTGGGACAAATAAAATTAAAAGGACTTGAAAATTTGCCTGGCTTCTTTTGGAACTCTCTTAGTGAGAGTTAGAGATGGGAAAAGGGAAATTCTTAGGTTTGTTGGAGCTGAATGCATTGACTATGATATTCTTGGATGATGGTTTGGTTTTGATTTTTTTTTTTTTTTTTTCGAGACGGAGTCTACCTTTGTCACCAGGCTGGAGTGCAGTGGTGCAATCTCGGCTCACTGCAACCTCTGCCTCCCGGGTTCAAGCCATTCTCCTGCCTCAGCCTCCAGAGTAGCTGGGACTACAGGCACCCGCCACCATGCCCAGCTAATTTTTGTATTCCTACTAGAGACGGGGTTTCACCTTGTTGGCCAGGATGGTCTCAATCTCTTGACGTAGCGATCTGCCCGCCTCAGCCTCCCAAAGTGCTGGGATTACAGGTGTGAGCCACCCTGCCTGGCTCCGGTTTCAAATTTTTATGGTAACATTAAGTGTGTGTTCTCAGCTTGAAATGTTTTATGCTAATTGGCTCAACTAAGCTTTATCTTTTCCTTATCAACTGGGTAAATTCTGCTTACGACAAGAAGATGCTTAACACAGTAGTAAAAACTTATATTTATTGGGTTTTTGCCATATCCCAAGAATTCAGCTAGGTACTTTCACATATATTATCTCATTTTCACAAAAACACAGTCCAAATTGATACAGAAATTAAAAGCCAAATGTAAATGTATCACAATTCTCATGAAGCGTGGGGCTGGTTCTTGGCAAAACTGTAGCTGTTTTTCTTTGGTCTTTCCAGCCTTCCTTTCTTTCTGTATCATTTCCTAAATTGTTGCCCATGAATACCTGCTCTAAGGAAAGAACATAATGTTGGTCATTTGCATCTTATGAATATTTAAGCAATTTCAAAGCCAAAAATCCAAAAAAATTTAATACTAATATATAAACAAGAACAATAGCTTGTTTTAAGATAGGGTACTGGGTCCTCCCTAACACACAGCAATCTAGAAGTCTCCAGGATACTAAGACTGAGAATCACAGGTGCTTGAAAAAAACTGAAGATTACTACTGGACTTGAGAAAAGAAAACATAATTTCTTCAGCTATAGGCAAAATTGCCAAATCATGATTCTAGAAAATTCTATGGAGATGATATATTATTATTACAATCCCTAGGACCAAAGAATACTAAAGCAAATATTTAAATTAGTGGCAAATCAAAGTGCAAAAACTGTCAGTATTTTTTCCACGTTCATGGACTTTATGAAGCCCTAAATATGTGTATGTGTGTGTGTGTGTGTGTGTGTGTGTGTGTTCACATGCATGGGGCCTTGTCTTTGCCCATGTCTGCACACCTGTGTCTATGCATTTGTGCCCATGTGTATGATTTTCTAGAAAGAAAAACCATACAAAAAGCAGAATACCATGATAGCTGTCACTGAGTAATGATATTTGACAAAACAGAATCAGAAATTTTATTCAGCTATAGCCTTTCTGTGGATAAATCTGTATCAGATTTGATTCACACAAGGGCAACAAAGCAAATGTCAAAATGGAGTTATGAGAGTGGAAGAAAAGGGAGGAAAAAAGAAGGAAAAAAATGTCCTAAAATTGTCAGTTTCAAGCCAGGGAAATGTGATAAAATATCCAACGTGTAACAGCCATGAGTCTCATGGATAACTAGATGTTCCATAAACTTGTTACATGACCTGGCTTGGACCCTGTTTCTGTCTGTGAATTGAGGATGATCTTTGAAGAGAAACGTAGGCCTTCTGACTGCTTAGATTCTTCTTCTAGGATCAACGTTATAATCCCGGTCAATTAGAGGAAATTGGCAAAGGTGCCATGGTGAAAACAAAAGCAGGTTTTCATGAAACGTTTGCTGTATGTGAAGTAATAGATTGCTGGCTTCTTGGGACAGGATGTTCTACCTGATGTGTGCTAGGTTCATTACAGAGGGAGCTTGAAGCATCCACCAGGGTTACAGTCAACAGTTATTAAATCCATTTCCTAGTTAAGTTCTCTAAGGTTCATCATAGGCCTCCTTCCTGAAGTGACCTGATTCTTCTGCAGTGAATGTATGGAGTGACTTGGAAAGCTTCTTTCAGTATAATAACAGTATACCCTTTTCATGATTGTCTTTTTCTCCAGGGCTGGGCATTTTTTCCAACTGGCTCTCATTTGACTCTTGAGAAATCAAATCCCCGTCCTGGCTCCGTGTATATCACCCTGCCGCTTTAGTGTTTTATTATCATTTAATATTTATGGATGTGACATCATAATCATTGTGTGCCCATTGCCAACTTCCTTAACCTCATTTTCATAGTCTGTACCCATAGGGCTTCAGATGCTCTATGAAAAAAAGTGCAGCTTTGTTTCAGAGAGCACTTCGGTGAGATATTGTTAGTGAGTTGCTAATTAGCATGTTTTCTCTGCATCATTTTGGATAGGCTCAGTCTTGCTGTCAGCTTTTCTGCAGCATTTATTATCTTTTTGCCTCTCTGAAAAACACACCATCAACTTTCACGTCATGCAATTACACCTGTAAAGAAAATATTAATCATTGTCCAGTAATTAAGTGTGGCGATTTCATTGCTGATGCACTATCTGGTAAACTCCCAAATTTCCTTGAGCATTATTCTAGAATCTAGCCTATGAGAAGCATTATCTCAGATATTTAAAGTTTTTTAGTAAACCTAATGAGATCTCATGATAATTTTGGTGGTACCTTATTAAAACTCCCTGTAGTATATTTAAACCCCACCATCCTGCTTTTAATTGAGGGGAGGAAGAGCCGAACTGTAATGTCAACAGCCGCAACCACTTTATCAAAATGTTAAGACAGTTAGCAAAGCCAAAACAGATACAGATTACTATTATGTAAATTATAAATTTACTCACAGACATACACACGTCTGCAGCAGATGAGGCTGTATGGAGCTGTACATAGGTGAAATTTACAGCCACCCTACCATCAAGCCTAATATATAAATGCCCACCTTCTCCACCCTCTTTCCCCTTCCGTTTCCTTTGCTGTGTAGGTCTATAGAGAGCCAACCCCCCCTCAGTTTCCCCATCTCTAATTGGCTTATTCCTCCAGCTACTATTTCCTTTGACATCAGAAGTCTTGCCCTGTCCCTACCATAATACCTAGAAATACTTCTGCCTACATTTGAAGTCACAAGGCTATGAAACTTGCTACAGAGGGTTCTGGGGCAGCAGTAGTTCCACCTACTCTTAAGTCCAAACCACTCAGTCATGGAGCCAGCTTCTGAAAGTGTCAGTCTTCTTTCCTCTTCCATCCTTACCAGACATCTTGCCACTGAAAGCCCCCATCTAGCTGTGGCAGAGCCCCTTCTCAGCCTGGCAAGTGCTTCTACCAGTGGAGCCTCCTCTCTGGGGACTCACCTGCTTCCTGGGGTGAGGAAGACAGATTCCTTCTTTCTTCTCTTCTTCTTTTTATCTTTCTGCTTCTCCTCTCCCCATTCTTCCCTTTAGTGAATGCAAAGCATGAGCTATATACTTGCATGACTTATCCAAACTCATTGTATTACTTAATCTTCCTCAGAATCCAACAAAGTAGGTGTTAATATCCTCCTTTATAGATGATGAAACTGAGGTTCCATCTGGTTAACAGATTTACCCAATATTACAAAGTAAGTGTACAAAGGGAGGAAAAGAAGTCAACATCAGTCTGATTCCAGGCCTGAGCTGAGATTTAAAATGATTATTTCTACTCAGTATAAGTGCCTATTTTTAAATGGACACAATATGAAATTACCCTAGTCATATTATGATGACAAACTAATCAAAGTAGTAGACTTGACTTGCCATCAGGATCAGAAGGTGGAATATCATGAAAATTATGTCAATGAAAAAATATGTAAACATGTTTTAAGAACATTATTATTAGTGTATATTTCAGATAACATTCTTTTGCAGATGAACATTATTATTATTTATTATTGGACTCAATTACTATGACTTTTCAACTGGTAGAATATTAAGTTACAATGTTGGCAAGGTATTTTATTTAAGCACTGACTAGACTTTCCTTTAAACTAGTTAAGGGTATGTTTCATCACTTCCTATTCCTACAACCACCAAAAATAGAGTTCCCTTCCAGAGATTTTGTGTCTTAATGCTTTATCCAAACCAAACTTTCTTTCTTTCTTTTTCTCTTTCTTTCTTTCTTTTCTTTCTTTCTTTCTTTTCTTTCTTTTCTTTCTTTCTTTCTTTCTTTCTTTCTTTCTTTCTTTTTTCTTTCTTTCTTTTTCTTTCTTCCTTCCTTCCTTTCCCTTCCTCCTCTTCTCCCCTCCTCCCTTTCTCTCTCTCTCTCTCTTTCTTTCCCTTTCTTTCTTTCTTTCTTTCTTTCTTTCTTTCTTTCTTTCTTTCTTTCTTTCTTTCTTTCTTTCTTTCTTTCTTCTTTCCTTCTCTTTCTTTCTTTCCCCTCTTTCAACAGACATTTGAGTGTCTCATGCATGCCAGACTCTATGCACAGGGAACACATGCCCCATAGCATCTAGGATTGTGTCTACCTTTGGTTCACTGGGTCTGTAGAGCCTACCAGCATAATGTGCACAGAGTGGCTGCTCATCTGTGATGAAATAAGTAAAATTATAAAAATCTCTGGATATCATTTTTAGTTGTAGATTCACATGTAACTGTAAGAAATAATACAAAGAGATCCTGTATACACTTTCCCTAGTTTCTCTGATGGTAACATTTTGTAAAACTATAGTATAATATCACAGGATATTGACATTGACACAATCAACCAATCTTATTCAGATTTTCTCAGATTTACTTGTACTGTTTGTGTGCATGTGTGATTACATTCTATACAATTTTACCATCTGTGTAATTTTGTGTATCCACCACCACACTCAAGATATTGACCAGTTCCAGCACCACAGGAATTCCATAACCACAACCACCTTCCTCCTTCCTTCTTATGCCCCATCTCTAACTCCTGGTAACCCTTCATCTATGCTCCATTTCTAAAATATTGTCACTTCAAAATGTTATATAAATGGAATTATACAACATATGAGCTTTTGTGACTGTATTTTTCCCCCCCCACACAGTGTAATTCCCTGGACATTCATCTAAGTTGCTGCAGGTATCAAGAATTCATTCCTTTTTGTTTCTGAGTAGTATTCCATAGTATGTATGATGAGAGTTTGCTTAACCATTCACTTCTTGGGGACAACTAGGCTGATTCTAGTTTTTGATTATTACAAATAAAATTGCTGTATTAGTCCATTTTCACACTGCTATGAAGCCATACCTGAGACAGGGTAATTTATAAAGAAAAGAAGTTTAACTGACTCACAGTTCCGCATGGCTAGGGAGGCATCAGGAAACTTACAATCGTGTCAGGAGAAACAGGAATGTGGTACATGGTGACAAACCAGAGAAGTGAGTGTCGAGCAAAGGGGGAAGCCCCTTATAAAACCATCAGATCTCGTGAGAACTCACTCACTATCACAAGAACAGCATGAGGGTAACTGGCCCCATGATTTAATTACCTCCCACCAGGTCCCTCCCACAACATGTGGGGACTATGGAAACTATAATTCAAGATGAAATTTGGGTGGGGACACAGCCAAATGTTCTCAGTTGCTATGAACATTCATGTACTGGTTTTGTGTGAACATAAGTTGACAATTCACTGAGACAGAAACCCAGTAGTGCAATTGTTGGGTTGTAAGAGAGATGTGTGCTTAGGTTTTAAAGACATGAGAAATTGTTTTCCAAAGCAACTGCACCATCTTTTTTTCTCACCAGCAATGTGTGAGTGATCTGGTTTCTCCAGTTTCTTTATGTATTTGTCAGCATTTGGTTTTGTCAACTATTTTAGCCATTCTGATCAATATATAGTGATATCACATTGTGGTGTTAATTTGTATTTCCCTAGGTGCTAATGAGTCTTTGCTATAAAGACTCTTGATTAAAGAGTCTAACTCTTTAATATTGAATATATTTTCTTGCACTTATTTGCCATCTATATCCTTTTCAGTGAAATGCCTGTTAATTCTTTTGCCCATTTCTAATTGAATTGCTTGTATTTTTACTGTAGAGTTTTGAGAGTGCTTTATATATTTTAGATACTAGTCCTTTGTTGGATATGTTGCTTGCAAATACTTTCTTTCAGTCTCTATTTTGTCATTCATGTTCTTCACATGAGTTTTAACAAAGCAAAAGTTTTAAATTTCTGAACATAATTTTAACAATGCCATGAGCGCAGTCAGAGGAAAAACATTGCTGTGTATGGTCTAAAGACCATCATCAAGCTAGCAGTTAAACTACAAAGTCTGTAGAAACCATAGTCCCCATATCTAATTCGGTGTACAGATAATGACACAGATACTAATAGCTGATGACAAAACAAGATGTTTGAGGGCATGTTGTAATAAAGTCATTTATTTATTCAACAAATAATCATCAAGTGACTCCTATGTGTTAGGCCCTATTCCTGTGATGCAGTGCTGATTTATATCACAAGAATGTATAACTGAAACTGAGATAAGGACTCAGAAGTCATGCAATATTGTACAATGACAATAGTTAACAAAGGAACCAAAACTCTTCTTAGGAAAGAATGCTTGAGTTGAGAGCTGAAGGGTGAGTAAGGGTTAACTCTGTAAGGGGGTGAGGATAGGGATAGGAAGTGAGGGTGGGAGATAGGGAGACATGTACACAGAGTGGGGCCGTAAGTGCAAAGACCCTGTCACAGGAGGGAGCATGGAGGGTTGAGGAATGGAAAGAAGGGCAACTGTAGGGGGTGTAGAGTAAGGAGAGAGTGACACAAGAGGGGGCTGGAGTTTGGTTTTCACTCCGAGAACCATTCAAAGGTTTTGATAAGTTTTATAAGGGGGAAATAAGCAATGCGATCAAACTTGCATTCTGAAAAGCATTGTCCAAATGCTGTATAGAATGTGGAATGGAGGGGGCAAGGAGCGGCTGTGGGTTGAGAGTTAAGAGGCTCCTGTTGTCATCCAGGTGAAGGTCAATGGTAGTTTGAAGTGAGAGGTTTATAATATGCTCTCTGTAAAGTTTTCTAAGGATTCCTGGTCAACCCCACACAAAGGTAATTGAAGGCAAAATTTTAGCTGTGTTTGCTTGTAGAGTTGGGTGGAGTGCCTTTTAGATGCATGATGAAAGGACCACTGCAGGAGCAGTTTCTTCTTTGGGAGAGAAAAGGACAACTATTGACATGCCTCAGGGATTGAACCCAGAAGCCTTGGTGCTCTGTCTTGCCATTAGGAGCTGAGGTGACATCCTGTTCCCATCAATTTGTGAGACTTCCCTTCAATCATACCAAAACCATTTTGTAGATCTAGGGCCGTTTGTAAATAACAAGGAGAATGACAGGATCTCAAATGTCTTGAGTTGTTCTCCTAAGAAGTAAGGCATAAGAAAGGCAGTGTGTTAAAAAAAAAAAAAAAAAGAAGAAAGAAAAGGCAAGAAAATCTAAAGAAGTAAGAGGAAAAAAAGGGAAGGAAGGAAATAGAAACAATGTCTGTGATAAATAAGAATGAGAGAAGGTTCATGTGGTAGGGAGTGCCATCCATTATCAGTTGGCATCTCCTCACTGACAGAGCTCCCACATGTGTATAGCTCCCTTTCTTCAGCCATGATTGACGGCAGAGCTACTATTTTTGTGGAAGAAGACTGTGACTTCTTGGGTTGAAAGAGCCAGATTGAAGTTCTCTGTATGTGAGTCTTGGAACCTGAAAAGGTGCATGATGAAAAAACAGCAATTATGTTACAGAAGCCAGTGGAGGAATCTGGCAGGAATGGGTATGGACATATCTTTAGCATGAACCAAGGATGAAATTTTACTCTGTATTTCACAGTCAGGTTTCCAAGTCTACTTGAGACATTTGGTGTCTATTCTTGTTTATATTGGCAAATCATAGTTTCCTTTGTGGGTATGCTTTAATAATGAACTTGAAGAGAAAACAGAAATACCTCTAGAGTTTTCGGATGGCAAATGGATCTTACAAAACATTTTTAAATAATCTAAGTATAAAGGATTCAAAAGCATATAGATTGAATTTCTCAAAAAATCAAGCAAAGTAAAAAGAAAAATAATTGTGTAAATATATTGTTATGAAATATTTAAAAATTTCGGATTAATATGCGGAAGGTCCCCAGGCCCAGCTGTGTTTACCTGTCTCAAGTATCAAAGCAAGGAAAAGGACCTCTCTATGACCTAATAAATAAAAATAATCTAATTCATTTTGGATACACAATTGACCCTTAAACAACATGGTGGTTGGAGCACTGAGTGCCCAATGCTGTTGAAAATCCATGTATAACTTTTGACTCCCCCAAAAGTTAATGACTAATAGCCTGCTGTTGACAAGAAACCTTACCAATAACAGAAACACTCAATTAACACATATTTTATATGTCATAGGCAGTATATATTGTGTTCTTACAATAAAGTAAGCTAGATAAAATAAACGTTGTTAAGAAAATTATAAGGAAGAGAAAATATATTTACTATTCACTAAGTGGAAGTGGATCATCATAAAGGTCTTCATCCTCATTGTCTTGATGTTGAGTAGGCTGAAGAGGAGGAGCAAGAGGAGGAGGGGTTGGTTTTGCTGTCTCAGAGGTGGCAGAGGTGGGGAAGGTGGAAAGGGAGGCAAGAGAGACAGACACACTTGTTGTAAATTTATGGAAATATATGGTAATTTCTATCTGACAGTTTTGCTTTTTTATTTCTTTAAAAATGTGTCTATATGGTACCAACCCTTCTTGCACCATTTGCTTTAGTTTTGGTGCCCGTGTATTAGTCCATTTTCATGCTGCTGGTAAAGACATACCTGAAACTGGGCAATTTACAAAAGAAAGATGTTTAATAAACTTACGGTTCCACGTGGCTGGGGAGGCCTCACAATGATGGTGGAAGGCAAAGAGGAGCAAGTCACATCTTACATGGATGGCAGCATGCAAAAAGAGCTTGTGCAGGGAAACCCATAT
Source organism: Homo sapiens (assembly GCF_000001405.40). NCBI lineage: Eukaryota > Metazoa > Chordata > Mammalia > Primates > Hominidae > Homo > Homo sapiens. The sequence continues at coordinate 148,759,905 of NC_000004.12, forward strand.
TTTTAAAACCATCATATCTCGTGAGACTTATTCATTGTCACAAGAACAGCACGGGAAAGACCCACCCCTATGATTCAATTATCTCCCACTGGGTCTTTCCCAGAACACATGGGAATTATGGGAGCTACAAGATGAGATTTGGCTGAGGACACAGAGCCAAACCATATTAGCCTGTATCATAGAAAGATCTATGCTGTAAAAGAAGTAAAAAGCAGTGTTGAATCATCAGAACCCTTCTGCCAGATTTTCTAGTGTCAATTCGTTTTCTGGCATGGCTTCTTCTGTGTCTTCTTCCTTGTTGCCCTTGAATTTCTCCAAGATCTGTTTCATGAAACCCTTTGCCGACTACCTTTTTGGCTGTATCCACAATCTCTTTCATGATTTCATTGATTCATTCTGGTAAATCCTGAGAAGTCATGCACAACATCTGGACACAGTTTTCTACAGCAGGAAGTTATTGTTTCAGGCTTGATGGCTTTCACAACTTTTTTCTATAACAATGATGACATCTTCAATGGTGTAATCCATCCAGACTTTCATCATGTTCCATGTTCCCTCAATTGGGGTTTTCTTCCACAGCATTGACAATCCTATCCATAGAGTATATGCGTAATGAGCCTTAAAGTTCCTATGATCTCCTGATCTAGAGGCTGAATTAGAGACATTGTGCTGGGGCAAGTAGACCATTTTGACACCTTTCCTGTTGAACTCATGGTGTTCTGGGTGGTCTGGAACTTTGCCCAATATCAAAGGAACTTTAAAAGGCAGTCTCTTACTGGCAAGCTTCTTCCTGACCTCAAGGACATATCATTGATGTAACCAATCCAGAAAGAGTGTTCTCATTGTGCAGGTCTTCTTGTTGAACAATAAAAAGACTGGAAGCTGGTGTTTATCTTTTTTCTTCAAGGCTCAGAGGTTAGTGGCTTTATAGCTGAGGACAGTCTTGATCATAAATTCAACTGCATTTGCACAAAACAGTAGAGTAGAGTTAGCCCATCCCTTCTTGTGCTAAATTCTGGTGCTCACTTTTCTCCCTTATGAATAATGTCCTTTGTGGCACGTGTTTCCAGAATAGGGCACTTTTGTCTGCATTAAAAATCTGCTCAGGTATCCTTTCTTCTGTGATTTTCTTAATAGTGTCTAGGAACTTGTCTGCTGCCTCTTGGTTGGCAGAAGCTGCTTCTCTTGTCTTGACATTTTTTTTTTCTTATACTTTAAGTTCTGGGGTACATGTGCAGAATGTGCAGTTTTGTTACATAGGTATACACATGACATGGTGGTTTGCTGCACCCATCAACGGGTGACCTACATTAGGTATTTCTCCCAATGCTATCCCTCCCCTAGCCTCCCACCCCATGACAGGCTCCAGTGTGTGGTGTTCCCCTTCCTGTGTCCATGTGTTCTCATTGTTCAACTCCCACTTATTAGTGAGAACATGCAGTGTGTGGTTTTCTGTTCTTGTGATAGTTTGCTAAGAATGATGGTTTCCAACTCCATCCATGTCCCTACAAAGGACATGAAACCATCCTTTTTTATGGCTGCATAGTATTCCATGGTGTGTATGTGCCACATTTTCTTTATCCAGTCTATCATTGATGGACATTTGGGTTGGTTCCAAGTCTTTGATACTGTGAATAGTGCTGCAATAAGCATATGTGTGCATGTGTCTTTATAGTAGAATGATTTATAATCCTTTGGGTATATACCCAGTAATGGGATTGTGGGGTCAAATGGTATTTCTAGTTTTAGATCCTTGAGGAATCACCATACTGTCTTCCACTGTGGTTGAACTAATTTACACTCCCACCAACAGTGTAGAAACATTCCTATTTCTCCACATCCTCTCTAGCATCTTGTTTACTGACTTTTTAAAGATCACCATTCTAACTGGTGTGAGATGGTATCTCATTGTGATTTTGATTTGCATTTCTCTAATGACCAATGATGATGAGCTTTTCTCATATGTTTGTTGCCTGCACAAATGTCTTCTTTTGAGAAGTGTCTGTTCATATCCTTTGCCCACTTTTTGATGGAGTTGTTTGTTTGTTTTTTCTTCTAAATTTGTTTAAGTTCTTTTTAGATTCTGGATATTAGCCCTTTGTCAGATGGATAGATTGCAAAAATTTTCTCCCATTCTGTAGGTTGCCTGTTCACTCTGATGATAGTTTCTTTTGCTGTGCAGAAGCTCTTTAGTAATTTTGGCTTTTGTTGCCATTGCTTTTGGTGTTTTAGACATGAAGTCTTTGCCCATGCCTATGTCCTGAATGGTATTGCCTAGGTTTTCTTCTAGGATTTTTAAGGTTTTAGGTCTTGCATTTAAGTCTTTGAACATCCTGAGTTGATTTTTGTGTAAGATGTAAGGAAAGGGTCTGGTTTCAGTTTTCTACATATGACTAGCCAGTTTTTCCAACACCATTTATTAAATAGGGAATCTTTTCCCCATTGCTTGTTTTTGTCAGGTTTGTCAAAGATCTGATGGTTGTAGATGTGTGGTGTTATTTCTGAGGCTGCTGTTCTGTTCTATTGGTCTATATATCTGTTTTGGTACCAGTACCATGCTGTTTTTGTTACTGTAGCCTTATAGTATAGTTTGAAGTGAGGTGGCATGATGCCTCCAGCTTTGTTCTTTTTGCTTAGGATTGTCTTGGCTGTGTGGGCTCTTTTTTGGTTCTATATGAAGTTTAAAGTGTTTTTTCCAATCTTGGAAGAAAGTCAATAGTAGCTTTATGGGAATAGCATTGAATCTTAAATTACTTTGGGGAGTATGGCCATTTTCACAACACTGATTCTTCCTATCCATGAGCATGAAATGTTTTTCCATTTGTTTGGGTCCTCTCTTATTTCCCTGAGCAGTGGTTTGTAGTTCTCCTTGAAGAGGCCTTTCACATTCCTTCTAAGTTGTATTCCTAGGTATTTTATTTTCTTAGTAGCAATTGTGAATTGGAGTTCTTTCGTGATTTGGCTCTCTGTTTCTCTGTTATTGGTGTAGAGCAGAACTGAAGGAGATAGAGACACAAAATACCCTTCAAAAAACCAATGAATCCAGGAGCTGGTTTTTTAAAAGATCAACAGAATAGATAGACCACTAGCCAGACTACTAAAGAAGAAAAGATAGAAGAATCAAATAGACACAATAAAAATGATATAGGGGATATCACCACTGATCCCACAGAAATACAAGCTGACATCAGAGAATACTATAAACACCTCTATGCAAATAAACTAGAAAATCTAGAAGAAATGGATAAACTCCTGGACACATACACCCTCCCAAGTCTAAACCAGGAAAAAGTCGAATCCCTGAATAGACCGATAACAAGTTCTGAAATTGAGGCAGTAATTAATAGCCTACCAACCAAAAAAAGTTCAGGACCAGATGGGTTCACAGCCAAATTCTCCCAGAGGTACAAAGAGGAGATGGTACCGTTCCTTCTGAAACTATTCCAAAAAGTAAAAAATAGGGAATCCTCCCTAACTCATTTTATGAGGCCAGCATCATCCTGATACCAAAACCTAGCAGAGACACAACAAAAAAAGAAAATTTCAGGCCAATATCCCTGATGAACATCATTGCAAAAATCCTCAATAAAATACTGGCAAACTGTATCCAGCAGCACATAAAAAAGCTTATCCACCGTGATCAAGTCGGCTTCATCCCTGGGGTGCAAGGCTGGTTCAACATATGCAAATCAATAAATGTAATCCATCACATAAACAGAACCAATGACAAAAACCACACGATTATCTCAATAGATGCAGAAAAGGCCTTCAACAAAATTCAACAGCCCTTCATGCTAAAAACTCTCAATACACAAGCTATCGATGGAATATATCTCAAAATGATATGAGCTATTTGTGACAAACCCGCAGCCAATATCATACTGAATGGGCAAAAACTGGAAGCATTCCCTTTGAAAAACTGGCACAAGATAAGGATGCCCTCTCTCACCACTCCTATTCAACATAGTATTGGAAGTTCTGGCCAGGCCAATCAAGCAAGAGAAAGCAATAAAGCGTATTCAAATAGGAAGAGAGGAAGTCAAATTGCCTGTGTTTGCACATGACATGATTGTATATTTAGAAAACCCCATCATCTCAGACCAAAATCTCCTTAGGCCGATAAGCAACTTCAACAAAGTCTCAGGATATGAAATCATTGTCTTGACATTTTTTAAGCCAAACCTCTTTCTAAAACTATCAAATCATCCTTTGCTGGCATTATATTTTCCAGTTTTAGATCCTTCACTTCCCTTTTGCTTTAAGTTGTCATGTAACGTCATAACTTTGCTTTTTCTCAAATTGTATTAGAGTCTATAGGTATGCCTTTCTTATAGCAATCCTGCACACACTTAAAATCTGCCTTTTCAATGCAAGATAAAAGATATTTAACAAGAAATGCAAAGTTTTTGCACCTGCTGGTGTAGCTGCAGCAACAGCTTTATCAATTTTCTTTTCTTACAGTGGCCCTTACATGGGATTCATTTATCTTGAAATGGTTGGCAACTGCAGCTGCAGGCTTCAATCTGTGGTACATATTAAGCAATTCAACTTTTTCTTGTATGTCCTGGCTTTCCTCTGCTTTTTTGGGGAGCACTTCCAGCATCACTAGTGGCACCTCATATGAGTCCCATAGGGCTATTCAACATTTATGGTATTGCATTAAACCCAATGAAAAATACACGAGAACAAGAGATCACTTTTTACTGTGACACGCAATTTACTGGAGAGGTGAACTGCTCATGAGATGATTAGCATCACATGTGTTTTATGTGGATACTCACAACACTTGAGCTCACTGCAATAGTAACAAGAGGTGGCTGCAAAATTATTTCAGTAGTACAGTATGTCCTGCAGTTAATTTTAAGCAGTTATGATTTAATACTGCATCTTTAATTTGTTTGCATTTCTCTCAACTGCAAATGGTGCCATGTGTGGTCTGTAAGTGTGTGCATAAGTGTTGATAAATCTTAACTTTCTTGTTTGTTTGAAATAGAGTCTTGCTCTGATGTCCAGGCTGGAGTACAGTGGCACAATCACAGCTCATGAGGCTTGAGCAATCCTCCCACCTCAGCCTCTCCAGTAGAGTAGTTGAGTAGAGTAGCTGAGACCACAGGCCTATGCCACCACGCCCGGCTAATTTTTTGTATTTTTGTATTTTTTTTTTTGTGGATATGGGGTTTCACCATGTTGCCCCTGCTGGTCTCAAACTCCTGAGCTCAAGCAATCTGACAGCCTCAGCCTCCCAAACTGCTAGAACTACAGGCATGAGCTACAGTGCCCGGCCAATCTTAACTTTTTATAGTAGACTTGTGTATTTTTTATGGTAGTAAATGATAAAATTGACTAGTATCTACACATATTTTATGCATTCATGTCATACCTTTTCTTATTTGTTTTGACATTTCTAGGGCATACAGTTCATCTGCAAGTTTTTTCAAATTGTCACAAATCTCCAAAGAAAATTAATAAATTTATTTTATTTTATTTTATTTTATTTTTTTATTTTTTATTATACTTTAAGTTTTAGTGTACATGTGCACATTGTGCAGGTTAGTTACATATGTATACATGTGCCATGCTGGTGCGCTGCACCCACTAACTCGTCATCTAGCATTAGGTATATCTCCCAATGCTATCCCTCCCCCATCTCCCCACCCCACAACAGTCCCCAGAGTGTGATATTCCCCTTCCTGTGTCCATGTGATCTCATTGTTCAATTCCCACCTATGAGTGAGAATATGCGGTGTTTGGTTTTTTGTTCTTGCGATAGTTTACTGAGAATGATGATTTCCAATTTCATCCATGTCCCTACAAAGGACATGAACTCATCATTTTTTATGGCTGCATAGTATTCCATGGTGTATATGTGCCACATTTTCTTAATCCAGTCTATCATTGATGGACATTTGGGTTGCTTCCAAGTCTTTGCTATTGTGAATAATGCTGCAATAAACATACATGTGCATGTGTCTTTATAGCAGCATGATTTATAGTCCTTTGGGTATATACCCAGTAATGGGATGGCTGGGTCAAATGGTATTTCCAGTTCTAGATCCCTGAGGAATTGCCACACTGACTTCCACAGTGGTTGAACTAGTTTACAGTCCCACCAACAGTGTAAAAGTGTTCCTATTTCTCCACATCCTTTCCAGCACCTGTTGTTTCCTGACTTTTTAATGATTGCCATTCTAACTGGTGTGAGATGGTATCTCATTGTGGTTTTGATTTGCATTTCTCTGATGGCCAGTGATGATGAGCATTTTTTCATGTGTTTTTTGCCTGCATAAATGTCTTCTTTGGAGAAGTATCTGTTCATGTCCTTCGCCCACTTTTTGATGGGGTTGTTTGTTTTTTTCTTGTAAATTTGTTTGAGTTCATTGTAGATTCTGGATATTAGCCCTTTGTCAGATGAGTAGGTTGTGAAAATTTTCTCCCATTTTGTAGGTTGCCTGTTCACTCTGATGGTAGTTTCTTTTGTTGTGCAGAAGCTCTTTAGTTTAATTAGATCCCATTTGTCAATTTTGGCTTTTGTTGCCATTGCTTTTGGTGTTTTAGACATGAAGTCCTTGCCCATGCCTATGTCCTGAACGGTAATGCCTAGGTTTTCTTCTAGGGTTTTTATGGTTTTTGGTCTAACATTTAAGTCTTTAATCCATCTTGAATTGATTTTTGTATAAGGTGTAAGGAAGGGATCCAGTTTCAGCTTTCTACATATGGCTAGCCAGTTTTCCCAGCACCATTTATTAAATAGGGAATCCTTTCTCCATTGCTTGTTGTTGTCAGGTTTGTCAAAGATCAGATAGTTGTAGATATGCGGCATTATTTCTGAGGGCTCTGTTCTGTTCCATTGATCTATATCTCTGTTTTGGTACCAGTACCATGCTGTTTTGGTTACTGTAGCCTTGTAGTATAGTTTGAAGTCAGGTAGTGTGATGCCTCCAGCTTTGTTCTTTTGGCTTAGGATTGATATGGCGATGCGGGCTCTTTTTTGGTTCCATATGAACTTTAAAGTAGTTTTTTCCAATTCTGTGAAGAAAGTCAATGGTAGCTTGAAACTCACTCAAAACCGCTCAACTACATGGAAACTGAACAAGCTGCTCCTGAATGACTACTGGGTACATAACGAAATGAAGGCAGAAATAAAGATGTTCTTTGAAACCAATGAGAACAAAGACACAACATACCAGAATCTCTGGGACACATTGAAAGCAGTGTGTAGAGGGAAATTTATAGCACTAAATGCCCACAAGAGAAAGCAGGAAAGATCCAAAATTGACACCCTAACATCACAATTAAAAGAACTAGAAAAGCAAGAGCAAACATATTCAAAAGCTAGCAGAAGGCAAGAAATAACTAAAATCAGAGCAGAACTGAAGGAAATAGAGACACAAAAAACCCTTCAAAAAATTAACGAATCCAGGAGCTGGTTTTTTGAAAGGACCAACAAAATTGATAGACCGCTAGCAAGACTAATAAAGAAAAAAAGAGAGAAGAATCAAATAGATGCAATAAAAAATGATAAAGGGGATATCACCACCGATCCCACAGAAATACAAACTACCATCAGAGAATACTACAAACACCTCTATGCAAATAAACTAGAAAATCTAGAAGAAATGGATAAATTCCTCAACACATACACTCTCCCAAGACTAAACCAGGAAGAAGTTGAATCTCTGAATCGACCAATAACAGGAGCTGAAATTGTGGCAATAATCAATAGCTTACCAACCAAAAAGAGTCCAGGACCAGATGGATTCACAGCCGAATTCTACCAGAGGTACAAGGAGGAACTGGTACCATTCCTTCTGAAATTATTCCAATCAATAGAAAAAGAGGAATCCTCCCTAACTCATTTTATGAGGCCATCATCATTCTGATACCAAAGCCAGGCAGAGACACAACAAAAAAAGAGAATTTTAGACCAATATCCTTGATGAACATTGATGCAAAAATCCTCAATAAAATACTGGCAAAACAAATCCAGCAGCACATCAAAAAGCTTATCCACCATGATCAAGTGGGCTTCATCCCTGGGATGCAAGGCTGGTTCAATATACGCAAATCAATAAATGTAATCCAGCATATAAACAGAGCCAAAGACAAAAACCACGTGATTATCTCAATAGATGCAGAAAAAGCCTTTGACAAAATTCAACAACCCTTCATGCTAAAATCTCTCAATAAATTAGGTATTGATGGGACGTATTTCAAAATAAGAGCTATCTATGACAAACCCACAGCCAATATCATACTGAATGGGCAAAAACTGGAAGCATTCCCTTTGAAAACTGGCACAAGACAGGGATGCCCTCTCTCACCACTCCTATTCAACATAGTGTTGGAAGTTCTGGCCACGGCAATTAGGCAGGAGAAGGAAATAAAGGGTATTCAATTAGGAAAAGAGGAAGTCAAATTGTCCCTCTTTGCAGACGACATGATTGTATATCTAGAAAACCCCATTGTCTCAACCCAAAATCTCCTTAAGCTGATAAGCAACTTCAGCAAAGTCTCAGGATACAAAATCAATGTACAAAAATCACAGGCATTCTTATACACCAATAACAGACAAACAGAGAGCCAAATCATGAGTGAACTCCCATTCACAATTGCTTCAAAGAGAATAAAATACCTAGGAATCCAACTTACAAGGGATGTGAAGGACCTCTTCAAGGAGAACTACAAACCACTGCTCAAGGAAATAAAAGAGGATACAAACAAATGGAAGAACATTCCATGCTCATGGGTAGGAAGAATCAATATCGTGAAAATGGCCATACTGCCCAAGGTAATTTACAGATTCAATGCCATCCCCATCAAGAAAATTAATAAATTTATTGAAAATAACCATGCATGAGTGGACCCTTGGTGCTCAAGGGTCAGCTGCATGTTAACAAATATGTGGCAAAGGGTCAATTCTGTTCTGATGATTTAGGCTACTAATTGTACTTGCTTTGCTCATGGAGAAACTATCTGGTGACTCAAGTTCAGAAGGATTAATTTTTGATGTTGTTGGCTTTTAGAAGACTGACTTTTTCCCCCTTTTCGCCACCATATTTGCTTTGTAGTTCTTTAGAATTTGAGAAAGATAGGCAGTGCTGGCAGTCTGGGCTATGTGGCAGTAGGGGCAGCTGGCCTCAAGGAAGGAAAACTGGAATGCTTATGATGGGACTTAAGAAGTAATTACCATTGTGAATGGCTCTCTCAGGTAGTATCAATGCAGATTTACCTCCATGGATATAGCCCCTGGAAAACTTGGGAAAATGCTTAGTTTTCAACTGAAATAACCATATTTTGCACACTTTCTTTTTTCATTCGATTGCAACAGATTCTGTTGGAAACTGTGTGCCTTACAAGCCTTCACAGATGGGTGTTGGTCTAGTGGTTAGTTATTCCATCTGCAAACTGTTGTAGGGCCAGTTTTCTCTCTTATCCTATGGAGTAAAAGAAAGCAAAAAATATCTGAAGGTAGGAAAATGATAGGAAAAAATAGGTATGAACGAATTATATTTTTCTCCTCTATCTTACCCATGTTTTTGAGATGGCATTAGATTTACAAATCATTTTATTATTTGAACTCAGAATGCCTTTCTCACAAGGCTATTCTACTTTAAGGATTCTAATCTGTTTTGTAAAAAGTCATATGATTTGGAGGAATTTTCTGATAGCACAGTATCCTCTGTTTGTTGGTTGCTCTCAAATTTTCTCAAATGTGTGGTGTGCATCCAAAGAATGAAGTTGCCTGAGTGAAAATTTATCGATATGGTAGAACTCTTCTGGATAAAGGATCCTGAGAGTGAATGCCATAGTATTCTTGAGAAAAGCTTAGGAGGTTGAGAAAATGATGACCCACATTATGTGAAATAGAATGCCTGTGGAACCAACACTGAAGAAGGAGTCAAAAGGCTCAAGGAAGTAGATATACAATGTAAATCTGGAAAACCCACCTGATGACTATGTTCTAAAAGAAGATCCAGAGGAAGCCCCATCTATCAAAACAATAAGGAATGCTTAGGCAAGAGTGGTACCAACATCACAGAGAGGCCCCTTGGTGGCTGTGCTCCTCCATAGGCCAGAGTTGATGCTAGGAAATGCCTTTACAGAACCGGGTGCCCTGATAGCAAGCGGAATGACAAGATTCTCAAATGATAGAGGCCAATAGACATAGCTTAAATGTCAGAAGCCAGTTGGGCACACTTATTATAATGAGCAGAAAGGCTGGAGTGGCAGATGGGAGATGAGATGCAGAGGGCTCTCTCAACATGGTGAATAGAACACAGCATCTCTAGGAGCAAGATAGATGGGAAGTCAACAAAGGTACCACACAATTAAGATAATGAAGAGTAGACAATCAATAGGCTAAGCAAATACAGTGTCGAAATCTCTTACCCTTTTTCTGTATTGGAGCCAGTTTATCAATCTAGAACCTACTCACTAAAGGAGAGACCAGATCCCCCAAAGAAAGGACACAGTAAAATCATGACAAGTATATGTGGTAATAATCCCCCCAGTGCTTCCACAGTGGAATCTATGGGTGTTTATTTAATAACTATACAGTAGGGAAAGGTGAATACCCCACTATTTTGAGCAATGTTGGACACAGGTCTTATGAGGAATAGAAAATAAAATCCTGGCCCAGATTAGACTCAAGGGGTTCTGAGAGCCACCTGGTGGTTATTTCCCTAGTCTCCAAAAGTACAATTCAATGTAGTGGGTAGAAGCCCCACTAAGCCTGTGAGATAAGAGCAATCTTAATGAAGGATGCCAAGCAAAAGCCTCTGAAACAGCTCCCCATTTTCATTTCTCCTTCCTTGGACTGCATTTCTCATTCTCCCAGCTGTTTGGAGTGTTAGAGGCCAACAGTGCAAAGCTGGGCTCTATCTTTTCAACATTTGGGTCACTCCTCCTTCTGAGGGGAACCTGATCTAATGCTTGATGAGAAGGATAGAAAGGCTGGCTCCTTTGCCCCATTTCTGAAAACTCTGCTCTTGACAATCCTAACTTCATAGCTCCTGTGAGATTAGCTGAAGGCTTGGAGATTCCCACCTTCTCTCTTTGCTCAGTCCTACTTCTTTTACTATTCCATGGATGTTAATCCCAAGGGCACTCCCCAGTTAACTGTGTGCATGCAAATCTCAGTCCTCTCTGAGTCAGCTTCCCAGGATTAATGACATCATCATTTCCCATTTCAAAATAAAAGAATTATGGGACTTGCCCAGCAAAATAAACCCTGGCTAGGTCAATTCATCCAAGATTATAGGTATACTAAATGATCATTTTTCTGTGGCTTTCTTAATATGAAAATTGTCTTGATTTAGTGAAATCAAGGTAATTTTACTTAGTGATCTTAGTAAATGAATAAGATGATTCTTTTGTGTGCGCTCAGCCTAGCATTCCTATCAGAATTTAACATTAAAAGATTCAAGATGACGGCATGGTTCTTTCTTTGGGCAGAGTTGTTCATCCACCTTCCCCTGTTGAGGAGCTCAGCCGCCCACTGAGCATAAAGAAGCCTTGTGTTGCAAAATGCTGCAAACCTTTGTTGAAATCCCTCAAACCTGAAATGAATACTTCTTTTTCTCCTTCTAGACAGTAATTGGAGCAAATTGTTGTTTTTGTAATAGTAAATCAGAAGCAATCTTCACCTCTCATTTTGATATTTTGAAATAAACTTCTATTTTAAGTGTTAGAGTTGAAATTGGCTTTTATTTATTGCTGTTAGAAGGCTATGCAGCAACCATGTTTAGGGTAGAAAACCTCAGATAAATGGGGAAAGGTAATATTTACTGAGTGTCTACTATGCATCCACACTCTGCTTGGCTAACCCATATGCATTATTTAATTTAATCTTCACAAACATTGTATATCATAAGTATAATTTCTATAATATATAAAGTTGAGAGGTAAAATGACTTAGTAAAGTCATACAACTAATGAGCTAAATAATGAACATTAGAAACCATGTCTTCAAGTCCAAAGCTCTTTCCACAGCTAATTTGGCTTTATTCTTTGTAACTAAAGCCCATTTATTCTAATGTCTTAAAAATTATATCATGCTCATCTGTAATATTGTGATCTTACAGAGAGATTTGGACTCTATTGAAATTTTATTTCATTTTTCAGTAGCCACAGAGGAATTTGTGAGATAATGAGAAAAGAAATTCTATCTTTTGCATCTGAAAGCAGCAGACTATATTATGGACCTTTTTCATTATTTGTTCTGCACTTGGAAAATATTTTCACTTGTGTGGAATGAGAATTTTGTATTCAAAATATAATTTATTTTGTGGCTGGACATAGTTGTTCACACCTGTAATCCCAGCACTTTGGGAGGCTCAGGTGGGCATATCACCTGAGGTCAGGAGATCGAGATCAGCCTGGCCAACATGGTGAAACCCCACCTCTACTAAAAATACAAAAAATTAGCTGGGCATGGTGGCAGGCTCCTGTAGTCCCAGCTACTCGGGAGGCTGAGGCAGGAGAATGGGGTGAACCTGGGAGGTGGAGGTTGTAGTGCGCCGAGATTGTGCCACTGCACTCCAGCCTGGGTGACAGAGCAAGACTCTGTCTCAAAAAAAAAAAAAAATGCAAAAATTAGCTGGGCATGGTGGCACACACCTGTAATCCCAGCTACTCAGGAGGCTGAGGCACAAGCATTGCTTCAACACAGGAGGCAGAGGTTGTGGTAAGTTGAGATCGCACCACTGCAATCCAGCCTGGGCAACAGAGTGAGACTTTGTCTCAAAAAAAGTTATATATATATTTTTTATTGTGATGTGTTTGTGTGTGTATGTATGTGTGTGTTTGTGCTTGTGTGTGTGCTTAATTTATATGACATACATTATTGCCTCCTGGAAGTAAATTAATGGATAATTAAAGTAATTTTGAAATATCTAATATATTTGGAAAATGATTCTCTCCTCATCTCACCAGTGATGTTAAAGGACACCAAGGCAGAACAATCGTTTCTCTAAATGGATTTGAAACCAGGACAATGACTCTCCCAGACAATGAAATTCCAGGAGGAAGGGCTGCACTTTTCTTCCTGTGGTTTTCTATATGCTAAATATAGTTGATCCTACCCTGACTCAATGGTAATGAAAGGAATAACTTTCAGAAGTAAACCCTTCTGCTTTATCATTTTTGTTACAAAAACTCTTCTGAGAGAGCTAGCAGAGTGTAATAGCTAGATAATAAAATAAATAGCTGGGAGGCGATGAGGAATTCTAGTAAGTATGGAGAAGTAATGAAGCATATAGTGTGTCCTTAAGACAAGATCAGTATTTTGTGAGCAGTTGGCATCCTGGTTTTCTCTCCACTCTGGAGGAGAAAACTAGGGAGTGCACCACATCACTCACATCAGTAGTCTCAGAGAAGATCTACTTTGGTTAGAGGGCTGAAGCAGTGTCTCTTGGATACACTGGACTGTTGTCATTGAGATCACATTTCTGCTTGTTGTTACCAATGCTTTATTTTAGTATCTTGGGGTCAGTGTGTTTTTATGTGGGAAAACTCTAGGCTACCCACTAGAGTCTATTTTGAATGGAGGCTGAGGAGAAGACAAGGAGGAGTTGGACACTGATTCAAGAGGGTTACGCAAGAATCCAGATCAGTGCCCCAGCAAATGGTTAATCTTACCTGACATTGTAGCTGTTCTATAAGTGCAAAACCATTGGTTTAGTTACTGAAGCAAACACTGCGTTTCACTTCTGATGAAAGCCCTGATGTCCTGTAGTTAAACTATTGGAGGGATAAGAATTTATTCTTGATGTGTTTACTTTATAATTTTTAAAGTGTTCTGTTTCATTCAATGTCTTGAATGTTTAATATGACTAATCACTTCTTGCTTTGGAAATGAGCATCTTCTTTGATAAGTTGTTCAAGTGTTCAGGCATATAAATTGGAAAGATTTAGATTCTTGACAGTGTGTGTAGCATACCAGTTGATGAAAAGAATCTCAATATTACATGCCAAGCAGGTTCTGCAGCATTATGTATTTCCAGAAGAATTGGTGAAAATTAGCATAGACTTTGGAAGGTTAACCTCCTCTTATTTCAAATTTTTAAAAATGTGTTTAATTAGAAACAGTTGAACCATCACTGAACAGGTGAAAACAATCATAAAGATTTACTTTGCACATGCACACACACCCACAGTGATAAAATAGTATAAATTTTCTGAAGCATTTATGAAGATTTAGAGGAACCACTAAAATAACTATAGATGGTGGAGGATGGGTGGTAGGGCAACATGGCCACCAATAACCTTTACCAGCCAGGTCTCTCATTATGTAATTCATAGAGATACGTATAAATTAGCTTTGGTTTATCTATAGAGACAGGTGTTATCATTTGAGTTGAACCCAGTACATCACACATTCATAAAAGCCAGATGGATGACACTGCCTATGGAAGTTTAGTGCCAGTCTATAAAGGCCAGATGGGTGCCGCTTCACGAAAGGGTTTATATTGGCTGGCTATGGCTGCACTCCAGAGAGTAATGAAATGTTCTCAGTCCTCCAAATAATTCCTCCATTCTTTATCTTCAGTTGTAATGGTCTGCAAGACCTTTCAGGTCTGAGACTTACCATTGAATTTTATATAACCTTATACATTGTATGTCTAAAGACAGTTGCTCTTTTGATAGTACATAAAAAAAGATAAGGCACCCAGTAATCACTCAAGCCAAAGAACATAAACCAATCAGATCGTATGATGATTTTACGCTGTTTTTCTCTTTCACTTAAAAAACTTTGGAGTTCTCTAGGTGCATCTAAAAATATATCAAAATGTAAAATAATTTTCTTCGATGAAAATTACCCAAAGTCCATTCTCTTTACCTGTATTAACATACAACATTCCAAAACTTTGTGATAAGTGAAAATCAAGCCAATGCTTAATGAGGCTGAACTGATATCCCATCTCTATGTGGTGGTTCCCTCATAAAACATTGATTTTTGTGACTGTTCTCTTTGCTGACTTGGTGACTGCATTGGTTGTGCTTGGTTTCCTAAATTTTCAGTCTCATAAATAGTTTGCTTGAGGTATTATATGATGATTATAAAATTCTAGGCTTACAACAGACTCTTCAAATTCAAGAGGAAGACATGGGAAGGCTTTGTAAATACTCAAACTGATGAATATCACAGTAATGAATTATTTCTCCCATAAAACTTTTTATAGTCTAAGATGCAGAACTTAGATTCTTCCACATTCTCTTTCATTTCTGCTTCTAGCACTAGCAACTCCCTCTCTTTTGAGGAATATTTTTTCACAGGAAAACAAAATTTATATCACCTCATGATCTGATCTGTACTGTGTTGGCACAAGTAGAGAATAATAGATGTAAGTTGCGCTGTGGATGATGAGGTTATAAGCATTACACTTGCATCATGTCCAGCTCAAATTTTTCCCCTTCGAAGTTACTTGCTGTTGGTAAAACCAAGAATGTTAAATCTGTGAATGCTGAGAGCTTGCCATGTTGTCTAACCTAACATATCTTTACATGATAAAGCTCCTAAGGCTTTCTTTAATAGATAGATGGTGTTTAATGTGGCTGGGCAGCATTTTAATTAGTGAGAGAAAAGCATGAATCTCTCCCCATCATAGGAGTCTGCATTGCCTTCAAATTTCTCTAGATATTTCAATATGGCTTCTCTCCACACTGAGTTTGAGGACCTCTGAGCTAAACAACCTGTGGAAGATTCTCTCAAATTGTAGGTGTCTGGGGCCAAGGATTCAGAGTGAACACCATGTCGGTTGTTCGGTGAGAAAGCTCCAACATAAAGGAGCAGTAATTCGTTGCCAGAGCACGCTGCTCAGGGGCCTGCAAGACAGTACTGGTGAGTCAAATATGGCATCACACTTGTCTCTTCTATTTCTCACAGGAGTAGGGTTTCTTTGCAGGTTGAAATGTGGTATGATGGTGTTGAAGGGTAAACATGGCTCCATTATCACCCGCTATTAGGAAGCAGAATCTGTGGCCCTAGTAGCAATACCTCAGTAATTTTGGACCACTAAGTTGGGGCCTAAAGAGTGCAGGACTCCAGTCCAATGTTGCGATATTGGCAAGACACAGTTTGTCTTAGTGCACAGTGTAAAATAATAGGGTGGGACCAGATCTCTGAGATTCTGGAAATCTGATCTCTTTAGATTCTTCACACAAGTAAAGCACTGTGAAATATTAGAAATTTACATGGCCTAAATTATTTTACAAATTATAGAAGTCAGCAACATAAGTAAAATGTCTTTTAAGATGTTTATAAGGTCTTGTTTCTAATTGCATAAGTATCTATAACTACTACAATCATATTGTTTTGGGAAATTTTGTGTTTAATAATAGATCCTTGATTGGAATGATAATTTTCTTCTTGCTACACTTAATACTGATTTTAGTGAGAGTATTATTTCTAAAACTTACAGCAGATTTGGACATACTGGAAAGGGCTCAGAGACATGTAAATAAGTAGTTTTAAAATGAAGTCCAGGAGAAATTGTAATGGCTTTTTCCTTGTTTTTGTTTTCTTTTAGTTTGGGGACGATAAGCCTATGATTGTATTAATACTTATTGAAACATCCAGATAAAATGAGAGTATTTGAAAACCATCAGAATATTTTGTCTGTAATAATCTAGATATTTAGGTCCTGTACTAGACCTCTAACAGATTATTCTAAAGCCCAGGAAGTATAGAGGTAACTACTGCTATACCAAGATTAAAAGGAAACAATCCCTTGATGTGTTTTTGCATGATTTGTATGGGCTTCTCTAGACTATGCATAATCACAAGGGAAGCCAATTTGTATAATTTTTCCCCCAAATCTGATTTGACCTTTACTGGATTTCACACAGTGAGAACAAAATTAACCAAATTTCAAGGGCTTACATTTGGTTCCAAATGCATTACACATTTCCAGATTTTTTTCAAATGTTGTAAATACTTATTGCTAACTTGCTTTTGTAAGTGAAGCAGATGTATACCGTTGATAATAACACCAAAGGAATACTTTAATTTATTAATTAGAATGTTTATGGCTTCTTTAAGGCTGTGCTTCCATGCAAGCTAAGGCAGTGATCTGTGAATTAGTTTCTATTTGCGAAGGTAGAGTTGCTATGGATATTTAAACAGGATTGAAGTGAAAGAGAACGTTCGCTGGCTAAACCAAAGCATTATAACATTTTAGTGAAGTTTAGATTTTGTTTCACATTCCAAACTCACAAATGAATTTCCCCAAGCATGAAAGGCAGCAGATGAGAAGGCTGAGAAGGCTCAAAGGAATGCAGTCACTGCAAAGTGAAGTGCAGTCACTGCTTTCTGTAGAGCTGCCATCATTTCACTTTAATCTCTATTTCCTTAGTGCAATCATGATTTCTTTTGTGGTCACCTACAACTAAAAAAGTGGAAAGGATAACAAAGAACTGTTAAGTTGTTCTTTCAATAGTTGGATGAAAGATCATTTTGGCTCAAGAGACTGGAGGAGAACTTGAGGAAGGAACCAAATCAATTCCTTTTCCACAATTTTGTTCCAAAAATGTCTCAAGATTGAAATTGATTGAGAAGTCTCAGATTACTTTAGCACTTTGGAAGACAGACTCAACAAATGGTCCTGATAGGGTGAATTTCTTATTCTCTGATCTGATCTCATCTAGATTATCTTAACCAGAGATACAGAGAGGGGATGAGAGAAGACCTAGACTAAATATCTGATATACCTACAGAATTTATTTCTTTCATCCTTGGCTTTAAGAAGACTGACAGCTCAGCTCAAACTCCAGTTGGCGTTAGAGAAGCTTTTTAGTTAGCAGGGTATTGGGGACAACACTGCAAATGACAACATGCATTTTTGAAGGCTCCTTGGCTATGCCAGCTTTCTGTAATTTGCATTTAATTACTTATCAGCCTCAGCAGCTAATGCTTTTCTTTCGGCTGAAAATGAGTGTTTTGTTGGTGTTGTAATAGAACTTGTATATTAAATCTTTGCAACTGATAGAAAAAAGTATAGCAGATAAGAACAGAGAAACTTACAGGAGTAGGTAGACTTAGTTATTGGGGCATCAAAATACAAAGAAGGAGGGATGACATTGAGGGATGACATTGAGCCAGGACAGATGAAGGTTGCCATCCATATGCTCATTAAATATGACCATGGAAAGCACAAGTGACTCCCAACTGTGTGCTGCCAAGTAAATGACACTATGGGCAAGAGAAATCCTGGATTGCAAAACCACTCCCAAAGATATACATAATATGGATAAAATTGGTTTGATTTTTCAAAGTATACTCCCCAGAGATCTGACAAATATGATGGCTTTATAAAATGTATTCAAATTAATATGGCAGAACTTAGAAAATGATTATACAGATATGAGTTGCTTAATGACAGAGGTACATTCTGAGAAATGTGTTATGTGATTTTGTCATTGTGCAAACATCATAGAATGTATTTGTGCAAACATCATAGGATGTATTTACACAAACCTAGGTGGTATAGCTGACTACACACCTAGGCTATATGGGATAGCTTATTGCTCCTAGGCTACAAGCCTGTACAGTATGGCATATACCTGTACTGCATACTGTAGGCAACTGTAACACAATCATAAGGATTTGTGTTACTGAACATATTTAAACATAGAAAAGGTACAGTGAAATATGGTATAAAAGATAAAAAATGGCACACTTGTGTAGGGCACTTATGAGTGGAGCTTGCAGGACTGTAACTTTTTTACCTTATAAACTTTAAATTTTTAAAAACTTTTTGACGCCTGTAATAACACAGCTTAAAACACAAACACATTGTACAGCTGTACAAAAATATTTTCTTTCTTTATATCTTTATAAGTTTTTTTCTAGTTTTACTACTTTTATTTTTTACTCTTTAGATATTATGTTAAAAAACAAAGACATAAGCACACATGTTAGCCTAGGACTACACAGTGTCAGGATCATCAGTATCACTGTATTCCCCTTCCACATCTTGTTCCACTGGAAGGTCTTCAGGGGCAATAACATGCATGGAGCTGCCCTCTCCTGTGATAACAACGCCTTCTTCTGGAATATCTCCTGAAGGACCTGCCTGAGGCTGTTTTACAGGTAACTTTTTTTTTTAATAGGTAGAAGGAGTACACTCTAAAATAATGATAATAGTATAGTATTGTAAATACATAAACCAGTAACATCATCATCAAGTATTATGTACATAACGACTGTACATCATTGTATATGCTAAGACTTTTATTTGACTGGCAGTGCAGTAGATTTGTTTCCACCAGCATCACCACAAACATGTGAGTAATGCATTGCACTGACACTAGGTGATAGGAATTTTTCAGCTCCATTATACTCTTAACAGTCCACATGTTCCATCATTTAAATGTCGTTATGAGGCACATGATTGTATTGTTTTTGACGAATTAATGCAACTTATTAAAAAAGGCATCTGGAAGAACAAAATTCATGAATATGGGTTGTAGATGTATAGCTTTCCTCATCTCCAGTTCTCCAGAAAGTGGAGCCTTTGACAAAGTTTACATACCCAGGCTTTATTGGTAGATACAATCTCAGGAAGGCAGGAATGAAGTGCAAAGAAAGCGAGGCACGAAGGAGGAGTTGCAAACACAAAAAAGTACATAAGCAAGTTGGCCATAGCATCAGCAGAAAAGCAGTTGATTGCTTGGTTCTGCACAGTATTTTCCAGACAGTTGTTGCCCTAGAGTAGTCCCTTAGAGCAGGGATGGGCAATCTTTTTCTGTAAAGCATCATCAAGCAAATAGTTCAGACTTTGCAGGGCGTATAGTTTTTGTCACAATTACTTAACTCAGCTATTATAGCATGAATGCAGCCATAGACAATAAGTAAATAAATGGGCATGGGTGTGTTCCAATAAAACTTTATTTATAAAAATAGGAGGTGCTCCAGATTGGCCCTGTGGCTGTTGTTTCATAATCCCTGTCCTAGAGAGAAAAGGAGAAAAATTTACTTGCTTTTCCTTCTTGTCTCTCCTCTCTCACTGGCCAAAGTTCACCCAATGAGGCATTATACTTTTGGACTTTGTTACCTGCCCCTCCAGGAAATCGCTTAGGAAACAGATCGCGCATACCACAGTGTAGGGCATCATTTAAGCTTGGAAATGTTGGAGGAATTATAGATTTATATGTCAGTTCAGTTTGGACCTGGTCCCAAGCGCCAGTGTTGCTGCCACTGCAGTAGCAGAGACTGAGATGCTGATGGTGTGAGGACCAGGGACAATGGTGATGGCTCAGGTTGTCCACTAGAACAAGCAGCCACGGGCTGGGGACTGGGACCCTGGTGGGGCTGATCCCATCTGGCGAACTGCTTAATCTGGGTTTGGTAATGCAACCCATTCAAATATGGACTAAAATGCTCTACAAAGGAAATACAAGTGAGAAGAGCAGATTGAAACATATCTGACCTGTCCTTTGCTTGAAAAGTTGTTAAATTACCACCACTCTAAGATCGTGAAGAACATTCTCTGGAATGTTGCTAAAGGCATTTTCCTCATTTCTTAATGACTGAGCATTAAATTGGTACTGAGAAAATTGGGATATAAGCAACATTTAGGGATAAGACCCAAAAAGTCATAGCTGTTCTCCCCAGGTGCCCCTTTGGGCTGCTATAATCAGCAGAATAGTTAGTTGGTGAGATGGCCACAGGAGATCTGGCCCTATGAGTCACACAACAGTAGGCCAAACCTAGGGCACTGGAGTCAGAGAGTGTATTAGTCTGTTTTCACATTGCTGATAAAGACATACCCAAGACAGCGTAATTTATAAACAAAAAGAGTTTTAATGGACTCACAGTTCCACATGGCTGGGGAGGCCTCACAATCATGGTAGAAGGCAAAAGGCATGTCCTACATGGAGGCAGACAAGAGAGAATGAAAGCCAAGTGAAAGGGGTTTTCCCTTATAAAACCATCAGATCTCATGAGACTTATTCACTACCATGAGAACAGTATGGGGGAACCGCCCCTGTGATTCAATTATCTCCCACTGGGAGATAATTATCTCCCGTCCCTTCCACAACACATGGGAAATATGAGAGCTACAGTTCAAGATGAAGTTTGGGTAGGGATACAGCCAAACCATGTCAGAGAGCATGGATTCAAATCTTGGTTTCAGCTCAAGGAGTAGAGTGACTCACGTCAAGCTACTTAATCCCCCTCTCAGTCCATTTCCTTCTTTATAAAGTACAACAGTACCGATTTCTGTGAGGATTAAATGGAGTAGTATGTAAACTGACAAACAGACTGCCTGGCACACATCAGCATTTAATAAATTGTAACTATTAGCTATTTTTTGTGTATCCCTAGAGAGGTAGCTTCCTCTGGGTGACACAGTTGGTTTCTATTGCCATCTTTACCATGTACTATTGTCAACATGCATGGGTGGCTTTATCTGTATGAACCTCAGTTTTTCCATCTGTCAAATGAGCATATTTTATGCCCACCTGTAGGGTTTCGTTTGGAGTATAAATGATTTAATATGTATATGAAGTACCTAGTACAGTGTTTGAAATGTAGGAGTTAACTCAATAGTAGCTACTATTATTACAATTTTAATTCATAATTCATCTCATATAGAAGCATAGTCTAACAAATAAAATCAACCACTGTGTGGTGTCTGTCTTTCCTCAGTAGCCTCTTTCTAGACAGATATAGAGGTGGATAGTGAGCAAAATGGCTAAGTATGTGAATGTATTACTTTTTTATTTCAATCTTAGAGTTGTCTGTTAATATCAGTACTGTCATGAGCATTGTACAGTGGGCTAAACTGACCAGTTCGAACAACACAGACTCTGACCTCTAGTAGCTGTCACGTGACGATGTGATAGTGGGAAGCAGAATGAAAGCTCTGCTTTTTTGATCACCAACTATCTCTCAAATACTCTACTGGTTTGCTTTACATATAGTTAATCACCACAACAATCCTAAGGGTAAACACTATTCTTGTCATTTCCAGTTTACTGATGCTTGGAGAGTTTATGTAACTGAGATCCTGGTTGTTCTGGTGCCAAAGCCCCTGCCATTTAACTGCTGCACGCTGAGCCCCTGAATGGGAATAGAAGTCGCAACATATCCAGTTCGATCTGGGCCACAATCTCAGCTGGTGAGCTGAGAATATCATACCGATTTCCACGCCTCAGTTTCCTCATCTCTAAAATGAGGCATTGTATTATCTAGACTTTCAGTTCACTCTAAGTCTATAGTTCTGTATGCATTGATTAGAAGAAATGAACATAATGATAATGAGAAGTGCATGTGTGACTGGGAAGGGGTGGGAATCTGATATCGTTGGAGAGAGGAAATAGGGAAGGTACATGCCCTTGCTTCTTATCCTTGCCCCTGTAGCTTGAGGCATGTATGCCTTCAGTGGGCAGACATGCTGAAGTTCTTAAAACATAAGCTAGCTCACATTACTCCAATCCCTTTCCGTCTCAATTCAGGTGAATGGCTCCTCCAATGGCCTATCAGACTTGCCCGATCG
Source organism: Homo sapiens (assembly GCF_000001405.40). Taxonomy (NCBI): domain Eukaryota; kingdom Metazoa; phylum Chordata; class Mammalia; order Primates; family Hominidae; genus Homo; species Homo sapiens. The sequence continues at coordinate 148,782,407 of NC_000004.12, forward strand.
CCCCGTCACCCTTTATCTCACAGACCTTGCCTGCTCTGCCCTTACTCTCTCTGCCCCACCCTGTTGACCTCCTGCTGGTCCTGCAACATACCAGACATACTTCTGCCTCAGACCATCACACTTGCTGGTTCTCCCTGCCTGAACAGCCTCAAAGCTGGACCCCTCACCTTCCTGGGGACTTTGATGAAATGGTATTTTCTCCACAAGGCCTTCCCTGTCCACCTGCTTAAAATCACAAACCCCTTCTTCCCCAGCAATCTGTATATCACCCTTGCTTTGTTGTCTCCATAGCGCTTATCACCATTAAACACACTGTAGCTTTTACTTTTATATTTTTATCAATTGCCTGTCTTCCCTCCTATAGAGAGGGAGAAAAATGTTGTCTTTATTGATCACTGCTGAATGTCCCTGCCTCGAACAATCCTAGCACATGTTAAATGAGTGAATAATCAACATTTGAAAAATATAGAATAAAGCCAGGTAACCTTGTATATGTACATGTATCACTCATAGAAATAAACTAAAAGTTCATATTCACTAGTTAACTTTGCAAGATAACATTTACCTCAATTATTATCAGTCTGTAATGTATATCCAAACTTTGAATGAAGGATGAAAATGCTCTTTAGAAGAATGCCAAATTAAGAATTATCTGTAGATTTCAGTTTTTCTGCCAACAGTGCTTAAAACTAATTATAATTTATGTGTAAGCAAATGCTTAAAATTCCGAGTTTACACATTCTGTGGAAGTTCTATATCATAGCTATCAAAATCATTAAAACATCTTCAAAACTAATTAGCATATAATGTAGACTTACCAAAAAAAAGTAACTTATTAAAAAATTTTCTACTTAAATTTAATTATAATGATCTTGATTTGTTGCTGAAACCAGTATTGGGAAACTACCTTGTTACGATTTCTAGTGGAACCCCTGGCTATTTTAACCAGTGCTTCGCAAACTTTAATACGCATGTCAATTACCTCAGTTCTTGTTAAAATGCAGACTACGATTCAGTAGGTCTGGGGTAGTGCCTAAGTTTCTCCATGCCAAAGAGTCAGACAGGTGATACAGATGCTGGTATTCAGACCATCTGAAGTGAAGTGGAGCCAAATTCCTAGTACATCTTCCATCTCTTAATACACACACACACACACACACACACACACACACACACACACACACACACAATTTTTAGAGACGGGGTCTTGCTCTGTTGCCCAGGCTGGAGTGCAGTGGCACAGTCATAGCTCACTCTAGCCTCAAACTCCTGGGCTCAAGTGGTCCTCTCACCTCAGCCTTCCCAGTAGCTGGAAATACAGGCATGCCCACTATGCCTAGCTAATTTTTTTTTTAGAGATGAGGGTCTTGCTATGTTGCCCAGGCTGAAGCGATCCTCCCAGCTCCATCCCCCGAAATGCTAGAATTACAGGTGTGAGCCCCCACACCCAGCCCCTTCTCCTAATATTACCATTGTGGCATCAAATGAAACCAAAATAAGGGAGACATTTTTTGCAGGAGAAGCTTCATTGATACATTGACCAGCTGATATCATTTAGTGCTGAAAGGAAATGAAAAGGGAAGCTTGCTATTACAGACATCACATCAACTGGAGAAATAAGTGCAGGAGGACTGATTCACAGAATTCCCCTTATAACATCTGATGTTTAAAGAGATATAATAAGACATCCTGACTCTTCTGCAGGAGTAGAACTTGTTTCAGCCATATCCTAGCCTCAAACAGGGCTTTAATATTTCTAACTGTAATTACTTTATTTTCTAATAAAACAGCAGAGATGGGAAAAGAACTGAATCCTTTTTTTTTTGTTTTTTGAGAGATAGTGTCTTGCTCTGTTGCTCAGGATGGACTGATGGTGGCGGGGTGATCATAGCTTGCTGCAGCCTCAAACTCCTTGGTTCAAGCAATCCACCTGCCTCAGCCTCCTGAGTAGCTGAGACTATAGGGGCACACACCACTATGCCCGGCTAAAGGACTGAATAATGCTAAAACATGCAAGGACATTGATTGAGGGTGGGGGGCAACCACAGCTTTATTTTTTAATGCAACAAGCTTAGGAATTACACAGAAAATAATGAAAGCTTGCCTCTTTTTGCCATTGCACTCATTCAGTATGGGTCATAAAAACTTGGGGAAGAAGGTATATATCAAGTGGCTTTACACACATAAGGCTCAGTTTTATAGGTGGAGTGTAGCTCATGGGTGGAGTGATCCATATTGTGGCAGTAATTAAACATCATTGGTCTCCTCCCTGGAAGGAGTTCCATTTGTTTGAAGTGGGCAACCAAAACTTCTTTGGTAGTGGTTAGTGACAGCACCCAGAAACCTATTCCCAACTTGACTCTTGATTGATAGGAAAATATGGGAGGAGAACCATGTAAGATTTGTTTTTCTATGTCTGGAAAGCTCCATTGTTGAAGGAAATAATCCAAATATGTCTTCATGCTAAGTTGACTAATAGAGCTTTTTTCCACAGGGATCACTTTGATCAAATTACTTTGTGTTTTGTCTTCTGGTCTGGTACATGCTTTTGAATCAAAAGCATGTGTCAGACTAAACCACTGCAGTCAGGAAACAGGTAAAGTATTACTTTCCTAGCTGCTTCTAGGTTGGATGGCAGCAAAATCATCCTGAGTTATTCTCTTAACTGAATTGTGCAGTCTTACATTCCTCCCTTTTCCGTGTCCAGAAAAAGAAGGGTAATGGTCTCTGTTTTCCTATGTAACCAGGATCACATTCAACAACAGCTTAGGAACTTCTTTTGAGAGTAGAATAACCTCAAACTTCATCCTTCTTGTCTTTCTTTCTTTCTTTTTTCTTTCTTTCTTTTTTTCTTTCTTTCTTTCTCTTTCTTTCTTTCTTCCTTCCTTCTTTCCTTCCTTCCTTCCTTCCTTCCTTTCTTTCTTTCTCTTTCTTTCTTTCTTTCTTTCTTTCTTTCTTTCTTTCTTTCTTTCTTTCTTTCTTTCTTTCTTCTTTCTCCTTCCTTCCTTCCTTCCTCTCTCTCTCCCATTCTTTCTTTCTTTTCTTTCTGTTTTAGTTTCTTTCTTTTTCTTTTCTTTCTTTTCTTTCCTTTTTTGACAGTCTTGCTCTGTCACCCAGGCTAGAGTGCTGTGGCGCAATCAAGGCTCACTGCAACCTCCACCTCTCAGGCTCAAGCAATCCTCCCACCTCAGCCTCCTGAGTAGTTGGGACCACAGGCATGCGCCACCACACCTGAGTGATTTTTTGGTTGTTTTGTTTAATTTTTAGTAGAGACAAGGTTTTGCTGTGTTGCTCAGGCTAAATGACCTTACTCTTTCTCACTTCTGCAGTCATAAAACCAACCCCTTCATTTAAAGGATACTTATGATCGTACATTTATATGCTCCTTTAAGCAACATCATGAAGTTGAGACCGATTAGTTCCTCCTTATCTTCACAGACAAAATTGGCCACATGATAAATATTATATCTTTTCCTCAGAAGAGCCAGTCCTGGATCAATGTTAAACATTCCACAATTTGGTCTATTTCTTCAAGCAGTCTTGTTTTATTAGGGTTATAACAAATAAGCCAAATATTGCCTTTGCTCATCTCCGTTTTCTCCTGTGTACAAAGGTTTTCTATTTGTTAGGATTTCTTGAATTGCAGAGAGCCAGGATTGGAGGAGAATATATGATTTTTGAAAGACTAAACAATGTTACTACTTTCTTATAGAATTTTTCTTCCACATTTGGTCACATAATAAAAATAATAGGTAATACTTATGTCACACTCATGATGTGTCAACATTGAAAGGATTTTCCCTTTGTTAATGCATTTAAACTTTAAAGCCTCTCTGTAAGGGAGATACTGTTTTTCTGCTTTCCACACTGGGAAGCCGAGGCACAGAGTAGTTAAATAACTGGTCAAGGACCATGCAGTAGTAAGTGCCAGAGCTAGGATTTAAACCAGGCAACCCAGCACCCTAATCCATGCTCTTAACCTCTGAGGCATAATTTTTGTCACCAACTAAAGCAGACCTATGCCCTATAACTTCCAGTTCCTACTAAATTGCTTTTTTCTTTCTTAAATCCTATTTGGGGGTATAAGTTCTATGATTGAGTGGTAAGTAAGTGATCTTTCAGATTCACCAACTGCCTTCTCTCTTTGATAAGATTAGACTCTGTTGTTTATATTGCTTCAGAGTTTCTCCCCCTAATTCTCAATATTTTTTGTCTCAGTGAAAATGATTCTGTTTCTCACTTGCTAACAGGTTTCATGATCATGTAAATGAAAAATACAATAATTATAAAGAGAACTGTGGAAACTGTATTCAGGTCTGTTTTAGCATTTGAAACAGTCAAAATACAAAAATGAGTAATGTGGATTAAAGGAGCTAGCTTTACATGTCTTAGGAGGTAATTTGCAAATCAGAAATCTTATTTCCGTTTTATAGGCAGGCAGTGGGCATGCACGCCACGCACAACACAGGAATATGTTTGCTTAATGACTTACCAGATCTAGCACCAGTTCTGGTTTATGAGCATGGCCCTGACTGTTGCCATGTAGATGATGGATTGTAATAAATGTGTTCAAGGACGTTAGATCACATCTGCAAAGAGATTCAGAGAATATCTACCATACAGCGTGGAAGAATGTTGCAAACATTTCTTATTAAGAAAAGGCTATTTTTTTGTGTGTGGAGGTCTCACTTCATCTTTCTGTCCTTTATTCTTTAACTATGAAAACTATACAGTAAATTCTTTTGTCATTAAATCAACTTTCAAATCTACTAAAATATATCTTAGGATATAAGTTGTTACCATTAGATGACAGCTTTGTTTGAATTCACTTCATAGCCTTGACTTTCTTTGAGTTCATTTTTAATCAAAGCAATATATTGAATAAATGTATTATACAAAACAGCAGTTGTTGAATTCTGATGTGTGTGTGTGTGTGTGTGTGTGTGTGTGTGGTCATACAGCTAGGGACACACTTGCGTTTCAAGGTGGAAACTGGCATTCCAAATTTTAGTCAGAATTATTTTTATGGCTTAGTTATAAACCACAAAACCATGGCCTTATAATGTAAATGCTGACATAACCTTTTCTTACGCCCAGCTATAAATCAAGGTGCTATAAAACTCCATATTTGAAAATAAAGCTAGGTAAAATACTGAGTTAATGTTTGTTGGGAGAAAGAGAAAAGTCAATTTGCTAAAGTCTTTCAGTTTTAGCTTTGACTAAAATATAGACACTTTTGAGTGTCTCAGTAACAAAATAAAATGTAAACTGGTTAACAAATACAAGTAAAATTAATGTCAAGAATAGTTTTTAAGTAGAGAAAAAGAAACTTCAATTCGTCATTTACTACTTTTCAACCCAAAAATCAAATCTATGTATGCCATTGGGAATTGCTTCCCTAAGGAATTACATTTCCATCACACATGTTTTACTGGAGATTGCAAAGGTACTCAGTTCCTTATTACCAACTGTGGAAGGCTCAAGAGCAAGGGAGTCAAACAGGATAGTATGCCAGCAGAATTTGCATTGAACACTTGATGTCATGTGTCATCCGACACTGGCTTTTCCATCAGGTTATTTCAGGATAAGGTACTACTGAAAAAGCATAACCACTCTCAGTAGATGAACTGCTGACAAGTTTCATGGGTTTGGCTGGCATTCCAAAGTTTATTTGAGTTAATCTGCATTCTCATTGGCCTGCAATGCTCAGTGAAAACTTCCTTTCAGTGAACACTTTCATTACTTTCTGATTGTACTGGTATCAGAAACACCACAACAAAAAATCTGGAGAGACAGACTTTTATAGGAATAATTGTTTTAGGGAAGGGAGAGGTATGAAGGGTATCTGTTTATTGTTTTTGTAACACATGGCAACTGCAGGCTGTGGTATTTACCAACGCCAGCCTAACTGGTTTGATGATGACATGTTCTGAGGAACCATTTGGAATTTATAGTTTCTGCAGTGGGCTCCAAAGTATTCTCATTAATTGATTAAATAGAAGGTACTAAGGGGTAAAATCTATTCTGAAATAGCACTGTGAATCTGCAGAAATTTTAGTTGTGTTTTTAATCTCTGTAGATAATAATTAAGCTGAAAAAGTGGTAGGAAAAAGAGAAAACACCACATGTCACTGAATCTTAGGACCTTAGGGCTAAAAGAGACATTATAAGTTATATGATAATTCTCAAATTTCCTTTTATTATATCTTACCATTTGCTATGAAAAAATCTGATTGCTTTCTGGATGATAATGTATATAAAATGCCGTTTATGGTTTGGTTGTGGTTATAGAAAACCCGTGTTCCATTTAGATCACTCTGTGTGAGTGTGCCACTGTAGTTGTGAAAGTTTGGTTGGAGATATATTTGGGGGTTTGATTATACATACAAAGATTGATAGCTGAGTGGGAAAGGAGGCACCACCTTGGGTTAATAGAAATGCATGGGTAAACAGAAATAACTCTATTGTTGGGCTTTGTCAAAAGATCGATTTGAAAACACAGTTTAATCCTGGAAGCCAGATGAACCCTCTCAAATCCTGAGGATCTCATCCCTGCAATGTGAAAAAGGCCAATCTGCTGCACTTAGCAGTGCTGGGGCAATGAGAAAGGCAGCAAAGAAGGGTTCCCTTTCCACCGGTGGCTGTTCCCAGCCATCTTCAGGGCTTATCCCACTGTTCAGTCTGACTGCCTTTTGTGTCAGGAGGAGAAGGGGAGCGAGACCCTGAATCTCTGCTACATGAAGCAAAAATTTAAAGAGAACAGTGGGGAACGATTCACTTTGAGTGGGTACAGATAGTGGAAGGAAGCATGACGTACCCATGTCTTTCTCAAGATACAGTAACTCGACCCTCTGTTAAAATGTGGCACCAAAGATGCCAGCTTTAGTTCAGAGTGGAATGTATTCCTTCCATAGGGCAGCGGGAGGGGCTAAAGCTTGGGTAGCTATTTCCTCCTCTATAAGCAGAGGATGGCACTATGGGGAGGGGAGGGAGAAATATCCTTCCCCAACACCATACTTCCCTTCTGACAATGGGATCCTTGGCATAGTCTCCATACCAAGTTACTGTCTGGAGCTTGCTTATATACCTCCGTAAAGTGGATGTTACTCCCAGCCATCCGTTAAAATTCAACATACAAGTAGGAAGTTCTAATATGGAACCAAATCTGTCCCATCACTTCCACCACATGCTTTGGTATTGTACTTGGAGCAGCAGAGAACAGGGCTCATCATACCACTGATTTCCAGATATTTGAAAGTTTTCTCTCTCCATACATCCCTCCCCCTAAAAATATGACATCAACTCATGAAATAGAAACGCATTCTTGAGAGAGCAATTGGAAGTGTTTTCTGAAAAACAGAGATACTTAAATCAGTTTCCTCTTAGGAGCCCTTCTTCCCATCATCATATTGCACCAGGGGAAGTTGAGGCTGGAGCCTGTGGGAAAAGTGGCATTGACTGGCAGGGTAGCCCAACAGCAGTGCTATGGGGACTTACAATGCCTCTTCTCTCCTCTCACTAGACAGCATTGACGGCTCCTGCCCCTCTGTGTGAATCTCCGTTTGCCTCTGCTCTCCAAAGTGAAATTCTGCACAGTCGGGAGGATTGGTGCAGAGTTAAGACACGTAGAGCCAAGAAAATAAAGAGTCAGATGTCCCAGCAGCTTTCAGTGCATCCCGATTCTCACCACCCCCAGAGCACCATAAAAGTAGGAGGGACCAGATGAAGACATTTAAAAATTGGTTCTGCTCCACAGTGATCTGGTGCGAGCTGGGGCTCAGCTGCCTTGGGGTGGCTTGAGAGGCTCCTCTCTGGGGTCGGGACATTGAGGTGGCAGCTCCACTTCTCTCTGAGACCCCTTGATGCACCGTAACTTGAGGTAGGAGAATGAAACTTTAAAAAACATATTTAACTTAACATACAATCTAATGAAACCAAATACCATAGAAATCCAACAGAAGTGTATATTCATAGTAATGGCCAACTTCTGGTCTTTAGCAGAGATCTGTAACTGAGACAAGTGTGTGGGTGTTTGTGTCGGCTCCGTGCCATTCATTGGGTCTACAGTGAGATCTGTGTGAGTTAGGAATTCCATGTATCCCATACGTTACAAAGGAGAAAGGAAGTGTATTTATGTGATGTGTTAAAAAAAAACAAACAAAACAAAATAACCTCCCTCCCGCCATAATGTAAAGGCCCACACTTTTTGAACTGTGTACTGGCTGCTGGGGAGTGAGTTATATAAACTAGAGAACTTTCTCTGACATGAATCTGAGCTGACATATGCATTGTTGCACGGCCGCTTATGTAACAACCATTTTGGTGGGGAATTACTGATTGAGTACTTTGCATGACTATGAAAGAAACATTCATAAGAAAGAACAAGTGTAATATGAAATGCAGATAAAGTAAACTTACTTTTCAGCCACCTGCATATGACTTGGCAAAATGTGAGCCTCTGTAATCACCATGTAGGAATGTAAGATCTTCCAAGTTCTTTCGTAACCTTGGGAATTCATTAAGAGTATTGGGGTCTGTCACGGGGTAAGTGTTGAGTGGATGAGGTTGAAAGAGCGGCAGATAAAGCTTCCTTTATTTCTTTCTTATTACATCACATGAACCTCTGTGTCCCTAACCACATTAAGAAAAAAAAAAGAAAAAAAGAAAACTCTAAATAATGATTGATAAAATGCCAAACAACTTCAGACCTTTGTTGACATTTGCTCTCTTGGAATTCCTAATGACTATATGACATATAACACTAAAGTAATGTAACTTTAAAAAAAGCCAAAAAAATACAAAAAAAAATATGCATTACCTCTTTTGAAGCGGTCATGCTGGAATGCTAGCACTTAACTCAATAATTATTCAAAATCACTTCTATAATCTCTCTGCAAGGGTCTACAGTTCCAGGGATATTACTATGAGTGGCTTAGGGTGTGCCTTGGCCTTGGCAGTCTGGCACATGCATCTTGTCTAGTACCCCCTTTTATGGGGAAATTTGATCTAAAAAGATCAACTGATGTGTCCAAAGTCACAGAGAGCTGGGACCAGGGCCAAGATCTGTTTTCCAGGATAGCATTTTTGCCACAGCATCCTTCTGCCTTTTTCCTTCGTGGGTGGACTTAATTTTTGGAGAGAAAAAAGTGTAAGTTGCTCAAAGCCAAATCCAGTGAATAAAATGGGTGATCAACTCCGTGCAATGTGGCAAACCTTCTCTGGGTACCAGCTATATACAAAGCATCTTGACAAAGCTGCAGGGGACATGAGAGATTCTGAGGTGCAGGTCGTGACGTTAAATTAACTGCAATCAACAGGTCAAAAAAATGAGCTATGCTTACAGTGAAATTCAGAGCAGTTTCCTTGGATTCTTGATTCTGTATTATGTCCATAGACTTGGATTGATAAAACCATGGGAGAAAGCACTTACTTTAGTTAAGTACCTATTTGCTGTGTCCTTCTTTCGAATTCATGACAGAATTGAAATGAACAAAAGTGTTAGTTCATGAAAAGCATAATGAGTCTTTAAAATGAAAATGGGACCTAACATTTTAGGTAAGGGTACAATTAGTATTTTCTGTAAACACTGTGTACATATATTTGGGATATGTGTGTACTGCCAAGTTGCTATGTGGATACCTTTGGGGAAATAAAATCAACACATCCAATCTGTGGCCACAGACCTTTAATCAATCCTCTGCTATTCTAGAGTCTTTCAGATATGGTCAGCTCTTAAACCTGCTGCTTTTTAAAACCCTGAAATAAAAACAATAAATACTTGGTTAATGTAGTTTGTCTGTTTCAATTAATTTATATTATGGTGACAAAACTAGCCTAGAAATGCAAGGTCATTGTCGCCATCTTTTCCTATTGTTTATGTATAAATAAGATGAGTGTCTTTTTATAGGAATACCTTTCTATTGCTTACCATCAATAGAGTTGTGAGTTAGTTTTCTAGTAAGAATGTTCACTTAAGAGATTAAGACTTGTTGAACACACATTAGATGTCTGGCACATTTTATAAGTGGTTAATTATTTCATTTATACATTTAATCCTCATACTAACTCCCTGAGGTAAGTGTTACTGACTCAGTAAGGGAACTGAGGCTCAGAGAGGCTAATATATAAATTACCCAAGGTCACAGAATGAAAAAGCAGCTGTACTGAGATTTAAACCCAGACCTATGTGTTGCTAATCTATATTCTTTTTACTACATTATCTGTGCATGTGTCTTTACATCAGAATGCTTTGTAGTCTTTCCCTGCTATAATCAAGGGTATACAGCGCCAGATTACTGGCTTTGTAGGAGGAACGAGCTGGAAATAAATGGTTGAAAAAGTAGGAAATGGTAATTAGTTAGGTGATCTAGAAACTCTCAGATCCCATCCTTGGCCTACCACACTTCCCTGAAAAACCTCCAAGGAATACATATGCACAGAAGAGAATGTGTGGCAAACACAAGCACTTTACTATTATCTGTGTCTTTGACCAGTAGTTCTGTGCATTTCCTTGGGGATCTAACCTGGACCTCGTGGAGAATCCCCAAACACCTACTTAGACTGGAAGCTGTCCCAGGTTCCTCCTTTCCCACTGCCTCTTTCTGGTTCCCACTTGGCTTCTAAGGGGATAGGGGATAGAGGGGGCACATATTCCTAACTGGGACCAGGGCCTGATCCTGTTTTACTTTGCAGGGAAGAAGCAAATTCAGAGACAGGTTTTTGGGTTCTTTCCATGAGAGAACAAATCCTGGAGACCTGCGTCCTTTAATCCTCACTTTCTGGCACACTCCGATTTTGACTTCTATCCTAAATCCTATGAAAATTGTTAGCCTGAGGACCAAAAAATGATACATCCATAGCAGATGGATGAAGGATAGCAAAACAGTGATGGTATAGTACAGAGGTTGGTGGGGAAGCTATCAGTGAGCAGTATGCATTGACCTGATGGATGTCCAGCTCATGATACTATCTTTATTCATCCTGTGCACTAATTTTCTGAGTCAACTAACCTCTATCTATTTTAAGTTTGGGTGAAATCATTTCAGCAAAAGGATAAGATAAATACACATGAGTCACATTTGACCAAGACCTTTATGCGTTTTAGTGGAAATGATTTGATGTGCACTTTGGGATTGAATACCTTCAGAGAAGAGAGTCGCTCACCAAATACCTGAAACAAGTATTCTCCAAATCTGCAGCTGATGGATTTAGCTAATGGAAACAATAATTATGGAGTTTCATCTTTTTTTTGCCCAAACCTATCACTAAGGCTTTGCCAAACTTTCAAACATATCAAATCAAACTTACTAGCTCATACAGTTTCCAAGCTATATTACATAATAGGGCTGTGTGCGGTTCTATGAAGCTAGGCCCACCTTTTCTAAGAATGGAGATTCGTTTACTGTTCTACCTAGAATAAATGGCTAAGCATGGGCAAGGAGTTTCAAAGAAGTCTTGATGAATTGAGATAATTCTGGGACAAAACACCTATTTGAGTCCCAACAGATAAATATTACTATTTTATCACTTACATGTATAGTTTCTCTTGCTCCTTAAATTTTGCCTCCTGTTGGTGCAATCTTCAGGAGTGTGTTTTGTATCTATGTTTTCTAAAGTGGAATTCAATGTGGTAGATACTATTACTTGACAGGTCAAAAGCTATAACCTCTTTCTGCCTAACAAAATCCCGAGTTTGCCTCAGTGGGCTATGTACCAGCTCATGAATCATGATCCAACCCATTGTGACAATTCTTTCTGCTTTGCCAGATACTTGCTATTTAGCCTTCTTTTCAGCAAGACATGGCCATATGACTCAGTTCTGGCCAATATGGCATAGAGGAATTCTTCCTGGGGCTTCTTTTTTCCTCCTTGATTAAAAAGAAAACATAGCCCCCTTCCTTCCTGCTTGAGACCCTGAAGTGAGGATGTGATTCTTTGAAGTACAGCAACCATCTTGCAATCATGGGGTAGCAAGCACGAGGAAGAAACGGCCATGCCCTGTGCATGGTAGAGCAGAAGGATGACTGGCCTGCTGCACTCAGTCACATCCCTCTGCAATAAGATATGGTCCCAGGGAGTGAGGTTGAAGAGGTAGACCACTGCAGGCCACTTAGATACGTCATGAGAGAGGAAGCCTAAGGTGCTTCAAGAATAAGCAAAGATAGCACAAATGAGGGGCACCCATCTCAAAGTTCCGAAAGATGGTGCAGGCAGATCAGGAGTTAGCCAGACAAAGATGGATGGAAAAATCCCAAAAAGAAAGGAACCCAAGCAGAGAGACCAGCATGTCAAAAGCAATGCTATAAGAGAGAACATGGCCTGATTGCTGAGTTTCTGGGGTGTAGTTCAGGAAGATGGAGCATCAATGGCCAAGCAGGTAGTGAGGACAGATGAGGCTAGAGAGCAGGGCAGCATCCTGATCCTAAAAGGTCTCTCATGATGGATGGCAGATTTTGTACTTTATTCTGATGATGGAATGCTATTGAGGGAATACTAGATGTTATATGACTATATATCATACATTATATTTTATATTCTAGAAGTTCTAAAACTTGGAGACAAAGAGATATGTTGGGGTGAGGAAGAATATGGGGGGATATAATGGATATTTAATCTTCTAACAAAATGCACAGACTTCACTCACTGTGTCTTACCCTGGGTCAGTGATATCCTAGGAAAAGCTCCTTTTGGTATCAACGGGAAGTTTTCACACATAAAGATTAGGGGGTCGTGTCTCTGAGTATGAAACACATGAGGCAGATTCTTAAGCTAAAGCATTCATACCAGCTGGGAAGAGGGGTTTTCCCGAGGAACAGTAACTTCCCTCTACATCCAGGAAAGCCTCATGGTGTGGATGGGCGTCCAACAAGCAGGCTGTTCTGGCCCTCTTTGGGTGCTGACTCTGTGTTCCCAAGGGCCATTGATAAGCTAAGCAGGAATAGTGTAACCACAGGAATGCCTGCTGATAACAGGAAAGTAGGCGGCTGCATTCCTGAGCCATGGCTGATGCTGCTCCATCCACTGCCAAGGTGTAGAAAAAAGAGACAAAGTAGTAAATTCTAAAGATTTGTCAGTCTGGGTTGGCAGCTCTTAGAGAATGGATATGTGGCAAATATGTCTCTCCCTCTGTGTGTGTGTATGTTTGTGTGTGTGCGTGTGCGTGTGTGTGTGTGTGTTAGAGAGAGAGAGAGAGAGAAATCTGTGCCAGAGCTGAGGCACAGATCCTATCTGTGTATAGAGGTGTGCTACTCTAGTGCCCTGTCTCCAAGCCTTCAGGGAAGACTACTTGACCAACTATTACTCCTGCTTCAGATGTGGAACCTGCTAGAAGCCTGCCTTTACCTTCTAATACTTTGACTCTAGCAGCCTGAGAGCCACACAATTCAAAATGCAAACTGGGCTCTCCACGATCTCTACCTACCACTTCATCCTCCTTCCCCGCCACTTCTCTAAAACCAGCTTTCATGAACACACACCTGCTTTGCACATGATTTCTCTTCTGCTTGGCAGAATCCTATGTACCTTTCAAGATCAGCTTAGGAGTCCCTTTCTCTAGGAAGGAGATTTTCCCTCCTCCTAGCTCCTCACGGAAATGATAACTATACCTCTCAGGGTTCCTTTTATTCCTTAAACAGTGTCCCTTAACTCATTGGATCCTTCTTTACATTTTTACAAGTCTCTCTTGCATTAGACTGGGCCATGAGCTCTTGAAAGTAGGAACATGTTTTATTTATGCCTGTATCCTCAGTGCCTGGCATTTGATAGTAGACTCAATATATTTTCTCAGTGAAAATTAAGGGATGAATGAATTTTAGGTAAAAATAAGAGGCTATTTTGAGATTTCTTGATAAATATCTTTGAAGCAGTTTGGGAATACAAATATAATAATTGGTAAAAATCTCTGTTAAAAAGGATGTTCAGACTATCTCAGCCTGGTGTTCATGGTAAAAATCAATAATGATAAGTTAGTCATGTTGATAGCCTGTACCTTTGGTATGATGGGAAGAGAATGGCACTTTGCCTCTGTGGTCTTCCTCCCAAAAACCCATGACCTCAGTTTCATCATGAGAAAAACCCCAGACAAATTCCAACCAGTAGACATTCTACAAAAATTTCTGACCAATACTTCTCAAACTGTCAGGGTCATCAAAATCAAGAAAAGTTTGAGAAACTATCACAGCCAAGAAGAAGAGTCTAAGAGTCATGAGGACTAAATGTAATGTGGTCTCCTGGATGGGATTCTGGCACAAGAAAAGGACCTCAGGGAAGTTGGGAAACCTAGATGAAGCATGAACTTTAGCCAATAATAATATCCGTTTTGGTTCATTAATGATAACAAATGTGCCATACTAGTGCAAATTCCTGATAACAGGGGAATTAGGTGCAGGTATATGGAGACTCTTTACAACTTCTCTATAAATATAAACTCCTCTTTAAGAAACAAAGCATTCAGGCATTGCTATGAGCTATTGGAGCAGAGAAAGATCAGGGAAGCTTCAATATGGAAGGTTCTGAATATAAGGATTTTGAGTAATTAACCCAGGTTAAATTTCTTCAAAGGATCATGGATTTCTACCATTGTTCTTGCAGACACACGTGCACACTCTCAGTTATCTTTCTCTCTCTCTCTCTCTCTCACACACACACACACACTACACACAAAACTGAACATTCATGTCTGTCCACACAAAAGTGTGAGGAGAGGCCATCCAGGGACAAAAACTACCAATTGAGGGAAAGAGTAGAGAACAGAATGAAGGAGGAGGTGAGCAAAATAAATTGTTAAGGTGCTGATTCATCTCTCCTGCCACTGTACAGGTAGAGACCTCAACTTAATTTAATCTATTTTTGGAAATTAAAAAATACATCATTTTATTTTGGATAAGATCTTTTGGAGTGACACAGGGTAAGAATCATTTCCTTTGACCTGGTTGATTTCACTGTGATATAAATGTAATAAAGTTAGCTTCATTTCATTATTATGAGACATTCTTTCTTGTCTACTGCTGTAACTCTAATTCTTGGAACAATGCCTGGGATATAGTTGTCACTCAATAATTATTTACTCATAAATGAATACACGACAAACATCTGTGCTAATGGCAAGTAATTCCATGTACACTGTCATACTTGTGCCTCTTGAGAACTCCATCTTGAAGATTCTTAAGGTCATAGAAGAAGCAATAGCAAGGGACAGAACTAGGGCTTGAACCCAGATCTGCCTGGGTGCAAATTTCATGCTGTTTTGGGACTGACCTGGTGCTTTAATTCCTTTTGTGTCCTTAGTTCCTGGCAAGTAATAGGCATTCCACAAATATTTATTAAAATATACATCTTCTTTGCATAATATCACTTCTGAGCGTTTGGTAGGGAATTTATTCTAGCCTTTGTCCTTCGACCCAGGGCTGCAAGTGTTTGCAGCTACCATAGCCTTAAGTATTTGCTCATAACCACAGATGCTGGCCTTACTCTTAGGTTAAAGGCAACAAAAGCCTAATTAACAGTCTTGGCCATATAAATTAATTTCCATCTGAAACCATATTCATTTTTTTGAATTACCATACCCCACCACTGATTTATTATATATGGGATTTGTCATATATAACATGAGTTTTATATATATATATATAAAATACATATATATAAAATATATATATATAATATATATATAAAATATATATATATAGAGAGAGACAGAGTTCATATATATGTTTATATAGACATATCATTTATATATGTCTATATAAATTCTATATATAGTTTGTATTTCTATAGAAATTCTATATATAATTTATATGTATATATAAACATAAACTCTCTCTATATGTGTATGTATATATATATGCACACACATGTAGAGTTTACATATATATGTTTATATATAAATGTGTGTGTGTGTGTGTGTGTGTGTGTATATATATATATGCCTAAACTGGCCCTCTATGTCTGACTTTGTAGGACTGGTGGGCTGTGGAATCTCTTCAGGAGATTATAATCCTATGAGTTGATTTTTTTTTTGAGATAAAGCACAAAGAATGAGATTTATGCACACAAAGACAACAGGTGGAACTGGCATAGCATTTACCCTTGGTCTGAGAGATGGCCTGGGCCACTTTGAGAAAGGAGTAGAGCTAGAAGCTGGCAGCCCAGCTTTTAGGAGAGCCTGTGAGAATATAGTCCTGCTTCAGTCCCCACAGGGCACAACTGAGTAGGGGACACTGGCTTGTGGCTCAGGCACTCCCAGGACTGCCGCACTGGAAACAATTCATACTTGTGGCATGGACCTGGCTGATTCCACAGAGGGCATTGGGAACAGGCTACGTCGAGGTTCCTGGAGGAAAGAGCAGGAAAATGGGAACAGGAGCAGACATATTTCTGAGCTCTCTGGAGAAGCCACCGTGGGATGCCTAGAACAGATGGAAGGCGGCTTGAGAGCATGCTGAGCTCCTCCAGTCATGATGAGGAGGGTAAAGGGCTGCCGTAGTTTGGTGATGAGGAGGGTAAAGGGCTGCCGTAGTTTGGACGGTAACATTACTAAGACTTCACATAGGAACGAAGCCTGGAAGTATTCAGGTTATGGGGATAGCTACCCAACAATGACTAGTATATGCAATTTGGATATTAGAATAGTTATTATTAAGGAAATGCCTAAGTGAAAAAAACCCTGAGGCTTCTTTGACAGAAGGAGAAAGTAATGCCAAGTGACAGGTGAATAAGTCTTGTTGGTTTTGGCTTACTGAAATTAAAGGGATTGGTATGAATGTTGTCACTTGATTTTCTTGATAAGTAGTTGATAACTAGCATTAGCAAGAAAATTTTGCAATAGTAAATTTCATTACTAAAGGAATAGTGACCAATCCTCTACACACCATTATTTTAAAATAGTAATGGTTTCTCATGGTTAGAAATACTGTAGTAGGTCTTAGATGCCTCTAATCATTACCCTAAAATCTATCTCTTTCTCTTAAGTGGCTGGGGGGAAAGTGATCTTGAATTTGTTTTCTTCCAAGACTTTATAAGGCAGAGGAATGGGATTGCTAGTTGTCACTTACAGCCTGGGCCAAGGAACTTGAGAAACGAAGTTTTAGTGGGAGGCACAAGGCTAAAAGGAATTTTTTAAAAGGCACATGCATAACATTTAAAAAATTATTTCTTGTCTTTTAAAAATCCTTTCTGAATTACAAGTGATAAATAGGTTGAGCATTAAGGAAATGAAGTAGTCTTCAAATTATGGCTTTATCAAGCTTCAAAATCTGCAATGAAAATTTTAGACAACTTGAATCAAATCAGTTACCACTCAGCTAAGAGTAATAACTTTTATGCTTTTCTAATTAAACAGATTTCTACAGACTTGTTTCGATAAGGTATTTTGTTCATTGTTCAAGTAGACATTTCTCCTTCTATGCTAAAATATTTTGAAATAAAAGACCTTTACCTTATTGCCACACATTTCCCATTGCTCTACACATAGTAGGAGTGTGAGATCCCTGTCTGCTCACCTTCGTAAAGTTTCCCATTGTCTGCACATAGTAGGAACTCCATAACTACATGAATGGCAGTGTTTGCCTTGTAGACTGCAAAATTCTGTCGTCATTTTCTTTCTTCTTTCCAATCTTGGATATTTGTGTACCTGTGAAATACATTAGTTGAGTTTTATCAGTGGAAATCTCAGGATACAGTTAATAAATTTTGCAATAACTGAAGTTTAGTAACTTGATGAGTTATAAGTAATTTCCTTGAAAATCAAGAACAGGTTTTCTGTTACTCTATTTTAGAAGATTGTAAAGTAGCCTCCATAATACTTTTTTTCTTCCAGGAGTGTAAAGAGACTGAAATTAGGGAGAAGAACCAGTAAATACAGTATATAGTATACATCCTTTATTACTTATTCACGAGAAGTTGAATACCTCCCTAAAAAAACTCCATCAAAAGTTATTTTTTTAAGTGTATGTTGACATTTCCTTATAGTTTTTGGCATGGTTATCTCAACTCTGTTGCACACAGTGCATTGCTGAGAATGTATTTTTCCAAAATTTTTATTTCACTCCCAAGATAGTGCTAGAAACAAGTCAATCATTGTTTCTGGAAGAAATTGAAATTAATATTACCCTTGAGGATCAGGAAAGAGCAGATGAAACCAAGAAAGTGTAATGTGCTTCATATGGCTGGGAATCAAATACTGAACCAATCATATTTTGGCATCTGACATTAAATCTTATTGTTCCTATTTGTAATAGTATTTTCTCTCTTATACTGCCTCTGTGCTTTGAATAAATGAGGGTGCTCACAGCTGAGCTGATTGCCATGGTTACAGGCAATCTGTGTGTTACATCTCCTGGAAGCAAAAAATTGGGTAGTTGAAGGTAAACATTGTCCTTCTTTTACTGAGAACGGTTCTCTCCAGGTGGCACCCCTGACTCATGCTCCCATTGAAAACTTTTAAGGAATGCATTAAGGTTCAGGTGCTAGTCCACCCTCCTGTCCTGCTCATAAATGCACACCCTTGATGCCTGATGCTATTTTCATCTCCAAAAGGCCAGCTAGCTTGGTTTCTGGAGACTGGGGGCTGGGAGCAGGTTTAGAGTTGCAGACATAAATAAATCTGTGAGACCTATAAAGTTATATTTATTATTATAATGTATTTGGTAAGCATTGGTTTTGCCATTGGCACCAGACAGTTGAATTTTGATACTTCTGATGTTGCAATAGCTAGCACTAACAGCGCTGGAACTAATGCCATGTCTTTCCTCTCTCCCCAGGGGGTTGTGGCGAGTTGAGCCTTCAAGCTCTGTGAGTAAAGAGCTGGGCTACATTCAATCTTGTTTAGTTAAATTCATTTTCCAAGCATGTATTTTTTTTCCTTTACAATTCATCAATTCATTGATGTATTGACCCATTACAAGCAACAAACGCTGGGTGTGTGGTGGAGGCGGGTGGTGGGTGGGGCATTGGGATACATAAACTCCTTTAGGAAAGGGGTTGGCCAGACATCATGTTTTCCTAACTCCCAAACCACTTACCAGGTAAGAAAAGTACTTTACCCCTAGTCTTCTTGGCCAGGTAATCTCTCTGCACCCCCAGGGCTAGAAGATCATGGAATATGGTGGAAGAAAATGCCTCAATCATCCCAAGCATGTATTAAGAGCCTACTGTGTGCTGGGTGCTCTACTAGGCTCTGAAATTACAAAGATAAATTAGTTTCTTCTCTCTCAAGGAGCTGAGTCAAACAATTGTTATCTTTCCAAGGATGAAAGAGTGAGCAATAAAAGATTTCTTTAGACTTTTCATTCAGGTTTTCCAAAGAACTTGACTGTGGCTGAGAGTAGCATTTTCTGTTTGTTGAAAAAAATGTTGCATGTGTGACAGGCCATGATTGACTCTGAATGTTTCAGTGATCATGAAGGGTGGAGCTAGTAACTTCCTTCTTACTTTACACATTTTTCTGTATAGTTTAGTCCATATTTTGTATTTCCTTGTGTCCCCATTTAGTTTATTTTTTTCTATCTACTCTTTTTGTCCTCCTCATAATATATTTATAGCTAATTTTTAGCCCCCTTTCTCTCTCTTATTATAGCTAATTCCCTTGGTGGTGTAGTTCTATTGAAATTGGAATAGAAATAGGGAAGTTAATATTATAATTCATTACCAATGAGTTCATACTTTTCTTTGCATAAGAAAGATATTCGTGGCATGAACTAAGCTGACTGGTTTGCTCCCTGGACGGAAGACGTTTTATTTCTTTGTTACAGATCCAGCTTTTGGGCAAGGGTTGCTATTTTGTACAAAGCACTTTTTAAGCCTGATTCTGTTGTGCAGGAAGGCATCCAAAGAAAGCGCAATGTTTTAGGTAAACTGGTCAGTACCAGATCTTGATTGAGATGTATTCATTCCCTTTCTGTTTGTTTAGAGTGGTCTGGTCAGTCTTTTAGCGAAAATGTCTTTTAGAAAATGTTTGCTCATCTTCAGAATTAACTATGGGCAGAAAACCTTGCTCTCCTGTCCCTGAAAGAAGAGAACCCATCTAGAATTGGACATACATTCCAACAATTTAGCTTCCATTTCAGAAGCTAGTCATCTTTAAAGAACTATCTGGTTGAATTTTAATACTGATGTGAGAGTTTTCAACACATTCAATATTCATGCCAGTTGCTTTTCCTTGCCAAAATGGGATACATTTTTATTTTGTCTAAATAGATTCTTTGGTGTTTGGGCTGTTCAGATAGATTTGCCTCATGGATTTCAGAAGGGTCCTTAAGCCTTTTCATCTTGATATTACTGAGATTATCTTACTTTTTGCAAGGATATGAAAAGGAAAGTGCAGTGTAACAGTGGGCCTGTCCTTTTGCCATTTTTGGCCACATTGTGGCTCCTGTGTTTGCTCGTGACAGTAGGGCACTTACAAACTGAGAACTGGACATGGACTAGGGCATGAAAGAGGTATATCCATTCATGGAATGGAGAAAATCTTTGAATAGTTAGACTTTTGGCCAAATTATTAGAAGTATATTTTTGCAAACAATTTTAGGTTGCATTTTTTAGAGTCTAACATATCACTACATCAATCTCCCTGCTTTCTGAAGGTAATTGCCGCAAGAGGTATTAATCAGTTTCAGAAAGGGTGGATATTTGCAAACCTAGTAGGTCTCTAGGATTTTAGGCAGTGGTTAAAACAGTGGTGTGTTTTAGTACATCCCTCCACCCCATTACTCTCAAATCTCATAGATGGTAACCCAATATGAAATTTACTCCCAGCAGACCACACAAACAGAAAGTAATTGGCAGGATTCACTTCTAAAGCTTTACAGAGATATTTGGTCTTCTAAGGAGAATATTTTCAAGGGGGTTTGTGGAAACAATTGAAGATTAGGCATGATAGCTTGGTAGGTATAGAAGCAAGTCTGAAGGGCCACTTAAGTTTGGAATGATAATGTGACATTGAAGAGATATCAAACAACACCAGGGTAATCCATCTTAGTAGGAGCCTTGGGTTATATATTATGGCTTTCCAAAATGGGCTCCTGAGCTGTGTCCTAGCTGTATTTTAAAATTAAAACAGGAACAGTACCTCTCTTCTTTGTTACTTCTTGGCTTAAGCCAAGAGAACTTAGATGCCTTCCTGAATATTGAAGTTTTTCCAACTCTCTGAAAACAAGTTGAAGGAGATGATGGGTTTGGTGTGTGTGCTGGTCAGCCAGCTGCATCCTCTACAGGTTCTTTTAAATATTTTGTTTTCTTCAGAGATTTTATTTCTGACTCTCAATTTGTAGTGTGGACATTGGCTAGGTATACCAGATTCAGAGTAAGTAGCTGAAATATTCCCAAGCAGGCAAACATGAAAAGAGATCTGAGCTGTTTTGTTTGTTAGTAGGAAAGGGGGTTGTTTTTACGTTTTCCACCAAACACCACTTTCACTCTTCCCTTTCCGCATTCCCAGGGTGACTATGAGGAGTGACCTTCTCTACTATAGATTCAAGTTTTTATCTTACACTAAAACATAACATCCATGCAAACTAGGTTTTCTTCATCCTGGCTCTAAGTATTTCTTACTGTTTCTCTATTTTCTTTTTGGTTTCACTTGTCTCTGTGATCATGTATAAAACCAGAATCCCATTTAATTATTTAATGGTGTCATTTTGATAAAAGGACAAAGCCCTATTTTTCATGTAGTTATTTGTAAGGGTATAGTACAGAGAGTAGAGCTAACTTTTCAAGTAACCACATTTATGGGAGAATGGTGCAGTTAAAATGATCCTTAGAAACTAGTCAATAGACATAAATGTTAGAATTGAAAGTGCCATTAGATATCTGACAAGGTGGTAAATTATTCTAGGTCTCCATTTCCTCATTCTGACAAATGAGAATGTTGTGTTGATGTTTTCCCATTTTTTAAAACCCTAATATTCTATGGTTTAGAAATTTATAATCTACAGACATTGATTATAGTAATTAAAAGTCCCTGTCACTGACCAAAGTACTATCTTTATGTTAACCAAGATTTAGAAGCATACCTCTGTGAAAGGAACATTCTTAATTTGGTGAAACTAAAGCTGGCAAGAATTCTACATTTAATAGTTCATATTGAAAAAGCTGTTCACTACCAAGTGAAAGAAAGACATTTCTACAAAGGCCATCGTGGGTAGTATTTGGAATTTGTGGACATCTGGAATGAATTCTCTTCCACCTTTTCATTGCTCTTCCTCCCTCCCTAGGAATCCCAAAGCCAGCATGCTCTTGAACTTCAATTTTCTGGATTGTGAATATATAGGTAATGGGGTAGAGTATGCAACCTTAAATCCCCATGGTTACAGAATCTTACAGTAACAAAAAAATCCCTGTATATTAAAAATTCATATATCTTAGAGACAGGGTCTCACTGTGTCACCCAGGCTGGAGTGCAGAGGTGCAATCATAGCTCACTGTAACCTTGGACCTCTGGGCTCAGGCAATTCTTCCACCTCAGCCTCCCAAAGTGTTGTGATTACAGGCATGAACCACCATGCCCAGCCTAATATTTTAATAGAGAGCTATATAATTTTTAAAAATAGACATTGAAAGTAAGGGAATGTTTCTAAAGGAACCCTTAAAGGAAATATGGACATAAATTTTCTAGAAAAAAATCCTTGGTAATTACAATATTTGGGAAAAAGAAAATCAGATTTTGTTAAAAGTTTACACTCAGATTCAAAAAGGTTTTATTTGGAACCTACCATATTCCAGGCACTCCGACAGATGTTTTATTTTTCATCCCATTTAATCCTCACATTGATACTGTAACAAAAGTATGATTATTTTATTTTCAGATGATGAAAGTGAAATCCATAAATGTACTTGCCCAAGAATTTAAACTGAGTCTCTTGGATCCAAGTGTCAAGAAAAAAACATCATCTGAATATTTTTCCCACCAAGAAATTAAGTTATTGAAGTTCTCACAATTACTAACAGTATGCTAACCAAGTGTTGTCTAAGAAAAGCTTAAAAAGACAAATGATTTGGAAGTAATATATCAGAACTGCCTGCTTATGTGTTGCAATTATATAATTTGTATGTAAATGAGTATACTTAGGTAAACAATCTCCTTATGGGTTTGCCCATCCTATAGTAATGTGCTTAGCCCTCTTTTCAAGAGATAGTGCAAAGGTAACATCAACCCATGTGTCAGTAATCATCAGATTAACAAAATCCATATCAGTTTGGATTTTTCTCCATGCCATTATGGGAATATACTATAATTATCATAGTTTTACTCTAAGAGCTCAATTTGTCTTGGATAGTGACAGTTGTATAATATTAAATCTATGCCTTGGAAAGTGGTAAAGTTATTATAGAAAACATATTGAGCCACTTTTCAAAGCTCCAAATAAGAAAGTTGTTTTCAATACTAAAACCACTGATTTATATCAAAAACTTCACAAGGGTTTATAATTTTTAATAACTTTAAACACTGAAAGAAAATAACTATTTTCAAGTCCAAAAGGATCAGATTGGTTTGAAAATTGTCACACATTTTGCTTCTCTTTATGCCTGTTTAATTGGTTAATGAAATATTTTCAAAGAGAGAAATGTCTTGCTGCATGGTTTTCTGGGCCCTGCCCAGAAAAGTCAACTTTGGAGGGAAGGGTTTATCAGGAAGAAGGACGTAGCTTTTCACCAGCCTTGTGTCTGCTATTTCAGCACCTGCTTGACTCTGCTTTTTGATTTTCCACCCAAATGCTGGGACGGCCTGGATGCTCTAAGTAGGAATATGGTGCTGAGACCAGCACGGTTGTGGATACCCTAACCCAGCAGCTCTAGAGGAATTAAAGACACACACACAGAAATATAGAGTGTGGAGTGGGAAATCAGGGGACTCACAGCCTTCAGAGCTGAGAGCCCCGAACAGAGATTTACCCGCATATTTATTGATAGCAAGCCAGTGATAAGCATTGTTTCTATAGATTATAGATTAACTAAAAGTATTCCTTACAGGAAACAAAGAGATGGGCCGAAGCAAAGGGATGGACTCTGGCTAGTTATCTACAGCAGGAACATGTCCTTAAGGCACAGATTGCTCATGCTATTGTTTGTGGTTTAGGAATGCCTTTAAGCAGTTTTCCACCCTGGGTGGGCCAGGTGTTCCTTGCCCTTATTCCGGTAAACCCACAACCTTCAGCATGGGCATCATGGCCATCATGAACATGTCACAGTGCTGCAGAGATTTTGTTTATGGACAGTTTTGGGGCCAGTTTATGGCCAGATTTGGGGGCCTGTTCCCGAAATGTGGAGTGTCCTCTGCTCAGTATTTGATTAGAAAGAAGAGGTTCTTTCCCCCCTTTTTCCATGCAGAAAGGCTTGGACCAGAAGGGTGGAGGGAAAAATCAAGTTCTAGCTTAAAAAGCTCAACAGAAACAAGTACGTTAATTCAGCATGATTTTTTGAAAACAAACTCATGTTCCTCAGCACGCCATAATTGCAGTTTAATTCCCTGCCCATAAGAATGCTGATGTCACTCAAATTCTGACCACTGAAGAAGACCAGGTTTGCTCTTATTCTTGGCTGACTGCAACTGGCATTGATGTAAAGCATATTTATATATAAAACAAAAAACACTTAAGAGGCTTATCTGTCCCTATTCTCCAGATATGTATCTGACACTTCATGGAGTGTCTTCTTCATATGAGTTTCATCTTCCACCAGGTGTGGTGACTCACTCTTGTAATCCCAGGACTTTAGGAGGTCAGGGTGGACAGATCATTTGAGCTCAGGAGTTTGAGACCAGCCTGGGCAACATGGCAAAACCCAGACCCTACAAAAAAATACAAAAATTAGCCAGGCTTGGTGGCACATGCCTGTGGTCCCAGCTGCTTGGGAGGTGGAGGTGGGAGGAGGATCACTTGAACCCAACAGGCGGAGGTTGCAGTGAACCAAGATCTCACCACTGCACTGCAGCCTGGACAACAGAGCAAGACTTTGTCTCAATTAAAAAAAAGAGAGATTAAAGTTGAATTCTTACCTTGATTGAATCAAAGACAGGGAAGATTTGAAGGAATACCACTCTTTAAGGTTCTCTTCAAGAGAAAGAAAAGGAAAGAACAGAAAAGAAAAGAGAGAGAGAACAAAAAAGGAAGAAGGGAAGGAAGAGAGAGAAAGAGAAAAGAAGGAAGGAAGGGGAGAGAGAGAAAGAAAAAAAGAAAGAAAGAAAAGAAAGAAAGAAGGAAAGAAAGAAAGAAAGAAAAAGAAAGGAAGAAAAAGAAAGGAAGGAAGGAAAGGAAGGAAGGGGAAGGGGAAGGAGGGTGGAAGGAAGGAATGAAGGAAGGAAGGAAGGAAGGAAGGAAGAGAGAGATAGAGAGAAATAAATAAAGAAAAGGTCAGCACAGACCTTTAGGTAAAGTCCTACTCCCATTCAAATCTCGGAGAATGCCCCTCACTGTTCTATCCTATTCCTCAGGAAACACCTGTCTCTTCAGTTGGTCTTTTGTTGGATAATGACAGTGTGTCAAGGGGAAATAGCATTTCCTATGTGTTAGATGTTTTTTTGGTAGAGCCGTATCCCATTCAGGCACTTTTCTTTCTTTTCCTTTGATGGAGGAAAAATGCAGGATGATGAGAAAGCCCCAACTGACATCAGTAGATTATCTTAGCTTTATAAAGCCATTCCAATTGATCACTAGGGCTTGAATATGCCTTAGGCTCAAAGTATATAAATTGGAATTTCTCTTGTGGTTCAGTTTTCCTTCTGAAGGGTTACAAAATTGGAGCTAATAGCTAGAGAAAGGGTCCTCTAGCATATTACATATAATTTGGTGGGATTGTCCCTCTTGATATATTTATAAATGTCTCTCAGCCCCTTTACATGTACTTTCGTTGATGCTTCAATTACCTTTTGGTGAAGAGGGCGTGAGGAAAATAATTCCATTATCGAATATGCTTTTATTATTCCTCTTTAATGCCTTTTTCATTTTGGGGTTTTAGGAAATTATGCTCACTTTTGTTTTTAAACTAATCATTGACTTTTTATAATAATACAACTACTTTTTCAATATAGTAAAGCTTTGACAGTGTTTCCCAAAAAACTCTTGCAGGAATATGAGAGTAAAAATTTATAGTCAGTAGTTCTCTCTCATGCCTTTGTTTCCCCCACTTCTGGTTACACCAGAAGGTCCTGTGCTTATATTTGGTCATCACATTCCTGGAGGCTTTGCCTTCTGACTGTTCTCCTTCTGTAGATTCTGTGGTCACCACAACCTGAAATGAGGACTACTTTGTGACATGAAGCAGTAACTTGAAGAAGGGCCAAGGGGATGAAAAAGACAATGTAGGCTAACACAATATAACAAGTAGCTTAAAAAAAAAGACAAAATAAATCATTCTCCTTCAAAACAAATTGAGGCAAAATGAGCAAAAGGGTCAAAATACAAAATTCGTGGGCTGACCTGGAAAATATAAAGATGGACCTAGAGATTGAATTTCAACCCTAAATTGCTTGAATCTCTTGAATCTGTTAATTGATTAATTCACTAAACAATTATGTATTAAATGTCAGACACTATACCATCAGGTTCTGGTAATAGAAATAAACATGACAGATCTGGTCCCTGTACTCATGTTATTTATAATCTAATGGAGAGAACACAGCTTATTTAAATTATTACAAAAAATAATTACATACATACAAATGTGATAAGAGCTCTGCAGCAACTAGGTAAAGTACATTTTAAATGATGATTTATAAGTCTCTATATTCAACAAAGACCCTGACACCCTCTTGAAACACACTATAATATAGTCTATCTTTTAATTATTAATGTGAAATTGTTAATAATTAGTATCAAATGTAAAATTGTTTTATAATTTCTTTGATTTGAATTATGCAAATGGGAAAGAAAATTCACCATTGGGTGTGCCAATCAGAAAAAAATGTCTACTATGCCACTGATACTCTCCCAGAGACTTTCTAAGACACACCAGGCTATTGATGGGGAACTACAATAGCAGCTGCTTAGAGATATAGAGATGACCTATGCAACTTGTATCTTTGTAGCCAGCCAGTTATTTACCTAAGATTCTTTTCTTCTTTAAAATGAAGATAATAATGATTAGTTCAATAACCTGAGAGGCTGTTGTAAGGCTAAATTAGATAAAATCACTTTTTAAAGAGCTACAAATCATATTAGTATTTTGAATTCTAAAAATCAACGTGTTCAGTTCATGGCAACATGTGCAGAGAAATAAAACATTAAACAGGTTATTACAATGTAATAACTAAATTAAAACCCAATTTGTAGTCAAGTAAATGCAGAATTGATGCTGAGAAAGTCAAATCAGTGATGTAAAGGAAATTGGGAAAAGTTCCCCAAATGTATATTCTTATGCAAAAAAATGAAAATGATAAGATCAAAACGATAAATAAAAGAGCCATCCTTCAGCTAACAGATAAACCCTGAAGAAGAAAACAAATAAAAAGTGAATGAAACACTTATCAAAGATATACTAGAAGAAATTTATCTTTGATAAAAAATTATTCATTATTTCTATTTTCTAGTTAATACTGAAACAACAGTATCTTATCTATCTTGTATATCTTAGTTGTAAAATTAAGTAAAAGTTCCTGATGTTTTATGTGAATTTCTGGCTGTACAAGAAGACTACAGCTTTTTATAATTTGGGAATAGTTATAGTGCTTAATATTATTTGTGTAAAAGCCAAGCAAAGTTTAAGCACAGATGATTAAAATATCCTCCAGGCTAACTCCCATAAAATTGAATTAAAGCACTAGATAAAGCATTGATTTATTCCATATTGATATTAGTCATAAAAGTATGTGTCTCATACAGGAATACAAAATATTAGCCATAAGGTTATTAAGTGTCTAGATTTGATAACGTATATATTTAACAACACTTTTCATGGCTTGGAACAAATGAAGTTACCAAATCCTTGCCATCCAAGAAACCGATAATCTGATTGGGGAGAAGGATGTATGCAGGAAAAATAAAGAAATGAATAAGCAAAAATAAAGAAATGAACAAAGATCACATCTCGGCCTTTTGGCTGAGATCAAGTG
This sequence comes from Homo sapiens, assembly GCF_000001405.40. Taxonomy (NCBI): domain Eukaryota; kingdom Metazoa; phylum Chordata; class Mammalia; order Primates; family Hominidae; genus Homo; species Homo sapiens. Next base: position 148,810,446 of record NC_000004.12, read on the forward strand.
TAGAAATTAACAAAGAACGGTATTAAAAGGTTAAGATATAGTCTGAATAAGGAATCAAGAAGTTTCAAAATTTTCTATTTGGCCATTGGTTATAGGAAAGGGGCAATTTCAAAGCATGTGCAGAATTATGACTGCTTTGAAAACATTCTTCAGGTTCTGGAGACTAGAGATAACTGTAATGGAGAAAGCTATTTTCGATGTTGTCATAGCAATGCAGTTGTTTCCTGTCATCCTTGCTCTTTTGGAATGGAGCCATTTGATGAGTTTCTCATGGTCACATTCTACCTCTTCTGCAGCAGCATCATCAGAATAGCTATTATTTGTTAGACTGTTATATAATTGCACCTAATATTTGCATTGTATGTATTCTATGCCAAGTCTATTATTTAATAATCAACATGTACTACTATTCAACATTCCTTATAGTAGCTCTATGAGGTAGATACTATATTTTTTCCCATTTAACAAATGGGGAAACAAAAGCAAAGAGAATTTAGGTAACTTGCCCAAGGTGAAAACTTATACATTACAACGCTGAGGTTTGAACCCAGGCAGTCAGGCTCTAGACTTTGTGCTCTTAATTGCTATGCTGCACTGCCTATGACCAAACCTTGTAATAGGTGCTATAGTAATGTTCACAAGAACCTGACAAGATAGAGATTATTATCTTCATTTTTATATGATGAGACTGAAGAAGGTTAAATTGCCAAAAGTCACAGCAGTAATAAGTGACAAAGCTAGGGTTCAAACCCAGGTTTGGGTGAATCCAGTGCCTGTTTTCAGGGTGAATCCAGTGCCTGTTTTCATTACCCAACACTGTCTCATATTGAATTTTAGAGAACATATCCTCTAGGCAGGAATTTCTGTCTGAACATACAAAAAAGTCATATACTATGAATATGTAATATGTTTTAGAAAGGTGATTTTTCTTTCAGGAGATCTATTTTTAAACATATTTTTAAAGCAGATTTGAATAGGAATATATTTAATACTTGGTAACAAAACCCTTTATTTATAAATACAAGATTGAAAAAGCTGCATGTTTCTTAGCTAGCTCCCAAAGGGAATACTGAGAATAACAAAAATAAAAGTTGTCTCAATAAGTTAAACCACAGACTTAAGCTACAGCAATTTTAGAGCAAATTAACTGTTATGTTTATTGTTTATCCTCTGTTAGCTAATATTAGAAACTCCTTTGTATATGTGGCATATAGAAATAAATGGAATTTGCATTTAAATAACTGGTTATATCAAGTCTAACAAAACATGTATTTTTTATTAGGTGTGGTTTCCAATGAAGAATATGTTGTTGAATCAAAAAGATAATTGGATCAGTGATCTTGAATCTTTCATAGGTGATGTTGAGTAGAAACCTCCATGTATAGTTAAAACTAATGACCTAGTAAGATGTGTGCTTCGAGTTTTCCCAGTGATATTGAAGAGTTTTTAAGTCATCATCATTCTCACTCAGAGGCTCCTGGTGTCTTGAAGTACCCATTTGTATGACAACTGGCTAACACCAAATTGTTTGTGGCAAACTGGATGAAATCAACTTGTCTGCCATATAAATTCATCTTTTGGTTTCACATTTCTCGTGACCATTTTTTATTCAACTCAGAATATCTTTTGATTTTATTAATTCACTTAGGCTGCTTGTGTGATTGTGAATAAATTTTTTAGTCTTAGTCCTTTTCTATGTATAAGGTAAAGAAAGCCACATACTACTTTCACCTGTTTTTTTTAATAGTAAGTTGAATTAATGCTTTTTTAAAAAGTGTTAGAAAAAAGATTTTTTTTTTAAGAAACCACAGTTCGCCTGTTCAAGTTTGAGCCAACTCAAGTTCTCTTTGGGTAAAAGCCAAGTGAAAATATGTCTCAAGTTTCTTACATGAAAGAAGCATATAAAGGCAGGAAATTTAAAGACGACCTAGTGATTTTTAATAACACAGGGAAATATTTGGTTGATTTTTGGTATCTTTTTCCCTTTCAAAAAATAGATTTAAAATACTAATAATGCCGGTTCAGTCTTCCTTTGAAAAGGAAAATGAGGGCACAGTGTTCACTTAACAATGGATGCATGAAAATGACAGCATCCTGGGGAGCAAGAGCAATGACGTAAATCTTTTAAAATGAGGATATTAGACACTTTTTCTTGACAGGCTAAAGGCAATGTGTACAGGGAATAATTATAATACCTCAGGAGGGTGAAAAGCTGAAGTGGTTTGTTGGAATAGATATTACCAGGACATATTTTTTTTTCTGATGCTTCCCAAATAAAGGATTCAGTGTGTGTCAGCTGTTGATTGTTTAAAAAAGCTATACACATTTTAATTTAACAGAATATTTATTTTATTCTCTGATTTAATAGTTGGCTGTTTTTTGAAGGAATTATATGTGCCTATACTCTTCTGGAAAGTTTTATCTTCTTTCTTCTATTTCTAGCTTCATAACTGCCGCAGTGGTCTTATTCGCTTTCTTCAGCCATCTCACACGTATCTGATGCACAGAATACTATGATGCTCCTTATTACACACGACATGCAAGTATAGAGATTGAAACTTCAGTGGCGTGAAATTCCTTTCTTAGAGCATTGTGGATATCACTAATCTTTTGGGTAGCATTGCTGAGAGCCATGCTTGTCTAAGCTTATGAGGAATCTCCCACAGTGTTAAAGAAGTCAAAACAAGTCAAGAAAAAAAAATTGAATTAACTTTCATCTCTCTATTAATGGGTAAATGACTTCTATCTGAACTTCTCAACTTCTATCTGAAAATTTTTCTTTTTGGAACTTGCTCTTAATTTCACAGCACCTAAAGAGTCCCTTGAGACCAACTGGTACTTGTAAAGTTCCATTACAACAATGAACAAAATAATGACATAACCACTCTTAAAAAAGTCAATGGCTATTGAAAACAAAATATTTGGTGAAGTCCCTGTACAAAATCATCATCTCATTTTGTCCTGTAATATATGCCACATCTATTTTTGAGTTAATACATTCAGTTTCAGGTAGTTCTAAACTTTGAAGTCTAGCATTGATGACTGAGCTTGAAATCATACTCTAGAATTGGATGATGAGCTCACATAAACCCATTTATGTTGGAGGAAAGGGGAAATGGAGAAGAATCTCCACCAGCAGAGACAGTACACAACATACTTTCATGCACACTCACAATTTGTGATTGTCATGGCCAGACCAAAAAAAGGTTCCCAACCTCTCTCTCATCCCCTCCTTCTACAGCAGATTGTTTTGTAGGCTTAAGCTAGCCTTTTATTATAGCTGCATTAATTGCTAATGCTAGGTGAATAGTACTCTCCTTGACTCTGGTGTAACCACTTCAGAGGGGAGAGGGGACAGGGTGTAAAAAGAAAAAAGCATCATCATTCTTTCAATTCACATGTGTGTAATAATTAAACACTTTGAGGGGAGCGTTCAGAAGAATATTAATAAATTCCCTTGAGAGTTCTTTTCAATAATAGGCAGGCTCTTTTACCTTTGGAATATTCCATGTGTCATTATTTTTCATCTTTAGCTTTCCTTTGGGATGCAATCATTGGCAGTTCAGACAACTTTCACATCAAAGTTTTCAAGTTGAAGGAAGTCATTTAAGTAAGATTAACCTAAGTAAGTACCATTTTCACTAAATCTAGAAGAAAAAAATCAATCATCTCTTAATACAAAGGTGTGTGTTTAAAATATTATCAATGAATGTTCACACATTAGCCAGAGAGAATCTTCCTGGCATGAGTCCAGGCTGTCTGCGTGAGTGAAAAGAGAACATTTTGTATTCTACCTGCCAGGTGAGAATCTGAGTCATACTTTCCCAAGTGGTGTTTTTGGAGACAGAGCCAATGAGGAATTTAAATTTTAGAAGTTCCTCCTTCTTAATATAATGCATAAAATATTGACAGAGTGTGTAATATGAATGGTTTTTAATTCCAAGATATGGTTATAAGGTTTTAATAACCAATCTAGGGGAACACTAGCTAATTTAGAACATAATTCTTGGAGGAGTTTGTTATGCCCTTAGGGCTCTGGCTTTGGAGAGACCTTTGATAACATTTAGCATTTCTCCATTGAGACTCTTAAGTAGCTCAATCTGGGTAGCTTTGTGTTAGGATGTTTCATTTCATTAAAACATTCCTTTTCTTATTAGCATTCCCAAGTCTTTCTGATAGTTATAGAATGTGATTGGCTTAATAAAAGATTTTCTAGGAGACAGCTCAATTCATTAAATGGGATTTTTATCATCAAAATTAACATTTAAAATATTATATTTTGAAATAATTGAATGTGATGGATGAGTTAAATAGGCTGCATTTTTAAACTAACATTTTGGCTATGGTTTTGAAATTCAAAGCTTTACTTGTTTTGAAGTAAACATAGGTTGGGTGATTCTGTTGCTTAAATTATTTTCGACTCTTATCTATGCTTTAATCAAACTTGAACAGTTACAAATTTTCATATTACTATTCATCATTATTATGGGGGTCTCAGATTCGGTAAACTGTATACATATTCACCCTATTCTTCCCACTTTTCGTGTGAGAACACAATTGTTCACCTTTCTTTTGAAGCCTAATTTCAACTCAAACATCACAGTCCAGTAAGTGAAAAAAGTTTTCCATTTGCTACATCAGTGACAGACAATTCTTCTTAAGCTCCTTTACTTATTGTATTGCCTTGCTTAAATAGGCTTCCAACTGTGTTCACCTTTAGACCAAATATTAGCCTGATCCCTAAAGACTTCTATTATATGACCCCACTCTGCCCTTTCAAACTTAGTTCTCATGACTCTTCTATAAGAAACATGTACCATCAACAAAGCAAGCTATTCACTGCCCCCAGAGTACCCTGCATACATCTGTACATGTATGCTTTTGTTTTACATTTTACCCAGCCTTCATGATCTTCCTTTCCCTTTACATATACTCATTACCTTATTGAATCCACCAAAGAAACCACTTTTTCCAAGTATCTTCAGATGTACTCTTCTCATAGCTTTCTCTCTCCCCACTTTGGATTTCGGTAGCTGTTACGGTCTGAATGTCTGTGTCACCCACCAAATTCATATGCTGTAATTCTAATTTCCAATGGGATGGTATTAGGTGGAGGGGTCTTTGGGAGGTGATTAGGTCATGATAATGGAATACTCAAGAATGGGATTAGTGGCCTTTTAAAAGGGACCCCAGAGATTCTGGTATGTTGTGTCTTTGTTCTCACTGGTTTCAAAGAACATCTTTATTTCTGTCTTCATTTCATTATGTACCCAGTAGTTATTCAGGAGCAGGTTGTTCAGTTTCCATGTAGTTGAGTGGTTTTGAGTGAGCATCTTAATCCTGAGTTCTAGTTTAATTGCACTGTGGTCTGAGAGATAGTTTGTTATAATTTCTGTTCTTTTACACAAAGACACAATATACCAGAATCTCTGGGACACATTTAAAGCAGTGTGTAGCGGGAAATTTATAGCACTAAATGCCCACAAGAGAAAGCAGGAAACATCTAAAATTGACACCCTAACATCACAATTAAAAGAACTAGAGAATCAAGAGCAAACACATTCAAAAGCTAGCAGAAGGCAAGACATAACTAAGATCAGAGCAGAACTGAAGGAGATAGAGACACAAAAAAACCCTCCAAAAAAATCAATGAATCCAGGAGCTGGTTTTTTGAAAAGATCAAAAAAATTGATAGACCACTAATAAGACTAATAAAGAAGAGAGAAGAATCAAATAGATGGAATAAAAAATGATAAAGGGGATATCACCACCAATTCCACAGAGATACAAACTACCATCAGAGAATAATATAAACACCTCTATGCAAATAAACTAGAAAATCTAGAAGAAATGGATAAATTCCTGGACACATACACCCTCCCACGGCTAAATCAGGAAGAAGTTGAACCCCTGAATAGACCAATAATAGGCTCTGAAATTGAGGCAATAATTAAGAGCCCACTAACCGAAAAAAGCCCATGACCAGACAGATTCACAGCCAAATTCTCCCAGAGGTACAAAGAGGAGCTGGTACCATTCCTTCTGAAACTATTCCAATCAATAGAAAAAGAGGGAATCCTCCCTAACTCATTTTATGAGGCCAGCATCATCCTGATACCAAAGCCTGGTTGAGACACAACAAAAAAAGAGAATTTAGGCCAATATCCCTGATGAACATCGACACAAAAATCCTCAATGAAATATTGGCAAACCAAATCCAGCAGCACATCAAAAAGCTTATCCACCATGATCAAGTTGGCTTCATCCCTGGGATGCAAGGCTGGTTCAACATACACACATCAATAAACTTAATCCACCATAGAAACAGAACCAAAGACAAAAAACACATGATTATCTCAATAGATGCAGAAAAGGCCTTTGACAAAATTCAACAACGCTTCATGCTAAAAACTCTCAATAAACTAGGTATTGATGGGACGTATCTCAAAATAATAAGAGCTATTTATGACAAACCCACAGCCAATATCATACTGAATGGACAAAAACTGGAAGCATTCCCTTTGAGAACTGGCACAAGACAGGGATGCCCTCTCTCACCACTCCTATTCAACTTAATGTTGGAAGTTCTGGCCAGGGCTGTCAGGCAAGAGAAAAAAAAAAGGGTATTCAATTAGAAAAGGAGGAAGTCAAATTGTCCCTGTATGCAGATGACATGATTGCATATTTAGAAAACCCCATTGTCTCGGCCCAAAATCTCCTTAAGCTGATAAGCAACTTTAGCAAAGTCTCAGGATACAAAATCAGTTGTGCAAAAATCACAAGCATTCCTCCAAACCAGTAACAGACAAACAGAGAGCCAAATCATGAATGAACTCCCATTCACAATTGCTTCAAAGAGAATAAAATACCTAGGAATCCAACTTACAAGGGATGTGAAGGACCTTTTCAAGGAGAATTACAAACCACTGCTCAATGAAATAAAAGAGGACACAAACAAATGAAAGAACATTCCATGCTCATGGATAGGAAGAATCAATATCATGAAAATGGCCATACTGCCCAAGGTAATTTATAGATTCAATGCCATCCCCATCAAACTACCAATGACTTTCTGCACAGAATTGGAAAAAACTACTCTAAAGTTCATATGGAACCAAAAAAAGAGCCTGCATTGCCAAGACAATCCTAAGCAGAAAGAACAAAGCTGGAGGCATCACGCTACCTGTCTTCAAACTATACTACAAGGCTACAGTAACCAAAACAGCATGGTACTGGTACCAAAACAGAGAGACAGACAAATGGAACAGAACAGAGGCCTCAGAAATAACGCCACACATTTACAACCATCTGATCTTTGACAAACCTGACAAAAACAAGAAATGGGGAAAGGATTCCCTATTTAATAAATGGTGCTGGGAAAACTGGCTAGCCGTATGTAGAAAGCTGAAACTGGATCCCTTCCTTACACCTTATACAAAAATTAATTCAAGATGGATTAAAGACTTACATGTTAGACCTAAAACCATAAAAACCCTAGAAGAAAACCTAGGCAATACCATTCCGGACATAGGCATGGACAAGGGCTTCATGTCTAAAACACCAAAAGCAATGGCAACAAAAGCCAAAATTGAGAAATGGGACCTCATTAAACTAAAGAGCTTCTGCACAGCAAAAGAAACTACCATCAGGGTGAACAGACAACCTACAGAATGGGAGAAAATTTTTGCAATCTACCCATCTGACAAAGGGCTAATATCCAGAATCTACAAAGAACTTAAAGAAATTTACAAGAAAAAATCAAACAACCCATCAAAAATTGGGCGAAGGATATGAACAGACACTACTCAAAATAAGACATTTGTGCAGCCAACAGACACATGAAAAAATACTCATCATCACTGGCCATCAGAGAAATGCAAATCAAAACCACAATGAGATACCATCTCACACCAGTTAGAATGGCGATCATTAAAAAGTCAGGAAACAGCAGGTGCTGGAGAGGATGTGGAGAAATAGGAACACTTTTACACTGTTGGTGGGACTGTAAACTAGTTCGACCATTGTGGAAGACAGTGTGGCGATTCTTCAAGGATGTAGAACCAGAAATACCATTTGACCCAGCCATCCCATTACTGAGTATATACCCAAAGGATTATAAATCATGCTGCTATAAAGACACATGCACACATACATTTATTGTGGCACTATTCACAATAGGAAAGACTTGGAACCAACCCAAATGTCCATCAATGATAGACTGGATTAAGAAAATGTGGCACATATACACCATGGAATACTATGCAGCCATAAAAAATGATGAGTTCATATCTTTTGTAGGGACATGGATGAAGCTAGAAACCATCATTCTGAGCAAACTATCACAAGGAGAGAAAACCAAACACCACATGTTCTCAATCATAGGTCGGAATTGAACAATGAGAACACTTGCACACAGGAAGGGGAACATCACACACCGGGGCCTGTAATGCGGTGGGGGGAGGTGAGAGGGATAGCATTAGGTGATATACCTAGTGTAAATGACGAGTTAATGGGTGCAGCACACCAACAAGGCACATGTATACATATGCAACAAACCTGCACGTTGTGCACATGTACCCTAGAACTTAAAGTATCATAAAAATAATAATAATAAAATAAAAAATAAAAAAATAAAAGGGATCCCAGAGTGCTCTCATTCTCTTTCTGTCATGTTAGGGTCCAATAACAAATGGAAAGTCTGCAGCCCAGCAGAGTGTCCTCACCAGAACTTGACGATGCTGACACCCTGACCCTGGACTTCCCATCCTCCATAAGTATAAGAAATAAATTTCTGTTGTTTATAAACCACCCAGTGTATGATATATTGTTATAGCCATTTTGACCGACTAAAACAGTAGTATTCACTGTTTACCAGATAATATTCACCAGACAAATACACACTAAATGTATTTATAAATTTATTTAAATGTATCATTTCTTTTCTTGAGTATAATAAGTTTCTTAAGGGCAAAAAGCCTCTTTTATCTGTCTTATTCATAATACAGCATACAATACCAGCTCCAGAGAAGGCACTCAATATTTGCTGGAGAAGAATGGTAGGCAGGTAGGAAGGCAGGAAGGAAGGAAGCAAGAGAGGGAGAAATGAAGGGGAAGGAATGAAAGTGAGAGGGTGGGGAGAGATTTGTCTCTTATAAACAGGAATGTAACTTTTTGAAAGGGCCATGTTTTTGTGTAAAAAGAAACTGAACATTCATTGCAAAATTGTAGATGCTCAAACATTCATTCATTTATTCAACAGGCATTTGTTAAGTTCCTCCTCTTCTGCCTCCATGAGGGATTTTGCTTTCTATTTGCCTCATCATATCAAAGTTTTGGAAAATAACAGTTTCTTCTCACCAAGTTTTGGGGGATATTTGTTGACTATGTTATCCATCTCTATATATGCATTAAAAAATGAATGTCTCTCTCCTCTAGTATTCTTATCATGAAACATATTTTTAATTATGACCCCAAATTAGAATTTCTAAATCATATTCTAAAGATTAAGAATACATATTATATATATATATATTATATTTATATACACACAGGATTACATATATAAAATCTTTCATAGAAGACAATTTTGAAATATATGTATGTATATGTGATTATTCATGGATATACATGGATAAGAAAAGCCTCAAAATAATCTTAATTCTTCTGTGATGACAAATACCTACTTTTTCAGTGCCAAACAATAGCTGTTTACAACTATACTGAAATATATTTACAATGGATGTATATTTCTATCTAAGTGGGCTGGTAGTCTGTGTTCATTCATTCTACATATTTTTTCTTCCTCTCTGGCCATTGCACAAACTTAGCAAAACAGCATATATTTACCTTTCTCTTTAATGTCATCTGTTATCAAGGTGGTGATAGGCTTGCCAGTCAATCTGCCTGTAAAAAGTGATCAGAGATAACATAAATTGCTCCGAAAATATTTCTACCAAACCTGTATACAATGTCATATCAGTGAGGGTACTCTCAACAGAAAGTAATGGAAAATTCAGGGGCCAGGCTCAATGGTTCACAGCTATAACCTCAGCAACTCAGGAGGCTGAAGCAGAAGGATCGCTTGAGCCCAGGAGTTTAAGACTAGCCTGGGCAACATAGCGAGATCCAGTCTACACAAAAAATAAAAAATTAGCTGGTGTGGTAGCACGTACCTATAAGTCCTAGCTACTTGGGAGGCTGAGGCTGGAGGATTGATCCCTTGAGCCTAGGAGTTCAAGGTTACGGTGAGCTATGAGCTGTGATCACACCATTGTACTCCAGACTGGGCAACAGAGCAAGACTTTGTATCAAAGAAGGAAAGAAGAAAGGAAAGAGGGAAAGAAGAAAGGAAGGAAGGAGGGAAGGAAGGAAGGAAAAAAATTCATAAAAGTGGCTTACACATTATGGCTGATTAGTTTAGTGCTCAGTGATGGTTCTTCTGTCTTTCTTCTCCATGTACATTTCTTCCATCCTAGCCAGACCGGCTATCTCCTCTCCATGTTGCTGAAGCTCTATCACGTCCTATTCATCAATGTCAGAGGAAGATAAATAACAATTTCTTCCTTTGGCATTATTTTTAGAATATTAAAAATGAATAATATTTTCTCTGAACTCCTTTAACACTATTTGTGTTTACTATTAGTTTATTTCTCCCACAGTTACAATCTGGGGCTCCAGAGACACTTGTGTTTTGTTCACTGCAGTTTCCCTAGCACCTAGTTCCTGCTGTGTAGTAGGTGCTCAGTAAATACTTGTAGAATGAATAACTGAATATATATCTTAATGGCCAAAACTGGGTTGTGTGCCCTTTCGCCAAGCCAATCGTGGACAAGGAAGATGAGACCCTTATGATTGTGACCTTTCAGAGTCTATTTGAGTTGAATGGAAAAGTATGAATTCCCATTCATACCCCAGAATGAATTTGAGCCATGGCAACATAAAAAAGAAGCATGTGACTGTTAGGTTGACAATACACATGGTGTGCTATAAATGTCAGGGTTAGCAATTTTGCATGGGAGCAGAAGTCACCATTTGCAGTAGGTTTTGAGTAAAGTAGGGTTAATAAAGAAAAAAAGAGGCAATCATGAGCTAAAAAGTAATAAAAGCTTTTCCCAGCCTAGGAAAGAAATAAAACAACATTGGACATGGTAACATTGGACAATCATGCAGCTTGAGATTGTCCAATTATTTTGTGTCTTTATGTACTCTATCTACTTAAGGCTTTATACATGCCTAATGTAGTGTTAGTTATTTAATTAAGTTTCTTGGTAGAACTTGATTTTGCTTATCTCATTTTTTGAATATTTTGAGGAATGCTCAATCATGCCATTAGAAAATATTATCCAAAGTTGCTTGGGGGAAATGAACTGTCTCATATGTTTTATTTTTTTTTTTGTACACATTAAAATTTATCTTTCTAGACTTAGGCATGGAGATCCTGTAATAAACTGTTTACTTCCTTATTCTGCCACCCACTGCATTTGCTACAGCTTGCTATTAGAGACATTAGAGACTCGTATTTTGTACATATTTGGACAATTAGCCAATAGGCTTAGGTTTGATGGTTGAATTGATTAATTAGTCCTTTACCAAATGGCATGTCATTGACCTTGTATTTCTCTTTCTTGTTGTTTCTACCATGAAAACTTTTGCTAAATACATTTCTGCAAAATGATAGTCAGGACTTCAGCAATGGCCAGATAGATTGCTTTATTAAACAAAGGAAAAAAGAATAGATTTTCACCTTTTGAAATCTGTAGTTCTGTGTAGATTTTTGTTTTGTTTCAAACAAGAGATCCTGTAAATAATCAGTCCTGGAATCTTGTTCATGTTTGCTAAATAAGCCTAGACCCAAATTTTGCAAAATTTACCCTTTTCACCTTTTTGAACCTGAATCCTGTATTTTTCTGTTTTCTATTATCATGATTTATTTCGTTCTCCAGATTTCCTCAAAGGCTTCAAATATGAGTCAACAGTCTTATCCGGCATTTTTAAAGAACTTTCGGAAAGATCTCAAACATATTTTGAAGGGCTAATTCTCCCTTACTTTGGCCTTTTGGGCCTTTTGGCCAAAATTCTGCTTTTGACAATCTGAGGATTATATTAACTGGCAACTAAAAAGCCAACGGAAGTTGAGTAGTTCTAGTCTCATTATCACATATTAATAGAGTTCCATCACTCCAATCTGCACACTTATTCCATGAACTTTCAGAATAAAATGAACAATATCCCATAGTGATGAGATACACAGGCTTTAGAGTGTGCCTGCCTGGATTTGAGCCCTGGCTCTGCCACTTATTAGCAGTGTGATCTCATTGAGCCTTCATGATGGCGGTAATAATAGCATTGACTTCATAACACTATTGTGGAAGTTACATGAGATAATGTCTCAAAGACACTTAGCATAGTGCTGGGCACATTGTAGTTGCTCAAAAATTGTAGCTAAACTATTTTGCTAAAGAAAAAAAGAGAAAGAGATGGTATAGAAGTGAGAAAAATTACACTTTGAGGGGATATTTTCTACATACGGTAGAAATGCAGTAATTCTAGGAGATTAAATATATGCAGTCAGTGATCAAGGTGTTAAGTGCACGTGGCATTGCAAGTTGGCTACTTTTGTAGATGACTCTTGCTAAGATCTCATGACAACGGATGACTATAGCAATTTAGAGGGTGTGTAACTTCTAAAGAGCCAGAAAACTTAATCAAACTTATCTGAGCTTTGACCTTCACTTTCTGTAAGCACTTGGGAAGCGTAAGAAGGTTTTTTTGTTTTCTTTTTCTTCTGAGTCTTACCTCAGATGCCCTTTGGTGTGTCTTACATTTCAGGCACTACCCTCTGAGAGATTCATTTTCTCCTCCCATGTGTCCCTCCCTTTATAAACAAGAACTGTATATCCTAGCCTGCATCTAAATGGGCTCTCTCCTTGTTGAGAATATATTAAGATCCATTGATCTTCAGGACCTGGAAGTCATCTGTAGCCCCCTGAATGAAAAGCCATGCTGTGTTTTGTGCCTCTGTAGGACCTGCCCCACTGTGAGCCCCACAGCTTAACCTTGGAAGTAGACAGCGAAGGATTTTTCTAGTCTCAGACTGTGGATGTGTCTGACATGTTGGGTAAACAGTGAAAGTAAGCATGTTATAATAATATATGTACAAGCTGTTTTACTGCAGCACTATCTGTGATACAGACTAAATGTTTGTCAGAGAGTAGTCAAATTATGGCACATCCGTGAGATGGGATAGTAGGTAGACATTAAAATGAATGAGAAATATCTATATACAGTAACACAAAAATTTCCATAACTATTGTTGGGTGGAAAAAAAACAAATTGTGGAATATTAGGTATAGTTGATCCTGTTCTTTTGTATGCAAACATATGTATATGTGCAAAAAGGTCTGCAAGTCTAGTAATTGAACTATTAACAGTGATAACCCCGGAGCAATGGGAAGTGGGGGCATATCAGGATAGAAACTTTTACTTTTATTTAACACATGTCTATAATGTTTGAATGATTCACGGTGAACCAGAATTCTTATGATAATTAGAAAAATAAAACTTATCTTCAAGTAAAAGCTTTTTCCACTTTAGCCACATTAATTGCCAGTTATTTTAAAATTATTTTTAGAAATGAAAAATCAGAAAATATTTCACATCCACCCCTCCTTCCATCCATAATACTGGAATCTGGTGATAAAAATTAAAGTAATGGCCCTGGAATCATTCAATTTGATCCCAATTTGCACTTTAAGATACAAGATTAAAATAGTAATTTAATAATTTAAAAATTGATGTTGTCAATTCTACATATATTAAAGAAAATTTTTTTTAATTAGGGGAAAAATCTTTTCTTATACAATTTCTGTACTGAAGGCTTAAAGGGATATTTGTTTGAGGGAAAATAGCTCAGAAACCAATTGGATAAAACAAAGGACAAATCTACAAGAAGTAATTGGATATTGGGATAGTGTATGGAAAAACCTAGTGCCTGGCGTATCAGTGCTGAGCTTAGGAAAGCTTTGTTGTTGTTATTTTAATAAACTTAACCACAGATTGCCTAAGGTCACAAGACACGGGATATTTTAAGTGTCAGTTTCGGAATGTGTATGTGTGAATTAGATAAGGGGATGGAAAGAGGCTCAAAGGGAGAAGGAGAGAAAGAAAGAGAAGGAGAGCTAGAAGGAGATGTGGATGGGTAAGAACCAGAGCGAGCTATGGAGAGAGAAATGTCCTTACTTCTCAGAGTTGACTCCTGCTCCTGCCCCTGGATTCGGCTTCAAGGTTAGAGAAAGTTAACTCTGAGAAAACCTAGAATGTGAAAAATGACTTTTAAAAATTATCAAAGATAAAAATTTTGAGGGAAAAGGAAAATGAATTTATTTACTGATCAGCTTACTTAACTTACTTATTTACTTGAGATGGGGTATCACTCTGTCATCCAGGCTGGAGTGCAGTGGTGAGATCACGGCTCACTTGCAACCTCAAGTACCGTGACTCAAGCCATGCTCCCACCTCAGACTCCTGAGTAGCTGGGACTACAGGCACCACCATGCCCAGCTAATTTTTCTTTTTTTAAATTTTCATTTTGTAGAGATGGGGGTCTTCCTATGTTGCCCAAGCTTATTCATTTATTTTTAATTGAAGATAAAATAACAGAAAAGTATCTTCATTCTACAGCCTCAAAGAATCAGAGAGATGGAAGAGCACTGGTAGGTTTTCAAATCCAAACTTCCATCCATTAAAAACTGCTTCCATAATATTTTTGGTCATCACATTTCTGTTTAAGAATTACTTGAGGCCGGGCGCAGTGGCTCACGCCTGTAATCCCAGCACTTTGGGAAGCCGAGGTGGGTGGATCACAAGGTCACGAGTTTGAGACCAGCCTGGCCAACATGGTGAAACCCCGTCTCTACTAAAGATACAAAAATTAGCTGGGCGTGATGGTGCGCGCCTGTAATCCCAGCTGCTCAGGAGGCTGAGGCAGGAGAATCACTTCAACTCGGGAGGCGGAGCTTGCAGTGAGCCGAGATCGTGCCACTGCACTCCAGCCTGGGTGACAGAGCAAGACTCTGTCTCAAAAAAAAAAAAAAAAAAAAAAAAAAAAAAAAAAAAAAAAGATTTACTTGAAGCAGGGAGCTCATTTTTAAAAATTTTTATTTTTAGACAGAATGTTGCAGGGCATACCATGGACTTGCCCTGGAGAAAGAATTGTGCGTTTTCCAATCTCTGACATCAACTAGCAGAATGAATTCTGGCAAATCATTTAAACTCTCGAAGCTTTATTTTTCTCATCTGTAGCCTGTTTTACTAAGCAGTTAGGTTCAGAGGCTACCACAGTCCTGTATACCTTTAAAAGACAATGTGAAGTCCAGTTCTGTGGTTTCATTTGGGGTAGAAATGTAGTAAAACACAGCCAGCATAAGTTTTAGAGTGAGTAAACCTGGGTGTGAATATTGACTTACATTTTCTGGTTGGGTGACCTTGGACAAATCACCTGATCTACCATTTTAATTTCCCATATCTTTAAATTAGGGGTAATAATACCTACCTTGGAGACTTGTTCTGGGTGTTTAAGGAAATCATGCTTTTGAAAGATTTAGCATTGTATTGGGCACATGGTAGACATGCAACAAATATTAATTTTCTCTTCTCCTACTTCCATTTAAAACAGGATTAAAATGTGGATTCAATTGAAGCAAAAGTGCATTTTTACTAGATTTGGGAAAAACTCTTAAAATACAGATTTAATGACTGGCATTAAGTGGGTATATTTTGTTAAAAGGCATTTGGACAATGCTGCCGGGATCCAGAAACACTAGATTACATTGGTAATTCTTCTTATCATTATTTCAATATAGAACATTTAAAATATATAGTTGTGCTAAAACATGAACTTATGTAAAGTCTTTACCATTGTCTTTTGAAAGTATCCTTCTCTATGAGCCTCTCTTTCACTGAAGTTCTTGAGAAAAGAAATTCTTAATTCATCTCTGTGCCCCCAGCACAAAGGCATGGTGCCAGGCATATGGTAGGCATCATTAAATATTTTATTATTCTAATCATATTCTAAATGCTATTAGAATAGACTTTACAATTTTAAAAACTTTAGGAAGAATAAGTAATTACCCTATACCGAAACCCATTAACAGAACGTAGAAATTATCATTTTTTTTTCTTTTTCTTTTTTTTTTTTTTTTTTTTGAGACGGCGTCTCGCTCTGTCGTCCGGGCTAGAGCGTAGTGGCGCAATCTCAGCTCACTGCAAGCTCCGCCTCCCAGGTTCACGCCATTCTCCTGCCTCAGCCTCCAGAGTGTAGGCGCCCGCCACCACGCCCGGCTAATTTTTTGTATTTTTAGTAGAGACGGGGTTTCACCGTGTTAGCCAGGATAGTCTCAATCTTCTGACCTCGTGATCTGCCCGCCTCGGCCTCCCAAAGTGCTGGGATTACAGGTGTGAGCCACTGTGCCCAGCCACAAATTATTATTTCAGATCAGGAATGTGGAGTCCAGCAAGATCACTAGATTTGCCAAAGCTCAAAAAAATACATCCTAACAAAGTGAAACCTGGTGGCTCAGCAACCAACCAGGCCACTCAACTTTTCTTCTCTTCAAGGTCCTCGTAATTCAGCATAGAACACCAAAAATTTACACAAGGAAATAAAGGAATTCAAATGCAGGCTACATAAGGAATTAATACAGCTCTAGGTGTACTATAAATAAAGAGACCAAGCAAACACGAATTACGCAGGAGTGGCAAGGGAGGACTAGAAGAAAGAAAAGCATTTGAGATGACCGTTTTGCAAACTAAACTACAAAACAGAGTGAATTGAGCAAAAGAATAAGAAAAAGCCACTCAGAAACACATAGAAGGAGAAAGGAAGATAGGAAAAAGTGTAACAGAGGAAAGGACTCAGTGCTTTTGGAGAAGCAAAAGAGTATATGGGGTGAAATGTTAAGGTGGCATTTGTGTCCCATGCAACCTTCCTGGGAACCTCCTCCAGAGTTATACCGCACTATACTGAGCACGGAATTCATTCAGAGATTCCAGACCTCTGAGATATATGCTTTCGTACCCATGTCACATTTGTACATTGCTTGTCAAAATTCTTCCATAGGGTTGTGATGAATGAGAATGTAGAGCTAAATATAAATAACCGCATAACACTGCTCATTACATTAAAAAGGAATTTCAGTGCAACATTCAAAACCAAAGGAACTACATTGGCAAATTAAAAAAAAAATCTGTAAAATTAGGAAATTTGGCTGCCTTAAAGAAAAATGATAAAAATTAACTTTCTGTGAATTTCCGTATTTCCGTGGGACCAGGCTGACAACTATATCTTTTGTGGACACATGGCCAAATTAATTCCTTGGTAAGCAATCTTTAAATCCTCATTGAGAAAGAAATAAATTCCTAATCATCGAGAAAGAAGAAATAAATGTGGGAAGTAATAAGTTTGGGGGTAATTACCACTTTTTTCATATTAAAAGATTTCAAGATTATCCAGATGTTTGCACAGTTCCCCAGAGAAAACTGAAGGCCATTTCCTGTCAGGATGGAAGGAATTATGTAGTGTATATGCAACATTTATTCTGTCATTAAAAAAAAAATCTCATAAGTTTATTCAAATAACAATGAAACGTTATTAATTCTTGGAAGATAGGAGAAGCCACTTGGGGCCTTTTGTAGTTAATTTATTCCACACAGAAGACTCCATTCAGGATTTACCTGACTTCTCTGTGTAGCCCTTTCATGTCTCTCAGGGCAACTTTATCTAGATGGGACTTCAGTTGATCTAATCCAACTGGTCTACACCAACAGTGTGGAGGGTTTGATTCAGATACAAACTGGAGCCCTCTGTTAGAGCAGTTCGATGAAGTCAGAAGGAAAATGAGGTGACATACAAAGAATGAAACTCAAATTTCACCACAAATTTTAACTGCTTTAAAGAAGTTTAGACAATAACTTTATTTTGCAAGCCTATCTTTATGCTTGTTTTTAAGCACTGCTTCCAACAATGTATTTGGAATAGTTGTAAAGGCTGTCGCATGACCCCTTTTCCCTCCTCACCTCATTAGATTTTAATGAAGTGATAATAGGAGGAAAAGATTGCACTCCAGTTTGAGGCAGAAGGTTCTTCAAGAACCCTGCCTCAGTGAGGACTGGAATTTGAATAGAAGAGTGAAATTAAAGAAACGTGAGCTGCATATTTCTATGGAGAGAGTGTAAGTCTCCCAGATTTAACACAACTGTAATACATTTTTTTACATTTACATCGAACATTTTATAGCTTATTTGTTACAGTTTTGAAAATCTATTCTCATAATTTCTGTGGTTTGATCTGATATAAGAATGTAATGTTGGAAAAGATAATATTAAAAGAAAGATAGAGGCCAGGCACAGTGGCTGAAGCCTGTAATGCCAGCACTTTGGGAGGCCGAGGGAGGTGGATCTCTTAAGCCCAGGAGTTCATGATCAGCCTGGGCAACATGGCGAGACCCTATCTCTACAAAAAATCCAAAAATTAGCTAGGAGTGGTGATGCACGCCTAAGGTCGCAGCTACTTGGGAAGCTGAGGTGAGAGGATCACTGAACCCAGGGGTCAAGGCCGCAGTAAGCTATGATGGCACCACTGCACTCTAGCCTGGCAGACAGAGCGAGACCCTGTCTCAAAAAAAGAAGTGTTAAAATCCAAGCAAGTATATGGACACAGTCTCAGGAGATTGTGAGGTAACTTGATTCTGCTCACACAGCTCAGGGTTTGTGGAGCTCATCTAGCACCTCGTTGATGCCTGGCATAGGGGTATGTTTGCTCTCTTGCTTATTTAGAGAAAGGTTCCATACAGAGTGGTATTTTCTAAAATTCTCTACATGGTGCCCTGCACATAGTAATAATTATTGAAAGAGTGACATGATTAGAGAGAGCTGGGTGATAGAAAGTATGTGGACTTCCCTGGAAGAAAACAGATGGGGCATGGTGTGGTAGAGGTGTGGGGGGATAGCCCTTATGGACCATTTAACAAAGTCATCATTGAAATGGGAGAGTTCCCTGACCCCCCTTGCAGCACATGCGACAGGGGTGTGGCTTGTGTGTGGCCGCCATGTGCTCAAACCCCTTATGGGAGGAGGAGCATGCAGATGGGCAGGTGCAGGAGCCAGGGCAAGTTCTTTTTGGGCTCTGGCCCCATGGTTGTGTCTAGGGGTGCATGTCTGTGACTCCTGAAGCCTAGGTGGGGACCGGTTACAGTGTGCTATTTTAGCCTTGCTGTCCACAGACAGCTTAAGTGTTAGACAGCTCAGTGGACCCTCTTGGTACCCAAGTCCTTGTCTGGCATCCAGAAAAAATTAGGTCATACATGGACTTGAAGGATGAATGTAGGGGTTTTATTGAGTGGTGGAGGTGGCTCTCAGCAGGATGGATGGGGAGCTGGAAGGGGGATGGAGTAGGAAGATGATCTTCCCCTGGAGTTTGGCTGTCCCACAGCCGATCCCCTCTCTTATCACCCCCAGCTGAATTCCTCTCAACATTCAAACGTTCCTTCTCTTCTCTCTGCCGCACTATTCTGCTGGTCTTTTGCTTTTCTGTTTGTCTCCTCATCTTCTTCGGGAGCCTGGGGTCTGGGGTTTATATGAGTACAGGAAGGGGGTGTGGCAGGCCAAAAGGCAACTTTTGGGTGTGAAAACAAGAATGCCTATTCTTATTCAGGGCTGTGGGATTCCAGGCTTGAGGATGGGGCCTTTGCTGGAGAACCGCCCTTCTACCCAGTATTTCCCTGTCTCTTGTCCATGTCAACATTATTTAAGTTCTTGCCTTGAGTGAGGGCCAGTTTTGCAGTCCAGATAGTTAGGATGTTTATTGCATTTGGTGCTTGTAAAAGTGCTGTGAAATAAGTATTGTACCTTCATTTTAAAGATGAGGAAAGAGGGTAAATAGGTGTCTCTGAGACTCTAGGGCAGGCATCTCTGGCATGAAAACCTAAGCTCTGTCTCCTGAGACCTAGAATTTCCCTCAAAGAGATTGACTTCAGCAGAGTAAAAGGAATTTAATGAGAAAATAGAGAAAAGTACTAGAAATGCCTACGTGCCCAATATATCCACTCCTCACTGAGCATAATTCCTGCCCCCAAACTATGGTATTAGTAAGTTTCCTTCTTGTATTCCACTTTGGAATTTGATGGAGAAGGAGAAAGTGTAAGAATAGAAATGCACCCAATTTACAAGTGGGAGAAAAGGATAAAAGCTGAAAATGACTGAAGCCTTTCCCTATGTCAGTGAGCAAGTGGGAAGGATTAAAGGAAGGATTTCTGGTCTGTGGTTTCTGTCACTTTTAAAACAAGTAGCAATACTATTCTTCTCATTTATAAATAATATAAATAAGGTGTGACACTAGAAAAGTCACATTAATGACATTTCAAGAATACCTCCATCCCCTTGGAGACACATTGGTTTGAAACAATATATGTCTTGATTGCACAAAATAAGTTCAGTGCCTTCAGATATGTAAATATTTGTACTTGAAGTAAAAATAAAAGAAAAAGAAAATGGAGGGAATTGTATGTAAAGTCAACTGAATTCTTAAAAATATAAGATGTTTTAATCTATATTTGTGTTCTCCTATAAATTCTGTGGGGGGGGGAAGGTGGTCCCTGGAAAAAAAAACAGTAAAACCAAATCATTTACGGTTTACCTAATGTTGACCCACTTCACAAAATAGTAGCTTCTAAAAATAGTACATGGAAGTTATACGCATTTCAGATTGAATAAAATTGTAGAATGATTCCACCAGCACTTGACCCCACAAACCTTAATTTCCCATAGAGTTGGCTTTCCATACCTTCCCATTTTTCCTTTCCTGCCTCTGGTTGCTTACCTGCCCCTCCTCTGTTTCCAGGGCCTGGGGTCTGGGTTTGTCTTGGCATTGTGTGGCAGAGGTCAAAGGGCATCAGAATTGAGAGAATTCTACATGAATAAACCATGATGCTATGTCAGTACAAACTTAGTTGCAATATTATTTCAGTGTGAATATAATTTTTATATATTTATGAATCAAGCAACACACAACATCATACTAGTTTTATTTTTATTACTTATTATTTCTCATTCCCAAGACCTGGATCCATCAATGCAGTGTTAATGTTTATGCTAACTTTAAAACTAACCTGTGGAATATACCTATAGAGTTGTAAAATTATTTTCTAAGAAATGATTTAATCATGGGAAGAGAGAATAATGTTTTGTTCCTTATTTTAGTGCTGTTTTTCAAAGAACTGTGTAGTAGATTTGGTATTCTATGTTTGCTATGTAGATTACTAAATAACATTTTTAACTAAATACAACTTTGGGATATCTGTATACTTTTACATTATCATATATCATATAGTTTTAGTTATTCTTTTATTTTATGGCTTCCCTAAAAGCAAAAGGTATATGTGAATAATTAAAGATATATGAAATGATTATAACTTTAATTTAATTTTTAAGTTACTGAAAACGAAGTACACTGTAGGGCCAAAATAAATATTGTCCCTATGATTCCCATTTGATGTGTTAAATGACTTATTCATTGTCTATGATGCCATAAGATCCATGGGATGTTATTCATGTTACTCATTGGTTGTTGGTTTCATGTGACCAGATACTTTACAGGATGGAAACTCATACATGGTTTCCTTGGTAGCCATTGTAATAGATGTAATCATGATGACTCATTTTGCAACTGTGCAGCTGTAATAAGTAATTCCATGGGGATCCTAATGCAATTCAGTAATAATTAAAGTCCACTAAGCAGAAAAACTTTCTGGCAATGTCAGAATACAGAGAGGCTAGTTGTCCATCATGGGTTTAAATAAAGCATGATGTACAAATGCAGAGAAAGCCTGTGTGTAGGTCTTAGGAAGAGAAAGGCAAAAGGAGCAGCATTATCTTAAATCTTTTTTCAGAAGTTTGCTTAGTTGATTTTCACATGGAAAATAATAGTAATAACAACTGCCATAATATATTGACCACTTATGTGCCAAAGTGCTTTACGTAATTATTGAATTTCTGGGGCAACCATGAGACAAAAGTATTATGGTGCTCATTTTAGAAAAGATAGGGAAATGATGCACAGAGAGGTTAATCAGTTTGCCTACCGTCCCATTCTTAGTGAGAAGGAGAGCTGACATGGAAAAATTAGGCTGTCTGAACCCAAAGTCTTCTTTGTCTCAAAAAGCCATATTTCCACTGAAGATCACGATTTCCTAGTGTATGTCTAGCCCTAATTCAGAAAACTCTCTGCTTCTAAATACTTTGGGACATTTCTTCATGACTTTTGAACACTTGATGAAAAACTCAGGTTGCTATTATTCAAAAATGATTACAAGCACACAGGCTATTTCCATTTGCCTTAAAAAATCACATTTGTTCTCATCAGACAAAGTTAGAGCCAATAAGGGATATGATTTTAAAAGCACCAAAATGACCTTCTGTCAAAAGAAATACATGCATATATACCTGTCCACCAAAATTAAAATACTATCTTACAGCATTTCTTTACTTCCTACTAAAAAATACATTTTATTTGCAGAGTTTCAAGGACAGTGAGGAGTGGTGGTGGAGGATTAGGCTGGGGGTTGAAACTGGGGAGGTGTAGTGTTGGAGAAGTGAGATGGAACCCCAGGCTTTAAGGCTGATGCTATTATTTGTGAATCATTGTGTTTAATTCTGTCTCTCCAGCATCTAACCCAGTGCCTGGCACACTGCTTTTGGCCCATTATTGTTTGATGAGTTGAGTAAGAGGACTTTCAGGGGTGTGTGTGTGTGTGTATGTGCATGTTCATGAGTGTGTGTGCACATGTGTGTGTGTGTGTGTGTTTGTGTGTGTTCCCATTAGAAAGAATTTTAGGAAAAGAAAGAAAAAGAATCTGAAGATTTTGGGTGATTGGATTAAGGATGGGAGCCAGCTGGTAGGACTTTCAGAACTGAGGGACGAGGTGGACTAAAGAGAGACTGAAAGTGCAGAATACAGATAATAGTATGATATAGTAATAGTAGAACATAAAGAAAAGACTCTGGAGTCTGAAGGTATCATGGGTATCCCTCCAATAATCATGAAACCTTGTGCAAATTATTTCCTCTAGGTCTCATTCCTCTTTTCCAAACTAGGGGTTGGTAATTCCATCCATCCATTCGTCCGTCCATCCACCTATCTATCTGTACATCCATCCAATTATTTAGAGAGTAGCTCTAGAGATAAATGAGATAATGTGTATAAAATACTTAGTATACTATAAGCAATATAGAAAGAATTCAAAAATAAAAATGACTTTAAAATCTTAATCCTCACCACATCCCTCTGTGATGTAGGTATTATTATCTCCATTTAACAAAGTAACTAATGCTTAGAAAGAATGACTAACTTTCTCAATATCACATAACTAATAAGTGATGATGGTTTTGTCCTTGGCTCTTAATTACCCTACTATATTGATTATTTATTTATTTATTTTTAATTTTTTCAGCTTTTATTTTAGGTTCAGGAGGTCCTTGTGCAGATTTGTTACATGGGTAAAATGCATGTCCCTGGGGTTGTGTGTACAAATGATTTTGTTACCCAGGGAGTGAGCATAGTAGTCTACTGACACTATTAGACTCATTCATTCATATAGGTTTATTTAGACTGGTAGAAGTTGGCAAAAGTAAATTTCAAATTTAGGACTAGACTCTTCCTCAGGTTCCTATTTTTGGCTTTTGCAGGTTCCTATTTTTGGCTTTTGCATATTACTATTGCATTGCTGTAAATTCTCCACTTGCATTTCCTTAGTACAGGGCAGGTGGAAAGAGGCTTGGACCTTGGCAAGAAACGGCCTCCTTACCAGCCCCACATTATATGAATTTCTCTCCGTGCTTGCCAAGACATTGGTTGCTCCTTTGCTGTATTTGAGGCAGTTTAGTTTAATTTTTCATTATGACAGGTTTTCGTCTCCAATTCTTTATTTAGAGCATAGTTCTCAAAACTTTTTCATTCTGTAATCCCTTTGAGGGTTTCCACAACCCTCAAACATACCTTGAACTACTTTGCTATCAAAATAAAAGTGTGGAAGAATAATTCAGCTGTTGGGAGGAGACACCGGTGATGTTTTTTACTTTCCTTGACCCTGAAGAAGGAAGGAAAGCACTCAGCACTCAGGGGAAGGTGGGAAGTGAAGAGAATTCAGGGTGGACTGGTAGTCTGGCCTCATAGTCAGAGAAAAAGATGCAGAGGAAGAGGTTTCCTGAGAATCTAAAGCCGCTCTTACCTACCATATGTTAGAAGTGTCGCAGCTCTGATCCTGTGAGTCCCTCAGAATATCCCTGGGGAAACAAGACATCCTCTTGGAGAATATTGATTTGAAACAAACAGCTTTTTCTTCTTTTGTTCCCATTCTCTGCCTTCCATCTCAAAAACCTTCCCTTTCCACCATTTTCCCTACTCCTCTCTTCCCTCTGGATTCTCTCCACTTTTTGTCTTCACCCACTCCTGTTTGGAGGAGTCTAGTGATTTGATCTACTTTTCTTTGATGTCTCAAGTGGTCTTACTTCCTCATAACCCCATTGACTCCTTGCCCTCTGACACAGAAAGCCTCAGATCCCAGTTGAGCTTTTGTCTTTCACACCAAATGCAGATGAATAACACTGGGATTTTTGCCTTTTACTGGTGAGCAAATCCGAGCTGGCTTTCCCTTTAACTTGCTCCTCTTTTTTCGTACCTGGTTTTCCTGAATTGACCAAGTTGCAGCTATTTTTCTCTTTAACTTCCCCCTTCAGTTTCAGCGAAAATAAACTACTTCCTGACTTCAACCCCTGGCAGGAGGGTGATGTTATACTGAGTGAGTAACTTAACTACAGAGTTAGAGGAAGTGAACTCTCAGCATTGTTTGCCTATTGGGTAACATTTGTTTTTTTCTTTGGGATGAAGGACTTCTTGACTTTTAAGGACATTGGGCTTGAGTTTTGCCCTCACATAAAGATTGTGTGTGGTCATTGAAAGTTCGACTGCCACCAAGACTATACATGTTTGCGGCTGGCTCCCTGCCATTTGTTCATTCCGACAGCCTCCCTGAAGTCTGGTTCTCATCTGGTCCTTCCTAAGGCCATTTGCTTTGTGATATATCACTGGGATTTCTGTCATCACTTACTTTATAGTTTCCTATTCTAGCAGCAGCAACAGGCTCCTATTTAGTGACTCTGTATCATAATGAATCCACGTTACATCAAGTTTACTGTCTTTCTGTGTCTTTGTATAATTTTAAATAGATCTCCCTGCTTATTTAGAAACTCTGTGGATTTGCCACATCCTCTATTTCCATCTACTCATGTTGACTACTTAAATACTGTCATTTGGTACCACATTTTTCTTCTCTCCTTATGCAATGAATACTTATTATGTCTCTCATACTCTGTCTAATCAATCCATCCTCCTTTTCCTTTCTGGGAACAAGACTAAAATTATTTCTTCTCCTTCAAACTTAACTTTGATCTTCCTGGGACAAAAGAAATGTGTGATATGAGGAACTTCTTATTCTTTGCCCAACAGGTAATCTTTTATACATTCCTCCTTCTTTCTCCCTTAGGTCATTTTTTTTCTCTTCCTTTTTCCTTCAGAATAATTCTGCCCAGCAATTTCTATCCTCATATGTGCATATTAATCTTACAACTTAATATAACATGAAATATAGTTCATTGTATTTAATATGTAACTTTAAAATCTAATTTTTAGTGACAAATGCTGAGAAATTCACTAAATAGTGCATCAAAATCAGCCTTAAAAAATAAGAACACAGTTTACCATCTTATATATTATTTCCACTCATTTTCCACTCACTGAGTTGTTCTTAAAAATGATCAATAAGCCAAGATTCTAGCTGACTTTTTTGGCATAAACCACTACCTGGGTGGATAGATGATATTTTCTCTAAAATATCAAACCAATACATTATGAAGTGTACCTGGATGTTCTTTAACAGATTGGCTTAGATATAGAGTACACAAATCACTGGTTTCGCTTTTCATTCCTGAGATGGTGCAGATTCTTTCTTCTGCTCTTACAAGATTACACTAAATGTGCTGCTTACTCTGTCACCACAAAGAGTTTTCCAATCAAGGGCAGTTCATGGGGACTTACTGATCCCTCCATAATACCTGAAGTGATAGCAGAAACAGTAGATGTTAAATAAACTTAATAAACATGTTTTGGAAGTTACCTGTTTGCATTTCCCCATGATAGCTGGCTTTAAAATACAGAAAAGAAAAAAAGAAAAATAAGCTCCAAATTTCCGCAGAGTTTATCAATCTTTCTAACAGGTTTTTTTCTCTTTTGTTCTGAATTCATTTTATCATGGCCTTTATCAATTCTCCAAAGCAATGATCACCCTTGGGGAAGAAGTATGGAGGAGTGGAAAGAGCTTAGATTTGAAGTCAGGTGGATTGAGGTTACAGCCTCACATCCGTGTCTGCATAAGTGATTTCGTCTCTCTGGGCCTCTCATCCAAAATGGGACTAACAATTCCTAACTTTCCATCAGGTTTTAGAACTGAAGATAATGTGTAAAAACACCTAACAGTGTCTGGAAATGAAGGGTATAAATAAAATATTATGGTGGCTTATTGAGTTGTATTATTTGTTTTATCATGAACTGATACCTACATCAACTTTACAAGTTGAGGCAGAGGCAGACCTCTTTGGTATAATTTCTGAGATACTGGAAAAGTCTGGAAAATGCTCCAAAACCCTCTCACATACTGATCTGATGTTTCTATTCCCACCTTCAGTGTGTTCTTTCTGTAAAGTTTAGCTCATTGTTAAGATGTAAACACCATGCGAATTAATACTTTAAGTTTTACCAACAGCCACCCTTTGATGTGAATGGACTTATCAGAGATCTTTTTAGTGGGATTTGATTGGGAAAAAGTGAAAGAGACAAGTTTAAGGTACTGGAATTCTGGGGCCTGAGGGATTAGGGAATATATGGAGGCATGATGAAAAGTTCAGTGCGTTAGGGGACAAAGGGTACAAAGGCTGCTTTTGAGGTCTCTTCACATTTGGCCTCTGAATCAGGGTAATAGTCTTGTAAAAAGCAAAGTAGAGGTTCCTCTTCAAAGACTATCCTCCCCATCTAATTAGGAATAAATAGTAACTTCTCTTAGAAGCAAAACTTATTCAAAGACCTGTGCTAACATTCTTAAATATCTGCTAGCCGTAATTAAAAAAATCAATGTACTTTATGTTCTTAACTCCCATAACTTAGCCTAAGTATTTGCCCTAGCATGCTTATACTGGTCCAAGCAAGCATTAGGTCATAGCCTGTTCCTCTTGCTTATTTAAAGGTGTTTTTATGTTTCACAGCATTCCACAAGTTACTTCTTCCTTCCTTTGTTCTCCTCTGCCTTTGCCTCTTTTAAAAAGTTCTAAGTTGCTAGCCAATCGGGACAAATACAGAATGTGAGGTCCCATTCCAGCCAATGGAAACCAGACAGCAGTAAGGTGGATGTGTCAGATTATAAATGACCCTGTCTCCTTTGTTCAGTATACTCTCATGGCAAAACTGCTGGCAAGTGTACCCTTTCTGCAGAAAGTAAAAATGGCCTTGCTGAGGAAATTAAATTTATGTTCAAGTGATACTTCTTTACGGCACCAAGGAACAAGCATTTCTAACAGTTTCAACCCTCTTTGCCCATCAGAATCACCCCAGAAGCTTTCAGACATATAATACCTAAGCCCCTCACCTCAGAAATTATATTTAATTGTTTGGTAGGGCATCTTTAGTGTTAAAAAGCCCTGCTTATAATTCAAATGTTTAGTCAAATTGAAAACCAAGGAGTTAGAAGATGTAGGGCCATGGGAAACATTTTTATGCAATTCTCCCTAATCTACTCATGGACTGAATTAAACCATTTTAAACCCAGTCTCTTAAAGAAAGACATTTTCATTTTGATTTAATTACTTTTTAGATCCACCTAAAAAATGCAAGACCATAATATTTATTGACTCAATTGCAACATTTTGTTGAAGGACATAAATTTTAATAATACCTAAAAGATTCTAGGATCAGGTCAACAATCATCAACAAAGTAGAGGCTTTTGCATTCTTATTATTATTACAGTTCTTGCATTCCATAAACAAGCTTCTTGTTCTCTCTCTTATTTCTCCAAGAAAGAGAATTGCAATAGAATCTTCAGGAAATTATCTTTAATGATTAATTCAAGTAACTAACTTGTTTATTGTTTTATAATGTATAATGCAGCTTTTTATATGTCATAATTGGGTAGGTATTATTATTATCATTCCCACTTTCAGGTGAGAACACAAAGAGTTAGAGATTTTGAATGACTTGCCCAAGTTAATGCAGACTTAAATGCAGACACAGAACTTGCCCCAGGGCTTTGATGCTAAAATGTGTATGCTTTCTACAGTTCATTATTTTGAATTTCATTTGTGTTTCTAGATGTTTAGTTGTATCTTGGTAATTTGTTTGGCTCAGAATATTTTCTCTATAATAACCAAGGCTTTCACGGATTATACTGGATAGAAAATCCCAGAGCTGCATGGTTGGCTTTGTCTCAGTCTTCTTCTTTAAGATGACCCTAAGTCCCATTCAGCCTGGGATGGTCTTTGTTTTATTCTTTTGTCCTGGAGTAATTGTTTATAATGCCCCTTTTACTCTCCAAATGGTCCCAGTTTGGATGATAAAGTATATGGCCATCAACCTAATAAAGATTTTGGAACATGGCAGTATGTATTAAGCTGCTTCTTTTTATTTTGCAGAAATATGTTATTTATTTGATTGAGTTTTTTTTCCATTAATAGTTTCCATAGTTTATTTATCTCATATCATGTTTTATTTAGAATTTTATTGAGATTTGACTATGCAGTGCATCTAGAATTGTGGTGGTGATAATAACTTTAATATACTAATTGTTGTTTACATTTATTAATCACTGATTTATCTAAGCACACACTTACCTACGTTACACCTATTATCTCATCTAATACGTATGTTATAGAATCAAATTGGGGTCTGCTTGCCTGGCATAGTAAGACCAGATATACACACTGAGGTTCTGCAGCGGTAGAAAGGAAAGTATTTATTTGCAAGGCACCAAGCAAGGAGGACAAGGCAGCTAACGCTTAAATTCTGACCTCTTTGATGGCTTTCAGGTAAGGGGTTTTAAAGGCAAGCATGAATTCCAGGAAAGCAGAGGAGGGAGAGGGTTGGGGGAAAGAGGAGGCTCACAGGGTCATAGATGAATTCAAAACTTTTCCGATTTGTGATTGGTTCAGGAGGTGAAGTTTTGTCTAAAAATTTGGGATCATCAGAAAAGAATGTTAGCTCTGGCTCACGGGCATAACCTCCTCCAGGTTCCTCAGAAAGAAATTTAGAACAAAGAACTGTGGTCAGAGTTCAGTCTTCATCTCTCCCTTATCTGAGGTCTACCTTCCAGTGGATCCATTTGGTAGGTGTCTGGGTTTCTGAAAAACGACTCAGAGACAAATTTAAGATGTGATTTTTAGTTTCTATAGGGAACCAAACATCTAGTGATGCCAGCTTCCTTGGCTATTTTTTTAAGCTACTATTACCTTCTTACCAAGTTGCCTAATTATTCTCAAGGCTGGCCTGGAATTTCCCTTGAAAGAAATCAATCAAGATTTTCCTTTATTTCCATGCTTGGGGGCCCACAGGCCTCTAAAAAGAAGTCCCTGCTCTGTCTCCCTTAAAAAACTTTGTGGGCCAGGCATGGTAGCTCAAGCCTGTAATCCCAGCACTTTGGGAGGCCAAGGCAGGTGGATTTCTTGAGTCCAGGAATTTGAGACCAGCCTGGGCAATGTGGCAAAACCCCCTCTCTACCAAAAATATGCAAAATTAGCCAGGCATGGTGGTATGCACCTGTGGTCCCAGCTACTCAGGAGGCTGAGGTGGGAGGATTGGTTGAGCCCTGGAGGTGGAGATTGCCTGAGCCAAGATTGCACCACTGCACTTCAGCCTGGGCAACAGAGTGAGATCCTGTCTGTAAAACAAAAACAAAACCCAAAAAACTTTGTGAAGTGGGTACTAGCATTGTCCTCCTTTACAGATGAAAACAGATCTAAAATGAAGTATAGAGATGCCAAGTAACTTGCCCTGGGGCTTAGAGCCCATTAGCAGAGTTAGAACTTTAGCCCACATCTGACTTCAAAGTCCAAGCTTCAAATCATTCCACTAAAATCCAGGCCCTCTTCTCTTACCCATTCTACAAGCACTGGCCTCCTACATAGCCATGAGCAAAAGTTCTCGTCCTGATTATTTGCCTGATGAAATAGTGCATAGAGGAGCATGAGAAGAGGGAAGTGTTCTACTCAACACGCTGTTGGAAACTTCACCTCTCCATATACAGTTGTGTCTACAGCTCCAAGGATATTTGTAGAAAATATAAAAAATATTTAAACCTTTGTTCTAGTATAGACTAAATATCCAGAAGATTTATTTCTTACCTTTATCCATATGTTTTAAAATGACCTGAACTATTTCAAGTCAGCAACTTGGCCAGCAAATTTTATAACATAACATTTTGAGTTCATTGATGCTAGACCTACCTTTGATTATTCATGTGGACCTGACTGTGAGAAAGGAACCAAGGAACCAAGGGTAAATGAATAGGCTTAGCCAAACATTTGGTACAAGGTTGAAACATTGTAGGTACACAAATATATACCAGAGAGATAGAATTTTTACTATACTGCATGCTACTGGGCAGAAGTGCTGGAAGAGGGCAGAAATTTGAATATTGAAAGTGGAAAAAAATATATCTGAAATTCTATCTCAGATGTACCCCTCATGAAAAGTAAAATCAAAACTCCTGTAGCATGACCAAAATGGTATAGTGAGCCCAAGTATTTAGTTATTTAGTGTTCAGGCTGATTGGTATTAGGAATTTAGTAATTACTCAATGTGAATTCTGCCCTCAGGGAGACCAGGGTAGCAGTGAATATGAAATACAAAACAAAATAAATGTGTTGATCATCTTGTGACATTTGAGGGAATATTTTGGGCAGAGGGAGTTGAGAACATTTCTGAATGCAGAGAGTCGAACAACAATGAAAAAGACAGCATTTGCTCTGTGGAAGAAAAGGAGCATGGCTGTATTTGGGAGTGATAGAGGCCATTGATGTGTCAGTGACCAAAGAACAGCATCTCGTGGGGCTGCGGGGGACAGGCTATCGTGGCCTTGTGGTGGACACAGAGCACATGGGCACACAGTCTCAGTGGTACAATTACTTGAGGCAAGCACTGAAGACTAAGTAGTAAAGCGAGAAATGGTTGTGACAAGAGCCATATGGTGTGCATCCAATGTTTCTTTTGTACAATGTTGAAGATTCTGAAGGGGTAGGAAAAAAAACAATGAAGATATACTTGAACAGACCTAGATTAAGAGATTTTGTAGAGGCTATTGCAGAGGATGAATATAAAAGAAAGATGAATATAAAGTGCCTGAGATTAAGGAATGAAGCTGAAGTATAGACCTTCTATAAGCTAGCACAGCTCTAACTCTTCTTTTTATAGAGGTGAAATAGAAAGCAGATTTTCTTCCATTCAGCCAAACCAAACACTAATAAAATTGGCCAGCGTGAATGCAGAAATAAATCATCCCAAACATGATTAATGTTCATATGTAACAGAGTTTCTGAAAGCAGGTACAAAGTATATTTTTTCCACCATCACGTAAACTCCATAACATTTCCATAATTTGAAATTTCAGAATAAGAAAAAACAAAACCCAGCCTAAATGCTTCTCTGAAGAGCAGTCATTATAGCTATATTTGACAAGAAAAAAATAAAACAGGTCCGTTGAAAATTAAAAGAGCAATTTTTTAAATTTCTTGTTGTTTTTCTTCATTGTGAGAATTTAGTCAGTTTATAATAATAATGTACCATAATTTTTATTTTCATCAAAGGCTATGTTAGTACAGTAGTTACAGTGGTTCTAAAAGGTCCATGGGTATGTATGAATAGTAACCCTTCTTAGAAGGCTGCTGAGATGTTTGAAAATTATTCCAACAAAGAAAAATCCCAGACGACCAAGTCAAATTGTGAAGAAGGTTAACTTTGCATTTGTTTTTTCCTCACTGCTTTGTGCTCTTTCTTGTCTCACATTTATTCTGTCTTATTGCTTCCTCATGCTAGAAGCTTCCTCATGCTCAAGACCATTCTCTCAATGTCCTTACGCCTTTCTCAGGCCATGGACCCTGGCTGAAATTCTATTTCTTCTTTTTGCTTCAACAGAACTTCCCCATCTATTCCCCCTTCCCCCAGGGATTTATATTCTTTGCAGGGGAAATGCTAATGGATGAGCAGGCTCAGTGTGTGTGCAGACAACATTGGTGCTCTGCCCCGGTCCCCTGCAATCCCTTGTCCCCATTTTGGGGGCCCTCCTGGCTTTGTGGGCTTTTACTTTCAATGGCCATGATCTGTTGCTTTGGGAGCCTCTTTGCTCACAAGAAGTTGGGAATTTACATGCTCTTGGAATGGTCCTTAATGAACAACTGAAAAGCATAGTATTCTGAAAGCCTAGCTCTCTCACTTGGGTCACAGGGAATGATGAAATTCAAGCTGGAGCTTGCTCAGCCTCCTCTCCTCCCCTCTTCTCCCTCCCCCTCCCCTGCTTCCTTCTCCTCTTCCTGATATCCCCGGAAGTGGGTATATCTCGTAGACATAATCTTGGTCTCAGAGTCTACTTCGTGGTACCAAATTTAAGGCAGTACCAAATGTAAGGCATTTCTTATTTCCTTCCACTATAGAAAATAAGAAATGTCATTCTCCTAAATGCCATAGGTAGGGACAAGATAATAAACAACTAGAGAAGAGTTTATTGAGCTTTTCATACTTATAGGGGCACAAAAAAGACTAAGTTTTTATGTTTTAGCTGTGATGACTGAAGTCATGATGCTTTAGTTCAAAGGACTTAACTCCTTAATGATGGAACAGTGTGCCTATGTGAGGTAGGGACTGTTATGTTCAAGTGCCTTGAAATGGTGCCCTGAAACTCTGTAGGTGACTACTCAATTGCCTATGCATAAGGTAGGGTTTAGTTATAGAGGTAGACTAGGTTATATCTTCAAATCCAAGTTACTGTTTTTCTCATCCCTAAAATGGGGTTGTAGTGAAGTTCAAATAAGATAATGAAATTACCTAGTGCTTAGCCTGTGCTTAACACATTAAATTCATCAACATTTGCAATTTCTTGCAAAGTATATTGTATGTAACACCCCAAAACTCAGTTGCCTTAAAATCATAATCTCATATTTAGCTTGCAGTCCTGTGGGTCGGGAGTTTAGGGCTTGGTGGTTCTTTGGGACCTCACTGGGCTCAGTGACAAGTCTGGGTGTCGGGTGACTGCTGGCTGGGGGAGCTTGTGACTGGTTGCCTCATTTCTATATGGGCTGGCTGTTGTTGAACTTAACGACTTTAAGTCAAATTGAAATAGATTTAAATTATAGTTTAGCATTTTATTAAAGCATGACTTTGAGTAAGTACTTTACTTTTTTAAATGCCCCAGTTGCCATGTCTATAGAATGAAATTCTTCAAATCAGGGAAATTCATTTTGAAATAGACCAATTAATAGAATTATAAGTAGCAGAATCACAACAAAATGTAAGTTCATTTTGCTTAAAGATTGAAGTCTTGAAATGCATGGCTCACAAAATATAGTAACTATTAGTGGTAAATCTCAATGTACATTTTATGGTGCCACTTGATATAGTTGAGAGCTACTAGTTAGATATTAGATGCATTGAATGTACCTTCTATTGGGTTTCTGTCGTAGGGAAACTGGTTAGCTTTATTAATAAGGACATTAATAACATTAAGTTCATCCATTTGATCTTAGTGTGGGCCAGTGAACTTTCATGTTTCATGATCACAGATTGGATTCCTAATCCTTGTGTTTATTATGTGGATTTGTAATGCTTAAGATGAGAACACTAATGAAACGGGTCAGTATGGACACGACAGTACAAATCCCAAAAGGCCATATGTACGTATGTGTGAGTGTGTATGTGCGCAAGCCTGCGTGTGTGTGTGTGTAATAATGTAGCACAGCAAAGTGGGTGCAAAGGATCCAGGAGGCATTAGGTTAGAATCAGGATGTTAGTATAGCTGTGAAATACACCATAAACTCATGACAATGACGGGGAAATACTCAAAGTGCATATATAGTTAATACATGAGAAAATTCATTTTTTAACATTTTCTTAATTTTTTTTTTTGTTTTACTTGCCACTTGGTAGCAAAGAAGATTCATTTTTTGAAAGGAAGGACAGCATGATTTTTGTTTGCTCTCCCTGGTCCTTAGTTCTAGGTTTATAAAATAAGAGTGGTGATATACTTTTCCCATATATTAATTACATCATTTATTTAAGCAGACCCGGGGAGAAAGTACTTTGGGCTCCTTAGAAGAAAGGCACAATATTCAGCTAAGAGGGTCTATTATTTTTATGATTTCCTTCAGAAAATGCTCAAATATAGATTTATTGTTGGAATAGGGAAAGTATATTTTGCCCTGGAATAGCAAACCACAGAGATAATCAAAGTCGATTTATGAATTGCTGAACTCTTAAATTTAAAAAGAGCTAAAGAGCCAAGAAAATTCTTGGTGCCTAAATAACATGGAACTAACAGAACTGAAAGGACCATTCTGGCTCCACAATTCTCAATTCTATGATTTTGTGATTTTATATACATGGGGTGCCATGTTTTAAGGTGCACTAATTAAGCGCCTCTCCTACAAACTGTTCCATTTTTCCTACTTGCCTCCTTCTAATTAAATAAACTCTTGATCTTGATCATTGGCCTTCTCTGTGGGTTCTTTGCATAGGAGTTATAACTTTTCATATGCTCTGAACCCTTTCAAGCCAAAGCAACCCATTTGTTAGTAACTAGGAGGTTATCTTTGTTTTTAGATATGTTTCACTGTCGACCCTGTCTCGTATATTTCCTCCATGCTCAAGTTTACTTGCCAGAGAGTACTTACACTATAGGAAATAAGAAATCTTATTCTCCTAAATTCAATAGGTGGGACAAGATCACAAATAATTAGAGAATAGTGTATTGGGCTTTTGTACTTTTAAAAATTATGGGGCATAAAAAAGACTAAGAAAAACCCAAAGATAAATGTGAAAATCAAACACAGGTTGATGTTGCTCTTGGTCAGGCCAAGAAGCCTGAGATGCAGCAAATATGTCAGGTGAAGTAAAGGGATTGACAGTTCACAGGCTGCAGAATTCCTCTTGTACTTTTTCTCACTGTGTAAGTAAACGACATTGTTATTAATCACTGAATCTCATGGGAGAATATGCAGCTGCATCTTGCCTCAAAATAGCTGCCATTTCCAGATAGTTGGTCTTATGCTGGGCTTGGCCACAGCCCTGAGGAACAGACCATTTTGGAAGACAAAGCTAGTGGCTTTCTCCACTGCTTACTTCTTTCTAAAATCAAATGTAGAACCAGAAGAGAAACATGTTGATCTAGCCAGCATTTCCACTGCTCTAGATAGTATTATGAATGATGAGAAACTCTTTAGCAGAACACAACAGAAAAAAAAAAGGTTTAGGTTTCTTATTTCTATTATATTTATTATTTTCTAGATCAAGGGTTTTAAAAAAATTTAATTTAGAGAGAGAAATTTCCTTTCTTAGTTTAGAGGTATTTCACTGGAGACAGCAGCAACCACAATTGCCAAGTAGCTAGAGGAAATGGCTTCTCAAATAGAAGGGAATGTTATTAATTCCTAAGATAGCAGTATGGTAAATTCAAAGGAATTAGTTTGTAAATTTGACTTGGTAATGAACCACTGAAGAAAAAAAAGGGGCTAAAAATTTCTCCTAAATCAATAGCTGACACTGGATACCTGAAATGCCATGACACTTTTACAGAACATTTTAAATAGCTGGTAAAAATAAAATGAGTCAATTATATCATAGGACTTGACAAAGAGAGTCCTAATGGTTGAGTCTTAAAAGAATATGCAGAATATAAACCTAGGGAAAACCTCTTAGAAAAGCTGGAGAATAAGGACCTTTTGTGTTTTGTCTGGAAAACTTAAATACTAAGGGGAAAAAAAAATCCATGAATCCTTGATTACAGCCCATAGTTTCGTAATCCAAATCCTATTTTTCATCTGTAATACCCAGGAAAGGGGATCTCACTTTCATAATGAGAAAGAAAATAAAGGTAAATTTAGAACAGTAAGAGAGCACATAGAAAAAGAAACAGGCCTGAGAGGCATTTGCAGGTTTAAGGTAACAGGGCTCCATAAAGAGGAAACTGCAAGAGAAGGGAAAAAGTCCCTGTCCATCATGCCTGTTTAAAGAAACTTAGTGCCTTGAGGTTACATAACATAATAATGGCCAAGATAATTTTTAGTGAAATAAAATGTTAAACTATGAACGTACATGTAAAATTACACTCAGGAATATAATTGAGGTTTCATGGTATGAAAATTAAATGACTTATGAACTATAAGCTACTATCGTTGGAAAATTTATATATGTATGTGTGTGTGTGTGTGTGTGTGTGTGTGTATGTATCTTGGCCACAAGATATAGATATCTAAAGCCTCTTTTTATATGTATTGTTTGATACGTTTAAACTAAGGGGTTATTTTACCATGGATTCAAACAAAACACACATACATACATAACACACAACCACATATGTCACCCCTCCCACCTTTCATAAATTAAACAGCCAACTGCCTCAGCCTTCATCCACTTTTCTTATCACCTGTTACCAAAAGAAATCTAACATCGGCCAGGCGCGGTGGCTCACGCCTGTAATCCCAGCACTTTGGGAGGCCAAGGCGGGCGGATCACGAGGTCAGGAGATTGAGACCATCCTGGCTAACACGGTGAAACCCTGTCTCTACTAAAAATACAAAAAATCAGCCGGGCGTGG
Source organism: Homo sapiens (assembly GCF_000001405.40). Taxonomy (NCBI): domain Eukaryota; kingdom Metazoa; phylum Chordata; class Mammalia; order Primates; family Hominidae; genus Homo; species Homo sapiens. The sequence continues at coordinate 148,847,391 of NC_000004.12, forward strand.
TGGTGGGCGCCTGTGGTCCCAGCTACTCGGGAGGCTGAGGCAGGAGAATAGCATGAACCCGAGAGGCAGAGCTTGCAGTGAGCCGATATGGCGCCACTGCCGTCCAGCCTGGGCGAAAGAGCGAGACTCCGACTCAAAAAAAAAAATAATAATAATAAATAAATAAATAAAATAAAATAAAACACACATACACACAAAAGAAATCTGACATCACCATCTGGTGTTCACTGAGGGCTGTTTGGTACTAGCCAGAGGGAAGGTGGGTGGGATGCCCTGTGTCCCGGGAGAGTTCAGCTTTGTTAGAAGTGGAGACCTGGGAGTGGAAGGTGGAAGCAGCGCCCAGAGGTGAGCTACACAGGCTTAGACAGGGTGAAGAGAGCGCACTCAGGCCACGCGTAGGTCGCTGCCAGTTTATTCTCTGAAAACATTTTAAGACAAGGGGAACATTGGATTTCAAAGGCTCAGGGAACACTTCTCCTTTAGTCCCTTGCCCATTTAGCAGTTTGAGGCTGCCATTTGTGCACTAGAGAAATTGTGACATTGCAAGTTCCTGTTGTATTAATATTTGACTGTTTTATATGTAGTCGTTAAGGTAAATGTTTAATAAGCAATCACAAGTCAGTTATGGGCGCTGTTTCTGTTTTTTTCTATGGATGTAGTTGTGAGCAGCTCTGGGAGAAGAACAAAGCATATGCAGAAGATTTCAAAGTGAGTTTTATTGCTTCATTAACGTTCTTACAGTGTTTCCCTCCAACACTACTAACTGAATGGAATAAAAGAAGCTGCCTTCAAAGAAGGATAGAGTCACTTCCTTTCCCCACGTCTGCTTTAATTGTCTAGTTTTTGTTATCTATTCATTTTTTCTTCAGAACCTAAAGCCTCTTACTTATTATATGTATTGTTTGATACATTTAAACTAAGGGGTTATTTTACCATGGATTCAAACAACAAAAATAGACAAGTGAACTTTCTGGATTTTCAGTTCCCATGCCCAACCCCTTTTTCTAATAACAAAGGATGGCATTTTCTCTTGAACATGTTTGTCTGTTTTTCTTTGAGCTTTTTACCTCTAATTTTCCGTAATTAACCACATTGGCTGAAGCTTATATACTGTGGTTATTTACTGATACTAATTTAGCTTTTCCTCTTTACATTTTTCTGCTAATGCAGTCTATTTCTTTTATTAAAAAATGTTCTAGGCAATTTTACTTCCAGCAACCCCAAGTCATTGGCCTTTATTTTGTTCTTTATTCCATTTCCGAAATGGACAATGATAAATGAACAGCCATCAAAGCCCTGTAGTACGATGACTGTGACCTTAATTTTGCAGTTAACACTCTATATTGCTTGTCTGAAATGTGCACTCCATCCTTTTCTCTTGGCTTTTCACTGCCTGCTTGTGTTTTGTTTTCTTTGTTTTCATGTTCTTTTTCATTAAGACCAGTTCCTCTCTATGAAACACCTCACTGTAGAACACTAAGACAGGCCTCACAGACCAAGGATCAACTAAACCCTACATAACTGTGTAGTCTTCCCACTCTGAAATATATGCATACAAAAGTATAACCAACATTAATATATACATAATATATATAGATATCTACATAGTTTACTAATATGTAAAATATATTTTTTGTGTATCTGTATCATCTATCCATCTACCTATCTACTATCTATCTATCTCTTCAGAAAAGAAATTCAAAGATTAATATGTTATCACTCACCTCTAGAAGAAAGAACATTTTTCTTTTGGTGATGGAGGGGCATTGAAAATCCAAAACCAACTTTAAAAAGAAACTTGACCTATCCTTCAAATGCCTTTCTAAAGAAGTACTTCCAAGGCGTTGCCTCTGGTTGCTCTGTGAATGGTCATGGAGAAGCAACTCTTACAGGTGTGAAGGGGCAGTTGCAATCCAGTCTTCACAGGCTTGTGCAAGTGTCTGCCCAGATAGTGTCATGATGCTAAGAAAGGAGACAGTAATGCTCTGTCAAATGTGTCAGGAAGAAAATTATGGTGGTCAAGAGCCACTCATCAGCCACTGAACACTGACTTCCACTGCTTCACACGGCCTTCCCACTGCAAATCTCTATTCCAAATATAAATACACAACTTACAAGGAAGAAAAAAAGGGGACCAGCCCCAGGGTCCCCTGTTTTCACCTATGGTACTTGTATTTCTCTGTTCTTTCTGGGAGTGGACTTGCATGGGTATTTGTTTCCGCTAATACCCGTGATAGCTAATACTCATGACACAGCAGCTGGTCCCTGAGCTCCAGGTACATATTGGGTACAAATGAGGAGATTAGGCAGGCACAGCAATGCTTTCTGGTGAGGACACAGGTACTAACAGTTTTCTTAGCACCTACTTTTCTTGAGTAAGAAATGACTAGCCTGTCCTGTGACTCACTGGTGAGCTAGGACTTTAAGTGGCTTCAGGTAGAATCTGGTCTTTCCTAGGACTTCCACCAAATCTGCTATACTTCATGGTGACAATAATAGTGAATATTCACCAGTTACCAGTGTGCCAGGTGTGGACTCTGGGCTTTAAATATGTCAGGCCATTTAATCCTCTCTATAAATCTTAAGATGGGTTCTGTAGTTAGCACTGTTTTGAAGATCAGAAAACTAAGGCACTGAGAGACTAAATAACCTCCCCTAAAGTTACATAGAAAGGAAACAGCAGAATTAGCATCAAACTCAGTCAGTCTGGCTCCAAGCACTTTGTCCTTCACTATTCTGAGGGACGGAGGCATGGTGGGACAGGATGATTCTGGCAACTTGCCTTTTCTCACCGTCTCTTTACAATTCTCTGGAATAGGAATTGACTTCCAAAGTGGCTTTGTGAGGACAGCTCTTAGGTAAGGGTGGATGCTGGCTCCAGCATACTAAATGCAAGCTATTTCGCCACAGGAGTTAATTTGTTCCTGTGTTGCTGGGATATATACCAAGTAATCTAAGGAAGATGAGTGTGTGACTGAAAATCTCTGGGCAGAGTATACTTTTCCTGTGTGTGCAGAGCTTCTCTCAGTGTAGACAGCCCTGGTTAAATATTAAGGAAAGGTTATTTGAGGAGAGTGGCACAATCTTACTTCATGGAAACTATATCCATGTGGTCATGTGCTTAAGGTGTGGCTAGCTACTGGAAAGTGTTGTAACTTACTTTGTGGGACACATAAAAACAAACTAACACTTTGAGGGAGTAATTGAATATATACAAAGTATTATATTGTGACTTATTAAAAAAGAAAATACTAGAAGGAGAGGTGGAATAATACTTATGTTTGTCACTAAACCATTTGCAAGTGAATTTCACATTATCTCACCTAATCTTGTTTATAGACAAGGAACTGGACCTTACAGAGATTAAGTAACTTCCCCAAGGTCACAAATGTAATAAGGGCAGAACTGGATTTGAAATCAAGTTTGTGAATACCAAAGTCCTTGATCTTTCTATATCACCGTGTGTGTGTGTGTGTGTGTGTGTGTATGTGTGTGTGTTGGAAAAGGAGGGAGATTGGCAATGGGGGAGGGGAGTGTACTGAATAGAATTTTAAAAACACAAAGTGGTTTCCCCTAATAGTTCCAGTAAAAGCTCAGTGATATCACTTCTATACATAAGTGCTAGAGGTCATTGACTTAACAAATATTATTGAGCATTGCTATGTGAAATATAGTAGTGAAATAACTGAAAAAATTACAGGATATAAAGAGGTAGAAGAGCCCAGGAATGCCTTGAGTTATGAAGATTGTCACACCCCAGTGGCCAGCTCCAGCTCATGCCGATGGTGGCTGGAAATCTCTGATTTCGTATCTCTATATACCCATTTATTTTTTGTTCACTGCTTCCTTCATACATTTTCTTTGAATATCAGGTCATTTATTTAATTAATTAATTTATTTTAGAGATGAGATCTTAATCTGTTGCCCAGGCTGGGACGCAGTGGTGTGATCTCAGCTCACTGCAGCCTTGAACTCCTGGGCTCAAGTGATCCTTGCACCTCAATCTCCTGAGTAGCTGGGAATACAGGCATGCACCACCATGCCCAGCTATTTTTTATTATTATAATTTTTGTTTGTAGAGACAAGGTCTCATTTTGTTTCCCAAGCTGATCTCGAACTCCTGGCTTCAAATGATCCTCCCACTTCAGCCTCCCAAAGTGCTGGGATCATTGGCATGAGTTACTGTGGCCAGCCTGAATAGCAGGTCATTTAATTCCATCCACGCAATTCTTTTCATTCCAAGTTCAAGTGACAGTGGGGCCTACACTAGAGAGCTTTCAGTAGAATCTAAATGGTAGAGGAAGGTGGAGATAATATTGAAAAGAAGCAAAAAAATAATAATAATAAACAATTACTTATGGTATAGGGATGGTGGAGTGGAGTAGGGCTCGTGGTGTAAAATGATTTTTAACAGAGAAAGTCTCCTTTACTCCCAGGCCCCTTGTTTCTGGGGAACCAAAAAGATATTGCTATTGATGCATCATTCTTTAGAAAATAAATATTAACATCTATTATAAACAATTCACTAACAAAACACTGCTGCTACTAGGATTAATGGTCACAATAATGATTATAGTTATGGCCAAACTGAACTTCCTATAGGAAGAAGAGATTATCAGGCCTCCAGTGGGATGATTGCTATAAAATATGTTTCCAGGGAAGGAGGAATTTGTTGAATCTCATTGTGATATGGTCGTGAGGCTTTAGGGCTTGCCCTGTGGCATGGAGGGTAATCAGGCTAGCAATAACTCATCATGAAGTTGGAATCCAATATTTCTCCTTATTAATTCATGCCACAGGAAAGTTACATGCCACATATTACTGAGTGCCCATACTCTTGAGAAAGGAAGTGCTAACTTTTCCTATTCCTCTACTCCTCCTCATAAACACACCACACCCTTATTTAGTTCAAGAGTGCTTAATCAGGAAATAACGAAATTGTGAGTAATAAGTCATATTATCAGTGTGATAGGGGAGTGATAAGTACACATTGAGCGTTCAATACCTCTCAACAACCAGTCAATAAAAATAGGAGGGACAGTAATTAAGATGAATCTCCACTTGGAAGTGGTAGCCTGGGAGGGGAAATGGTAGTAAAGAGTTATGCTGCCCCCAGGAGCCAGCAAAGCCCTCGTGTTCCTTGGAACTCAATACCCACCCTGTAAGAAATGCCATAACATTAAGCAGATACACACCTCAGCTTTCACAAGTTGTGCTGGTTACCCATATTATGGGCCAGAGTTTCAGGGTGGCTTAAAGAGAAGGAGGAAGAGAAGGAGACTGTGGCAAGGCTGCTAGGGACACCATAATGTTCTTGAGAAGGCAGCATGATGAATGAGTGAAGAACGAAGGCATAAGGGGTGAAGACTGAGAATCAAAAGACTTGGACCTTCCTCAAAGAAGCTTGGACTTCACACCTGAATCTCATTTCCTTATCTGTAAAAGGAGGACCGTGGGCTAGGGCAGTGCCACGGTTTCTTCCTGTTTTAAAGTCCCTAGATTCTGAGCTAATGTCATTTCAGAATCTGTACAGAACTGACACATATCTTTGATCACCAGTGAAATCCTAGGTTGCTTGCCTGACCACAGCATTTCCCTATCTGCCCTATAAGCATTTATCAAGCAGCATAGTGTTCTCTGGCAGCATCATTTATTTTCAAGGATGCTCTTTGGGGATAACTTTGTATGGTGATATAATTTCAAACTTATGAAAAAGCTGCATGAATTGCATAAGGAATTCCAATAATACTTTTTTCCAGATTCACCAATTATTTACATCTTGCCCCATTTGCTTACTCCCTCTCTGCATGTATATCTGCATACATATTCATATATCTTATATATATTTGTAGAGAATCATTTGAGAGTAAGTTTGATGCATCGTGACCATTTATTGTTAGTTTACTGTATATCTCCTAAGAACACAGACATCTCCTACATAACCATAGTCCAATTATCAAAACAAGAACATTTAGCATTGATATATACTATAATATACAGTCCACATTTGATTTTAATTAATTATGCAAATAATGTTTTAATTGATAGTTTCTCTTGTCCAGGATTCAATTCAGATTCACAGACTGCAGTTAGTTGTCTCTTTGGTCTCTTTAAACATGGAATAATGCCTGTCTTCCTTTGACTTTCTTGACAAAATGTTTGAAGAGTACAAGTCATCTGTTGTATAGAATGTCCTTCAATTATGTCTTGTCCGATATTTCCTTATGGTAAGATTCAGATTATGCATTTTTAGGACAGTTGCACCACTGAAGTTATATAGTATACTTAGTGTGTCATATCAGGTGGCACATGCTATTGGTTCATTCCAATACTGATGAACTGTTAACTCTGATCACTTGGTTAAGTTATGTATATCTTTCCCTTTACAATTAATACAATTTCAATTCATAATATAAGATTCTAATTACATATACTTTAGACTGTTTGATATTGCTATTCTACTTTTCACTTTATTGTGCTAAAATGTGGATGATCCGTTGACCTGTTGTCAAGTTTATTGATTCTTTTCACTGTCGTTTCCAGTCTCTTGAAAAGCTGATTGAATGAATTCTTCATCTTAGACATCATATATTTTATTTCTAGCAATTTCATTTGGCTCTTTTAAATAGTTTCTATTTCTGTGGCCAAATTACCCGTTGTATATTATGTACCTTTTCCACTAGATCTTTTAACATATTTATCAAATTTATATAATATTAACTTTTGGGCCATCTCTCAGTCTGTTTTTATTTTCTTTCAAAATATGCTATTTTTCTTCATGTGTTTTGTAATTTTTGAATGTGTACAGGACATTGTTTGTCAAAATACAGTAGAGACTGAAGTAAGTAATATTTTTGCCCAGGATACCTTTTTTTCTGTCAGCCATCTGTATAAACTATAGTTGAGCTATGTGTGAAGTTTACTGTCATTTTAATTAGGTTTAGTTCACCAATAGGTTAATGATTCAAGAATGAGTCAGTACTTTACCTCCAACAGGGCAAGACCTTTTTGTACAAACAATCTTTGGCTTCCTGAACCAAGGAGAATCTCATTCTGCTTTCTAAACTGGCTTCTAGATTTTTATGTTGTTAAAGAGTTTGCTTTGTTATACAGTTCTGCCTCCTGGCTTTCTGTGGTTCAAGGGACCTCTTTCTGCTCTGCTATGTTCTCCTTATCCATGGAGTATTGGGCAGTGAATTTTAGTGAATGCTAAGAGTGTCCATAAGGGGCTTAGGATGGTATGTTTCTGAGTGGTGGCAATGCAGAAGAGCTAAAAAGACCTTGAGATTTTGGGAACTTGCTCCCCAAAGAGATCTTTTAGGTCTCTTGCCCTTCCTCCAGCTGTGAGAACCCTCTGACAAGTACTTAATGAAGGCCTGTGGCACTTCATAGAGTTTCCTTTAGTTCTTCTGCCCTCTTTTCATCATTCTATCTCACCTCTCTTGCTCTGCTCATCATCTTTTGCATTAGCACTTAGTGAAGGCCCATGGGAAAGGTGTGATGAGTAGGTGCAGATTCTCACTGTGCATCGAGCTTAGGATCCTAAACATCACACCAGCTGTCATTTAGTCATAAAATTCTTACAAAGTTTAGATAGTTTCTCCTTAAATCTATTAATGGTAACTTCCTACTTGCACTACCCTACAAAAGATGATAGGAGCTGTATGGCAGTTCCCAGGAAGGGCTTGTCACTTCCTAGATTTTAGTTCATTTTGGTTTCATTAATCCTCAGCTATCTAATAGGTTTGTTTTAAAAAGTATGACTTTGTAGGTTAGTTGGCTTGTTTTTGATAGTAGGGTATAAATGGAAGCAGAAATTAGGATTAGGATCTGGTGTCCTTTGGATATATTCTGCCCAAAATACAATTAACCCTTCATACTGAGAAATAAAAATAAAATCCTAAGCCCCTTAACCAACTGAAGGAACCCTTTTTGGCCAAAGTGACCCCAGAAAAACCTCAAAAGCTAAGTTTCTTGCCATCATGGGATAGGAGGTCAGCCTTGACCTCCTGGGCTCAAGCAATCCTCCTGCCTCAGCCCCCAAGTAGCTTGGACTACAGGCATGCACCACCGTGCCTGGTTAATTTTTATATTTTTTATAGAGACAGGGTTTTGCCATGTTGCCCAGCTGGTCTTGAACTCCTGAGCACAAGTGATTCACCTGCCTCAGCCTCCCAGTGTTCTGGAATTACAGGCATGCATTTGACTTCTAAGTACACATATTTGACTTGCTTTGGTTGAAGCACTGCACTGGCCTGAAGTCATACAAGGACCTCTGAACTACCTGGGAGAGGCCATATGTTCTCATTGCTACTGCTGTTATTGCTTTTAGGTCCTCTCAAGTAGACAGATCTGGGAAACTATATATATAGAGAGTCTCCATTTATCATCCATCTATTAAAAACTATGAGTTCATACTGATACCTCCAATTTTAATCTGAAAGCACATTGTACATTCTAATCCTCCCTTTTCCATATTTGTAACTTTCTTCTACAACAGTGAGAAACTTGGATCTCATTATGCTTAATATATTTACTCATTTGATTAAGATTAGGATACAGAGAAATTCATTTCAGAATTGCTAACTGTATTAGTCTGTTTTCAAGCTGCTGATAAAGACATACCTGAGACTGGACAATTTACAAAAGAAAGAGGTTTAATTGGACTTACAGTTTCACATAACTGGGGAAACCTCACAATCATGGTGGAAGGCAAGGAGGAGCAAGTCACATCTTACATGGATGGCAGCAGGCAAAAAGAGAGAGGGTTTGTGCAGGGGAACTCCTCTTTTTAAAACCATCGGATCTTGTGAGATTTATTCACTATCATGAGGACAGCATGGGAAAGACTTGCCCCCATGATTCACTTACCTCCCACTGGGGTCCCTCCCACAACACATGGGAATTCAAGATTAGATTTGGGTGGGGACACAGCCAAACCAAATCACTAACCCATACCACTAGGAAAAAAAAAAGTCTATGAATTAGACTTCAATAATTGTTTACTGCTTTTTAAAGGTAAAATTTACACATAATGAAATAAAAACCTGTATACAATTCAATGAGTTTTGATAAATGCATACCTCATATAATCCACACCTCTCTAAAGATATTGACTATTTCCATCATCTCAGAATAATTTCCCTTTTTAATCCATTTTCCCTTCCTTTCCTCGAGTAACCACAGTTCTACTTTTTTTCACTGTAGTTTTGCCTGTTCTGGGGCTTCATACCATAGATAATACAGTATGTATTCAGAGTTGAGCTTCTTTTGCTCAGCATACTGTCTGTGAGATTCATATGTGCTATGTGTATCAAATTAAGAGTTTTTTTTAAATTTTGGTTAGAAATTATCTCATTATATGTATGCATTCCACAATTTGTTTATTCTGTTGATGGACATTTGGTATGTTTCCAGTTTTTTTGCTAATATGAATAAAGCTGCTATAAACATTCTTGTCCAAGTCTTTGTGTGGACGTATGTTTTCTATCTCTTGGATAGATGCTCAAGAATGGGATTAGTGTGGCATGGGTGGGTGGGTGTCTACCTTTATGAGAAATTACAAAACATTTTGGCAAAGTGTTTGGACATTAAATCTGGCTTTGACTTCATTTTAACACATTTCTTTTGTAAGTAGCATGGGGCTTTACAGCTTCCCTCACTATGTGATTCTCTCTGACCTTAGTATCCTTCATAGAAAGGGCTCTAGCATTGGATTGGTTTGAAGGCACACAAGGACCTCATAACTACGTGAGAGAGGCTAGTTTTAGGCTTCTAGCTGGGCTTCAGTGAAGTTGTAACAAGTCTTCATCCTCTGTGAGTTTCTGATCTATTACAAATTCCCCTCCTGCTCCCTAACCATGCAACCAGCCAATTCTTAACATCATGGTGGAGGTGTCATACTTCAATTGCAGCTCAACTTGGCATGTGCGAGGGGAGAGTATTTTCCCTCCACGGACTCCCTCAGACTTTGTTGTTTCAGTGCTTATGTAATCCTGAGCAAGCTGTGAGGTGCTGTGCTGATGAGGAATGTGTGGGTGGGCAAGGCCTCTCCTTTGGCTAACTTGACCCTGTGATCTTCTAGTCATCTCCTGCCAGAGCAACTAGAGGCTACTTCATAACTGAACCTGGCTCTAGTTGTGGTATCTGGATTTCATGAGTGCTGTGTTTAGCTGAGACTTGTCAGAAACAAAGTAACTAAGGGGTTTGAAACTCTGCAGTGTTCTGAAATACAGTAAAGCATCTATTCCCCAAAATAGCACTTGTACAACACCGGGAATGTACATTTCCTTTCTCTTTCTCTCCTTTTGTTGGATTTTCTTTCCCCACAATAATTCATCCTGTCACCACATCCCTTTCTTTGAATGCAGTACGTGTTGCACTTTTCTTATCAGATTCAGACACTTTTTCTCTTTAGCAACCTCCTTCCTTTAGACTCAGTCCTACTCTTCCTTTTAGGTTTATTGGTGTCATGGGGCATTATCATCTATTATTGCCTGGTTGTGTCTCCTTAAGTGCAGGAAGCACTAAACCCTTGGTAATTACAGTGTTGGCCTCATGAAGGACTTTTGTGATTAAAATGTTTTATCATCAGTGGTTGTCCTGCATTATTTTTTTTATGTGGCTGCTGCGATGAACTATTTTACTATGAACAGGGCTGTGGTACTTGTCTAAACGAAGCAGTACAAACGCATTTTATGATGAGTCAGTACATTGTAGGTAACAGATGAAACCCTGGGTTATAGAGCAGGTTTAGACAATAGGGGTCAAGAGGAAACTTGACCAAAATCAAACATTTTTCTTTTGGGTAAAGGAGAATGTGTCAGGAGCCCTTGTTCTCTTCAGTGAGAGAAACTGTTGCCACTACTAATTTGGACTCTACCTTCTTTCAACTTCCTGAAACGTGACATTCTTCTCAGGGAAATCCAGAGTCCTATGTTGATTTTTGTAGCCCCACCCAAGCTGCTCTTTAACCCCTCTTGCCTTAGGAGTGCTATCTTAAATGTTCTTTCTTGGCCATCCAACTAGGAATAAGTTTAGATAGCACTTTAAATCACTACATATTCACTCTTCCATTTATCCATCTATGTCTCCATTCATTCTTCTACCAAACATTGAACAATCACTAAAGTGCTCAGTGAATATATCAGGCGCAGTGGACAACTGTATGTGAATAAGATAAGACAGTGCCCTTTCCTCTAAAAGATTATAATTTAGAAGAGATAGGGAAGCAAATAATGTCTGTATATAAGTGATCAAATAAAAGAAATAAAGTAATGAATTCCACAAAAGAGGCATGAACTGTGCTGTGTTAGGTGAGAAGAGTGTTCCCCACACTTTTTGATTGTGCAGCCCATTAAAATTTTTGCACACCTACCAACAATATATATTTTATATAAATTATGTATATGTACTCTGTACTAATATGTTGCATACATTATAATTGTGTGCATAGAGATTAACATATAATGTAAAGATGAAATAGGCTGTAGTGTTTAAATGATTTTAGTTTTATTGAACCATACAAAACTTTTCCTGGTCTGTCGAATATGCTATTAATAATTTTTTAGTGATAGCATTGTGGTTTTTATGTCAGTCTGATTCAATAGTCATTGTTTTTGCACCTATAATGGCTGATTTAAAGGTTATATTGGGAGGATGGGGAATATCATATCTGTTTAATTATTATTTGTGGATGCTTACATTATTACTGTAATTTTAATTTGCAGTTTCTTTGTAAGAAAAATGTTAAGTATGTTGTAAGAGTTAGTTTAATCCAAAACTAGATAAGACTATCCAAATATCTACATAATCTGCAATATGTCACAAGATGTTGAAAATGAATGATGATGGATAGATGCCATAGCAAACACTTCCCCAGTGTGTAACTCCAAACTTTTGAAGGCTACTTTCCATAGCATCTATGTCTGATGCATAGGCCCAGTGAGGGTCTTAGTGTCAATCTGTATATAAAAATCAGCAATGGGTTAATGGATACAAGCATATAGCTAGATATAAGGAATAAGTCCTTATGTTCAACAGCAGAGTAGGGTGACTATAGAAATGTATTGTGTATTTCAAAATGGCTAGAAGAGAGATCTTAAAATATTTCCAACACATAGAAGGGATAAATACTTGAGGTGATGGATATGCCAAATACTCTGACTTGATCAATATACATTCTATACATGTAACAAAATATCTCACGTACCCCATAAATATGTATGAACATTATGTATCAATATTTACTTCTTATTTTTAATAAGAAATATAACTTAAAAAGATGTTCTATAAAAAGATGTCCAAATATTTTCTTCCCACACTCCAATAGATCATTTGCTCTTCTTCTGGGGGGTGTGTATGCCAGTTTGGAGACTCCTGAGTTAGAGGACATGAGTACCTCATATGTGAACACATTAGTGAAAACATCACATAAGAGCTTAGCTTTAAATGATGAGTAGAAACTGGAGAAGAGCTGGCTTTCAGAAGAGAGCAAATGGCATATGTACTGCCATGAAGGCATGGAAGTACAGGGTATGCTTGAGAATTAATGAAATGTTCGTTACACTGGTGCATCAAAGGAGAATTGTGGGGAATTGGAGCCAGAATAAAGAGGTATTGAGTATTTTACCTAAGGTAAGAATTTTGAACTTTATAAATTAAGCTTTAGAAGGCATTATATATATTTTCAACTGGGAGGTGGTATTTTATCAAGAGAAGCAATTTCCTTTATTTTAACTTCCCTTGTCATCTCTTAGAAAGTGACTGTTCACTCATCTGCATTCACTTCTCTCTACAGCTTGTTATTGGAAATACTAGTCCAGTAGTAGATAGTGACTGGGATGAGTTGGAGGGGAATTAAATAAATTAAGATGCATGTTACATTACCAGTGAATGGTTTAAGTCAGAGTTAATGAAGCCTTAATGAAGAGTGATGGTGATAGAAATGAAGGCAAAATTGAAGACTGTTTAGTGAAGGAAGAGGAAAACCACATCTCTGTTCACAAAGTTCTAGCCTGGGTAAGTAGGAAAATGGGGATCAAGAGAAATGGAAACACCAGGAGAAGGGCAGATTTGAAGGAATCATCGATGAGTGGCTAATATGTAGCTAAAGGCACTCAAAATAAATACATAGAGAAAGCATTAAAGAAATTAATAAGATTAATGAGAGAAACAGGTTAAAAGAAGATCAGAGACAACGTTAGGGAAACACCTTCTAATATTTTATCTTTTTTTTGGGGAGAGAGAGCGTCTGGCTCTGTCGCCCAGGCTGGAGTAAGTGGTGTGATCTCGGCTCATTGCAACCTCCACCTCCAGACCTCAAGCTATCCTTCCACCTCAGCCTCCCAAATAGCTGGGATTACAGGTGTGGGCCACCATGCCTGGCTATTGTGTGTGTGTGTGTTTATTTTTGGTAGAGATAGGGTTTTGCCATGTTTCACGGGCTGGTTTCAAATTCCTGAGCTCAAGCAACCCACCCACCTCGGCCTCCCAAAGTGCTGGGATTAGAGGTGTGAGCCCACTATGCCCGGACCCTAGTGCTTTAACCTAGCATTTCCAGTTGCATTTGAGACTGAGGAATCTTAACTCTTATCCTCTTGATTCAACTACTAATGTCTGGTGATTGTCACACTTGACAGATGCTTTTCTATCAGTTAAATAAAGTTAATATGTTTTCATATCAGGTTTTAATGATCTTAGGTGAACTAGTTTAAAAAACTTCTATACTAAAACAGCTTAGGGAGAAAGGGGGCCCAAAAGAACTAAGCACACTTTTAGAAAATAACATAAAACAACAAAAGGCAGAAAAAAAAATAGAAGTTCCTGAACACAGAACTACATTTGAAATGGAAATAATCTGGACTATCAAGAAGGTTATATTTAAAGCTACCAACTCAAGTGATTTTGACAATATAAGCCAATAAAATGTAATAAATATGTAGTTTAATTTTTTTTCTTACTGAATTGTCCAGTTTGATGGATTTGGTGGATTGTTTTGCTGTCATTAAAAATACAACATCCAAGGCAGATTTTAAAAGAAATACGGAGAATTGGTGAAGTGTTTAGGATTAACAAAAAAAATCCAAGATCAGGTCTTGGGAAATAATTTGAGGGTGGGGGAAAAGAATACAGGAAAATATTTCTGGAAATTGGTAACAATATTATACTTAGTGGAAGGAGAAAGATAGTAATGAATGAGCATGCATCTTCAAAGTAAAAAAAGAGCAACCTGAATTACAATTTTGTTTTGCTTTTTAAACTTGGACAGATTACTGAGTACTCAAGGAAAAAAACCTTGTCAAACTCACTCATTATGACCATGAAAAGTAGGTCGGGAAGACTTGGTGCACTTTATTTCAATTTTAACACATTTTAAGTTATATTCTACATATTAAGGAATCAGATTACAGCCATCCTGTGGAGGCTCGCTGGTTAGGGGACCAAATGTGGAGTGTGATAATGAAAATATAGGTCAACTTGGAGGAGGAGTGGTGTAGACACATTGGTCAATAATTCAGGAAAAAAAAAAAAGAAGTATACTGGTTAAGTTTGCTGCAAATGATGGCATAGATCTTAGAGCATATGATTAGCATTATTAAAATAGATTTCTTACAAACGTAGACAAATTGTATGAGATTCCCAGAGATTCTCAGTTAAAAGTATCAAGTACTTGGGACAGGACAATACTTACTTAAAGGGAATCCTTACTCTGTAATCTTCCTTAAATTAGCTGGTGAATATTTTAGCAGTGATTATCAAGCAATGAATCCAGAAGGTAGCCCTGTAAGAGATGGGAAGCATCACACTGGGAGGCAGGAATAGAAGTGCAGAAATCAAGAACCATGAGGCCATTTTCCAGTTATGTCTATGGCTAGCCAGAAATGCCCTGGGCTCCATTTTAAAGCTTTGGATTTTACACAAAAGTATTTAGAGGACTTAGAAAAAAATTTAGGAGTGAAAGTAAAAATAATAATAAAAAAAAGATCTATGAGTATAGGTTAAAAAAAACTGATTATTCAGCTAAGCAAGAGAGGCCTGGGTTATTTAATTATTGATGATAAGCAACTAATCTCCATTTACACAGCAAGGGTCAAAAGAAAAAGAAATGGGCCCAAACTGCAGTGTGTGGGATTTAGATTAAATATAGGGAAGAACTGGCTAAGAAGGATGAATTACTATGGAAGGACATGGAATTTCCTATGTGGGAGGTCTTTCAAAATAGTCTCTCAATTGTAAAGGCTAATTTCAAAATTAAATCCTGTCTGAATAGTAGGGCTAGAGATTGGTGAATTAGAAGGTGTAGGAGAGTAACATAAACACTAAAGAGACCTTATGATCTTAAAATATAACAATTATCTTGAAAATAATACAAGTTATGAAGTAGAATTAGAAAATCAGAGACAGCTAATATGTGTTGTTACTTATTCTTATTTTATCTTTCTTCATCCATTAATCTGGGCAGCAGTTTGGGCATTTGCCAAGCAAGTTATAATTATCTATTGTTGAGATTTAAATCTCTTGATTATGTAACAAGTACCAAGAAAGACTGGATAGAGACGTTGGGAAATTTAGGCCGGGCGCGGTGGCTCACGCTTGTAATCCCAGCACTTTGGGAGGCCGAGGCGGGCGGATCACGAGGTCAGGAGATCGAGACCATCCTGGCTAACACGGTGAAACCCCGTCTCTACTAAAAATACAAAAAAAATTAGCCGGGCGTGATGGTGGGCGCCTGTAGTCCCAGCTACTCGGGAGGCTGAGGCAGGAGAATGGCGTGAACCCTGGAGGCGGAGCTTGCAGTGAGCCGAGATTGCGCCACTGCACTCCCGCCTGGGCCACAGAGCGAGACTCCATCTCAAAAAAAAAAAAAAAAAAAAAAAAAAGAGACGTTGGGAAATTTCTACTTTGAAGAACAGTAATAAAAACAGATTCCACTGTTCCTACAGTTTATCAGCTTAACAGTTTTTATTCATTGAGTAACTTCTAGATGCCCACTAACCAAACTCGATGCTGTGGGAACATAGAGGGAAATAGGACATGATTTCCAGCCTTTAAGAGTGTATGGTCTATATGGAATAATTTGATAAACACATGTGAAAAATTAGTATACAATATGAGACAGAATTATAGAATTATGTGATATGTGATATGGGCTATTTGCTGGAAGAGTTGGATAGCGGGGGTTTGGACAGGAGGTACCATAGAGGAGGTAGGTTTTAAAGGATGGAAAAGAACTAAAGAAGAGGAGTATGAGGAGCATATTTTTGGGAGGATAATATGAGCAAAGGGATAGAAGTGAGAATATATGTGCTTGAGTCATACTTTTGATACACTGGGGAGCGTTGTGAATTTAATCTTTTGGATCAATTCACAGTTGTTAATATGTCATGCAATGTCTTTACGATTTGCTAATATCTATAAACTTATCTCATCCTATCTTTTTGTACAACCATTATCTCATCCTATCTTTTTGTGCAACCACACTCCCTTTTCTTTGTCACAACCCTGCGTGTGTCTGTTTGAGTTCAAATTCTAGTTCTACCACTCCATAACTCTATGACTTTGAGTCTTGGTTACTTCATATATAAAATGGGGATAATAATAGGACCTGCCTCAAAGTGTTGTTGTGAAGATTAAATACCTTGATAGACATAAAGTGCTTGGAAGAGTTCCCAGTTCATTGTAAGGATCAATAAGATATCATCTGGGGCTGGGCACGGTGGCTCATGCTTGTAATCCTAGTGATTGGGAAACTTAGATGGGAGGATCACTTGATGCCAGGAGTTTGAGACCAGCCTGGGAACACAGTGAGACCCCACCTTTATAAAATATGTATATGTATATATATATATATATATATTTTTTTTTTTGAGACGGAGTCTCACTCTGTCGCCCAGGCTGGAGTGCAGTGGTGCGATCTTGGCTCACTGCAACCTCCGCATCCCAGGTTCAAATGACGCTCATCCTTCAGCCTCTTGAGTAGCTAGGATTACAGGTGTACACCACCACGCCCAGCTAATTTTGTATTTTTAGTAGAGATGGGGTTTCACGATGTTGACCAGGCTTGTCTCAAACTCCTAACCTCAAGTGATCTGCACACCTCGGGCTCCCAAAGTGCTAGGATTACAGGTGTGAGCCACCGTGCCCAGGCTTTATTCACTTTTGTATCTCAGTGTCCATGAGCCATCTATCAATTGTTGAATATGTAAGGAAATGAATGAATAGACAGTTGAAGAAGGATATAAACCTATGAATTTGTACATTATACTCTCTACCCATTTCCACTACAATTACTAATTACTACTACTACTAATTAATCATTATTAATACTAAAAAGCTTTATTATGACCAAAACATCTGTGGAATATGTAATAAAGGTGTACGGTTAGAAATTTAGTAATTTATTATAACTAGTCTCACTCAAGTAAGCTTTACAAAATGGGTTTGCATTCATATTTCAAAATTTGAGGGCTACCATTAGCCATATAATCTTAATAATCATTCTGTACTTTATAGATTCATTCATAATAATCAACACGAGATATATCACATAGTCTAGTTAGTTTTAATGTTTACTTTCTATTTTTTAACTTTTTCTTCTTAGATTCATTGGCAGTAAAGGTAGAGGGATATAGGGATAAGAATCTGGAGATATGGCAATTTATTTAATATTGCCAGATGCTCGTCTTTGAGGGTTTGGACTAAATGGCCTCTAAAATCCCATTCCCTGTTACTCAATATTCTCTGAGCTCAGTGGATCTATGATGTAGTTGGGATTACAATCTAGTTTTCCTAAAGGTAGACTAGTGGTCTTTTCATTAAAACCATATAGTTTTATTAGTCATGTGACTAGTCACTCTTTTTGTTTATTGACTAAACTATTTTTTCCGAGCAGAAGCTCTAATATGTAACAATGGCAACGGAGACTGTCAATATCTAAAACAAAAATAAAATAGCATGGACTAGGACATTTTATATGGAAATAACATATAAGCTATTAGACCCTATAAGCTATTAGTTAACAATAACCAGTAGTACTTGTTAGTTATCAGTGTAACAATTCAGAGCACTCTAGTGTGTAAAGTAACCACTTTTAGAAGCAAATTATTTTATTGTTACATTCATTTCATATTTAGATATGAAAGAAAACCAATAAATTTATTTCAGATAGAAAATCCAAGTATTAGAATATGTGTCCATTAAAAAAATCAAATATGCATTTTGTATTTGCTTTCCAGGGCTGGTTCTTTCTGAGGGAGAGGCACTTGAAGGCCATAATTGTGTTAGTGAAATAGCTGGAACACCACACAGTATTCCAGGCATCTAATGACCAAGTGGGTTAGCAGATCAATTACTAAAAAATCAACAGGCAGGGATGAAATTAGCCATGGCACATTCTGTCTGCTACATACTCTCATCTATTAATTGGATTGTTTAGTGACTGAACTGATCCATCATTTAGCAATTGGAGTTAATTAACATAGCTGGCCAGACTGTACTATGCTATGGTTAATTGAGACATACACATGACCCCAGCCGCCCTGGTTCAGAAAGTAATGGCAAAAATAAGATGATCAAGGCACTAATCTGGTAAAATGATTAAACACCAAAATATCCATCTGTTTTGCCATCCATATTCTGAGAAAAATATTACCATTCCTGTTCTTTTCTACTATCATTTGTAAAGTTGGCATTATTTATTCCAGCAGTCTGTAAAACATACTTCCCTCCTTTCCTTATGATAACATCTCTATCTCTGGTGGTTGTAGAGAATACTGCAAGTATTCTGGTGGTATAACATAGTGGCCAAAAACTGTAGAGTTAAACAAACCTAGAAAAAGTCTCACCATTCACTTGCTGCATTAATGTTTTTGTTCTCTACAATGGAAGTTACGATATCCACTTCCTTAGGTTGCAGGGATTAGCAGGGATGCTGAAGGTGAAGGTCTCAGCACACAGAGAGTGAGGCAGGGTTACCTGCTCTTTGGTTAATTTAGCTCTTTGGGTTAAGTGGTGATGAATGAAGGAAACCAGAAATAGAAACAGACAGTCACTTTTCTTTCCATTATCATTTGATGGAAAGTTTTAACTCAACTTTTACTAGAATTCATTGTTGCCTGAACTGCAAAATGGTATCTGTACATGTGAGGCACTCCAGGAAATAAGTATGTATAGTATTGTTTAGAAGCAATAGAATTTATTTTCCTCATTCATTATCTAATGATCAGGCAGTATTAGTAAAAGGAAAAACAGCCAAAACAATAGCCAACTAAATAAAACACTGGTCCTAAGAGTCTTGTTACTTGAAATGTAGTTTATTTTAAAACCGATGTACATTGAATTAAATCATGTCCTAATCTTTTGACAGACTCGTTTATTGTGAAATAGAGAGTGTGAGATACACTGGATGCAGAGAAGGTCAAAACTGAATTGGAAGATTTTATCCAGTTCTGGCTTCTACAAGTGAGGGGGAGTAAAGACAACCCGTGGAAGGTAAAGTGATAAGACCCAAAGATGCCAAGAGGCTGGAGAGGGAAGCCTGGGAGGAAATACTAATGGGATTGTGATTAGAAAGCCTGGAGAGGAGTTGGGCCATAAAAATACTATAGCCATGAAAAGAGTTGAGATTCCATGTGCAGCAGGAAGGCAGCCTTTAGGGCCCAGAGGGCCAGGCCAGACCAAGAGGTGCTGGGATGGAGCCCTGCTTCTTCCTCTGGGGTCTTTAATTCTGCTCCTCTGAGGTGAAGAAGTCCCTTCCCACACATCCGTCTTTCCCTTCCCTTTCTTTTCTGTTTTCCCTTCCCCCTTTACTCCAGCATGTCTTGGTGGAAATATTGTAAGATTTGCAGCCAGAAGTTCTGAATGTGAGGTTTCAGCAGGTCATTGCTAGATGTATGAACTTAAGCCAGTTCTCTTGAGTTTCATTTTTAGAAAAAAATGAATACATGTTTTCTAATTTGTACAAGGAGGATAATAATACCTGGCTTATAGGGTTTCTGAGAGGGTAAAATAAAATAACAGATAAAACAACTTCTTTGTAACATGTAGAGTAAATATGGATGTGAGTTTTAATGTAATCAATGGATTTCCTCAGTCTTTACCTCTTTCCTCTCTCCCTTGGAATTCCAAGTAGCAGATGCTGGAAAATATAGATAGCAAAGTCTCACCTTTCTTTCTAAGGTAGCTTCTTTTTTTTTGAGTCGGAGTCTCCCTCTTTCGCCCAGGCTGGAGTGCAGTGGCGCCATCTCGGCTCACCGCAAGCTCCGCCTCCCGGGTTCACGCCATTCTCCTGCCTCAGCCTCCAGAGTAGCTGGGACTACAGGCGCCCGCCACCAAGCCCGGCTAATTTTTTGGATTTTTAGTAGAGATGGGGTTTCACCGTGTTAGCCAGGATGATCTCCATCTCCCGACCTCGTGATCTGCCTGCCTCGGCCTCCCAAAGTGCTGGGATTACAGGCGTGATCCACCGCGCCCGGCCTAAGGTAGCTTCTTATCTCTAAGAAAAAGGCTTCATGGTTGGGGACTGGATCGTAGGCTCTGCTAGGCTTCATGCCAGTCTTAAGATTTCGTGACAAATAAGCCTTCACATATTTCCACTGTGGGGTTGTTTATTGCTTTTTTTCACAGTCCAGAGCAGCCATTATCCTCTTCTAACTCTATACTGTGAGACTCTGGAAATTTTTAAAAGTATAAACTAAGGACGGGAACAATTTCAGAGGCGTGATTATACCGATGACGCTTGGGCAGTGAGCCCATTCCGGGTTTACCACCACCAAACCTTGTTCCACCTATGCAGCAGCCAATGTGGATTTAATCCTGCAGAGTTTGTGCCTTGGGGAAGAGGAGATCAAAGAAAGCCCACACCCAGGTCTCCCGCCATGAGGGCCATGGCCACGGTTTCCATGGTGAGCCCGAAGGAGACCCGCCCTCTGCTTCCTTGCTGTTTCAGTTGCATCACCTGAAAGACACAGGGCCAAGTCCTAGCCACACTCTCACTACTCATGCTTTTCTAAAATCACAATAAACGCAGACTTAGCTCTGACCACATAGCACGCTCCAACATTTCCTGGCCTGCCATGGACCACATTCCTTCACAGCGGGACTTATGATCTAATAAGAGACCACTGCAGATTTCTGCAGTTTCCTCGTGGTCAAAGCCAGAGTTTCACAGGAACCTAAAGAATCACATTGACTTTGTCCTTGATCTATTTCTGTCTGAAAGGACTGTATTCATTTCCTAGGGCTGTCATAACAAAGCACCACAAACTGGATGGCAATAAATGTATTGTCTCCTAGTTCTGGAAGTGAGAATTCCAAGATCAAGGTGTTGGTGGAGTTGTTTCTTCTGAGGCTTGTGGCCTGTGAGGGAGAAATCAGTCTGTTCTATTCACCTTTCTAAGCTTTGGGGGATTGCTAGAATCTCTGGCATCTGGCTCCTGTTCCATCATCTTGGTCTGTATCTCCAGTTCACATGGCATCCTCCCTGTGCATGTGTCTGTGTCCAAATTTTTGCTTGTTATAAGGACACCAGTTTTATTGGATTAGGGGCCCACTCTATTCACTTATTACCTCTGCAACAACTCTATTTTCAAATAAGGTCACATTCTCAATTATGGATGGTTAGGATTTCAACAGTTAAACTTTAGGAACATAATTCAATCCATAACAGGGATAAAGTTCTTAAAATACCTTGGTTTAAATTGAGTGTTCAATACAAGCATGGTTGTGGGCATTCTTGACATTGCTTAAAGATGTAAATTAGGAATGGTCCCTGTCTACTACGAATTTACCTCAGATAAGACAGAGGATTTAGAGTTCCTTCTGCCTACCTATTTATTTTTATAGCAGCCATGGAGGCTTCATGGGAGAAATATAATTCAATAGGACTCAAGAGAATAGTTTGGAAAGGCAGAGGTGAGGAGAGGGAGAATGAGCATACAGTATGTGAGAATAAGTTTGGAGGTAGGGATATGGAAGAGGTCTTTAGAATCTGAAGAGCTGGGCTTTTTGGAGAACAGTGGAAGCAAATATAGAAAAGTAGATCAGGGTCCTCGGATGGAGGATTCCCATCACGGCTTGACTGAGTTCAGATCCTTGAGATATATGTCAGGGGATCAGAAGCTTTGCTGGCCTCCAGTGATCTACATATACCTCAAGTCCCCTTATTTTCTTGCCTGTACCTCATTCTCATTTTGATGGTTTCCACCCCCTAGATTCCCTTTTTCTTAAAAAGGCAAACATTTAAGCAATCTGAGGATTGGGACGGGGTTTTACAGATTTGTCTCTGCACTTCTGTGCCTTACTATGCAGCATAATTTGAAAAAAATATTACTAACAAATTCATATGTATAATATAGAATTATGGATTTGACCAGGATCAGATAAAATTACGGAAAGGACTGTCTCAGAACCTGAGGTATAATATTGTATTTTATCTTTACAGATTTCTAAGAAAGAGATATTGGTATTCCTAATTTACAGATAAAAAATTTGAAGTTCAGGTAAAGTAATATACCTAAGATTACAGCTAATAAGTGTAAGAGTTGAAATCTGAACCTAGATCTGCTTGACAATAAAGTCTATGCTTTTTTATTCCCTAATATTATTATCCTGGAGAACAGAAAATATGGAAATCTAATAGTACCAACACAAAGTAAAAGCCTGTGGTCAAATCCTAGGTCGGAAATGATAAAAGGTAGCAAAAATAGAAAGTTTGGGATCTGGGAAACCCTGAATCCAGGCCATTCAATATAGATTGGACTTTCCTTAAAGACCATGACCCAATTACATCTTTATTTAAACTTGGCCTTCCATGATCACTGTTGACCCAAGGGAAGAACTTTCCTACTCGGAAATGCACATTGAGTGAGAGTGACGTCTCCATTGTCTCCAACAATCGCATGATATGGAGTGGTCCTCATGTGCTTTCATCCTTGTTTGTCTGTTGCTGCTCCCTACCTTCTTGTCCCATTCATATGAATCCCTTAAGAGATACTGCATTTTCTTTTAGTTATGTGCACATTATTTTTGATGTGCATATATAGTCCACATGTTATATAGCACAAAGTGATTTAGCAGAAATGCAGGTCAACTGCTGCCTCTAGCATGATACTCAATGATGGTAGCAGGAAGTGGGTCCTGAATTATGCAATGAGCTTTGAACAAAAGTTGCTTTTTCCTTCTAAAGGATGTTCAAAATGTCTTTTCATTTTCAAAATTTGCCAAACATTGACTTAACAAGGAGAATGCAGCCACTATAGAAACTGAACAAGGAAAAGTCAGGTATGAGAAAGCCACCATATCACATGCTATTTACATTAAATAGAAGACAGGTAACTAGCATTTTACAAAGCACACTAGAAAAGCCTACAGAACTCAGCAGATCCATTCTCACTATTCGTAGACCCTACATGGAGCAAACATGTAACCAAGAAACAGATGCTCAGAGAAAACATCGAGTTATAAAGAAAAGAGAATATACACATGCAATTCTAAAATAAAGGAAGGAAAAATGGAGAAATTGCTTTTAAAGAGCTGTAACTGTTGTACAGTTTCATTCAGACAGGCTCCAAAGCTGATAGGCAGAGCACTTTGCTGAACCTGTGAAGTCTGAACTGGGAATCTGGCCACGACAGGGAAATTGAGTCGTGGATATACTTAGTTTGGGTTTAGTGAAATTTATTTCTGTAATTCACTATCATTTCAATGAGTATTTATGTTATTGCTGTCTATCCTGGTGTAGGGAAAGCCTGTATTCAGAAATACAGTGACCTGCTCTGTGCTGACCCACGCAGCACTGTGACACAGAGGCACAGGTGTATCAGGATATAAATATGTTCTCTAGTGGTGAAAACGTGGAGCCTGTAGTGGAGAAGAAATAAAGTGTTAAATGTAACAAAGTCGGGAGAGCAAGCTGAGGAAAATGTTTTCATATTTCATAGTTTATATAAGAAGTAACCTGCATGACCCCGCATTCCCACTTATGGGTATATATCAAAAATAAAATTGAGAGCAGGATCTCAAAGAAGTATTTGCACACCCATGTTCATAGTAGCATTATTCACAATCATTGCCAAGAGGTGAAAGCAACCTGTGTGTTCATTGACAAACAAATGGAAGTAGAAAATGTGTTATATATACAACAGAATATTATTCAGCCTTAAAAAGGGAGGAAATTCTGACACATGCTACAGTAGAAATGAACGTTGAAGGCATTGTGTTAAGTGAAATAAGCCGATCACAAAAGGACAAATGCTATATGATTCTACTGCTATGAGGCATCCAGCAGTCAAATTCATAGAAACAGAAAGGATGGAGACTACAAGGGGCCAGGGGAAGGGAAAAATTGGGAGTTGTTTAATGGGTAGAGAGTTTCAGATCTGCAGTATGAAAAAGTCCTGGCCATCTCTTTCACAACAGTGTGAATATACTGAACACTAGCAAACTGTACACTTAAAAATGTTACACTTAAGATGGTAAATTGACCGGGAGTGGTGGCTCAAGCCTGTAATCCTAGCACTTTGAGGGGCCGAGGCAGGCAGATCACCTTGGGTCAGGGGTTTGAGACCAGCCTGGCCAACATGGCAAAACACCGTCTCTACTAAAAATACAAAAATTAGCCGGGCATGGTGGAACATGCCTGTAATCACAGCTACTCGGGAGGCTAAGGCAGGAGAATCACTTGAATCCAGGAGGCGAAGGTTGCAGTGAGCCGAGATTGTACCACTGCACTCCAGCCTGGGCCACAGAGTGAGACTCTGTCTCAAAAAAAAAAAAAAAAAAGGTAAATTTTATGTTATGTGTTTTTTACCACAATAAAAAGGCAGGGAGAGTCAAAATAGAATGTTTGCCAAATTTGATAACAACACAAAAACACATATGACAGTACTAATAATAACTTGTGAAGCTGAAAGAAACTTTCTTAAGTATCATTAATTAAAACAAACAAATCTTGGTCTATCATGCCAAAGGTAATGCTGAATTATTTTTCTATTCTCTCAATAAAAATTACATTATAAAATTGTTGTCCTAAGGAGTGGTGATTTAAAAGGAAGATGCCAAAATATATAGTTAAAAAAAGATTTATAGAACTGTGTCAATTAATAAAAACATTGTTATTTTTCTGGATTTTGTGATGCTCATCTTATTTTTTAACCTTTAGAAACATTTTTATATTAGCTTTTCCATTTCTGAATAAGTAATCATTTTGCACCTAATTTTAGGTTCATGATTTTGTATTCTTTTTCTTAAAGAAAGTCTCCCTAGGATAAGTTTCAAGCCCTGTGAAACATGGATTTTTTTCCTGAATTTGAGCAATAAATATAATAGCTGCTAATGTTAAAGATATCCAAAAAATAGGCTTTTAAATGTAGTCCTTGTAAATATTAATACCATCAGAAGCAACATCAGGGAAAGGATCCTCTGAATTGCCAATCCAGCCTCACTTTTTCAGAAGTCTATCTCAGATTTTAAGAATATATAAATTTGGGTGTAAGTGCTTTTCAGGCATCTATTAGTCCTGATGCCGTTTCTCTCAACCTGGAAATGGAAATATGGACAAACATACAACAATGCTGAAAAGTAGAAGTAAAAAAGGTCATTCTATTGCCATAATTTATGAAGAATTGCCATGAATTATGAGGCCATTAAAGTTTCCACTCTGGGTAGTAGTCTATACATGGTTTTCTTTCTCTAATAGAGCTCATTTGGGGGTCTCAAAGAAGACTGAATTATTTCAGCCCTACTCATGTTGAGCCTTTCACTGCAAGTTCCTGTGTCTGTTCCAAACATTAAAATGGGCAGCACAGTTGTCTTTGTAGCAGTTTGCTAAGGCACCATTCCCCATTTCCTCTCACCATCAGCAGCTCTTTCTATACAGATTTTAGAATGAAAAAGCAAAGTGAAGATAGAGCACAAAATAGGCAGTTGTAAAAAGAGAATGGGAGTGACCTATTATGTCATGAAGGAAAAAAGCTGTAAATGGAGGAAGATCTGGAAAAGCCCTGATAGGAAGACAAATTGCAAATTAGATTATCACACATTTCAATTACTCCAAAAGAGGCAGGATTAGCGAATCAAAGACCTGCATATCCATACTGCGTAATGGCTTAGAAGACGCAGGAATGGAGCTAGAAGTTATATACATAATCTTGCCCTTCAGATGAGTATGTGAGACTGGGAATCTGCTCATCAAAAAATGGATAGTACATGGAGCTGGGGAAATTTAGAGAGTAAATGAGTCATTAAGAAAAAAACATCAAAACGAAATTAGACAGGCACAGTGGTGTGTACCTGTAAGTCCTAGCTACTCAGGAGGCTGAAGTGGGAGAATTGTTCGAGCCCAGGAGTTTGAAAATAGCCTGGGCAACATAGAAAGACTCTGTCTCTAAACATTAAAAAGAAATTAAGAGTGGAATACCCTCTTGAAGATTTGTTAGAAGAATAGAACCCAGAAAGTGAATTACTGCAGAGAACAGAAGAAAAATTTAATAAAACAGCCAGTCTTCATAATTTACAAGAAGATAAAATTTTTATGAAACAAGAGCAAAAACTACCCAGAAAAGTAGTACTATGAAGATAAACATTGGAGGTGGGATTAATTTTTTTTAAAGAACACCAATAACTAATAATGTAATGACAGAATTAAAATATGCCAGAAAAGAGAAGAATTAACATTATGGTAAACTAAATGAGTAATGTCAAGGGTAAATGTGATAAGTGTTCCCAGAGTGCAGAGACATAGGACAAAAACATGACAGCAAAGAGAGAGAATAGTTAGTGAAGACCGAGAACAAGTATCTAACATAAAAACTACATGTGAACCTAGAGGAAAATGCCAAACAATTGGAACAGATGCAGTAAACAAAGACAAATTGAAAAATAGTGTCTGGACTGAAAAAAAAAAAAAAAAAAAAAAGACCTGAGCATGTGGATTGATAAAGTTCAGCATGTTCTAGATAAAATTATGAAAAGAGCTTATGCCAAGCTATCTCTTGGCTAATCTTTTGAATAATCAGTGACATCAGTCAGTATCTCTACACGAAATACATGAAGACTCAAATGAGGATAAGCTGAGGAGAGTTTGTTTACAGAGAGATTTATTGCAAAGGGGTGAATGGGATGTTAAGAGAACCGTAAGAGATAAGGCAAAAACCCAGGGCTGGCAGCAGCAGGCTGCCACCCACTGTAGATCTAAGGGGAAGACAGGTTATCCCATCCAACATGTAACAATGGTACATAGAGCAGGCCACCTTGAGATGATCAGTGACTTTCTGTCAAGGAACATACCAACTTTAGGCAACCTCACAGAGGAAAAAAATTACTAATTTTGCAGTAAAAAATTACTCTCCTTTCTCTTCCAAGATTTGGCCCCATAGTTCAAATCTAACAGAAAGCCACAGGGCATGGGGTCTCAATGGTACAAGTCACTCAGGCCAGCCCCTCAGGGCAGAAAACAGGATAGAGAAGGGACACAGAGGGACAGATGGAAGATACTTGGCACAGCATTGCAAACAAAACACATAATAAACCCAACGTTCAAACATTTGACAATAGAGGGAATAAAATAAAGGAAGAAGAAAGAAATAATCAGACTTAAGAAGTACATTAACATAAATGATTATCAATATAATTTTTGTCTTTTTTTTTTTTTTTTTTTCCTTTTTCTGGAGAACGGGGTCTTGCTATATTGCCCAGGCAGGTCTCGAACTCCTGGGCTCAAGCTATCCTCCTGCCTCTTAGCCTCCCTGAGAGCTGGGATTACAGGTGTGAGCCACCGCACCCGGCCATATCAATATAATTTTTAAAAATGCATGAGCCTTAATAGAAAATATGTATAAATGTCGAATGATTTGAATTATAATAGTCCTCGTTTCAAGCTAAAGATGAGAGCAGGATAGGTGGGTAAAATAATATCTGGTCTCACAAGACATAAAAGAAAGATAAAAGACATTATTTCATTTCATCCCAATAGTTAGAAAAAGTTATATTTGTGTGTTTGAGACACATAAAGAGTAATACAGATACAAAGTATATTTTTCAAATGACAGGACAAAAATAAAATTGCATATAGCAAAAGGTAGAGATTTTTAAAAAGGTAAAATAAGAGGCTGGGCGTGGTGGCTCATGCCTGTAATCCCAGCACTTTGGGAGCACCTGAGGTCGGGAGTTTGAGACCAGCCTAACCAACATGGAGAAACCCTGTCTCTACTAAAAATACAAAATTAGCCAGGTGTGGTGGCACATGCCTGTAAACCCAGCTACTCAGGAGGCTGAGGCAGGAGAATCTCTTGAACCCAGGAAGCGGAGGTTGTAGTGAGCCCAGATCGCGCCATTGCACTCCAGCCTAAGCAAGAAGAGTGAAACTCCGTCTCAAAAAAAAAAGGTAAAATAAGAAAATTAAAGTAAGCCTAAAAATATTGTTAACACCAAATTACTGTATATTTTCTAATCTGCATAGTAAAAGCTGAAAACACTCAGAATATGTTAAAAATATTAATAGTATGCTACTTTGACAAATTAAAATACAAAGTAAATATAAATTATATTATTTACTGTGATTTATAATAATGGTTCTCAAACGTTTTAATCTCAGGATCTCTTTTTACCTCTTAAAAATTATTGAGGATGCCAAAGAGCTTTTATTTATGTGGATTATATCTATGGATATGAATTGTGTTACACATTAAAACTAAATTTTTCTTTTGGTCAGGTTGATATATCTGAATACAGTAAAATTCACCCTTTATGTATAAAATTATGTGAATTTTGGCAAATCTATACAGTTGTGTAAATGTCACCACAATGAAAATACAGAATGTTTCTATGTTCCTTTGAGATCAATTGTCTCTCTCCACTTTTAGCCCTGTTTTGTGGCTATGTGGTTTTGTATTTTCCAAATATTATATAAATAAAATCATACTCTATGTAGCCTATGAAATCTGACTTATTTCACTTAGCATAATGCTTTTGAGATTCATCTATGTTGTTACAAGCTCTTTGGTTCAGTAGTTCGGTTCCTTCTATTGTGGAGCAATACTCAGTTATAGCTGCACCATGATTTTTTTATCCATTCACTGGTCAGTGGATATCTGGAGTTTTCCAGTTTTTGGTTATTACAAATAAACCTACTATGAGCATTTGTATCCAGGGTTTTGTGGGACATACATTTTCATTTCTGTGGGTAAAGAACCAGGGGTGGGATTGTTGTGTCTTATGGTAAGTGTATGCTTAACTTTATAAGAAATTTTATAAGAAGCAATTCCAAAGTGATTGAACAATTTTGCAGCTTCACCAGCAATGTATGAGAATTCCACTTACTTAGCATTAGCATTCTCATAGCACTTAATATCGTCAGTTTAAAAAATATTTTAGCTATTCTAATAGATGTGTAGTATTATCTTATTGTGGTTTTAATTTGTATTTTCCTAAAGACTAATGATGTTGAGCATATTTTTATGTGCTTATTTTCTGTGAGTATCTCTTCTTTGGTGATATATTATGTCTATTCAAATCTTTTGCCCATTGGTTGTTTGTTTTCTTACTATTAAATCTCGATAGTTCTTTATATCTCCTGGATACCAGTCTTTTATTAGATATAGGTTTTGTAAATATTTTCTACTCTGTGGCTTGTTGTTTCTTTCTCTTTTTTCTTTTAACGGTATATTTCAGAGACATTTTAAAATTTTGATGAAGTCCATGTTATCAATTTTTAATTTTATGGTTCATGCTTTTGTATTCTACTTAAGAAATCTTTGCCTAACCCAAGGTCACAAGGACTTTCTCCTATGTTTTCTTCTAGAAGTTTTATAAAATCTGAGAAATTTTTAAAACAGAAAAAAAAATACTCAAGCACACATTCTGTAAGCCATCAGAGTGTTGTTGTCATCACATGTCATGAAGATTGGAAAGTCCTTCTGTACACTCCTGAGAAAATGAGAGTAAATAAGGCAAATAATATCTCAGAATTATTCTGACAATATTGACCTCATGAGCTTTCAAAAAGGGTTTCAGAGACTCTGAGGAGTCCCTAGACTACATCTGAGAATCATAGATCTAAAATGTAAAGATAATCACACAGAAATTATGAGTGGTAGCATTATATTTCAAATGAAGTAAAATTAAGAGCAATACATTAAAGATGACAAAAGTACTTTCATATTAATAAACTTTCCTTTACCCAATGAAATTATAATAGCTATAAGTTTTATATACCAAATAGCACAGTTTCTTAATATATTTGGGAAGTCTAGAAATACATGGGTAAAGTAAAGTCATTGCAATTGTATTTGAAGATCTTATTCTACCTCTTTATTTCTTTAGGAGATAAAAAGGTCAATAATATAGACATAAAATTTTCAGTCTTTTAAAGAGAAGGTATTATTTGGACTATGTGAAGTTTTATGTCCTGTACACAAAATTACAACTTTTTAAAAAAGCATTTATTGAACATTTAGAAACATTGCTATGTTAGATTTCAGTGTAGAAATTGGTACATGTTCATTCATTCATTCTTTGAATAAATGCAATAAAATTAGAAATTAGCCATATAAATGGGATGAATAAACAAAACAAAAATTACAGGACATTCTTCTAAATAATTCTTAAATCATAAAATAATCAAATACTATATGGATAAACAATATAGACTATAACAAATAAGAGAATATTGTATGCCAAAATTTATAAAATGCTGCCAAAATCTTACTCAAAGGCAAACCCAGAGCCTTAACTTTTATATTAATTAACTAGTAAAGATGACAAAGAAATAAACTGTGCAGCATTCAAAAAAGAAAAGAATAACAATAGATAAGCTTAAGTAGTGATAATTGAATAATAATAACAGTAAAGTCATAGAAAGGAAATATAACTCTGAAAAATCTAATGAAGAAAAAGGGAGAAAATGCAAAAAAAATTGTAAATAAAAGTGAAATATCAAGAAATGACAAAGATATTTTTAAAAAATATTAAGTATATAACATTTTCCTATTAATTTGACAATCTTAATGAGGTAGGTACTTTTTTTGAAAAAAGAACTTCCAAAAGTACATATGAAGAATGGAAAATCAAAAAATATTAATAACCATAAAAGAAATTTAAAAACAAATAAAACCATTATCACCAAAAATTACTGAGACTAGTAGATTTCATAGGAGCATTCTTTCAAACTTTCAGAAAAAAAAATTATATGCTGTACTTTTAAGTCACCTTAGAGAACCAGAAAATACAAATTAATTTTGTGAAGCTAGCATAAAACATGTGCCAAACACAAAACAAAAAGAAAACTATATGTTTCTTTTCAAATTGTTAAATGGAACATGTGACTGTCCTGTGAGAGGTTAATAGTTATTCTATACAGATAGCATTCTGTATATTTAGCAAAATATATTTGATAAATCAGTGGTGAAATAAATCTTAATAGAGTTCATTAATACAGGATATCCTAGAATCTAGAAAATGCTAATATACATTATAAATCTCTATAATTTATGTGACCATGAGAACCTCTCCCATTATTTTTTTCTTTGCCCTGCTCTATATACCTATTAACCATGCACAATCTTTGTCTTTCAAGTGTTCCAGGCATTGGTATGTTCTAGTGTTCTCAGCTACTAGAGAGACTGTCAGAGACCAATACCCCTAACATAGATGTTGAGATCCTAAATGAAGGAGATCAAACTGACACCGGCAGGGTGTTCACAGAATCATTCATCATCATCTTGTAGATTTTATCCTAAGAATGCAAGGTTGATTTACTATTGTGAAACATTAATAGAAATATTTTAGCAGGTTAGATTTAAAATATTATAATTTAAACTGATGGCAAAATGAGCTCTGTATTAATCTGTTTTCATGCTGCTGATAAAGAAGTACCTGAGACTGGGAAGAAAAAGAGGTTTAATTGGACTTAAACCTCTCTTCCACATGGCTGGAGGGGCCTCGGAATCATGGCGGGAGGCAAAAGGCACTTCTTACTTGGCAGCGGCAAGAAAAAATGAGGAAGATGCAAAAGCGGAAACCCCCGATAAAACCATCAGATCTCATGAAACTTACTACCACAAGAACAGTATGGGGGAAACTGCCCCAATGATTCAACTTATTTCTCACTGGGTCCCTCCCACAACACATGGGAATTATGGGAGTACAATTCGAGATGAGGTTTGGGGGTGAGGACACAGCCAAACCATATCATTCTACCCCTGGCCCCTCCAAATCTCATGTCCTCACATTTAAACCAATCCTGCCTTCCCAACAGTCCCCCAAAGTCTTAACTCATTTCAGCATTAACTCAAAAGTCCACAGTCCAAAGTCTCATCTGAGAAATGGCAAGTCCTTTCTTCCTATGAGCCTGTAAAGTCAAAAACAAGTTAGTTACTTCCTAGATACAATGGGGGTACAGGCATTGGGTAAATTCGTTCATTCCAAATGGGAGAAATTGGCCAAAACAAAGGGGCTACAAGCCTCATACAAGCCCAAAATCCAGCAGGGTGGTCAAATCTTAAAGCTCCAAAATGATCTCCTTTGACACCATGTCTCGCATCTGGATCACGGTGATGCAAGAAGTGGATTCCCATGGTCTTGGGAAGCTCTGCCTCTCTGGCTTTGCAGGGTGCAGCCTCCCTCCAGGCTGCTTTCATGGGCTGGCATTGAGTGTCTGTGGCTTTTCCAGGTGCACAGTGCAAGCTGTCAGTGGATCTACCATTCTGGGGTCTGGAGGAAGGTGGCCCTTTTCTCACAGCTCCACTAGGCAGTACCCCAGTAGGGACTCTGTGTGCACATTTCCCTTCTGCACTGCCCTAGCAGAGGTTCTCCATGAGCACCCTACCCCTGCAACAAACTTCTGCCTGGGCATCCAGGCATTTCCGTACATCTTCTGAAATCTACGTGGAGGTTCCCAAACCTCAATTCTCGACTTCTGTGCACTGGCAGGCTCAATACCACGTGGAAGCTGCCAAGGCTTGGGACTTGCACCATCTGAAGCCACAGCCTGAGCTCTACTTTGGCCCCTCTCAGCCATGCATGGCTGGAACAGCTGGGATGCAGGGCACCAAGTCCCTAGGTTGCACACAGTTCGGGGACCGTGGACCGGGGCCAGGAAACCATTTTCTCCTAGGCCTCTGGGTGTGTGATGGAAGGGGCTGCCGCGAAGACCTCTGACATGCCCTGGTGACATTTTCCCCATTGTCTTGGGGATTAACTTTTGGCTCCTCTTTACTTATGCAAATTTCTGCAGCTGGCTTGAATTTCTCCTCAGAAAATTAGTTTTTCTTTTCTATCACATTGTCAGGCTGCGAATTTTCCAAACTTTTTTGTTCTGTTTCCCTTTTAAAACTGAATGCTTTTGACAGCACCAAAATCACCTCTTGAATGCTTTGCTGCTTAGAAATTTTTTCTGCCAGATACCCTAAATCATCTCTTTCAAGTTCAAAGTTCTGCAAATCTCTAGGGCAGGGGCAAAATGCCACCAGTCTCTTTGCTAAAACGTAACAACAGTCATCTTTGCTCCAGTTCCCAAAAAGTTCCTCATTTACATCTGAGACCACCTCAACCTGGACCTTATTGT
Organism: Homo sapiens; assembly: GCF_000001405.40. NCBI lineage: Eukaryota > Metazoa > Chordata > Mammalia > Primates > Hominidae > Homo > Homo sapiens. The sequence continues at coordinate 148,880,950 of NC_000004.12, forward strand.
TCATATCACTATCAGCATTTTTGTCAAAGCCATTCAACAAGTCTCTAGGAACTTCCAAACTTTCCCACATTTTCCTGTCTTCTTCTGAGTCCTCCAAACATTCCAACCTCTGCCTCTTACACACTTCCAAAGTTGCTTCCATATTTTCGGGTATCATCTCAGCAACACCCCTCTCTACTGGTACCAATTTACTCTATTAGTCCGTTTTCACACTGCTGATAAAGAAATACCTGAGACTGGGAAGAAAAAGAGGTTTAGTTGGACTTACAGTTGAACATGGCTGGGGAGGCCTCAGAATCACGGTGGGAGGTGAAAGGTGCTTATTACTTGGCACCGGCAAGAGAAAACGAGGAAGATGCAAAAGCAGAAACCCCTGATAAAACCATCAGATCTCGTGAGATCTCACTACCATGAGGACATTATGGGGGAAACTGCCCCCATGATTCAAATTATCTCCCACAACATGTGGGAATTATGGGAGTACAATTCAAAATGAGATTTGGGTGGGGACACAGAGCCAAATCATATCAGGCTCTAGTAACACAAAAGAGAGGAATATATTCCTTTATGAAATTGGCAAAGCAAAGAGAGCTTTGTTAGAAGCTGACGAGTTTGCTGGATGGTGGACTATCTCAGATCTTGCTGGGGGCAATGTCACTTAGCACAATCTGGGGGACAATATGGTGACACGTGTATTTAATATATAGCAAATTCTTTAAAATTTTGCTATCTAACGATGCCTTAGATTCTAAGAAGAATGATGAGTCCAGGAGAAAGGGAGCACGCACAAGAAGAGAGGAGAGGGCTGGATAATAGTGTCTTTAATTTATAAATTTGCTCCCGTTCTTTGGAATAATCCATCAAGCCATCCTCTGCCCTCCCTTCCCTGACTCTCACTCCCATAGCCAGGAGACTTCAGTGTTAGGAAAATGAAATTAAGTTTCCAAGTAAAAAATCATTACTGATCCCCAAGTAAGTGATGTGTAAATAGTTTTCTCTGATCATGGGTTAAAATGTTACTGAGGTTCTCAAGTCCTATCAGGAAGACAATCTTTGGCTCAGTCAGCTGGGCTGAAGTAGCCAGGTTTTCCCTGAACAGTAATAACTTGAATTGCTCTATTACCCAGGTTCCTGAGAACTGAAAGTGCTCACAGGAGAGTCCAGTTTACCAGCAACTTCCTTGAAAGTCCAGAATCACAACCAAAAGACACAAATATGGTTCTTCAGTCAGAACTTTCCTCCTTTGGGATTCTTCTTTTTCTTTTTTCACATTCATAATACGTACTAGACCTTTGGGATTCTTAATGCTAATGTGTTTTTGAAAATTTTAAAATGCATTTTGTTGTTAGTTACTCCCTGAGTCCAGAGTGTCTGCAGAGCTACAATGCAATGATATCTAAGGGGTGGGTTTTTGTTTCCCCTGCCGTGGTCTTGTAGCCGCAGTGTCATGCTAATGAATCTCCTGCAGGATCACAAAGAACACAGAATGCCAGCAGTGGAAGGGCCTAAATGTCTTTTACAACTATTTGTTATCTTCAAGGTCAGCAAGGATGCACCTGGTAAACACAGATGCTGTAACCTAAATCCCGCCTGCTCACAAAGACTTGTCTCTGATTAGGCTATTTGAATAAAACATTACTTGGAATCTCACATGATACACTCTCGTAGGCTTGTATTTTAAAAATCTGGGTTATGTAGGATATGCTGTATTTTAAAAGATTCAGTGTAGTTTACCAATTGCATATTTTACCTCACTTTTTACAGACTTCTAATAGCCACAGCAGTGGGACTACTGAGGAATATTTCATTTAGATTCCATATAATGAGAATGTAGATACATGTAAAAGTACCAAAAAGACTGAGCTTGTGTGTGTGTGTGTGTGTGTGTGTGTGTGTGTGTGTGTACATGCGCATGTATGTGTTTTAACTATGGGTGTATTGCCATGGCAACATCTGGAGATGGAATAGAGCAATTAACAAACTTTGACAAACTTTTTAACCAAACCTTTGTCATTTTGAGATGTACTAGGATGTGTGCCTACTTGTATTTCTCTTCCTCCTCCTTTCACCACAATTTTAGTTCTTGATGTTCATACCAAAGGATAGTCAATTAAATTCTAAACAACACTCCAAATCGACTTTGAGACTGTTATATAGCAATTATGATTAATTTTTCAACTGGCCTTCATTTAAAAGCCTAGAGCAAAATTTTTTTATCTCATGAGAAAGAATAAGTGAGTGGCGGAAGATTTCTGCTGCAAAGACTTTATTAAAGTGAAATATTATGAAGCACATGATTTAAAGAATGTAATTTTATACTGCCCGTATAATTTAATAATGTCATTTACACTAAGCTCAATGAGATGACAACATCAGAATAATGACACATACTAAAAAGTCATTAAAGCTAATATTAAAAATATTGTTTTATACTTTTAGGTATATAAATAAATTATAATGTATAACTGGAAATCTGGATAAGAAGCAGAGAATGGCTGTGAAAAATCTCTGGCTGATGCAAATATAGGTTCTGACTGCTTTTAATGTACAAATTTCTGATTGATTCGTGGCCCATTGAAGTGAATAATGCTAAATGAGTAAAAAATGTAAGTTCTTGAAGGGCACCAAAAATATACCATATTCACTTCAGCCAGTCACTTATTCTCTCAATGCCTCAGTTTTGTAATCTGTAAAATGGGGTCATTTGTACAATGGAATGAGAAGAGATATGTGAATGGTACCAGGAAAAACAAAGGTGATGAAGTGGACCATAGCCAGGCTGGTCACACAGCCTTGTCTTTCATGTTTATGAGGGTATATTTTTATGATAGATTTAACAAAAATAAAATTGTATTTTTAAAAAGCTCTTTGAGGAGCATGCTTTGCTGCTCTCTGCATGTATGTTCCACTTTTCTCTCTTATTTGTCCTTTTACCTGTACTAATAACTTCGGTTCCCTGATAAATTTAGCTTGTATGTCTCATCATTGTTCCTCCAACATCTTAGTTTTAATTCTCACTCTTATCTAGCTCATTTTCCTGGCGATTTTTAGGTCAAATTTCTGAGAAAGGAAACTTATTGATTTACTTATCTTTCAATGCTAAGTGTCATGTGTCATGAGCCAACAGGTAGACTGACGTAGTACCAGTCCTGGTTTCACCAGCTCTAGCTGATGTGAGTAAAAAGTTCATATGCTTTAAAACATGACTGAGTGGGAAGCAGGAGATCATAGGCTGGAAAATTTCACTCATAAGGGGCTGTGGACAAGTAGGTGCTGATGGATATCTCATGTGCATTTAGACATATTGAACCATTTCAGCTTCCTAAAAGTGACATGATCTTTTGTTCCTCTGGGACTTTGTAGATGTGATATTTCCTCGTCCATTTCTGTAATGGCTCTCAAACTTTGCTCAATAAATAAGATTACTCCCTTGATTTGAATCTCTAATGTCCCTTCCAATGTGGAACTGGGTCTTGGGTCTCTCTTACCATGGCTTGCACATGTGTGCTTTTAATGAGCTGTGTTCATATGTGTTGGGGAAATAGAATCTTGACAGGTAGAATGGAGAAAACCAACGTAAATAAAGTGTAGATACTTTCTTCTGATTAGATGACAACAGTTTCTCAGCAACATCATGCTATCATGGAGCCTTTTTTTCACTTTTTGATTTTGCATCATGAAAAAAAAGAAAAAAAAGACCAAACTTGGAGAGAAAAGAAAGTTGAAAAGGTAAACTGACACTGTCTCTTGTGTATGCAAAGTGTAGAAAGGGGTGACTAGCCTGAAAGAAAAGAGACTAAGTTTTCTAACAAACTGCTCAGGGAAATTTCTCTGAAACAAGCTTGACCTCAGAGGGAGGTAATTTTGACCATCTGAAAGAGGTCCGGGAAGCTCTTGAACTGCACCTTAGATTTTTTCCTTTCAAATGTGTTTCTAAAGTATTTTATGCTGTAATAGTTAATACTATTTAAGTTCAATTATTTTTATAATATATTATCTTTAGAGAAAAAAGATAAAATTTACTTATCTCTATGTTGATCAAATTAGCCAGCAGTTTTAAGCCTTACAAGCTTGGGTCATGTGACTGACACACTATTGCCAGCTTTTGGAATTTCATCTGTCTTGTAGGTTGGTCTTTTGGAGTCATTAAACTCAAGTCAGAATTTTAAAAATTAAAGCTATTAAGTAACAATGAAGTAACATGGGATAATGGCAGTCATGAATGTGGTAATGGAAAGAGTCAAGACTTCTTTTTTGTGGGAAAAAGAAAAAAAAAGAAGGAAAAAAAAACCCTATGGGCTTTGATGTCTGAAAGAGCTGAATTGAGTTCAAATTTTAGCATTTACCTTTTATATAATCTCAAGCATATTTCTTTATGTTATATATATATATTCATTCATCCACCAAATACATAATGAGCATTCATTATGTGCCCTCAACTGTGTGGGGTGCTGAGTACATTGAGGAGAAAAACAATATAGTCCATGGCCTCCGAAAGCCTAATCCAGGGACTACTACCATTTATATTTTAAATAGGAATAAAGTTTTACATTTTTTTCAGATTGAGATAAATATGATTAGTTTAATTCTTTTCCCCAAATTTAAAGTGTTATTATGATTAGAGACTTAATGAAGTTTCTGATGTAAGTTCTTTACCCCTTGTAAATATTCATATAAGTGGTATTCATTATTTACATAGTGTCTTCTAAAATTATAGTCTGAGATTATGATGATGCTGGTGATAAATAAAAGTATATTAGGAATATAATTAACTGAAAATGTTAAGTTACTTAAGTCAGGGAGATAAGTACATAGGTAGTATGATACAACTTGTGTTGTATATAAAAAGAATAATTTTTTCCCGGGTGATTATATATACCATAAATTATTTTTGGAAACCACTGTTAAATAAATTATAAATATAAAACATTAATTGTTCTGGAAAGTCTTTGTAAGAATAGACTTTTCTGAGCTGTTTAAATGAAAGGAGGGAGAAAAGTAAATGAGTTTAGACAGGGAGGATGTTCTGAGTTTAGCGTGCAGCTTGGGAGAAGGCTTGGCTGTGGGTGGGAGTGGAATGAAAATAGGAAAGAAGGCTGTTTGCCCATGTGCTCATGGCAAAGTGAAGCTCCCCAGAGGAATAAAGGAATCTAAAGGGAATGAAGGATAAAGAGGCAGTGATTAAATAGATTAATCCTAATCTGAAGTGTAATAGATTCCTGCAAAGTGAAAAAGTATACTTCATTGTTCAGATGATGGGCACCAGTGGGTGAAGGGCGCTTTTGAAGTCAGACACTGCTATGGAGAATAGTGAGAGGAGCCTTAGTTCCTAGAGACTGAAGAGAGGAAAAACGCAGGGCCCTGCAAATGGTAGGGAAGTTCTAGTTCTTGGAAATACTGCCTAGGATTATGGCAATGTACTTACCCTTTCTAAGTCCTTGGAAGAGATATAACTATAATCAGAGAAGATAGCTTGGCAATGGCAATGCGTTTCCTTTCCTGGAAATTCAAGAAACCAGATCTCAAACTGAACTGTAGGAATTGAGAGGCAAAGGGAAGGATAAGGGGGTGGAGGGAGAACAAGTTTAGAAGAGAACAGGTAATATAGGTCAAGCTCGAGGAGCTCATAGAACCTGGAAATATCACCAGAGGCTACCAAAGGCAATAGAAACCTTTTATAGTGTGACCTAGATTGAGCACCAGGGCCATGGAGTGAACAGGAACTCCGAATGGAGCAAGTCTAGTTTGGACTTTCACATTGGACAGGGAATCTGGAGAGCATATCTTTGAAACAGTCCATGTAAAAGACAATTCAGAGATTTTACCAGAGAAGAGACATTCAATAAGTCCTAAAGAAGAGTGGATCAGAAGATTAGGGCAATGTATCAACCGTCTGGGAATATTAGAAAAGATCAGTTACCTTTAGAAATACCTGAGAATCATTTTATGCTTCTCGAAAGTCTTTTATATATCATTTTCTGTATCATCTTTCATCTAATGTAGAGTGTGAAGAGCTAGCATAAAAATGTGGCCATGTTTTCCAAGTTGATATCAATTAGAGTCTGTTTAGAGAACAATTTAAGATTATCCTGCTATACGTGGCAGTGCGGCCCCAGCTCTTCACAGAGAGTGGGCAGATTTTACAAGCATTATCACAGTGCGTTAGCTATTATTACTTTAAATATGTAAATAAGTTGTTTCTAAAGCAGACATACTGACATAGTTCTTCAAAGTTGTTCCTGAAATTCCTACTACCTTAAACTGTGAGTAAATTAGATGAACAATTTATTTGTAAATCCATTCTACAAATATTTATTAAGCACTTACTGTTTACAAGGTACTATTCTAGGTGTTGAGAATATAGAAGCAAATCAAGAAGATTTAGTTTTTGCCCTCATGGAGTTGACATTCCATTGGTGATGGATGTGAGTAGGACATAAGATATGAGTTATTAAACACACAACAAGATCATTTTAGGTCATAACATGTAGGACACAGAAAATGCAACAGAATGATATGACAAAAGGGAATGGGGTGGGGTGGGGCTTGAGTGATCATGAAAGAGACCTCTGGGATGGTGACATTTGAGCTGAAACCCAAAAGACACGGCTGCTGGGGGAAGAGGGGATGGCTGAAGGGGGAACAAATGCAAAGGCTTAAAGCAGCAATGAGCTTGGTGGGGTTTCTAGGACAGAGAGGGTGTGAGACAGGCTAGAGTGGGGAGAGAGGGAAGAACAGAAGGAGATAAAGCTGGAGAGAAAGACACAGTCCAGTCACACAGGCCATGGCATGGCATGGAATTGGGAATTTATTCCCAGCATAGTGGGAAGCCATTTAATGAAGAGCAACCTTTTTTTTTTTTTTTTTTTTTTTTTTTTGACAGGGTCTTGCTCTGTCACCGAGGCTGGAGTGCAGTGGTGCGATCTCAGCTCACTGAAACCTCCACCTCCTGAGTTCAAACAATGCTTGTACCACAGCCTCCCAACTAGCTGGGATTACAGGCATGAGCCACCACACTGGCTAATTTTTGTATTTTTAGTAGAGATGGGGTTTCACCATGTTGGCCAGGCTGGCCTCAGACTCCTGACCTCAAGTGATTCGCTCACCTCGGCCTCCCAAAGTGTGGATTTACAGGTGTGAGCCACCATGCCAGGCTTTTTTTTTCTAAATATCTCTTTTTCTAAATATCTCCTTTATTACTGATGAAAGTAACATTGGAGAATGTGACCAAAACATCAAGTTTATTATTTGACAAAACTGATTATATCAGTCCATTTTGTGTTGCTATAAAGGAATGCCTGAAATGAGGAATTTATTTTAAAAAAAGAGCCTTATTTTGGCTCATGGTTCTGCAGGCTGTACAAGAAGCATAGTGCTGGCATCTGCTTCTGGAAGGACCTCAGAAAGCTTATAATCATGGTGGAAGGGGAGAGGGTGCAGGTGTGTCACATGGCAAGAGAGAGAGCAAGAGAGAGAGGGGAGGATGTACCAGGCTCTTTTAGAAACCAGCTCCCTTGCAAACTAATAGATTGAAAATGCACTCATTATCATAGGGAGCACATCAAGCCATTCAAGAGGGATCTAACCCCATGACCCAAAGACCTCCCACTAGGCTCACCTGCAACATTGGGGATCACTTTTCAATGTGAGATTTGGAGGGGACAAATATCCAAACCGTATCACTAATATTTTTGGGAATGTGACCAAAATATCAACTTTATTATTCATAAAACAAACAGAGAATGTGGGCTGTATCTATTGATAAAGTGGTATTCCAAATATTAGACAGCATTAGGATTAGAATTGCCTGCCCCATCACAGGAAGCATTGGATTGGGCTGTCCCTTGAGAGTCTTGCCCTTCTAAGACTGACAGCCTAGAAGGACAAAACAGAAAGGTATTCTGGAAGCCGATTGATCTTAAAGAGTCTAGTGGAGGAGTTTAAGTAGAAAGTGACACCACACAATTTTAGAAGTACAAGAAAAGATTGAATTCTCTGCTTTCTTCCTCACTTTTTCGCTTTATCAAACACTCACAGAGACTCCTTCGCGCATCAGTCACTGTGCTACTTGCTAGTGATCCAAGCAAGATTCTAACCTCAAGGATCCTCTAGCTTTATGATAGAGATGACATATTAACTAATGCTGGTAGAGGTTTCAGCCAGCAGAGGTTTGTTTAGGGGAAAGAATTTCTTATTCAGGAAAATGATAGAATGGGCTGTTTTAATTATAAAACACAAAGTATCTTAGAGGTAGTATGGTGGAAGAGATTTGGACAGATGAGCAAAACTGATCCACATAATAAATGTGAAGAATTTGGAGTTTTCATATTGGTCCTGAGGAATTGAAATAAAGTAGAGAGAGCAGTGGAAAGGATTTTAGAGTGAGACATGACACTAGGCAGCAGGCTGGGCTCTCAGGAGAGGCAGGGCCAGTGAAAATTTCCTGTTGTGGAGAAGTTTTAAGGAATATGGAAGGTAAAGTTATTTCTTGTACTGGGCTGCAATTAGTGCCTGTTATTTATGACCTTATTTATGACCTTACGAAAAGCCTGTTATGTCCAGCAACCTTATATTCCTGGTAAGTTGGAGGAATGCAGGAGAAGGAAATTTTTATTGTGTGGGTGAAATGCTGGAAAGCAAAGAGGTACTCTTGGAGGTAGGTCGACGAATGAGAAGAGGGGGTCAGAGTGAGTGGTGGCCAGAACCTAAGCCCCTTGGAAATTCAAGCTAATGAGGGAGGACTGCCTGGAGTTTTCCACCCAAGCAATTTAATGTAGGCTTTGAAGGAAATATGATGACCCAGAACTAATGAGGACTTGGAGACTTTGGGTGGCAAATATTGAGTTAAACAGATTATTATTGCATAGAATAATAAATGCAAGAATATTGCACAAAAAGCTGGGGGGTTAAAGGTATTGCCTAAGGAAGGCAACAGGAATTAGCTGTGAAGTTGAGGATGGGTGTGGGTGAGGATGAGGCTTCCCAGGCAGAGGAAATATTGTGGGTGCAAAGGCCCAAAGCAATCAGGGTATTAATTGCAAGTTAATTCCAAGCATCTGAATTATACAACTGAAGAGGGTAGGAAGTAGTGGGACTGAAAAGAGGAGTAAGCATCAGATCCTAAAGAACTTTCTGTGCTCTACTCTGGGCCCTATTCTGATGACAGGGGGATAGAGGAAGATCTTTGAAGGCTTGAAGAAAATGACACTTAAAACTTCATATCTTTTAAAATGCATTTAAGCAATAAAGAAGTAGCACTTTAGGCAGATTTCAAGTTGGCTACGAAGTGAACATAAGCTTCTTTAAAGGTCCTTCTCATTTCTCCTCTCTCCTGTTGAAACTTCTGGTCATTCCAGACTTCCACACTCTCAGACCATATCCTGGGGCCAGGATGCCTTCCTTCCCCTGGGGGCATCACCTGCCAGGGGTCTGGTCTCCCTGCTGTATCTTCTTTTCCTCATCAAAGATGACTGGTGTAGTCTGGAGACCTTGTCCTCTGCTAAAGGGCTAGTTCAGCACATATTTCTTTGCATGAGCATCTTCTCACGAGGGCCGAGAGGAGGTGAACTTGCACTTACTGAGCATCTTCCCTGTGCCATGTTACAAGCGTCATGTCCAGCACCTGGCACTGTGCCTGGGACATGGTATTAGATGAATGAAAAAGCCTAATTAATCATCATAACTGGTTCTATCTTGTTCCAATTTAGGGATGAAGAAATTCAAATTCAGGTGATTATTAAGCTTATCCAAGGTCACATAGCTGCTGGGTAGCTCAGTCAGAATTTAAACTGAAGTGACTGGCTTTCCAAAACCACAATTTTGTCAGTTTATCATAATGTGTCACTCACAGAGACATAATTAAAAAGAACTTCAGAAAAGAAGCTACCAGTGTGCGTCGTAATATTCTTATGGAAATGATGGAGAAATAGGATGTGGATCTAGGATAATTAAATGGATACATACCTTGTTTAACAACCACACATAAAGGCATTGATGGATTGATTATTGTGGGCTCAGAATAAAGTGTGAAGTAGCTAACCCAATGTGAAGTCCTCAAGCAAGTTCGCCTCAGCAATTTTGTTTATGACTTGAGTGGAGATATATTGGTAATATTTATTTAATTTGCAATAATAGAAATTCTGGAAGGCTAGCAAGAATGAAAGACAATTCAAAATTCAGAACAGTCTAAAATATTGGATTGAATTCTCTCTGAGGTTTTAATAAGAAAAATTCCATACATACAATAGAGTTGACAGAATACTACAATGAATATTCATATACCAAGTCCTTAGATTAATAACTGTTAACATTTTATCAGTTTTCTTTACCTGTCTTAGCAAATATCGAATTTTTTACTATTTGGAAGCAAATTGCAGACCTCATGAAACTTTGCCATTTCACATCTTCTAAATATCTTATACAACTCTAGTACTATGGATCACACCTAAGAAAATTAACAAGAATTCCCTCAGATCATAATACCAATCCACATTTAAATTTCCTCAAAATTTTTTTATTGTGGTAAAATATACACAACGTAAAATTTACCCTTTTGATTTTTTTTTTTTTTTTGAGATGAAGTCTCGCTCTGTCGCCCAGGCTGGAGTACAATGCCACGATCTCAGCTCACTGCAACCTCTGCCTCCCAGGTTCAAGCAATTCTCCTGCCTCAGCCTCCCAAATAGCTGGGACTACAGGCACACACCGCCACGTCCGGCAATTTTTTTGTATTTTTAATAGAGACGGGGTTTCACCATGTTAGCCAGGATGGTCCTAATCTCCTGACCTTGTGATCTGCCTGCCTCAGCCTCTTAAAATGCTGGGATTACAGGTGTGAGCCACCACACTGGCCCCTTTTGAATGTTTTTAAGTGTACAGTTCATTGGCAGTAAGTATATTGTTGTGCAACCATCACCACCATCCATCTCCAGAACTTTTTCATAATCATTCTCAATTTTTGCTTCACTGAATTTGAAATGAAACTTTGTAGGGAGTGCATATGATCTGATATCTGGATGTAAAAACCAACTTCATAAGCATGAGGCCAAGGAGATGGGAACATATCTATAGCATGAGTGAAAAACAATTATGGGTCTTAGCCAACAACAGGCTCAATTGTGATTGCCAAAGCGTAAGTGCAAACTTAGATTGAAGAATAGTCCTGGATTCAGGACTGCCGTTTTCTGCACTGCCCACACGCTATGTATTGTGTCCAGTTCTCAGTTCTATACCATTGGTAGTCAGAAAACTGTCACCAGGAAGATGAAGGGATTTAAAAACACATTGAGAAAGAGGAACACATTTTAGAAAGAGGAAGAAATTGAGTATTTGAGTCTTGGGAAAAACAAAAGTTAACTCTTTGACTAAGAGATGTCTATTAACTGCCTTGGAATAGTAAAGAACCACCATTTGGAAGGTATCCTTGTTTCTTCTAAGGGTAGTTCACAGACTACTAGAGGAAACTACCATGGGAGAGACATCAGTTCAAATAGAGTAATTTAATAATAATGGTTAGAGTTGATCAAAAGCGTTGCCTTAGGAAGTAGCTAGTTCTCTGACACAAGTGCCCTTCACTGTAATACAGGCAGAAGACATCCAAACACTGAGTGGCTTTTTAGATTAGGTGATCTTAGTCTAACTATTTTTTATTCAGGATCTTTTTGGTTGCAAGTGACAGAAACCCAAATAATACCTTCTTAGGCAAAAGAGGAATTTTTTGAAAGAATGCTTGAGAAATTGTGTATAATCAGCATTTGGGCTGAACACTGAAACTCAAGGAGGATGGAGCACAATTCTCTTTCTCACTCTCACTCTCACTCTCACTCTTGTTCTCTTCCTTATACTTGCTCCACTCTCATTCTAGCTCTGGTTTCTTTTTCTCTCAGTGATTCAAAGCAGCCTGGTAAGAAAAATAAGGTGTTGACTGTTTCTGAATTTTAACATGCCTGGTTGAAGAATCCTGGTGAAAGACTCTGTGTTGCCAGTCAACTCTGCCAAGAAAAAATGATGATCAATGAATTTACTCAGTTTGCTACATTGTGAGCTCTTTCAAGTAACAAGGGAGTCTATCATAAAAGTTTCAATGCTACAAAGGACAATGGTGAGGTTAAGACCCTGTCCTCCCTTAAGTGACATGGACAGTCAGTTCTGAAAGGAAATATCAGTCTGCAGAATCCATGGCAAATTCAAGCTACCCCATAGGAGAAAATGCTTGAAGGTCACCTGGAAGTACCGCATTCAATGTTGTAGCATATTTGGGAGCCACTGGGAAATCCGTGCCACCCACAGACTGGCCAGGAATGCAGCAAATAAAGTAAGGCTTTTATTTTCTGAGAAAGTATGGGAAAACTGTGAGGCAAGGGTAATGGTGCATAGCAGCTCAGGCTCTGCAAACATTTGCATTGTGGCTGAAAGCCAAGGCTAGGGCTTGGAACCTGCAGGACTGTAGATGAGATCCTGGTGTTGTAGCAGAAAAGTCCATTCTTCACTGTACACAAAGGAAAGTTGATCCTCAAGGTGAAATAACAAGTCGGTGGCATAAATTTCCTTAACATGAAAGTTTCTCGACTCCCATCTCTTCTTTTTTATATACCATCTTGCCTTTGAGAAATTATGTTAGCTCTGCAGGGGTCCAATTTGGCTTCCTAGGCATTTATGGTCTGAGAAGTACTCAGGCTTAACTTTGTAGAGGGGGACAAATATCCCCAAATATCAGTTCATGGGGTCATTGCAAAGACACCAATTGAAGAACTTTCTATTTTAACTTTTGCATTAGTTATTTTTAAATTTGCAGAGTATTTTTGTGGAGTCAGGGTGTCACTGTGTTGCCCAGGCTTGTCTCAAGTGATCCTCCCACTTTGGCTTTCCAAAGTGCTAAGATTACAGGCATGAGCCACTACACCTGGTCATGTGTATTAGTCTGTTCTCACACTAGTTTAAAGAACTGCCCAAGACTGGGTAATTTATAAAGGAAAGAGGCTTAATGGACTCATAGTTCCACATGGTTGGAGAGGCCTCAGAAAACTTACAACCACGGTGCAAGTGGAATCAAGGACTTTCTTCACATGGCGTCTGGAGAGAGAAGAAGCCTGGAAAAACTACCGTTTATAAAACCATCAGATCTCTTGAAAATTCACTCACTATCATTAGGACAGCATGGAAGAAACCGCCCCATGATCCAATCACCTCTGTCCCTTGACATGTGGGGATTACAAGTTCCTCCCTTGACACATAGGGATTACAGTTCGAGATGAGATTTGGGTGGGGACACAGAGCCAAACTATATCACCATGCATATTAGTTTTGCTGTGAAATTATTCATTTTTGAAAAAAGTTCTACAAGTTGTAACAGGGAACTAGGGAAGAGAACACAAATATGTCACCTGCCCTGGGAGCTAAGCACTCTCTTAGCTGCCCACCTTCCAAATTTCCAAGTCTTATCTGTATCTCTCTCCATCCCTGTAAGGTTAACTTGGAACTAGGCCAGCTCCAGGAAAGTATGAAGCAGGATTCAGATTGAAAGTCTGTTGGTACAGCTAATCTGGCTTTTGTACAATCTGCTATGGAAGTGAAAGTAAGATGAGGATGATGATGATGATGATGATTACAATGATGGCAATGGGTTGCCCTGCCAACCAGCAAGTGCAGGTGGATCTGTTTTGCTATTCTGAGAACGTTGTTGGAGTGCAGAGGTAACTAATGAAATGAAAGCTAAAGCGTGTGCACACTTGCTTCTTTGAAAACCCATAAGGAGAATGTCAAATGTTTGAATGTTTTATTATATTTTATATTTCATAAGATGCTGCAGGGTACAGAAAGAATAAAAAGTAATGGTTTAAAAATGGAGGAGCAGGAGTAATGAGTCCTAGAATTGAAAATAACCATCACCCTTAGTTACTGTGGGTAAATAATACACTATAAAAGCCTTGGGAGGGAGAAGGGCATTGACTGAAAAGAGTAGCCCTGACAGTGAATCTAATTAGGTCTACCAAAAAAAATAAAAAAACAGTTGGGACAAATGAGAAACAACCTTACCTTCTCTTCCCAAAGAATTATGCCATAAAAGATAAAAGCGGCATCATTTGAGAGAATTTGCTACAGAATATAACAGTGGCTGCAGTGACAACAAAAACGTTCTTGCCTCACCATGAGTTATGGATGAAACCTATGTCTATGACAAATGTGCCTCATGAAAGCTACAGCATTTCAAAATATATGCTTTTCCTCCACTGCATCTTTTGATACAAAACACATAATCTATTGAAGATGTATGCATGTTCATGCTCAGAGTAACTAAGAGTGAGTCCTGCACGATTGGGATGTGGAACGCAGGCCACTGCTTTTCTTTTGTAGTCTTCAGGGAGCCTCCAAACATTTTAGTGTGTGTCTGTGTGAATATGTTTTAGAAGGCGGGCTTCTGGGGGTGGCAATGTGTCTTTTTAGGTTGCTCAGCAATGTAGTTTTTACACGACTACTTGAACTTTGGAAATGGAGCAAACCATTTATAAAATGTGGGAAGACATTTCTTTTTTCCTTAAAATATGTATTTCTCAGCATAAACGGCTATTTGTTGGACAAATTGAGGAGAATGTGTGTGAAGAGTATTGCCCTAGGTTCCTCAGGGAGAATGAAGTAGAGTATGCAATTTGTCAAGGCAGTGTTTTCACACCTTTTTGACTGTGACCCACACTTAACACATTTTACATTATACCCAAGATATGTATAAGTGCACACGTGTGTGCACACACACACACACACGTGAAACAAAGATTTCATGAAACAATAATTACCCTGGTTGTGTGCAATGCTCTTGAATGTTTTCAATTCTTCTCTATTCTTTCTTTCTTCTCTTTTTTTTTTTTGCTATATATTAAATTTGTTGTACCTTGATGTTTGAAAAACTCTGAATTCAAGGACACCAGAGCACATGTGCTCTGTCCAACAGGTTGGCGATAAGCTCTAGGAGGGTAGAGGCATCTCTAGTGCCTAGCGTAGGATTTAATACATTATGGGTACTAAACACATGTTGGTTTAGGTCTAATTAGGTCTACAAAAAATTATTATCAACACCATCCTCTAATTATTTGACCTTGGGCAAGTCATTTAACTTCTCTGTGCCTTGATTTTCTCACCCATGAAAAGATGCTACTAGTATTAACCTCTTGGCTTTGTTGTGAGGTGAGAGCATCTAGAACAGTGCTTGCCACATAGTTAGCTATCATTTTTATTGCTCATGCTATGATTAAAGACTCCGTGGCAAATGTTGTCAATTATGGCCAACTTACTTGGCCATTATCTCATTTATTCATTTCAGTAGTGCCTCTTAAGTTCCTTGAACAATGCTAACTAAGCATTTTACATTCATTTCTTTTGTTATCTTCTCAACAACCCTATGAGGCAGGGACTACTAGTGTCGGTTTATAGATTAGGCTTATAAAGGTGAGCTGTTTGCCTAGCATAACACGTCTAGTCCTTGACAACAGGCCTGTATGAATCCAAAGCCTGAGCAGTTATGGTGAGGGAAGGGGAGTGGGGCCAAAGGTATTTCAGGCAGATGATTTGCCAATTGCGGAAGTCCAGGGCATGATCCTAACACTGTACTTCATGTATGTTGCTTCCCCTCTGATTTTTGTAAATACTGTGAATTTGATAAGTTGCATGAAAGGTAGAAAAGGTTCATATCATCATATCATTTTCAGCATAGAAAAGAATAAGGGAAGTACAGGTTTACAGGCACATTTTGTTTTTTTGGGCTTCCCTTATTGTGCCTTGCTTCTTTGTGATTTTTTACAAATTGAAGATGGTGGCAACCCTGTGTAGTGAGGCTATTGGTGCCATTTTTCCAACAGCATTGCTCACTTTGTAACTCTGTGTCAGCCTGTTTTAACAATAAGGTATTCTTAAATTAAGGTATATACGTTGGTTTTTTTTAGGTGTAATGCTACTGCACACTTAATAACTGCAGCATAGTGTAAACATAACTTTCATATGTTGTGGGAAATCAAAAAATTGTGACTCACTTTATTACAATATTTGTTTTAATATTGTAATTGACCTAGAAACAAATCTGTAATATCTCCTAGGTATGCCTATTGTATTAGTTCATTTTCATACTGCTAATGAGGAATACTCGGGACTGAGTAATTTATAAAGAAAAAGAGGTTTAATGGACCCACAATTCCACATGGTGGGGGAAGCCTCACAATCATGGCAGAAGGTGAAGGAAGAGCAAATGCACATCTTACATGGTGGCAGGCAAGAGAGCCTGTGCAGGGGAACTGCCCTTTACAAAACCATCAGATCTCATGAGCTATTCACTATCACAAAAACAGCATTGAAAAACCCATCCCCATGATTGAATTACTTTCCACTGGGTAATTCGATGAGGATTATGGGAACTACAATGGGGATTATGGGAACTACAATTCAAGATGAGATTTGGGTGGGGACATAGTCAAACCACATCATTCTGCCCCGGCCCCTCCCAAATCTCATGTCCTCACATTTCAAAACCAATCATACCTTCCTAACAGTCCCCCAAAGTCTTAACTCATTTCAGTATTAACTCAAAAGTTTGCAGTGCAAAGACACATCTGAGACAAGGCAAGTCCCTTCTGCCTATGAGCCTGTAAAAGCAAAAGTAAGTTAGTTACTTCCAAGATGCAATGGGGGTACAGGCATTGGGCAAATGCACCCATTTCAAATGGGAGAAATTGGCCAAAATGAAGAGGATACAGGCCCTATGCACATCCAAAGTCCAGCAGGGAAGTCAAATCTTAAAGTTCCAAAATGATCTCCTTTGAATCCATGTCTCACATCTAGCTCATGCTGATGCATGAGAGGGTTCCCATGGTCTTGGGCAGCTCCTCCCCTGTGGCTTTGCAGGGTACAGTGCCCCCCTCCTGCCTGCTTTCATGAGTTGGCATTGAGTGTCTGTGGCTTTTCCAGGTGCATGGTGCAAGCTGTCATTGAATCTACCATTCTAGGGTCTGGAGGATGGTGGCCCTCTTCTCATAGCTCCATGAGGCAGTGCTGCAACGGGGACTCTGTGTGGGGTCTCCCACCCCACATTTTCCTTCTGCACTGCTCTAGCAGAGGTTCTCCATGAGGGCACCACCCCTACCCCTACAGCACAACTCTGCCTAGACATCCAGGCATTCCTATACCTCCTCTGAAATTTAGGTGGAGATTCCCAAACCTCAATTCTTGAGTTTTGTGTACCTGCAGGCCCAACACCACATGTAAACCACCAAGGCTTGGGGGATTTACACCTTTTGAAGCAATGGCCTGAGCTGTACATTGGCCCCTTTTGGCCATGACTGGGACACAGAGTACCATGTCCTGAGACTGCACAAAGCAGCAAGACTTGGGCCTTGCCTACAAAACCATTTTTTCCTCCTAGGCCTCTGGGCCTGTGATGGGAGGGGCTGCCATGAAGGCCTCTGACATGCCCTGGAGACATTTTCTCCATTGTCTTGGTGATTAACATTTGGATCCTTGTTACTTATGCAAATTTCTGCAGCCAGCTTAAATTTCTCCTCAGACAATGAATTTTTCTTTTCTATTGCATAATCAGGCTGAAAATTTTTCAAACTTTTGTGCTCTGCTTCCCTTTTAAATGTAAGTTTCAATCCCAAGCCATATTTTTGTGAATTCATAAAACTGAATGCTTTTAACAGCACCCAGGTCATCTCTTGAACACTTTGCTGCTTAGAAACTTCTTCCACCAGATACCCTAAATCATCTCTTTCAAGTTCAAAGCTCCACAGATCTACAGGGCAGGGGCAAAATGCCACCAGTCTCTTTTCCAAAACATAACAAGAGTCACCTTTATTCCATTTCCCAAAAGGTTCCTCATCCCCATCTAAAACCATATCAGCCTGGACTTATTGTCCGTATCACTATCAGCATTTTGGTCAATGTCATTTAAGAAGTCTCTAGGAAGTTCCAACTTTTCCACATTTTCCTATCTTCTTCTTAGCCCTCTAAACTCTTCCAACCTCTGCCTGTTACCCAGTTCCAAATTTGCTTCCACATTTTTGAGTATCTTTATAGCAATACCCCACTCTACTGGTACCAATTTACTGTATTAGTTCATTTTCATACTGCTATGAAGAAATACCCAAGACTGGGTAATTTATAAAGAAAAAGAGGTTTAATGGGCTTATAGTTCCACATGGCTGGGGAGGTCTCACAATCATGGTGGAAGGCAGAGAAGGAGCAAAGGCACATCTTACATGGAGGCAGGCAAGAGAGCATGTGCAGGGGAACTGCCCTTTATAAAACCGTCAGATTTCATGAGACTTATTCACTGTCACGAGAATAGCATGGGAAAAACTGTCCCCATGATTGAATTACTTTCTACTGGGTCCCTCCCATGACATGTGGGGATTATGGGAGCTACAATTCAAGATGAGATTTGAGTGGGGATACAGCCAAACCATATCACCTGTACTTCTTTCTGATTTTCCATACAACTACTTTCTTTGGAAGCTGCTTCTCTTCAGCACTGTGGGTGTGGTACTCCCTTGGTGGCAGGATGGAGTCAGCCAAAAGGAATTAAAGCTCCAAATTTGACAGAGGCCAAGAAAATGTGGCAAAAGTTAGGTTACCTAAAAAGCAGGAATAAGAGATACCCAGGGTAAAATGGACAAATCTTAGACAATGGTGTACCAAGTAAATAAGAACACATAAACAGATAAGGTTTTGAAACTGGTGATATCAGGGAATGTAGACTGGACTGGTAATGCCAATTGCCTGGGGATGGTTTTATTTGCCCAGGTGCCACTTTTGAAGGGGTAGCGCTGTCCTATCCTTGGTTCAAGCCTTGAATTTTGGAATCCGGTTTCCAATAATGATGGCAATTGCAGCCATTGTGTTCAGCAGCTTATGGCTCTTTCTTCAAATAAAATTCTATTTCTTATTAACTATAACTTACTTGCTTATTAAAAATTTCTTTTCAAACTTAGGTCATAGAAGTGAAGTACATTTATTGCACCTCCTCTCTGGTGTTCCAAGATGAGATTTGAAAAGCAATTCACTTTTGTTTGTCTTGGAGGAGACCAAGTGCTCTCTACCTGTTAAACATCACATCTGGCATCATAGGATTAAAAGTCACACTTTCTGCCACTTGGCTTAGTCTCTGAGGGAAATGGTTGAGGCATTCTTAACTTGTTAACTGGACCATTTGATGAGTGAGAAACCCTTTCTTGTGGAATGGGAATTTCCTTTTCAAGGATGTACTTATTACAACCTTTTTACCAAATCTGCCTATTGTGTAGTTTGCTGGACTTCCCGTTGCATCCTTGACCTATCTCAGATTATGTCTGTCTCTTCTTGGAACAGATAAAGGCCCTTTGTTAGAAAGGACTCCCATGATTTGGTGGCTTTTACACACCAGAGAACTCAGCTGCTGTCTAACCCCCACTCTCCATTTCCTTGGATGCTTCCAGGCAGCCTCTCATCATCTCTATCAAACTACCAAATATACACACACGTATGTTAAAATATTTAGCCTGTACACCATGGACCATGGGTACTGGCCTTAATAAACCACTTGTATTGACTGAATAATAGTCTAGCTCACCAGTACTTTATATTATCATCCCAAGCCATAAATATCTGAGGAAAAAGAGATATTTCTTATATTAGAGGAGCATTCTCCTTTGGTCAGGAATGGCAGGTTTGGAACAGAAATTCCTGGACTGTTCTTTGAATTATGTGCTCAGCTCTGATGCTACTTTTTACTGAGGGCCACCTCTCACTTAGCTGGAAACTCGTGGAATACCCTCTGCTTTGTAAAGTCTTTTACCACTACTTGCTGTTACTGTTAGCAGTTTTATTCTGTTAGGCCGTCTGAGCTGGTATTTCTACCTGTGAAATGACTGTTTCTCTCCATTTGTCTATTGTCTCTTCTGCTAACCTTTAGTATGTCACTGAACAAAGTTGTATGCAAATGTGTAAGTCTACTGAAAGGCTTTGAAAATTAAAGGACATTGCAATGACTCAGGAAAGTTTGTGCAATTCTCCTTTAAATATGACATTTACCATAATCCTACCCATTTAAGGGAAAAGCATTTGAAAGCTAAACCGTTCAGATGTTCTTTCTAGCAGATTTTCTCAACAACAGTACTGTTGACACTTTGGGCCAGATAATCGTGTGTTGTGGGGGCCATTCTGTGCCTTGTAGGATGTTTAGCAACATCCCTGGTCTCCACTCACTAGATGCCAGTAGCACTTCCACAATGACAACCAAAAAATGTCTCCAGACATTGCCAGATGTCTTCTGGGGGTCAAATATCCCCTCTGTTTGAGGAGCACTGCCCTCTAGAGCCTTGCTCTTCAAAATGTGATCTGAAAACCAGCAGCATTGACATTAGCAAACTTGTTGGAAATGCAGAATCTGCCTGAACCACAGGTGTACCTAATAAGAATCTGCATTTTAACAAGAACCCCTGGTGACTGATATTCAAAACCTTAAATGCTTTGAAGCCTTGCTTCTCTCAGAGCTCCTTTTCATCTTTCCTGGATAAATTACCACCTTTTGGGAAATTCCTCAAGCTGCTCACAGGTATTTGTGTTGACTCAACACCTACAGCCTCCCTGCTTCCTTCCAGTAGTACCTGCTGTGCTGGACCCCTGTTAACTACAACAGGGATGACACCAGGTTCAGGAAGCCGACGAAGAGATTCAGAGCCAGTGAATGGAACATAGGGTGTATTTGAGGGAACTTACTTACAGGGTTGTCCAGTGTCAGTGGGCTGGACAGGAGAACCGCTCTCACTTATAAAAAGCATGCAGTTTATATACATAGCGTCTTCACTTAGCTCCCTCCCCGCCATAACCTCCATGTGGTAGCCCTCATTTCTTAAGTTATTGCTGTCAGGTATGTCTACCACACAGCACCTTTCCTCAATCCTGGTTATATACAAGCATATACAATTTCTCTCTTGTTTCAATATATATACTGGTTTTTATGTTGTTCCCTAGTCTCAGCCCTGTGCTTTTATTCTATGAAGTTGGGCCTTCCTGGACTGGGTATTCAGGCTATAATAGTGCTCCAGAGGCTCTAGACTAATATTCCAGAAGATGACCCTGGGCTGAGGAGGGAAAAAGGAATTTGGGTCTTTAAGTCTGTAGAAACAGCTGAGATGGTACTGACACTCTGTGTGTGGCCACTTTGATGTTTCCTTGCTTGAGGCATTTGAAAGGAAGCCTAGACTGACTTTGTATTTAAGGTTATCAGCCTTCATCAATTAGTATTACACATGATAACCCATGAGATTCAGAATCTATGAACTGACATGAAAACATCAAAAGTGTATTAGTCTGATGCCACTGACACTCTTCATTTCCACTAGTCTTAAATGTTAGAATCCAATATAATTGCTTAACAATCAAAATGAATTAATTTATATACTCGAGTACTATACTACTGTTGCTAATATACCTGCATTATTTTGACACTGAATGTCCAAGTTTCTTTTAAAATTATTGTTTGGTTATCTAGTCTATGTTATTAAAATTCAGAACTGGGACAAAACTTCCACCCACTTTTACGTACTTATGCTCTTTGCATCTCAATTCATAGGTGGTTTTTTAGTAATTAAAGGGAACCAGTTGCTGGGCATGCTGGCTCATGCTTGTAATCCCAGCTACTTGGGAAGCTGAGTTGGGATGATTGCTTGAGCCCAGCATTTGAGACTAATCTGGGCAACATAGTGAGATCCTGTCTTAAAAAATAAACAAAAGAAAAAAAAAAACGGTAACTATTGGGAATCACACATGTGTCAGTCCCTGGGAGACAATGTGAAAATTGTGAGCCCTATAGTTATAGACCTAAGAGGGCTGGGTATCAGGTGAGACAAGTGAGGTACTAGGACACAGGCACACTTTCCTGGGTTTCTGCAAGTGCTGACTCTAGTCCTAGACCTAAGACCTAGTATTTTCAATCTGTCGGTGGTATGTTTTCCTCTAAATTCATTTCTCTGTCACTGAACTCTTGGTAACAACTAATTTCTCCATTATTTAAATTGTTTCCTAGACTCAACTCCATGCTTTTATTCCATGAAATTTGGTCTTCCTGGACTGCTATATCTAATGGAGTTACTCCAGTAACTTGATGATCAGGAAAGATATAATTCAGGAGACCAGACTTGGAATTTTGTTTCCCAGATGTATTACCCACATGTGCCAATTGCCAATTTGTTACCTTCTTAGTACAAATTCACCCTACTATGTACTTCACTTTGAAACTGAATCTGGATCCTATAAAAATGTCTCTTGTGCCAGTAATCTCTGGGTTAAACTTTATCAGTAGAAGATGGTGGAGGAACTCTGCGTGAGTGCCTTGTTCCATTGCTTTTCTTCTGGCTTCTACAATGCAGTGTCCAGCAAGCATCCTCATGTGGGAGATCAGGGAATGCACATTCTCCAGCAAGTCTTACTGGCACTCCTGCCAGCATCTTTCTAGTGAGTTCTGCCAGCACCTCAGTGAGTGGCTTTCAGTGAGTTTCACCAGTACCCCAGTGGGCAGCTCCCTTGACAGTGCAGTGAGGGAGACTCAGAAACTGCCCATCCCCAACATGTTTCCCTGACATTCCAACTGGTTGTTTCCTGCTTGCCAATCCCAGCCTATGGCTCCTCAGTGTCATCCAGTGGGCCACACCCTCTCCAACAAGCTATAAATCTCAGTCTTGGTGGGGATGGCATAGAGGCTTCTGAGTTTATTTCTGCCTTGAGTATTCTCAATATGGTCCAAAAGAGATTCACAATATGGTCCAAAAGAGATATATTAAAATGTGATCTTACTCTATTTTTGGAAGCTGTCTGAAGGAGATACAGGACCACCAATGGTTTGAATGTGTCCCCTCCAAAATTCAGGTATTCCCAATGTGATAGTATTGAAACAGCCTTGTTACCTGAGGTATCACCTGGAGTTCTTCGTCACAACTGAAGAAAACAAGGAAAGTGGACTCCAAGGGTGAAGTTAGAGCAGAAGTTTAATAAGCGGAAGGAAGAGAGAAATCTCTCTGCCACGAGAGGGGTCCCGAAAGAGAATTGCTGTTTTACAGTTGAATGCAAAGACTTTTATAAACAAGCTAGTGGGGCGAGGTGTTTCCTTTACACAAGGTGCAAAAAACCCATTAGGACTAGGCGTGTCATTTGTATAAGACGTGAATTCCCAGCAGCCCCCACCCTGTCCTTCTAGTGCGCATGCGGGCTCTTGGCTGAAGTTACTCCATGTTGTTTAATCTCCCTTCCTGCACATGTGTTAGGGGATGGGATTCTCCATTGCGGACGTGCCTGGTCCAGTGTAGCTCCTCTTATCTGTGCAGCTGCAGACATGTTCCAAGCAAACCTTCCACCTCTGTAAGCTTCCTTACCTTGGTACATCCGAAAAAGGAGAAGACTGTGTCCACTGAGGCCCATTGTGTATATGTGAAGCTTGCTGGTTATACAGAAGACCTCCTTTTATGCTGGACCTTGCTTTCTTATCTGTGCTTACAGCTTGGTCTTTCAGGCTGCCCCTTCTGTCAGAAAAGAAATTCAACTCAGGACTTTGCCCTAGCTATCTGCCTAACTGATGCTTTCCTTTCTTCACTGTTGGTACTAAGAGGCGGGGTTTTAAAGAAATGATTAGGCCATGGATTTTCCTCCTTCATGAATGGGATTAGGTACCCTTTTAAGGGGGCTTAATAGAGGGAGTTTGGCCCCCTTGCCTTCTACAGTATGAGGACACAGTATTCCTTCTCTCCAGATGATACAGCATAAGGCACCATCTTGGAAGCAGAGAGCAAACCTCACCAGCAAACCCAACTTGACAGTGCCTTGATCTTGAACTTCCCAGCTTCCAGAACTGTGAGAAAATAAATTTCTTTTCCTTGTAAATTATGGCATCTCAGATATTCTGTTGTAGCTGCACAAAACAGACGAAGACAGGGCCCTTATAGGGGCCACTGTCCATTTCATTGTAGATAGTTTAGAAATGGCCTTTCTTAGAGCAGCTTGGAAGTAATGAAATGCTAATTAAAAGGTGCAATTCAGCAGTAAGTCTTTGTTAGTACAGCTTATCTTCCTGGACCCTTGCCCTCTTACTATTTCCTCTTCTTTAGTTCTAAGCATACTATAGCTACTACCAATATTTGGACTCTATTTAACTACATTTGAGTCTCAGGCTTTTCCTGAAATGATGTATATCTCTATCTATCTATCTATCTATCTATCTATCTATCTATCTATCTATCTATGTATCTATCTATCATCTATCTATCTAAATGTAAATATAGATATACATCAGTATCTCCCTGGAGGAATAAACAGATTCTCGCTTTTTTCTTTGGTTTTTATTTTTATTTTTTGTTTTGACAACTCTCAATCACTGGAATTGCCTTTGTACATGACTTTCTGTGCTCACTGTAGGGTCTTTTTGAATAAGTGCTTACTTGTACCCAGTATTAATATTTTCATGACTAATCTTTCTGAGATTGATAGCAACCACATTGCTTATTAGCCTTAATGGGAAAGTAAAATGTTTCTTCATTTCTCAACTATGATTTTCATATCAGCTGGGTCAAGAGTCCATCTGACATAGGAGGAGTTATTGAATACTAATTTATACAGGACACTCATTGGCTTGAAAATATACATTAGCATTACTGTGTCCTTAATTCTGAGTTTAGATATAGCTGAAATATAGGGAACATTAATACATTTAGTTTGCATGCATAGAGATAGGTTTTTTAATACTCAGTATTCATATTTATGAAAAATAAGCTACATATCAGCATTTGAGCCAATGGCCTTAACCCAGATTTTTAGCAGTAAAATATTACAACACCAATTTCTGATTCATACCCTTCATAAACAGGCCTCATGCCTCCCAATGTGGTTTTGGTAAGCATCTTTTTCATTATTTCATTTTCCTGTCAATAAAATTGGCATTGAATTATATTTTGGGGTCCATACATGGGCTGCATGTATATAAACTGCAAAGTATTATTACTAATAATAGACACACTGAACTTTGAGGGTTGATAACTATCTAAACGGGCATACTAAGTTTAATACAGCTTATCAGGTAAAGTTTGATTTAACAAGGTGGCTTTCACAATTGACTATGTTTCTTATTTTAATTTCTCCATGAATATTTTCATTTGCACCTTGAGGACTGTATCTCAGCATCTCGAAGTGCCTTGTGTTATCTATCACTATTACACTGTCACCCGAGAAAAAGATAAAAGTTCCATATAGACTTATTTAATACAGATATTCTAATATATTTTAAATAGTATGTCATTTATAGACTGTGAAGATATAAAATAAGCAGATTTATTTTCCCCTTATCTTTGTGGTCAGCAGCTTCCTTCACTGATTTTTGCATCTTAGGTATACTTTAGCAAGTAACAACAATAAAAAACTCCATGTCAAATAAAAACAGCCTGAAAAATGGTGCCTTCTTGCTGATGGCATTAGTGATATTATGGAACACAATTCCTATGTTTTAAAAAACAATGGAACTTGTTATGGAATTGAGTTTCCCAGAGAGTGCCACATGACCGCAGGCTATTAATTATACAGTTTTATTGTTATCTTTTGTTCAGAACAATAGTGCTCTGGAGGTCCTGTGGAACTTTTCTCCCATGCGATCTTGTCGGGTTTTGATTAAGCATCATTATATACAGTTCATTAACAATGTATCTTAAAATGAGTTTTTGATTGAACATTTTTATTGGTCATTTACTGTAATTGATGGATTCTGCTGCAATTTCACATAGAAAATTTTCCAGGATAGTAACAGTATTTTTCATTATGTATCATTATGCTTTCCCCGCCCCCCAAAAGAATACAAGTTTCCTCAAAAAAAAAATTAAACTAAAATATTAGATATTGATCCATTGCAAAGGCAGTTGCTCTTTCCATAGTTCATTCAGAAAGGACACAAACTAGTAATAATGAATAGGAATGAGAACAATTTGTAAACTTAAATAATTTTATTAATGTTGCCCTTTTTCCCCTGGTGGCCAAGTCATTCTTTAGGGAAGTAAATCATCTCTTTCAAGTTGGTAAGTGTCCTTTCAACGTAATATTAAATCTGAGATGTTTACCTGGATTCTCCAATATTTTATTAGCCACAATATTCACCGATTCTGCTTTTAATCTTTTAAAAAACCCTTTAATAAAAGAGCTAAAAATAATTTGGCAATAAATCATCTGGTTACTTTTGAGAATGCCCTTGTATTTAAAGAAACTTTAAAAATGTCTTAGAAATTATTTAATACATTAGTAAAAACTGCCCTGGAAGATTTTGATATTGAATTATTGTCACTGGAGGTGTTCAGGCATGGCTACATAGCTGCTTGCTGAGAAGGAGAAAAGGACAAAATAGGTGATCTTCAATATTTCTTCCAGTTTGAATCTTTTATAAACTACTCATATAATAACAGCATAAGACATAGGCCAAAGGTAGAAAAAGAACTGGTGAAGGATTGTGAATAGTACTGCCCGGCCTCAGGAGGTTACTTAACTTATCTTGGCTTTAGTTACTCTATCCGTGATAATGAGGAAATTGGATTAGATGGCCTTAAGGATTTTTTCCTACTGGAATATTCCATGTTTCCCTACTTTACTAATGGTTGAGGAGTAAATTAAAGTCTTCTAGGAGACTATTTTTCAATTGGGAAAAACTAGACACTTCAGGCAATAGAGTCCACTAACAAATACTGGCAAATTTATAAAATTTCAGTGAATTGACAGTTTGGCTCTCTATTGTATCTGTTACACTAACACATATTCCTGCTTCACCTAACTTTTTGTATAATTTTTCTCCTACTGAAATTGTGAATAATATATACATTCAGGAAAAAAGCTTTCTCTTCATGATTGTCTATTTTCTTATTTGAAATAGCAATTACTGCTGCCTCTGGAAGCTTCTATGAAGTGGAACATACTTTGTCATTGTCATCATAGAGAAAGGGTCAAATTAAAGATTTAGTTGCTGAGCATGGGTTATTTTTTCAGGAAAGGAAGAGCTGGTCATTGCTTACTTATCTAAATATCATCTATTGATGTAATTGTCCTTCCCCTGTATCTGTTTTCCTCTTTTCTCCCCTGGGTAGAATATAAGGCCTATTTGCTTACAAATATATGTCTAACTTTGTAAATAAGGTAAATGCCAGGTAGATGGAGCGATTAGAAATTAGCCAACCAGGTCGGGCACCATGGCTAACGCCTGTAATCCCAGCACTTTGGGAGGCCGAGGCGGGTGGATCACGAGGTCAGGAGATCGAGACCATCCTGGCTAACATGGTGAAACCCCGTCTCTACTAAAAAGATACAAAAAATTAGCCGGGCATCGTGGCAGGCGCCTGTAGTCCCAGCTACTTGGGAGGCTGAGGCAGGAGAATGGCATGAACCCGGGAGGCGGAGCTTTCAGTGAGCCGAGATCGCACCACTGCACTCCAGCCTGGGTGACAGAGCGAGAGACTTGTCTCAAAAAAAAAAAAAAAAACCAAAAAAAGAAATTAGCCAACCAACCATTTTTTGAGGGGTCCCAAAGTATTAAATATTCTGGAACTTGAAAGAAAAGGAATCCTAAATGTAAAGCCCATATTTTAATATTTTATCTATTACAGAACTCTACTTTCCCTCTCTCTTAATATCTTATCCCTTTAAACTGCATGGTACCACTAAAGAAAAAAAATGTGCCAGAAATTTACTGGCTTATAATTAATTTGATCACTGTTCACTTTATGACATTGACTGGATCATACTTCCTCATTAATCTGTATCTCAGAATTGCTACCTCAAGTGGTGGCCATATAGGACACTCTCGCTCTCCTCTGTCTTCTTACCTTGATCTTCTTTCTATTTCAGTGGGAAAAAAAACATGAGAAAATACAGTGTGAAGAAAATGAATCCATTGTAACATTAGGCTTATAGATCAAGTTTGACTATATTTAATTTCATTCACATGATGTTTTATTTCTCGTATATGAGGTAAATGAGCAAAGTAGCTTTGTTAACATTTGCTGTTTTAACCATATAGAGAAGATAAGATGCTTTTTATTACCCATTTTATTATGGAATTGGTCTAGTGAAATAACAGGAATTTCCTACCCCATAGTATATCTGTACGGATTTGGATTGGGAAAAAAAAAAGTCCCAGAGTCAAAATGGCAGCTTGAATATCAACTAAACATTCTGCCAATTGGTCTTCTTGGCCAGAAGAGGGAAAAACAGACCAATGTGACTCCGTGTCATCTGTATTTAATTATTGGAAAAAATGTCTAGCATATAAACCCTATGGATTATCAATATTATAATCTTTATGTAGAGAGAACAGAATATGAAAACAGATTCCAATTATCCAACCTGGGACTAAGATGGGAAAACCAAGGTGTCTTATCTTTACGCCAGCAATAAGATATTTTGGGAAAAGCATAGAATTTGGTGGTTAATAAACCTGGCCTCTAGCCTTCAGTTTGTCTTCACTACTTGAATAGCCTAGGCAAGTGAATTCATCTTTTAGATTTCGTTTCTTAGTGTATAGACAAAGAAATGAGACATCCTGTGAAAATCTCTGGCACAGTGCCTAGCATATAGCAGACACACATGAAGTAGAATCATGGGTTCTGAATCTTTTTTAGTGTCTTCATCCATGACACGAGAAGTTTTAATTGATAGCACAAGCATTTTCAATTTTGAAAAAAGCAGTAGAGCCCTGTGAACAACAACAGCAACAAATTTTTCATGGAATCCTAATAAATGAACCAGATAAAAGCTAAGTGGTCCTGACTAAAGTGAAAGTAGAAAGCCCAGAGCTACATCCACTGGTCATTTATGGCATGAAGCCAAAAATATGGTGTTAATTCAGGCCTCCAGTTAGTGCATCACACTAACACACGTGTCACAAATGTTTTCATCACCTTTAAATTATTCACTATTTCTTGGGCCAATACATATTTCTTGTGGGCTACACATGACAAGGTCTCTATTGTTCCACCTCCCATTTCCTCAAGGTAATTCCTCTGAAAATTCATAATTAAAAGGGGGGTAATATTGATGTGGTGAACTTTAACGATCCTTTGAAATTGTGTTGGAGAACATACTTTTGTAATTGGAGGGTGGCACATGCAATTGCAAACCAGCCTGATTCAGGCAGAATGTTAAAATGGTTGCCATCTATCTGTTCTGCTGACTGCATGTACCCGACTGTTCACTGGAATGATCACTTGTGGCCCACCCAGTTCAGCTATCTGTATTTAACAATATATGAAGAGTTTCTTTTAACTCAAGACTATATAAAGACAAAAGAACCATTTGGTTTAGAATAAATCAGAGCATTGTAATAATTGTGTATATTTTACTAAACATATAACTTACTTTTACAATAACTACACTTAGCACCATGCCATAATTGGGAGAGACTGCAGAGTCAGGTTAAACTAATTTTAAACCCCAGTTCTTCTACTTACTAGCTTTGTAATCTTGGGCCATTATTTTATCCTTGTTAAACCACCATTTTCTCATTAGTGAAATGGGAATGAGAATTCATTTTTCATTTGAGTTGCTGTGAGATTTAAAAGAAAAAAACAGACCCTGGAACCTGGTATCAGACCCAGCAAAAAGTGTATGCTCAATAACTATTCATTCATTTTGCTTAAAGTATTGTGTGGTTTTGATGTTTACTTATAGTCCTAACTTGACAAAAAAATTGGTGAAACTGAGTTAACTTTGGCTAAGGAACTGTACCAGTATAGCCTGTTTCCTTATCTTAGTTACCTTTTATTTTTCTACCTCTGCAGGTATTTTTACCTCTGCAGTGATCATTTACTGATCATCTCCAGAGCCTTGAGCTGACTTGGATTTTATCCTAATTTAGAATCTCAGATTCTCTGTTTTCAGTCATTGTATGTTTACACACAATAAAGAAGTAAATGCCCATCAACTGTATGCCTAAAACTATCAGCTACTAATGGCTACTGCATAGATGTATGCAAAGTTAGAACAAGAGGAATTCAACTCTTTTTCAAAATGTGCTCTGCTAACTGCCTAGTATTGTCATAAGTTAACCTAGGAATGTGCATTCTCTCCCCGCTCTCCTGACCCATCAGCTATCCCATTAGATATTTTAGGGTAGTAAATGACTCTAATTTACCATATGAAAATATTTGCTTTTCTTGCAGATAACGTTAACTGTAGAATGAAATTCTCATAAATTGAATATACAAGAAAAACACCTAGGGATCCTTCTTGTTAAAATGTGGATTTGAATTCACTAGGTCTCAGGAGAGGCCTGAAACTCTACATTTCTAACAAGCTCCCTGGTGACACCCATGCTACTGGTCTGCAGATCACAGCTTGGGTAGCAAGGTTCCAAGGTACATCCTGGGTCACCTTATAAATCATCCGTTACTGCGCTTCCACCATCTCTTTTGCCCATCAATTTAGAATAAGCAGATTCTTTTTGTTTATTTGTTTATTTATGTATTTCATGCTAGCCATGTTTGAAATACAAACAGACCCAAGGAAACCTCATTGCTGACTTGGACATTTTTAGCTGTTTATCTCTGAGAAAAGTTATCTTCTAAAAGAAAAACAGCAAATAAAAACAAACTCACAGCTCTGTGTCAATTTTTAAATGACTTAACTTTACATGATGTCTTTCTTTGGTAAATTTTAATCTTTTTGACCATCCAGTGGGTTGGTTTTCTGACCACAAAGAAAGTAAAATTCCCTATGGAACAGCAACAACAACAAAACACCGATGCTACTTTGAAAATTATTAAAATAACATTGGCATGTGACTGAGGCCAGCACCCCAGAAGCTGAGCATTTATAATAATAAATGCTTTGACTTCCATTCAACAGTGATCTGCGAGCCTTATCCAATCAATGAGGATGATGAAGATGTGAACTGTGATCGCCACAAATTTGTTAATTTGTCAGTCACATTAAAGACATGGCAGGTCACTCGTTGGGCTCCCCTTGACCTTTAGTCTTAAGATTACAAGATATTCAGAAATTTTGTCCTAAACTCCATTATTTTAGGAGCTGTTTCTTAAGAAAACTCTGAGCCAAGCATTCCAGAATATATTATCGCTTTAAACACAGATTTTCATTGACAACATTTTGTGGGCACCCATTTAATATTAATATTAAGCCAAGGAAATAATGGTCCTTGTTTCTTTCCTTTAAAATGACAGGAATAGTGGGTACTTGTTCCTTATGAAAAACAGGAAATATCTAAGCCAGCAGTATTCACACTAGTGTCATTCCTGCATTACTTCAGTTATTGATTGAACCTTGCCAAATTCTCCATAATGCATCTGCCTACCAGCGAGGGAGAGGCTTATGTGGGAGACTGACTTGTAAAGGTTATCTCAGGAACAAATGATGTGCAGCTCTCCACCTTTTAAAAAGTCTTGAAATGCTGTGAAATTGGATAGCCACTGAGGTACAGAAAATGGAGCATCTGCTTATAATTTTCTGAAATTAGTAAGGTAATGTTTTAATATAATTGGTACAGAATTTGGATTTAATTCTTTAGAAGGGATGTCCAAACCAAATAAGCACTTATTAGTACTGTTCTCTGTCACCTTAAAACAATGTAAGTCTAAGTATTTTCAAGGGTTAGAGCTCAGGAGTCTCTAGGAGTTTCCCAGAATCCTTGCGATTCTTGTCCACCAGGTACAAGGTGGGAGAGGGTGGGGTAGGGGCATAGCAGCCAGGAGCAGAGGTCTTAGATGAGTTTATCTTCAAGTCTCAAGGAGACTCCTTGTTGGTACTTTTGCCAACATTTGAGAGTGTTATATTTTGTTTTGTCTCTTCTGTTGAATCTAAACCGATAATACCCCCCAAATTTTGCCCTAGGGTCTGCACATTTATAAACACAAGAAATGCAATTGCTGAGGCCTCAATTTGTTCTATTGATTTGGAGAGTGCTGCAGGGAGTCCCAAGATCAATAAAGCACTGGCTTCCTACCTTTCACTTCTTCCTTGTCAGTTTCCATTGCCCCCAATTTGCCTGTTTTCTTGTCTTGCTCTTGGGAATCATTGCCATATGTGTCTGTTCTCTCTCTCTCTCTCTCTCATCTCTCCTGGGGGAAGAAAATAATTCTGAATGCTGAATGATAGTTTTTTAGAATTCTAACAACAATACATTTCAAGGTGGATGAAAGAAGTCCTCAAACTCATATGAATACCTCTAGATCTACCTATTCTTGTATCTACCTTTATATGCAACATGGTGTAAAAGTGCAGGGCTTCAGACTTCACTTGGACAAGCTTGCCAATGATTTTTCTGGTCCTGGCAGAGGGCCATCGTCTATGTTAGTCCATGAGGCCATGTGCATACCTAACGTACTTTTTTTCTGTGTTCCTGTTCCTTCTCTGTTTGCATGTGTATCCAAGTGAGTGTGCACATATATGTAAGCAAAAATGCACACACTGTGGGCAACATCTGCATGAAGAAAGTATTTTTTTAAAGGGTCAAAGTAGGGGATGGTTAAATTCAAGTGAGGATAAAAATAGAAGCCCAGCCTTGGGACAGCACTGTGACTAGTTGATAATTACGTTCTACCCAAGATCCTTGTCTTGTTCTTTGGAAAATCACCTCACTCTGAGCAAGTCTTCCTTTAGATCAACAGCTAGAAAATGAGTAGGTGGCTGAGATCCTCTCTGAACAAAGGACATATTCTGAGGAAACTACCTTTTGTCTCCTTAAGTCTTGGGATGAGTTTGTTTTATTCATTCATTCTGCTTCAAGAAGAAGACCTAGGAGTAAGAATGAAGTTTCTCAGATGAGGTTCTATATGCTCACTTAAGAAGATGTCCTTAGCTTTCCCTGAATTTTCTCTTTCCTTATCCCCAGAATTAATACAGAAAAGTAAGAAAGTGAAAAATATATGGCCAAAATAAAAGAAAACATGGAATAAAGACCCCTTCTGAGGTAAAGAAAATTTTAAAAGCTTATTTCCATCACTACGAACTACTCTTTCCCCTCAAGAATAAGTTAGCACTGTTGGAGTCAGTTACAGTTTTCAGAATTCTCTCTGGGAACTGTTGTGATAACCTCCAAGGGGCCCCTG
This sequence comes from Homo sapiens, assembly GCF_000001405.40. NCBI lineage: Eukaryota > Metazoa > Chordata > Mammalia > Primates > Hominidae > Homo > Homo sapiens. The sequence goes on from NC_000004.12 coordinate 148,914,039, forward strand.
TCCTCTGCAACTCTGTGCCTCCTTTCTAGACTCCGCTGTCTTGTCAGGGGGGTGGCTATGTCCCTTCTACCTGGAGAGAAATGCAGTCAGTCTTGGCACCAATACTAAGAAGACATTTACATTGGAAACAACATTTCTTCAATGATCAATGACCTAACAAAACTGAATAATGGCTAGAAAAGAGGCATGATAAAATGGGTAGTCCTCATCTGGTTGCTCATTTCCCTTTTATTTTATTTTTTTAAAGAAAATTCAGCAGTCTTTCAGTTGGGTCCAGGAATTCCCTGAACGTGAACCAATGTAGAGTTGCTCCATTTTAACTTCTGATATTGGACCCACTTAAGGAGTGCTCTTGATCCACACTCCACACGTCAGCCTCGTGTTCAGCCCTCCCCATCATGACTGACAGTCCCTACCCTGTACCAAGGAACCATCTGTCTCCACAGCTCGCCCACACAAGGATGGAGTTGTCGTTGATGTGGCAGCCAGGACTGCAGCAACAGGCATCGAAGCCAGACGACACAGGTGGTCCAGAGCACGGAGAGTCACCAAGGAGACTTGGAGAACACCAGCACTTCCGTTATTAGGGTGGAATACATCTGAAGGCATCACAATTCTATCCCAGTCTAAAGAAACCTGAGCCAAATGACGGATGCTGGATCCCAGAATGTGTCCATCAAATCCCTGATTCACAGAGATGTTAACAAATGTGATATCCGTTACTGTTCACTGAAAACTTACTATGAGTCACTGTGCCATGAACTTTATGAGAATTACCTAATTTAATCTACAGAAAATACTATTATCTCCATTTTTAGAGAGGGAAGATGAAGATTAGTGACTTGCCCAAGATTACACAGATAGTGATGGGTGAGTCAGAATTTGTACCCACGCAGCCTTGTACCTGGGCCCACACTGTTATCCACCAGACTTCAATGATTCTCTTGGCTTGTGGAAGTAGACAAGTTGAAGGGTATGTCTTTTGGTGGCCTATGTTTCTAACTTTAGGGTTCACAGTAATTAGAAAAGGGCACAGAAACATTTCAAATATTTTCTCCCAAGGTGACCCATAAAAATCATTAGATTATGTGCTCTGATATTGTGGCCTATACCAAACTGTCTCAGACAATTGAATCTATTCAGTACTTCATTGTTGCAAAGAATGAAAAGAGACAATGAGAGACAGGACTAGCTGGATTTCCTAGGCCCACTAAGAATTCCTAAGCCTAGCTGGGAAGGTGACCGCACCCACCTTTAAACACGGGGCTTGTAACTCAGCTCACACCAAACCAATCAGGTAGTAAACAGAGCTCACTAAAATACCAATTAGGCTAAAAACAGGAGGTAAAGAAATAATCAAATCATCTGTCTCCTGAGAGCACAGGGGGAGGGACAATGATCAGGATATAAACCCAGGAATTCGAGCGGGCAGGGGCAACCCCCTTTGGGTCCCCTCCTGTTGTATGGGACCTCTGTTTTCACTCTATTAAATCTTGCAACTGCACACTCTTCTGGTCTGTTTGTTCCGGCTCGAGTTGAGCTTTCACTCGCCATCCACCACTGCTGATCTCCATCCTTGCAAACCCGCCACTGACTTCCACTCCCCCAGATCCTGCAGGATGTCTGCTGCGCCTCTGATCCAGCGAGGTGCCCACTGCCGCTCCTGATTGGGCTAGAGGCTCGCCATTGTTCCTGCATGGCTAAGTTCCCGGGTTCATCCTAATCCAGCTGAACACTAGTCGCTGGGTTCCATGGTTTTCTTCTGTGATCCATGGCTTCTAATAGAGCTATAACACTCACCCATGGCCCAAGTTTCCATTCCTTGGAATCCGTGAGGCCAAGAACCCCAGGTCAGAGAACAAAAGACTTGCCGCCATCTTGGGAGGACTTGCCGCCATCTTGGGAGCACCCGCCCCCATCTTAGGAGTGGCCTGCCACATCTTGGGAGCTCTGAGGACAAAGACCTGCTGATAACAACAACATCCTCTGTGGGTCTAAGAAAAATCAAGCAACATATGACTATAATGAAATTATAGAACTAAAGCTTAATTCTTTATCTTCCCTTCATAATGATGACTCAAACTCTGATTAGAAAACTCAGCATAATCTTTTTGTTAATTTTCTTCTTCGGTATACAATACATCTCATAATAATGCAATATATCTCCAATGAAGTCCTATTGAGTCTTTTGAATCTATCTCCTTCTATTTGTTCCAATTATGTAATTTCAGTTCCTACATTCATGGTATCCACCATGAATGCTTTAATGGAATCTTAATTTGTATTTCTATCTCCAATCTCTGTCTAATCTCTTCTAATGACTTAAAGGAACTATTCTAAAGTACAAGTCTGACCCCTTTCCTCCACTCTCTTCTTTTGTCTCTTCCTAGCACTTCTCATCTTTAAATGTACTGCATAGTTTTATTTTGCTTATTGTTTGCTACTGTCCATTAGATTATAAAACCCAGGAGACCAGAAGTTCTTGTGTGTTTCTTCAGACAAGGATATCTGTTCCCTCACAGCTGTGGGTACTGTGCCTGGTATATACTAGGTGCTCAATAAATATATTTGATATCCCCTCCTTAAAAAAATCTACCTTACCTTTCTTCCAGGATGAAGTACAAACTTCTTAACACTGACACTTTATGCAGTGGTCTCAACCTGAATTTCTACTTAATTTCTTTGCATCTTCCTCTGCACAAAACTTTTGTTCAAATAACATGAATGTTGTCATTCCTGAAGCTTGCCATGTTTTTCATGCATCCCTGCATTTGCAAATGCTGTTCCCTTTGTCTGAAAAACCCTTCCCAAGTCTGCTTAGAACACAGCATGTGCAGATGATTGTCTCTTCAGTTATCCAGCCAAACGATTGATTGATTCATTCATCCCTCCATGTATTACCTGACCCACATCTATACATCCTTGAAAATCCAGGGGAAATTTTTCAATCTTCTGAAGCACCCCCAGATTCCCAGTTGGCATTGAGCACATTTCCTTGGTGCTCTGATAACTCTATATATAGCTCTATTTTGATTCTTATCACATTAAGTTGTAATTTATCTTATATGCTTTCTTTGCTTTCCCTGACAATGAGATGCTCCAGAACAGGGAGTGAGGCATTTATCGGGTTGTCCTCAGTATATTTTACAGTACCTGGCACGTAATAAAGTACTCAATAAATGCATAATGAATAAATGAATAATTAACCTATCTAGAACAGATATATGTTTTGGGAAGAAGAGGTAATTGCTCTGGATTGAGAATTCAGCAGATAAACTATATAGCATTCTATTCAGATACCTGAAAAACCTCAAGAAGTTCCGTTAGTATTTATGTGAAATGCATATTTTAGTTTTACTAAAATAATAATTTACATTATGTGAAATTCATAGAATACTAACCAAGTAACAGAAAAATCCTCGAGGAGTAGACCAAGTAATATAATAGTGAGTCATATATTGAGCAAAGAATAATGTAGCCCACAGAAAAATATTTAGGGCTGCACAGGTCTCAATTATCTGTATGTAATTCTCTATGAAGCCAATGAGAATGATGAGTGACTAAGAAGGATGACATTTGGTCTCTGGAGCAGAGAAATTAACTATTTCAAACCAGGAAATATTATATAAATGTAATTATTCTCAAGTTTCTTTTAAAAATGACTAATGTGCCAAAAAATGACTTATTTAAATTTAAATGGAATTTGATTTTTAAAGTAGGTACTCGTATGTCTCTTCAATGCCAAAAGAGAAGAGCTGCTTAGCCATTTTGTTTTCCAATCTCTCATTCATTCCTTCTCCATCAATGGGTATTTTTTTTCCACCTGAAACTGCCCATAGAGAAAACAAAACAGAACGTTTGAAGGACATTGAGAATGAACAAGCAGCCAGGTTTTCCCCAAGAACGGGTACTTTTTAAATGAACTGACAATTTTTTTTTGTTGGTACAAATGAAAAGCTAACATAAAAATATTCTCTAAGCTTCACTTGTAGTGTTTTATAAGAATGGAGACCAGCTTTGACATATTTCTGTGTGCCTATCTTAATCCTCCAGGACTGAGGATTCCAAGCAAACTGCTGAACCTGCAGTGTTTGCCTATTTATCTGTCTTCCATCTGCACATAATATAGACCTCACATTGTTCATTTGGGAGTCCCTGTTATTGTCCAAATGTCTATCACAAAAGAGGGTGTCTTAGTCCTCTGGGGTAACTGGCCATGGTACCAATGGACACAGATGGTAAATGAATGCATTAATATGCTCTGTTCATGATGGAAATTACACAGAGATAATATATTAACTTGAAAGGATTGCTTCTCATCTTTGTGGCAGAGTTTTTGAGGCCAAGTCTGTATGCACAAAATAAAGTAGACATTTAAGGTAATTATTTGAGTTGTGTGTGTCGGGGCAGGGGGCTGGGGGTGGGAATAACAGCTACCTGTTAATGAAGAATCCGTAATTAATTTCGATATGAATTTAACCAACTAATAGGCTTTCCTGATAGATTTCACCACATTTATTCTTCAATTTCCCCGGCTATGCTTCCTGTGTAGTCAAAATCATAGTGTACTTGGGTGTTTGCAGTACAAAGCCGTGTTTCCTGTTCCCTAAGGATAAAGGGGGAAAAATGACAATGTTTCTTAGTGACCCAGTTATCATTTTAGGTTGTTAAATAAAGAGTTTGTTTCATCTGTAAAATGGGAAGCACAATGTCTATGCCCCCCATAGGAACAGGGCTGTAAAGAAAGTAGTTCATAACTGCAAAGCCCTTTACAGATGTCAGTTATATTTGTAGGTGGAGCGAGGAGTCATGATAGTGGCTACCTAAAGAGATTTAGATGTACAGACAGTCCTCGGCTTAGGGTGGGGTTCCATCCTGATAAACCTATCATAATTTGAAAATACCTTAAGTGGAAAATGCATTTAATACACCTAACCTGCCGAACATCGTAGCTTAGCCTAGCCTGCCTTAAATGCATTCAGAACACTTGCATTAACCTACAGTTGGGGAAAAACATCTAACACAAAGCCCATTTTATAATAAAGTATTGAATATTTTGTGTAATTTATTGTATACTGTACTGAAAGTGAAAAACAAAATGGTTATGTGGGTATTCCAAGTACAGTTTCTACTGAATGCATTTCACTTTCACACCATGGTAAAGTTAAAAAATCATTGCGAGTTGAAAGATCATTTTAAGTCGGAGCGTTGTAAATTGATGTTTTTTCTATTCAAAATTTTCAGGAGGAAAGAAATTCTGTCTTTTATTAAATAAGATGCAGACACTCTGGAGATCATTTGTACATATTATACATACAGAGTTAGACAAAACTCTCTGCTCCATATTCTTTTGTGTTTAGTACCAGGGTTTTGGCTGATCTTGTATGGGAAGGCAGTGTACATGAGGCCTAGTGTGTGCTTCCCTTCTGTCTGCAGACTATTTTCACCTCACATTCTTCTTGCTTTCTCCCACTTCACTGCCAAATTTCCTTTAAACATTTCAAGAGTAACCCATGATTCCTGTAACCAAAAGTATAATGTAAACACATAGAAAGAAAAATAATTAAGAATTTTTCCCTATCGTCTCTTACCCTGCACTCCTGTTGTTTATGGCCACAATCCATCAGCTTCTAGTAGATAATGATGTTAACAGCCTCGTGTGCATCTTTGAATACTTCTCTTCATGCTACACATCTGTATGTTTATTAAAACATATATGCACATGTATAATTTTGGCTATTTTTTGCTTTTATAAATATTGAATTATACCAAACACATCACTCTGCAATTCACTTCTTTTTCACTTAAAAAATTGTTATGGACTGTCTTCCTGGCCAATAATGTATGTTTTTAATATGTGAAAGTTTTCTATTTATTTAATTGGCATATAAAATTGAATATATTTATTGTGTAAAACAAGTTGTTTGAAATATGTATATGAACATCTATTGTGGAATAGCTAAAGTGAGCTAATTAGCATATGCATTACCTCACATACTTATTGTTATGTGATGAGAACAGTTAAATCTACTTAGTAATTTTCAAAAATAATGTATTATTTTAATGGCTCTATAGTGTTTCATGATAATATACCATTGTTTGTTCAAACTACTCTATTTTTTCAGCCAATTTAGTTTTTTTCTGCTAGAAAAAATTTATGTTGTAATTAACATACTTTTCATATACATTTGTGTACCAGCTTATATATATTATGCATATATATATATATATATAGGTTACATAAGAAAAAATGACATGAGTAGGTCAAAGTAAGAGTTTCTTTACTTTTGATAGATATTACAAGAAAATTTTCCAAAATGGCTTACAGCAATTCACATTCTCGTCAGCATTGAAGAGTGTCTGTTTCTCCTTTTCCTCGATCAAGACTGAATTTATCACACTTTTAATGATTTTGCCAACCTGTCCATTAAAAATGGGATCTCCTTTTACTTTCAGTTTGCATTTCTCTTACTTCTAGTGAAGTTCAGTATCTTTTCATATATTTATTGACCGTTTACAGACACTAATTTCCATGAGCAATCTCGGGTTTCCTTGGCCAGACTCAGAACTCTCCAGAAACAGACTCTATATGAGGAGAGGCAGTTGTAAGCACATTCTACTTCAATTCTTTTAAAATAAGCAAGTTAAGTCGCTTCCATTTTATTGTATTTAAATTAATAGTATATTTCCATGGCTCATGGCCTAGAGACATTCAAAAGTAGTGAAGGAAAGTACATAGGGAAAAATCTTCCTCCCCACCTTTTCTTCTTGTCAGCCAATTCTTCTCCCAGTAGACAAGGATACTAGTTTTCTTATGGATTCTTCCAGAATTATTTTATACCACACACACACACACACACACACACACACACACACATTTATTCCCCCTTTAATCGCATTTTCCACCCTAGATCCTGAAGTCACAACTCAGTCCCTAATTGACGGAGCTAGTCACTTAACTTCCCTCAGACCAGCTTTCCTTTTGTTCAGTTGAGCTTCTGGGAGAATCAAGGAGGAGCATACCGGTAATTATCGAAGAGTTGACCACAGAAGCATGGGATGTTCTTCCCATTCAACAAACTGCAAAACCAAGCTTCTCCCTACCATTTGTCCCACACTGTTTTGTCAGGTGGGTAAACGTTATTTAATTAATGGAAGGGGTGTTGTGCAGTCTCCAAAAGCAAAGTTCAGCACCTTTTCACACATTTATTGACCACTTACTGCTCCTATTGTGCTAATTGTTCATATCCTGTTTCTGTCTTTTTGTTATCAATATATAGTGCTTTTTGTATACTGGAGATATTGTTTCTTTTTACACTCTAAGTTTTGTATTTTTTTTTTCT